>NC_000004.12:173296381-173921381 GCF_000001405.40 Homo sapiens
TTTCTATCTCCAAAAGCCTTCCTTGCTTCTAGTCCATAATTAGGAAAATAAAACACGTCCATGTGGCAAATGGCAAATGGCATGAATCAAAGGCAGAACTTTGGAGGATTTAATCATGAGAGGATTTAATGTGAAGGCCGAACATGAACATTTTTCACATGCTGTCTGATTTAATCCTCACAGCAACCCTGCAAGATAGAGATTATTAGCCCCATTTGACTGAAGAGGATACTGAGGCTTAGAGAAATTAAGTAATTTTCCCCAAATCAGAGAGCTAATAAACTGTCAGACCAAGGCCTCCCTGGGAAAGTTTACACTGCACCATGTATTTAGGAATGTGAAAATCATAAGTGAGGACAGTTAACTGACCAAGTGTCAGGTAACTTTCTCTAGGTGAATACCAGCAGGCTTCTGGGCAGTGAGGAAGTGGTTTTCCAGATTCCAGTGGCAGATTCCACAAATCTGACAATGACCCTCCAGTTCACACTCTGGAGAGAAGGAAGCATCTTTCTGGACTTTACTTCCTCCATATTAAAGTTCTAAGCACTGTAGGTTTTCCCTTTTCCTTGGTTTTTAAACTTCTGAAAAGCAGCTTGACCTGGATATAAAAAGCTGTCATTTTCATTTTAGGAAAATAGATTTTAAAATCCTTTCTGACGAGATGAACATTGTAACAAGCAGGGTACCAGATAATCTTTGTAATGTCACTTTGACATCTAATTGGTTATAGAGTACTAGCATTTTCGTGAAGCCCAAATATAAGAGATTTTTTGATCCAAATTCTCAGACCACTTCTGAAGTTCTTCAGCAAGTTTTGAGGGATTTTTTTTGCTTTTTTTTTTTAAAGCAACAATACCTTTTTTTTTTGTTTGTTTTGCAATAAAAGCTGTTTTCTGCAGTTAGAGGAGTGAGGAAGATCAAGTAAAAGTACAGAAACACATTTTCATAACTGTTCCCAAGAAATAGCAACAAAGGGTTGAGAGAACCGCTAAGAATGTGGCAAGTACTATCTGTGACCCCACACACACGCACACGCATGCACACGCACACGTGAGCTTTTTCATGGGTGATAGGGAAAATAACAGGCAAGAAAATCTTATAAATAAGGTAAAATTACCAAAAGAAAGTTGCCTTTAGGACCAAAGCGAAAAGGAGAAAACTCTATTAAGCTCAGTGATATAGTTCTTTGTCCCTGACATTTGTCTGTAAGCCTAGGGGGAAGTCTCCTCTCTCCTGCCCTTACGTAAACAGGCTTTTCGGCTTTTATGGGACATTCATTTACTCTATTTCCCATTAGATATTAAAGTCCCCTAGTGCACAAACAAATCAACAACAAAAAGAGATAACGTAGTTAGGCATGCTGAACTAGTCTTGGGTTCTTAAATGCTTTTTCATTTTCTGTAAATGTTTCAGAACTACATGTACTGTGCCTCTAATAGATTACATAGATGGGAATGATTATTCCATTGAACCACAGCAAGGTGGGGATGAAGATGGTTTTGCCAGAGGGGCCTGGGACTGGAGTTTACTATGGAAACGTATTCCTCTAAGCCACAAGGAAAAGGCCAAAAGAAAACATAAAACTGAACCTTATCGGTAAAGACTATTACTTTATTTTCTTATGTTGAATGTTTATCTAAGTTCTTTTTTTTTTCTTCCCCATGAACTCGTATAAATGTGTGGGTCCATACATACGCTTCCATTTGATCTTTGCTGCCATCAACACAATACAGAACCATTTGCACTGTGCCGCTTATAGATGTCATAAATGGCAACACATATGAAATTATACCCCAAGGGGGTGGTGATGAAGATGGGTATGCCCGAGGAGCATGGGATTGGAGTATGCTCTGGAAACGGGTGCCTCTGACCCCTCAAGAGAAGAGACTGAGAAAGACAAAAACTGAACCGTATCGGTAATCACTAAATCACTTACATATTTTTCTTTTCTCCAGTTGCTGCTAACCTATTAACCTCTTGCCAAGCTAAAGATTCGTTATTAAAACTGTAGATGTTGTCTCAGATTCTGAAAGAACATCTTTCCTTACACTGTTTCAGAGCTTTCAATCTGCTCCATTTGCTCCATTGTAATTGCTTTTACCCTAAATGTGATGTCCACTACTGAGACGTACACACTTTCATTGGGGAAAGAAAAATAATGTAACATGGCATTTGTTCCACGTACAAGTGAAAAAAAGATAAAATCTTAGTTATCCTGTCCTACTGGATTAGACATCAAATTTTATTCTTTTGATGACAGTGTCATTCTATAAATTTAAAATACATAAATTACTTTAATCCAACCAAGACTTTTATTTCCACGTTCATGCCGTGGGTATAATGTTAACAATGAAGGGCACTAGCAAGAGATTTCTGGGTTTTTCTCCCCTTTTGCTGTTATGTTAACTCTCAAATACTAATTTTGTACTAGTTAAATCTGATGAATCACAATACATGACTTTAAAAAATGTTACATAGAATCCTTTATTGCTTCATTCTCAGAAAAGTGATTGATTAAAAGAAAACTCTATTCAAAAATCAGCTTTTGTCCCTTCTTGTGGTTCTTTCAGTAGAACAACTTATGCTACTCTCTTCTTTTGATCTTGTAATTAGAACATTTTACTGTCTCTGTAAAAAGTGACCCCAAATGAAATGTTTGCTCAAGTGTTAGTATAGCCTTCTCCTGAATGTGTCTAATCTTATTTTTCTGATCCTATGGTTCTGCTTTTGGTCTCTCTCTCCCTGTTACACTGCTGGTGATGTTAGAACTCTGTTTTGGGAAGGTGCTTCCAATGTTATGGAAACGCTGTGGGATTTGGGCATGTCATGATATCAAGATACTGAATGGCAAACATAAAGAAGTTATAGCACTTAATTAATCATAGTAGCTTAATTGGACATTTACCAAATTTTTTTTGGTAAATTTCTTATTCAGAATAGTCCAGGAATCAACTGCTTACGTGCTTAACTTAACAAATAACTGTGGGAGAAAAAAAATAAAGGGTGCTGAGCAAATTTATATTTCTGTTAATTCCATAGGCCAGTAAAGAAAATTTTTAAAGTGACCTAGAAAAATTAAAGGGAGGTTATCTGTTGATTAACTCACTGGTGACCATGTTAAGATGCATTTTCAAGTATATACTGAGATGAATGGGAACATATTTGAAGAAAAATAAACCCAGCTGCCGGGCAAGGTGGCTCACACCTGTAATCCCAGCACTTTGGGAGGCCGAGGCAGGCGGATCACCAGAGGTCAGGAGTTCGAGATCAACCTTGCTAACATGGTGAAACCCCATTTCTACTAAATATACAAAATTAGCTGGGCGTGGTGGTGTGTGCCTGTAATCCCAGCTACTTGGGAGGCTGAGGCAGGAGAATCGCTTGAACCTGGGAGGTGGAGGTTACAGTGAGTCAGGATCACGCCATTGCACTCCAGCCTGGGCAACAGAGTAAGACTTGGTCTCAAAAACAAAAAAAAAAAGACACAGCTATAACGGAATAATCTTAAATGACAGTTAAATAAAGGTGACATGAAAATATCACCTAAAATGTAATAGTGTTGTTACTGTGTTAGGCAGCATATTTTAAGAAGAAAAAGCATGAGAGAACAACTTTTTTCTGATGCTATTTTCTTCTAGTATTGAAAATATTTCTTGATTCATTATCCACTCAACAAACGTTTATTGAATGCTTACTGTATGCCAAGCACTGTTTTCTGGGGATACATTTTTAAAGATATGTTTCCTCATTGAATTTAAAATACAGTGAATCAGACAGAAATTAAACAGATAACTGCATAAATAACCCTAAAATTAGCCTGGTGTGGTGGCACGTGCCTGTAGTCCCAGCAACTCAGGAGACTGAGGCAGAGGGATTGCTTGAGCCCAGGAGTTCAAGGCTTCAGTGAACAATGATTGTGCCACTGTACTGCAGCCTGGGCAACAGAGTGAGACCCTGTCTCACAAAACAAACAAAACTCTGGAACAGCAGCTGTGATAAGTAGTATGAAGAAAAATCACAGAGTACATGAGTTTATGGAAAGATGAACCTAATCCAGCTTGGGAGATCAGGAAAGGCCCTTCTGACAAAGTGTCATTTAGGCTGAGACCTGAAGGATGAGGGACCAATTCTGTGGAAAAGGAGAAGGAACATTTCAGGATCGTGAATAACATGAATGAAGGCCTTAAGACAGAAAGGAGGCTGGCACGTTCCCGGTGGGAGCAGAGCCGTGAAGGACTCAACGGGAAGAGAGTCCATGGTGAGCCCAGAGAGCCGGGAGAGGCTGGTATCATGCAGGCGCATGTGGAGGAGTCTGCTCTGGCCCCTGTGTGATTAGCCTTGAGCAGGGGGCAGAAGACAATAAAGGACACAAGCTCGGGAGATATTGGAAAGTCCAAGCAGTGTTGGCCTGGTCTAGGCTGGTGGCAGTGAAGTTGGAAATAAGTCAGCAGATTCAAGATGTATTTTCAAGGCTGGGTGCAGTGGCTCATGCCTATAATCCTAGCACTTAGGGAGGCCTAGGCAGGTGGAACTTTTGAGCCCAGGAGTTCTAGACCAGTCTGAGCAACATGGCGAAACCCCATCTCTACAAAATACATAAAAAGGTAGCTGGATGTGTTGGTGTGCGCTTGTAGTCCCAGCTACTCAGGAGGCTGAGGTGGGAGGACTGCTTGAGCCCAGAAGGTCAAGACTGCAGTGAGCCGCAATCATGCCACTGTACTCCAGGCTGGGCCATAGAGTGAGACTATGTCTCAAAAAAAAAAGATTTTTTTTTCAAGGTAGAATCAATGGAACCTTGAAATAGGTTCCATTGAACCTATTTGAGTAGATTGAATATTATGTATGATGATGAAGTTACCCTAATAATACTGAGTACCCTAAAATTTAAGAATCATGATGGATTAGTAATTAATTGTTCAGGGGAGGGGAGCAGGGAGCAAGATAAATTCTGCTGTAATTTCTCCCAATGGTGGGAGTGACTTGTCCCTAAGAAGCTACCAAATCTTTTTTCTCTTGGACCTAAAAAGTGTCCAATTTAAGATCCATTCAAGAAGCCCCACAGATACACAGGTCACCCTTTTGCATTCCTACCTCCTGGCACAGTAAATATCTATATCTAATTCTCCTGTGTCATTTCTGTGCTACATTTGCAAACTCTGAATGAACTGTGGTTGTTCTACAATGATTTACACTGTTATTTGGCGAGCCCCTGAGCTATAAAATTAAAAAATGACAGACTACTTCCATGGTGTATGGTTTTGTTCACCCAAGAATGACTCATAAATCAATGCAGGAGCAGTTAGCAGACCACGGCTGTATGGCTCAGTGTTTTTAAGAGTGAAAGAGAAAATTCTATTTTAACTAAAACTAAGGCTTAATTTTTAAATCCACAGAGGTACCAAGGCGCCCTCTAATGGTGAACTCAAACAATGCTCTATTTTGTAATGAGCTACAGTTTCAGTTAGAAATTGTGGTAAATTCGTTAGGGAATTATGAACAGATTTTTTTCTTTTTTTGTAAAGGCTTTATAATTTCTTAATGTTTGGCCATCAGTTTTGTCTCTTCTATGCATTTTCAGGCTGTATTCTACAAGGCTTCTTGCCTATTGGTGAAGGGTTATTGGGGGTTTGTCTGTAATGGTTATTGCAGTGTTTCTTTTTCTTAGGTCCCCAGCCATGGCTGGGGGATTATTTGCCATTGAACGAGAGTTCTTCTTTGAATTGGGTCTCTATGATCCAGGTCTCCAGATTTGGGGTGGTGAAAACTTTGAGATCTCATACAAGGTAACATTTTATTTCAACAGATGGAATTCTCCAAGTCGTTACTAACTTCTGTGGCTTTCAGATAAAGCTAGTTTTTTGTGGGGGAAAAAAGCCCACAATTATATCATGCATTTCTCCAAATTGTATAGAATGATTTAATGAAAATGGATGCCTTTGAGGAAAAAATAAGGCAAAATGCAAGCTCCAAACTTACCATATATTTACAGGGCTCAGCTCAAAATTGTGGCTAGCAAGCTTTAGAAATGAAAATATCTACCCCCACACCCCAACTTTCTATATATTGGAGCTTTTTATTATAGAAGCCCTTGGAAGAATCTGCATGCGTTAGGGCCACAATTGACCACCCACTGACACAGTCACCCTTTACCACTGTAGGACATGATTCAAGACAGAAGCAGAGCCCCACAATGACTGTATCCTCAGGCTGACTTTGGCGCTGTCTTCCTGCAGCATCCACCCTGTTGTTGAAGCAGTCTGGGAGCAATACTATCTTCCATGCTCCAGCCCCCACCTCAACCCCTATTCCTACCCCCATTTTCCAAAAGAAAGAGAGAGAGAACTATATCAGAGTGTGAGTTAAACAGGTATTCATTACCTCTTGTCTTAAATGTCCTGTGCGTAGCACTGTGAGGGATAGAAGAGGAGTAAACCAGTTGTTGCTCTCAAGGAACTTGATAAGAAGATATTAGAATTATACTTAAATTCATAATACAAGAAGGCAGAATGGCATTCAGTTGGTGTGCTTAAAAAACCGTCGGCCAGGCGCTCATGCCTATAAACCCATCACTTTGGGAGGCCAACATGGGCGGATCATGAGGTCAAGAGATCGAGACCATCCTAGCCAACATGGTGAAACCCCATCTCTACTAAAATACAAAAAATTAGCCGGGTGTGGTGGTACACACCTGTAGTCCCAGATACTCGGGAGGCTGAGGCAGGGGAATTGCTTGAATCTGGGAGGCGGAGATTGTAGTGAGCCGAGATCGCACCACTGCACTCCAGCCTGGGGGACAGAGCGAGACTCCGTCTCAAAAAAAAAAAAAGAAAGAGCGAGCGTTATGCTAGATGCAGAATTTGCGGCAGAAGTAGGAAGATGGGTATGATGTTAGTAAGCACAGATAAGGGATGGGAGGGGGACTTCTAAGCAAGTAGCATGGGGAAAAGTACAAAGAAGAGAACACAAGGAACATTCAGAGAACAGCAAGGAGCAAACTTTGGCAGAATCAAGCAACATGAATAAGGAAGACATCTAAGAAGATAAAATGGGAAGGTGTATTAGGGCCATATTGAAGAGAGCCTTTAAAGCTGAGTTAAGAGATTTTTATTTAATTTGATAAGCAGTGGAGAACGATCAAAGATATTAAGCAAGGGAATAACATGACCCAAAGCTGCCCTTCACCTATAATAATCTCTTGCTATAAATAAGGATAGTTGAGTAGAGAGAAGCCGAAGGTGAAGAAGCCAGTTAGGAGTTTATTATAATAATCACCCAAGTAGGAAATATATTAGCAATGGAAATGATTAATGAGTTAGGAATAAAGAATCCACATGACTTTGCAAGGTTATATTGGGAGAAAGTTGCTAGGGGCTATGAGTACACAGTAAGAGGCCCCTTAGTAGCAGTTTATTATTAATACTGTATTCCCTGTTGCCTTCTTGGTTGTTACATGAGCTTTTAAAAGCAAATTATTTTAGGATTTGTTTAGTTTAAGAATTCTGTGTGGACACTGTATATAATTTAGATTTTAGATTTACACTTACAAGATAAATTTTCAGTTATGGTTTATGTTTGTATTTGAAACAACTTTCACAACGTGTTTTTCCTTCATAGATATGGCAGTGTGGTGGCAAATTATTATTTGTTCCTTGTTCTCGTGTTGGACATATCTACCGTCTTGAGGGCTGGCAAGGAAATCCTCCGCCCATTTATGTTGGGTCTTCTCCAACTCTGAAGGTGAGTTTTTTGGATAAAAGGGGAGGACAGGGAACTAACATTTATGTACCACATGCTATAGTAGTTACTTAACAATTGTCAGCTTATTGAGTGGGCTCTTCAGCAGTCATGTTGATTCTCACCTTTAACTTAGCTAGACTTATTCACGAAATATCTTATTGTTCTTTAAGATTATTCAGCTGAAGCAGGAGGATTCCTTGAGCCCAGGAGTTCAAGGCTGCAGTGAGCTATGATTGCACCACTGCACTCCCCGCTGGATGACAGAACGAGACCCCATCTCTTAAAAAAAAAAAAGATTGCACCCTATTTTTTTAATTGACAAGTAAATATTGTATGTATCTTGTACAATATGATGTTTTGATATATGTATACATTGTGGGGATGGCTAAATCTGGCTATTTGGACATGTATTACGTCACCTACTTGTTTTTGTGCTGAGAACACTTAAAATTTGTTCTCAGCAATTTTCATATATGTAATATATTATAAATTGTAGTCACCATGTTGTATAATAGATCTCTTAAAACTATTGTTCCTAACAGAAGTTTTGTGTCCTTTGACCAAAATCAGCCCACTCCCCCCAATCCTCACCTTCTGGTAACCACCATTTTACTATCTGTTTACTTGTTTACACTCCACATGTAAGTAATATCATGCAGTGTTTGTCTTTCTGTGCCTGGCTTATTTCATTTAACATAATATTCTCCATGTTGTTGCAAGTGACAGGATTTTTTTATTATTTAAGGGTGCATAGTATTAATACCATCATGTATATATACCATATTTTCTTTACCCATTCATCTGTTGATGGACACTTAGCTTGATTCCATATCTTGACTATCGTGAATACTGCTGCAATGAACAGGAGTGTAGATACCTCTTCGATATACAGATTTTATGTCCTTTGGATATATACCTAGTAATGAGATTGCTAGATCAGATGATAGTTCTATTTTTAATATTCTGAGGAACCTCTGTACTGTTTTCCCATAATGGCTGCACCATTTTGCATTCCCACCAACAGGTGGGAAGGGTATCTTGTGGTTTAATTTGCATTTCTCTGATAATTAATGATGTTGAGCATTTCTTCATATAACTGTTGGCTAGTTGTATGTCTTCTTTTGAGAAATATCTATTCAGGTCCTTTGCCCAATTTAATCAGGTTGTTTCCTTACTATTGATTTGTTTGAGTTCCTTCTATGTTACGGATATTAGCCCTTACCAGATGTATGGTTTGCAGATGTAGCCTCCCATTCCATAGATTGTCTACTTTGTTAATTGTTTCCTTTGCTTACAGAAGCTTCTTAGTTTGATATAATTCCATTAGTCTATTTTTATTTTTGTTGCCTGTTCTTTTGGGGTTGTTACATCCAAAACCAATATCATGGAATTTTTTCTTTTAGAAGTGTTACAGTTTTAGGACTTCACGTAAGTTTTTAATCCATTTTGAGTTGATTTTTATATATGGTGTGAGATGAAGGTCTAGTTTCATTCTTTTGCATATGGATATCTAGTTTTCCATTTATTGAAGAGACTGTGTTTTCCCTCATGTGTTCTCAGCATCTACCTTGAAAATCAATTGACCATAAATGCGTGGATTATTTCTGGCCTCTCTGTTCTGTTCTTTTGGTCTATGTGTCTGTTTTTATGTGAGTACCATACTGTTTTGATTACTATAGCTTAGTAGTAGATTTTGAAATCAGGTAGTGTGATGCCTCCAGCTTCGTTCTTTTTGCTCAAGATTGCTTTAGCTATTCAGGGTTTTTTGTGGATCCATATGAATTTTAGGATGGATTTTTTTATTTCTGGGAAAAATGTCCTTGGAATTTAGATAGAGATTATATTGAATCTGTAGTTTGCTTTTATAATATGGATATTTTAATAATATTAGTTCTTTGAATCCATGATCACAGGGTATCTTTCCATTTATTTTGTGTATTCTTCAATTTATTTCATCAGTGTTTTATAGTTTTCAGCATGTAGATTTTTTCACCTCCTAAATATTTTATTGTTTTGCTTAGCTATTGTAAATCGGATTGTTTTCTTAGTTTGTTTTACAGATAGACCACCGTTAGCATATAGAAACACTACTGATTTTTCTATGTTGATTTTCCTGCAACTTTATTAGATTTGTTTATTAGTTCTAACAGCTTTTTAATAGAGTCTCTTTAGGGTTTTGAATATATAAGATTATGTCATCTGCAGAGACAGTTTACTTCTTTTCTGATTTGGATGTCTTTTCTTTCTCTTGTCTAGTTGCTCTGGCTAAAACTTCCAGTAGTATGTTGAATAGAAGTGGGGAGAGTGGGCATCCTTGTCTTGTTCTTAATTGTAGAGGAAGAGCTTTCAACTTTTCATCATTGAGTATAATGTTTGCTGTGGACTTGTCATGTATGGCCTTTATTGTGTTGAGGTACAATCCTCATGTAATTTGTTGAAGCTTTTTACATTGAATTTTGTCAAATGCCTTTTTCACATCTATTGAGATGATTATATGGTTTTTGTCCTTCATTCTGTTAATGTGGAGTATCACATTTACTGATTTGTGTATGTTGAATCATCCTTGCATCCCAGGGATAAAGCCCACTTGGTCATTGTAAATGTTATTTCAATTATTTCTCTGTGTTTGATTGAAGGTAACTGAGCTTCTGTAAAACAATTATTTAGAATTATTTATCCAGGTCTACTACTGGGAGATTATTGTGATCTTCTAGTGGTATTATGTCCTCTTCATTTTTCAGTTTCTTATTGACTTACATTAATGCCTGTGCATTTTGTGGACCAGTCACCTCTTGCGGACTTTACAGGCTGGTTTCAGCTTCCTCTATGGGGGAAGGAAGGTGTGAGGGTACTTGCTTGGTGGGATATAGCAGTTCTGGGACTACTGAGGATACCAGGTATATATTCCCTGTGCAGATCAGCCCACCAAGGTCAGTGTTGGCAAAGATTCTAGTGCTCCTCAGTGGCTAATGCTGTAGATATCTATAGTGGCAGTGAGGCATGTTGGGGTCTTTGGGTATGGCTGCCAAGGTCATCCTGATTTTTCTCTCATTGCAGAAGTTGAATGCCCCTTGGCACTGGTTCTGACTCATAGGCTCACTTGCAGCGGCAGTGGCCCTTGTAGAGTGGCTGGGGAGCTGAGGACTGAAGCACAAGCATGAGTGGAGAGACTATGGCTACAGGATCTTGGACAGTTTAAAAACCCCAGGACTTAGGGCACAGATATTTCGCTACTGTATTGATAACAGAATGCGAGGTACCAGATGTTTGTGAGACAGCTGAAGTAGCCAAGAATGGGAGCACAGATGTGCTCAGAGTTAATCCAGCTCTAGGGACAGAGTGGTGCCTAGGTCTCTATGGCAGCTGAGCTGGTGCTTGGGACATAGGTACCTCTGCTGCCATGTTGGTAGCAGTATGTGAGGCCCAGATGCTTGTGAAGTAGCTTTTAGAGCCAAGGAAAGGAGCAGAAGCATGCGTAGAGTTAGAGCAGCTCCTGAGTTGGGGTGGGTTCTAGCTCTCTGTTGCAGCTGATCCAGGGCCTGGAGATGGGGCATGCACAATAAAGGCGTGGCTCTGAGGCCTGGAGCATGAACGAACTATAGCAATGGTTCTAGTGTCGGGGCAGGCCCAGTGCAGCCACAGAGCCTGGGGCTGCAATGTGGACACTAGCAGAACAACTGTGGCTTCAGGATCAGGGCTCACTGGGCCATGGGAGAATTGGCAGAGCTTTGCCCAAAGTAATTCAAGAGTAGCTGCTGCTTGGATGGTGGTGAATGTTCAGATGCATCTCCCTCTCTGGGGTTCCCCAGCAGAAGGGCTGTCGTTTACCTCAGTGGCAAGTGATGCCAGTGTCCTCTAGGGAGCAGGCCTCTGGAAACTATGGTAGTTCCTGCTGCATGGCCGATACCAATAGCATCTGCCTTTCTTCTTTGTTCCTAGCTATCTCCTTGTGCCTCAGGTATGTAGACCTCACAGGTGATCCTGTCCTATGTAGATATTCTTCGTTTCTTTTCCTCCATTGTGTTGCTGCAGATTCTTCAATGGGCCCTGGAGCTCTCTCTGGGCTATTTGGGTTTGTGAATAGGTGTCTGTATTTGTTTTTTAGTTGTGGGGGAATAAAGGCTGGTGTCTCCTACTTTGCCATCTTGGTGACCTCACCTCCCATTATATCCCATTCTGATTAAGATTCCTATATTGAATGTTCTCCATGAATACATTTCAAATAAACTCAAAAAAGTCTGACACTGTGTAGGGAAATAGTTGAAGGGAAAAATACTAGCTTCTGTTATTCACACATGAGTAAAATATGGTTTGGTTTTTTTTTTAATTTAGATAATCATGTTAGGAGTTTGCATAATAAGCAAAATCGAATTTTTGAACAGTGCTTACAAAAGATTAATATCTCTTGTCCCTCAAAGATTGAAAAGTTAATGTGAATATCCTTTGTCCTGTTGTATTCTGCCTCCATATTCTCTATCTCTGTCACATAAAATAGAGGAAAATTGGCCAGGCACAGTGGCTCACACCTGTAATCCCAGCACTCGGGGAGGCCGAGGTGGGAGGATCACGAGGTCAGGAGTTCGAGACCAGCCTGACCAACATAGTGAAACCCAGTCTGTACTAAAAATACAAAAATTAGCTGGGTGTGGTGGTGGGCACCTGCAATCCCAGCTACTCAAGAGGCTGAGGCAGGAGAATCGCTTGAACCCTGGAGGCAGAGTTTGCAGTGAGCCGAGATCTCGCTGCTGCACTCCAGCCTGGGCAACAGAGGGAGACTTCGTCTCAAAAAAACAAAAAAATAGAGGAAAATCCCACTGACTCTTTTCATTGTGACATCCAAATTGTTCTATTGTAATAAATATTTTGCTGTGATTATTTAATAAAAATCTCATCTCCTATGCCATAAATATAGAACTAGGATTGATAATCTATATTTTACCAAAACTCATGAACCTGCAGAAAAACAAAACATTGGTTTTTAAAACATTTTGGAAATGTTAAAAAATATTTTTTGAATAAATAAAATGTATTTAACTTAAACTGAACGGGACTGTTTTAGTAGGATGAGCATCCTCCCGGGCTTCTTTCCCAGTCACACGTTTATTAGGAAATAAATCACAGTTCTAGTTCCTTCTATTGATTCTCCCCATTCCAGGGAGTGTACGTGCTCTCTCTCAGCTTCCTCAAATGAGATATGTCATAGTCGCCGTCTTCCAAGAGAATGACAGTTTCTAGCTGGGGAGGACAGAATTAGAAGTAGTGTAGTGGTGAATGATGACCTGGTGATTATCCAGCCATGTTGGGGTCTCCCAGTTCTTTGACATTTCATCCCAGACTAGTGACACTTAGGGGTGGCATTTATTTATGAAACAAACCAAGGAAGCTTCATGCAGACATCCAGATGTCCCACTGCTTGGAGGACAAAGACCTCTATCCCTGGCAAAACAACTTTGAGGTTTATTTGGTTGGGCTGCTTTCATAAGTTCTAAGAGGCATGCAACTCTGATGCCCCTCATTTTCTGGAACGCTTAACCAAGTCAAGTTTATTGTTGGCTGTAGACACAACTTGGGACAGTTCATAAAATGGGAATAGGTAATAAGCAGACAGCTAAGCTTTCAGAGCCAGAACATCCTTCTCATTGGCCAAATGAAGCCCCAGCTACAACAGGGGATGAGATTTAAATGTCTGTGATAAAACAAAAATAGCACCAAATTAACACCAGGCATGATTGACATTGCAGGAAATTCCCCTTGGAGTTGGACTCAACAATCACGAAGAATTGATGAAAAGCCAAATTGACTCAAAAAAAGTCTATTCTGAAAGAAAAACTAAAAGAGCTGAGAGGTGGCTATTTATCCTCTCTAAAAATTAGCTATATATACCATACAAACTACCCAGTAAGTGTGAATTTAGCATACACTTAGTGAGTACCCAGCATGTGCCAGGCACTTTCTTTTCTCCAGTTTTGACAGCATCTACTTGAGCCATCAGGGGGCCAGTGGCCAGGTCTGTTTCTCCAGCTCATTTGTCTCCTCTGAGCCTCAAACCTTCTAGAGTTATCCTCTTTGATGTCCTTTAGATCTTCCACTCAACAGAAGTCAAAACTGACCTTTAACTTTTCCTCAAAAGTGATTCCTTCCACTGTGTTCTCTATTTGCCCGTGAATGAAACTTAGGGAGGCATGTAGAGTTGTTCCCTGTCCCTCCCCCTTACCAAGTGCTGGTGATTCTGCCTCACATATAGCTCTTCAATCCATCCCTTTCTATACTTAGTGCAGCCCCTCAAATCTCTCCCATGAATAGTAAATAGCCTCCTACTTGGCTCTTTGCCATCAAGTTCAACCCCCTTCAGTCTACCCTCCACTCACTACCGGTGTCATTGATCTGAAAATTAAATCTGATGTCACTTACCTGCTTAAAACGTTTTTATGGTTGTCATCTCAAGGGTAAAATTCAAAGTTCTTTTAAAAATAATAATATTAATAATAGCTAACATATGGTAAGTACTTACAGTGTACCAGGCATAAATCTAAATCCTTTATATAGATTAACTTCTTAATTTTCACAACACACTATGAGGTAAGGACTATATCCTCATCTAATTTTTTTATGTTGTTGTTGTTGTTGTTGTTTTGAGACGGAGTTTCACTCTTGTTGCCCAGGCTAGAGTGCAATGGTGCAGTCTCAGCTCACTGCAACCTCTGCCTCCCAGATTCAAGAGATTCTCTTGCCTCAGCATTCCAAGTAGCTGGGATTATAGGTGCGCACCACCACACCTGGCTAATTTTTGTATTTTTAGTAGAGACAGGGTTTCACCATGTTGGCCAGGCTGGTCTCGAACTCTGCCTCCCAAAGTGCTGGGATCAGAGGTGTGAGCCACCACGCCCAGCCTATATCCTCATCTTAAAATGAAGAAACTGAAGCAAGTTTTCTCCCAGTGAATACTGCATTCCAGTTTTTGTAAACTACTTGCTATACTGCAATACACCATGATTTGTCATACTGCATTTGCTTTTCTCTTTGCCCTGAATACCATTCCCACCTAATTAACCACTCCTTCGAGATGGGGCAACACAGTGCCACTCTGGCCCTGTCCATCTGAGAAAACTAATTGCTCCTTCTTTTTGTTGCCATAATCTTACATGTGTATACATAACTCTTCAGGTTTGTTCATGTCTAGAGTACATGTACTGTGTCTAATTTCGTATGGATTTGCAAAGATTCAGAATGTTTAGTGGTATATTAGTCTGTTTTCACACTGCTATAAAGATATACTTGAGACTCGGTAATTTATAAAGAAAAGAGGTTTAATTGGCTCACAGTTCTGCAGGCTGTACAGGAAGCTTGGCAGCTTCCGCTTCTAAGAAAGCTCAGGAAGCTTCCAATTATAGTGGAATGCAAAGGGGGAGCAAGGCGTCTCACCTGGTGGGAGCAGGAGCAAGAGAGAGAAGCAGGAAGGTGCTACACACTTTTCACCAACCAGATGTCACAAGAACTCAGAGTCACAAGGACAGTGTGGGCATGGGGGTGGGGGGTGGACTGGTGGTAAATCATTCATGGAGGATCCACCCCATGAACCAGTCACCATCCACCAGGCCCCGCCTCCAACATTGGGGATTATAATTGGTCCTGAAATTTGGGTAGGGACACAGATCCAAACCATATCAAGTGGTAATATCGTATGTTCTTTTATCATGCTGCTTATAACAGCTTTTTTTAAACCCATGGGCTTTTGTGACAACAATGCATCTAGGGGCATGTTCACCCTTTGATAGTTATCTTGTTGCCTAGAAAACATTTAATCTGAACACTAGGTATTTCTTTTTTGAATGTAAAACATGGGTCGGCCACATGGCTGACAGGCCAAATCCAACCCTTTTTAGTAAATCAAGTTGTATTAGAAGATAGCCACACTCATTTGTTTGTGTATTATCTACGGTTACTTTCTCACTACAATAGCAGAGTCAAATAGTTGCCACAGAGACTGTATAGCCCAAAAAGCCCAAGATACTTACTATCTGGCCCTTTATAGAGAATATTTGCTGATGCATGATGTACAAGATTAAGGGATTGAGTATTATTTTAGTTCATTTAGTGTTGCTACAACAGAACACCTGAGGCTGGGTAATTTATCAAGAAAAGAGGTTTATTTATTCACGATTCTGGTGGTTTGAAAATTCAGGCTTGGGCAGCTACATCTGGTGAGGGCCTTATGCTGCTTCAGCTCATGATGGGAAGCAGAAGGGGAATGCACATGTGCAAAGAGATCATCACATGGCGAGAGAGGAAGCAAGAGAGAGACCAAGGAAGCCAGACTCTTTAACAAACTACTCTTGTGGGAACGAATCCACTTCTGTGAGAGCAAGAACTCACCCCCTCACCTCCATAGGAGGCCATTAATGTATTAACAACCCAAACTCCTCCCAGCAGGCCCTGCCTCCCAGCATTGCCACATTGGGCATCACATTTCAACATGAATGTTGGCAGAGACAAATCACATGCAAATTATCACTCAAGTGTGTACCAATTTGGTCACATATATTCATGCAACCATTCATTCATCAATTAAAGCTTTAAAAGCTAGATATTTGTCAGCTATCACAGTGTCAGCATATTTTATTGCTCTATAGCTGCTTTTTCTTAAAGTGAACCAACTGGGGTCGGGGGCAATGGCTCACGCCTATAATATCAACACTTTGGGAAGCCAAGGCAGGCAGATTGCTTGAGGTCAAGAGTTCAAGACCAGTCTGGCCAACATGGTGAAACCCCATCCCTACTAAAAGTACAGAAATTAGCCAGGTGTGGTGGCGGGCACCTGTAATACCAGCTACTCAGGAGGCTGAGGCAGGAGAATCGCTTGAACCTGGGAGGCAGAGGTTGCAGTGAGCCGAGATTGCGTCACTGCACTCCATCCTTGGTGACAGAGTGAGACTCCATCTCAAAAATATATATTTTTTTTAAATTAAAGAAAGGAACCAACTGGGGAAAATACCCAGTCCATTTGGGGTTATAGTAAAATAGTTCTATTATAGTTATAACAGGATCAATAAAATCACCTGCAAAAATGTGTTTTATTAAACAGAGCTTTTGTTTCTCATGATGGTTTCTGAAATGATATTTTTTTCCCTACACTTATCAACAGAACGATTCTAATAGAAAGAGATTGTAGGCCAGGCACAGTGGCTCACACATGTAATTCCAACACTTTGGGAGGCTGAGGTGGGAGGATCTCTTGAGGCCAGGAGTTTGAGACCAGCCTGGGCAACAGAATGAGACTCCATCTACACAAAAAAATAACAAAAATTAGCCAGGTATAGTGGCATGTACCTATAGTCCTAGCTACTCGGGAAGCTGAGGTGAGAGGATCACTTAAACCCAGGAAGTTGAAGCTGCAATGAGCCAAGATTGCACCACTGCACCCTAGCCTGAATGACAGAGCAAGACCCCATCACAAAAAAAAAAAAAAAAGAAAAGAAAAGAAAGAGATTATTATAGGGAAAGAAGTACAGTGTCCAGCCAAGCTCTCATAAACTCTCTCTGAGATTCAATTTATTCTTCTGTTAGCAGAATAGAATACATTATCTCAGCATATATGATCTTCCAGCTCAGGGATATCAGGTTTTGTACAATACTTTTTACTTAAATACACATGATATTTTAATCCTTGGCAGATGACATATTAGAGTCATTAACTTGCATTTGTTGTTTAATTAAATGCCAGGTCCTGTTGAAATGAATTTGTTATGTGTAGGCCATTTTCATGTGTCTAATATAGGCTGTTTATGATATGACATTTGTATTTTTATAACGATATATATATATATATTTTTTTTTTACAGAATTATGTTAGAGTTGTGGAGGTTTGGTGGGATGAATATAAAGACTACTTCTATGCTAGTCGTCCTGAATCGCAGGCATTACCATATGGGGATATATCGGAGCTGAAAAAATTTCGAGAAGATCACAACTGCAAAAGTTTTAAGTGGTTCATGGAAGAAATAGCTTATGATATCACCTCACACTACCCTTTGCCACCCAAAAATGTTGACTGGGGAGAAGTAAGTAGTCACATCTCAAAATGTATGTGTTTGTAGACTGAGTTTGGGAGAAGGCAGAGAGAGGTGGAAATATGTAAGAGGGAAGTATTCTTGGGGAAAAGTTGGGGTAAAAACTGTCTGATAGGATCTACCACCTTTCCACTAAACAGCTATAGCTGCCAGACCAGCTGGCCACCATGCTGTCTCCTGGCAGCCTTTGCTCATTGGCCCCCTAGCCTGCAAGACATCCACTCTTCACTCCAGCTCCTGGCGCCTCCATGCCTCTTACTCCAACTCCCTTCCTTAACTAATTTCAATTTATCTTACTGCTCTCAACTTAGAGATCACCAATACTGAAAAGCCCTTCTTACTATTCCCCACTTCATCAAAAAGATGCAGTTCTATGTTCTTTCCAGGGGTTCTCACAACACCCAAAATCACCTATCTCCCAACCAGTCTGAGTGCTTCAGGACCTTGATCACTTGTGTCCAGGTGGACTGATGCAGGGACCCATATACAGTAGATACTCCAACAATGCTTTTCAAATGAATTAAAAATAATTAAAATCAGACAAAAGCACTTTGACAATCAGACATTGTCATTTCTTTGTTTATTCAAACTTGTCTTCAGACTCACTTCTGATTGCTCCCTGCAGCCCCGCTGTATGCCTCACAGGTACACTAAACCTGCCATGAACGTTCAAGTCTACATCCCTCTGCTTAATTATGTTCAGCAAATATTGGTTGAGGGCCTACTATGTGCCAGTCACTCTTCTAGACAGAAAACCAGAGAAGCAAAGTCGTTTTTCTCAGGGAACTGGCATGCTACCTGGGGAGAGAGACCAAAAAAGTCTGAGAAAACAAAAATGATAATGACAGATGGTGATAAATGATAATGACACATAATACTGTCAAGAGGACTTAAGGGCAGGGTAAGGAAAGCCTCTCTGAGGAGGTGACATTCGCTCTCAGATCTGAATGATAAAGAGTCAGCCAATCAGAGAGTGGAGATGAAGGGAAGCTGACCAACTGCGGAAGCATAGTTCATCTGGGAGTGGATTCCTTATGGGTTGGTGTGTGAAGGGATAAGGGCCAGAATGACATCGAGGTTGTTTTGAGTAGCTGATTAGGTGGCTGCTGAGATTGGGAAGATAGTAGGGGAGTGAATGGAGGGGGCAAGGCTTCTGTTGGTGTTCTGGGCATGTGAAGTACCTGCTAGGCGTCCAGGTAGAGCCATTAAGGCCTACTGATCATAGATTGTAGGTTGTATGATGCCAAAGTCCAGAAGAGAGGCCACTCTGGAGATGTGCATTTGGGGCCATCAGCAGGTAGGTCGTTTCATGGGACTGAATGAGGTCCCCGAGGGAGAAAACACAGATAGAGAAGAGAAGACTAGACCCATCCGTCAGAAACGCCAGCATTTAGAGTTCAGGAATAGAAGGAAAAACCAACAGAGGACACTCATGCTGCTCTCTCTGTACTTCTTGCTTTAATATACTTTTTCCCTATACTCTTATTTTACCTGTCCTATTACAGCAAATTATGTTTAACTCCAACTAGACCATAAGCCTTTCAACACACAGATCTCTCTCTGAGGGCCCAGACAAGTATATCCAACTGTATGCTTAACATCAGGACTTGAATGTGTAACAGGCATTTCAAACTCGACATAGCCTAAATTGAACTTCCTATCTCCTCCCCCCAACCCATCTTTGCTGATTTCTTGGTCAAAAACTTTGGAGTCTTCCATGAATCCTGTCTTTGTCTCGCACTTCATATCTAGTTCCAGAATCTGATCCCTTGTTGCCTGGTCTAAGCCACCATCATCTCTCACTGAGACTAACTTGTTGACTCTCCTACAGCCTATTTCAAATACAGCAGTCAGAGTGACTGTTTTAAAATAAAGGCAAATCATGTCCTTCTTCTGCTAGAAACCCTGCACCTTCACCTATGAGTGAAGACAAAGTCCTTTCTGGTAGTCTCCAAGATCCACAACATCTGTCCCCATTCCTCTCTGGCCTCACCTGCTACTGCTCTCCCCACTCCACTCCAGCCCCATGTCCTTACTGGTCCTCAGACTCCCTCCAGGCATGTGCCTGCCTGTGCTGTTCCCTCTGCCAGGAATGCTTCCTTGCAGATACACGCATGCATGGCCAGCTCTCACACCTCCTTCAAGTCTGCTGACCTACCACTTCTCAGTGAGGTCCACCTTGTTACTTCCCAACGCCCTAGCTCCCACCCTAACTTCCTCTTCTTTTCCTTTTTTTCACCACACTTATCACCTTTTGCCATAACAGACAAATTGTCTACTATGTTTTTTAACTTATATTCTGTCTTTTTTCCCTTACATTCCCAGAGTGAATGGAGGCAGGGGCCCACATTCACTGTGGCATGCCCATTACTGGGGTAGGTGTCTTTATTTTGTTCACTAGTGTTTCAGAGCCTACAACATGCCTGGCACACATCAGGTACTTAATATTTGATGATTGAATAAATACATGAATGAATAAATGGAATTTTCTGTCCTCCTTTTACTGTCTCACTCCCAAGTATATCTTCAGTTTAACCTCTTCCCATTCTGACATCTGCACTTTATACTTCATTTCTCGGCATTTCCTTAACATTCCAGGGTAAACCCCTACCTGTTTTAAAGGTGTCTCTTGGGGCAGTCTTTGGAGCTCCTCCAGGCAGGGTGAGCAGCTCTTCCTCTGTACATTCACACCTCTGTCCTGACTGGTCCACTACCCCTCTGTCTCTCTACAGGCGGTGAGGACCATGACTTGCACCTCTTCATATCCTCAAAACCTGTTATCATTATAGGTGCACAGTCCATATTTGCTGACTGAATGCAAGAATAAAACATTTTATCCAAATAGTATAGCGATTTATAATTCAGAGAAATAAATGGCTTTTCCAAAAATAGTTCTTTTCATACAAAATGTACATTCCAAAGATGGAAACCTGTGTTTGCTTTTCATCTACGTTTATAGAGAAAAGCCTCACTGCCTGGTCATGTGCCATGCATGGCCTATGCACCCTAGACCCCTACAGGCAGCTACCAAAAGTGCTGCATAGCCATTTGGGAGAGGTCCCTTACAAATCCAGTCTGTTCTAGATATCTAGGGCCAGGCCAGTGTTTATTACCACTGTGGTTAGGTTCTCTATTTGCTTCTCATTCACATGAATTACTGTGATTCTGAAATTGCAATTAATGGTAACTTTTTTTTTCTCTGTGGTATTTTACGGAAATGTATAGTCCTTTGCTCTTAGAGAAAGAACCCATTCCAGTGTTGACTTCAAGACCATAAGTTATTTCAAAACTATGTAAAGATTGACAATCCAGTAATAACCTGTCACTACACATACCCAGATTTTCCCTGTAAACTGTAATATTTAACATGAAATGTTAAATTCTGATGCCAGAGTTCATCAAAAACTAAACTGTTGCCTGCTTTTTGCGTCTTTATTCATTTTTTTAGATCAGAGGCTTCGAAACTGCTTACTGCATTGATAGCATGGGAAAAACAAATGGAGGCTTTGTTGAACTAGGACCCTGCCACAGGATGGGAGGGAATCAGGTAAACCACCTTACTTTTGTGTTTAAGTTGTTCCGTATTGAGGGCCATCAGGTTTATTGATCACAGAGTGATCTTTGTACTTTGGTTTTCGATTTGGTAATTTTGTTTGTTTTGATAAAGTAAAACATTCTGTAAAAAAATTGACAGTGTTAAAACATTCACTTAAATGATGGGAATAATAGCAGTATTGGTTTTCACATAAGCAGTCAGAATCTAGAATTAATGTCTAATATAAGGGATTAAAATATATTCCTGTGGGAGTATATATTTGTCACTACCGTAACTATGTAAGCCTAGCTCCCTAACAATTTTTTGCAAGTATTGCTCACTAATCCTCATCTTTTTGCAAATAGAGTGTTACTGCCAGTAATGTATATTTCACTAATATATATTCTCTTACTTATGTGGGTATGTTTTTGCTTTTTCATTTTTTCACATTGTTGGTACTTAATAAATTTGTGTTAGTGACCCATTTGGTATCTTAGAGACTAAAGAACTTAATGATTTCAGTGTTAATAAGGATCTTCACTAACATCAAAATAAATATAATTTGTCTGTGGACTTACAGTTCTAAACAAAATTATGGAAAAATAAGTTAGTCATTCAATTTAATTATAGGAGTTAAGTTTCTTTCTTTTCAAATGCACATCAGCAGGGAAGGTGCCTCTGTTACTTAATTCTCTCTTTTCCTTTTACAGCTTTTCAGAATCAATGAAGCAAATCAACTCATGCAGTATGACCAGTGTTTGACAAAGGGAGCTGATGGATCAAAAGTTATGATTACACACTGTAATCTAAATGAATTTAAGGAATGGCAGTACTTCAAGGTATTCTGCATTTTAACTTCTGAAATATTATATGCTTTTCATTTTCAGTAACATCTAGCATGTGGAATTTAGATAAATAAATCTTAAAACCTGCATTCAAATTCACTTGCATTTTCCTCTCATTTAGTCCCTTGCATAGGTTTTCCTGAGCACTGGATGACTCATTGTTCTATAATGAGGCATCACTTTTGTTCTCTCTTACAATATTGTCATGTAATGAGGCCACGATGATGTCTATAAAGAGCACTGCTAATTTTAGTAATACAAGAAAGTCAGTGTTCTGTGAGGCAGTCATCACCATTGCTCTCATCAAAATCTGATTTTTGAAATGTAAATGAATCATTCATTAAAGTAAAATATATTTAAATATATTTATACTATTAAAAATTTGGTTAATATTTGATATTGTCCAGCAGGTGGAGATAGAGACAAACAAATAAAACTTGAAATCTAGGCTTTCATAACGTCTTTATCATTGTTGTGTGCTAAATACAGTGGGATAAATGTAGCTAGTTGCTTACTTTAATGGTCAAATTTAGTTATTCACGTGACACTGCTGGGGTAGCTTTGTGTTTCAGCTGTGAGTATTTAAAGCTCTGTGGCAAGTTGAGGATTACAACATATTAATAGATTTATGTATAGTTTTCAAATTCTAGATTTGGCTAACATAAATCAATTTATTATTAAACAAAAAGTGGGGAAAGCTGCCTCACACTAAAAAAATCTGTCAACCCTCCATTTTATTTACTCACCCAGTATTTGTTATCATATCCCATCTGTCATGCAAGCAAGGACTTGTTTGCTATGTAATAATGATATGACCTAGCTTAACATTCCCTGTTACTGTCATTTACAGATAATTTCCAGGAAGTGATAAGCACGTATCAATTGATGATTTTGTTTCTTATAACAAGTTAGGAAGGAGAAGAATAGCATAAACCTTAAAGAGTGGAGCATTTATTTTCACAAAAAAAAAGGATATATAATAGCAATAAATAGTAGGGGTCAGTGAGAACAATATTAGCAAAATAGTAAAAGAGGGCTAACACACCAGAAACTACATCAAGAAGTAATTGAACAAAAAATGACACATAACATGTTTTAGGTATTTTAAAGACGCAGCACTGAATATACATTTGTGTGTTAGATATTACTGAACATTCACTTGGGGACCAATAATATGTTAGACTGTAGGGGAGTTCAAAAATATAGCTAAAGCACGCTATTATATAATGGCAGAGAAGAAAGAAATGCAAAAATAGAGATAAGCAAAATGCCATAGGACAGAAAAGAGTGATTCATGGGAGGAATTACTGCTGAGGAGTTTCATAGAGGAAGTGTCATTGCACAAGTCCTGAAGTGTAAAAAGGCTTTCCATGGAAAGTAAATAAGAAAGCCTGGATGAGCAAAGATGTGGCATGAAAACATGTAGAAAATTCAAAGAATTGTATTTCATTTGGTATCCCTCAATTGTGCTTTGGAGGAAAGAGCACCGAACTTCATTTTTTAAGTTTTGGAGAGGGATAGACCTTATTTGAGGAAGGTAGTGATGGAAAACAATGGCTACTTTTAGGAAAATAATTCTGGAAACGTGAGGTATGGACTGATGAAGCAACGAGATCAGCTTGAGCAGCAGTTCTCAAACTTTCTGTCCTCTGGATTCCCTTTACACTCTTAAAAATTTTTGAGCTCCCCCACCCCCAAATTGCTTTTGTTTATATAGGTTATCACTAGCAATATTTCCAGAACTGGAAAGTGTCTGAGAAATTTGTAAAGTTTTTATATATTAATTCATCTAAAAGTAATAATAATATACTTATTAAACATTAATGTAAATGACATTTTTAATGAAAAATAACTATGTTTACCCACAAAAAATAGTGAGAAGAATGGAATTCTGTATTTTTGCAAATCTCTTTAATGTCTGGTTTAATAGAAGAAGACAGCTGGATTCTCATACTCCTGCTTCATTTGGTCTGATCTGAAATGTTGTTTTCGTTCAAGTATATGAGGGAAACCCAGCCCCACACAAGCATACAGTTTGTAAAGGGAGCGAGTACTTTAATAGCCGTTCATATAATTGTGGCTGTTTTTTTATTGTACACCACAACTTAATAATTAAGTGGTAGTTTCTTAAAAGTTATTTCCAGTGTAGACTGATATCCTTGAGCATTGTACCTCATTATATGGAAGTACTTGATACGTACTTCCCACTTCATCTCATAGAATTTTTTTTAAGTATACTGAGGGGTCAAGACTGAATAAAACGAATGTTTTGCTCCTTCATCAGTGACATCCTTAAGTGAAACCGGCATTTACTTTTCAACTGTGTGTGGCCATGAGCAATACAACTATAGGTACTAGCATAGTTTGATTCATGCTAAGGCACCATCAGTTTTACTCACCATTGCTTTTGCACTATCGGTATAAATGTTGCTAAAGTGAAAAGGCAATGGTGTCTTCGTATTATGATGAAAATAGTTTCGGCCTTACAGACCCAATCCTGGATAGTCTGAGGACCAGACTTTGAGAAGCTCTGAGCTATATTGAAGAAACCTACAGCATATGGTGAGGGCCAAACCAGGGCATCTGCAGTGGCGATGGGAAGGAATATAAACCAGAGACATTGCACATATCCATCCTTAGTGACTGGTATGTGAGTGAATGAGGAAAAGTGCAGTATTTCCTAAGGACTAGAGAGCTGGGAATGTCATTAGCCAGGATAGGAACAAGAGACATAGATTTGGAGGGGCAGATAATGAATTTAGGTTTGTATACATTGAGTGTGAGATACCAGCAGTATATTGTGACTTAACAATGAAAGATCTTAGGACTTAGAAAACTGACAATCAAGAGAAATCCAGAAAACTGACAATCAAGAGAAATCCAAAGTCTGAGGTGTGGTTGAGAAGCTTTTCCATTTCCTTAAACTGTCTCCTCATGAAAGTCAAGTGATGATTTCTGATGTCAGTGATATCAAGGGTCCAAATTTGAAACTTTTTTCTTACTGTGTTTTCCAGAACCTGCACAGATTTACTCATATTCCTTCAGGAAAGTGTTTAGATCGCTCAGAGGTCCTGCATCAAGTATTCATCTCCAATTGTGACTCCAGTAAAACGACTCAAAAATGGGAAATGAATAACATCCATAGTGTTTAGAGAGAAAAAAATAAACCAATAACCTACCTACTGACAAGTAAATTTATACAGGACTGAAAACCGCCTGAAACCTGCTGCAACTATTGTTATTAACTCTGTATAGCTCCAAACCTGGAACCTCCTGATCAGTTTGAAGGACATTGATAAACTGTGATTTTACAATAACATTATCATCTGCAGTTACTGTTTACAAGACTGCTTTTACCTTAAACTTTGTAGATGTTTACATCTTTTTGTTGTGTTTTAAGATGATGTTGGTAATTTGTGCCTTTAGCTCTGTTTTATTAGACAGAGTTAAAGCATGTTGTCTTCTTTGGGATTACACTCAGGGGTCTGAAAGGCAGTTTGATTTTTATTTTTAACACACTTGAAAAAAGGTTGGAGTAGCCAGACTTTCATATATAACTTGGTGATTATCAACCTGTTGTGTCTTTATTTAATTTTACATCTTTTTGAAGCACTGCCACAGGTTATTAGCCAAGGTGGCCTTCCTTCACAGTCATGCTGCTTTTTTGAAAGGTGAATTTCAACACATTTAGTGCCTCTTTCATTTCTCAGTATATATTTCAAGAGCTTGTGATGAAATCTATAGGATGGTAATGATGGACTTGTCACCTGTATGGGGAATACTTTTACTACTCAGAAATGAATTTATGTGCTGCCATTTGCTATAAAGTTGAACTTTGTATGGCTTGAAAAAGAAATGACAATATGGAACATCCCAAGGCTGTCCCATAGGGTTGGAAGTTGTGTAGCATTCACTCCCTTACCTACTGGCATTCCCAGTGCCCTCTGTCCATACCTACTTCTAGGATTGCAAAGGAGTCTTCCAACTAGAGAAAAATTGTCCACTGACATTTGGGATTTACTTTTCTCCAATACCTGCCAATACAGAAAACTATTATCAGTTGTTATTGTTATCCCTTGAAAGCGAGGGTGACAAAAACAACAAAACACCGTTATAAACACATCAAAGGTTCATTCTGACTGAGGTAAGACTTTCCAAGCCCTTGTTAGATTAGGCCTTATAAAACTTGTGTGCATTATAACCTAAGCTGTGCAACCTGTGAAGCCAAGAGTGAACTGATGTTTCATTTATATTTTCATCCAAATGACATTATCTGCACGTTTTTAAAATTTAAAAACAAAGGACTATTTAAAAATACAGTTTATTAACAAACGTGAACTACTTTCTGTTACATTAGGTGTTCCCTAGTGTTTCTTAATTTCTTTTTAGAAAGTGTATTTTTATTAGTATTTTTCCGGTGAACAGAAGATTTGTTTGGATTTAAACATTTACTAAGACAGTACCTATTAGGAAAACCAAATATTGCAAATGGTCAATTCGATTTTAATTTCTCAAAAGATACTCTGTTATCCAGAAGATTAAAATGCCTACATTGAGTGCTTAAAAAAAAAAAAACAACTGTGATGATGTGAGCAGAATGGCAAGTAAGTTAAGCATTTTTGATCCTGTAATCATGGTATCATTACAATGAAAGGAATTCACAAACTACTGCCAGAGGAAGTTTGTTTTTTAATTTAAGAGGGAAATATAACCTATAAATTTGTTTCTTCCAAGCTTAGCTCTTAAATTTGGAGACTCAAAGTTAAACATCCTCAACAGAGTTTTATTTATAATTTTGAATTGTCAATTTGTATTTTGCTACTGATCTGTGATCAACCATTTTAACTTTCATCTCTAGGGATGTTTAACATTTATAATTGCAAAATAAACCAACTATAAAAAAAGAAACTAAGAGAGAATTGGTACTTTAATTACTTGTGTGTTTGCAAATAGGCTCCATTTTCCATGTTGAGTAGATTATAACCTTATTAACTATGCATAGGCCTAAGAAAGGTGGCAATGAACTGTGCATGTAAATTTTAAATGGGTACTTTGTGCAATTCGTTAAAAGAAGATACTCTATGAATATGATTCTATATATTGAAATCAGAAAACCTACCAAACAAAAACATCAGAAGCTGCTGCCATAATGACTATTTTCTACTGTAGGCTGCTTTGGAAATAATTCCCATATCCTTGCTTTGTAAGTTGGTAATATCACTATGCATTTCTACACATTTTATAAATTTGATTTATGCAGATTTTGATACACTGTATGTTTCTGTAGAAATTGTATAAATATTCAAAATTTTATTAGGATAAATTTGAGAAACTTACGTATATCTTAATTCTGGGTTGCTTGTTTTTTAGGTGACAAAAATAAAATATTGTATTTTAATTCATGGGTTTTTTTGGTGCTTGTAATCATTTCAAATCTAAACACTGCACATTTGAAAGAATTACTTGATTTTACTATTTACAAGACACACAATACCTAAAATATTATAGACCATAGTTATTAGTTGAGTATGTGCTTGACTGTTGCTTAGCATTCTGTTACACATGCTTAGAATACTCAGAGCTTATGTATCTGTTGGAAGGAAACAAAGGTTTATTTTTACCTGTTTGCCTATGTATACCAATTTTTTAAGTTTATACTTTTTTTAATTATAAAAAATTACCCCAGCAACATATATCCTTCTTGGCTGTATATAGAATTGCCTTCTTGGCTGTACTATAGAATTGCCTATTAGAAGCAAACATGCCTTCAAATCAAATTTGTTTACAACCTGACAGATCAGGTTAAGTGGAGAAAAATGAAGAGAAGGGAAGCCTACCACAATGAAATTAGAAATAGTCCATAGCACCTTGTACAAAACACATCTCAAGAGAAGATACGGTTGCTAACAGATTCAAGTAAGTGGCTGTATTGATTTGGGAAACTTTCTCTCAACTGACCTGTCTATTGTCATATCTCCCAATTCTTAGCTGCTGTAGAAGTAGGCTAAGAAATTTGAAAAAGTGACAGCACCAGACTAGAATAAATGGGAGTTTCTTTATTTCTTAAGTTTCTCATAGGGATCTTGGAATATATTTCATTTCTGGACATAATTGGGAAAAAAATCCATATATAATTCAATGGAAAACATGACAAGTACCTCACCAGAAAGCCAGATACCTAATAGGCCAATAGTTTAGGTACGTGAAAATTATTCCATGTGAAAGCACTTTAAGAAGTGTTGAGCATTATGAAACTGTGATGTGATAAGTGCATCTTGAAGAATATCTAAGATATTGTATCCTTCAAATTACCTTTAAATGAAATTTCTCTTGGGCTTTTGGTTTGAGCAAATAAACCACAGCTGTATTAAGAATTAACTAACCGAAACAAAACTAAATATTTGAATAGAAAATAGGGATGAATAGACTTCCACTTCCGGCTATAATTTTAAGTGGACTTATCTTGCTACCCCAAACAACAGTTAATGCTGGACAAAATATATGAAGCAACTGTTTTCAGGAATTGGATACTAGTCAAAGCAGACTGATATCTAAAAGAAAGGAAATACACAAGGTGAATCCCAGGTTCACCATGTCTGTCTCCATGGGAGGACATTCCCAACCATGGTGCAAGGAATGCGGCTCAGAATGGTGGTATTGCTGAACTGAGGAGGCGGAGTGGAGGTTTCCGGCTGCTGAAACAGCTAGAATCTACAATCCAGGTTATTGGAGGGGAAGTACGCTTGAGTGTCAGGAGAGCTATACAGGAATTTTTATACCACAGCCATTTGCAATAGCGAAAACCCTGGAAGCAACCTAAATGCCCATTGACAGGAGAAAGGATGAATTGTGATATAATCACACAATGGAATATTACAGAGATGAATATGAATAAACTAGTTGTTATAAACAAGTTTTAGGTGTACAGGATTGAATGAAAAAGGCACTTCCCAAAACACTTTATTCAGCACTTTTTATCAATCTCAAAAGTGACTAAAAGTAAACATACAGTATGTTAATACATTTATACATGATAGGTTAAATAACTTGTCCAAGTTCACAAATTTAGTACTGGGGTCAAGGACATAATCAAGTCCAGTACTCAATATCCCTCTAACTCTGTGGGATGAATATTTATTTGGTGCCAGGAAAAACTCTCCTAAAGAATGTATGTTTTCCACATAACTTCTTTAATTTTCCTCTCTACCTAGACTATCAAGAACCTCAGGGCTGGAACAGTGGCTCACACCTGTAATCGCAGCACTTTGGGAGGCCAAGGGGAGAGGACTGCTTGAGTCCAGGAGTTTAAGACCTGCCTGGGCAACATAGCCATGTGTGGTGGCACACATCTGTGGTCCCAGCTGCTTGAGAGGCTGAGGCAGAAGAATCGCTTGAGTCTGGAAGGTGAAGGCTGCAGTGAGCTAGAACTTTATCTAATACTCCATCGTAGTATCTGTATTAACCCATGTATATCGGCATATATACTTTTAGCTAATATTTATCGAGCATTTACTATTTCTTGCCACCAGGATAAGTGTCTTAAATGTATTACTTTACTTAATCCTCAAAAACATTCAAATTTTACAGATGAGGAAACCGAAATGTTACATGAGTTGTCTGATGTTACAAAACCAGTAAGAAAAACAGAGCCCTATTCAAATCCGTGATTCACTACCTTGCTTTTAATTTCTTTCATAACCTTGTTTTTTTCTTTGTATATTTTGTTCTTGTTTTTCTTTGTATAAGCCATTAATATTTTTTGGAAAAAATTTGGAGAATCAAAGAATTACACAAATATGAATGGATTATGGTATTTTACTATCTCTTATCTGCCCGAGGACAATGTCCAAGTTGATTGTCCTGCTTTTCTAATGAAAGACTAGATGATATAAAGGCCATTTCCAGTTCCAAAATTTAGTGCTACATAATGCTGAAAAGTTATTTTTCTTTCCTTTTAATGCGACAGTCTATTGCACTCCTGAGTTACTATTCTATAGATGTGGTAACACCTAGGATGAGGATCACCAGAAGTCTGCACTGTTAACTCTTGAAGAATAAAGGCCCAGGAGCACAATGAAGTTCAATTGAAACATTTTTATTTACCTTTGCTGCAGGGTAAGTTGAGTTTCCAATCAGGGCAAGAAGGGTTTCTGACCTATAAAAACAATGGTTAGCTGTAAGGCATATATAAACTTTTATTAACCTTGGACCTGACTCAAGTAAAAATTATTACACTTATATTTACTATTTAATTTATAGAAGTGGCAAACTGGTGACCTTTGGGCAGAATCTTACCTATAGACATGTTTTGACCCCAAAATTGGAATTCATTGCCAATACTGTATTTAAAATTCAGAATTCACGAGTTCTAGTTCCACTTGAAAATTTGAGAGATCTGGGAATCCTATATTCACATTTCCATCTAGCAACAGGACTGAGCTAAACAGTGGCTATCCCCTTTAACCTGGGTATTTGTATATTTACAAACATGCTTAGAACACTGTTTCTTGCATTAGAGACAAAGCAGTATACAAAAGTGAAAATTTTACTGCCCTCACAGAGCTTACTTTCAAAATGTTCTTCACTTCACCACATCCAGTCCTTTTCCCTGGCTAGTCTCTATAGGTCTTGGCATTTCCTAATGTCAATAAATACTCTGCCTTTCTCTAAAACTGTCAGTCTCCAACAGGAATCTCATGAAGAACTAATCCAAACATGGTGAGGTATGAAATTTCATTTTTAAAGGACTAGATCTTACACAGTGGCATAGCAGCTCCTTTAGCTTTCTTGATTTTATTCCCCAAGAAATAAAATCATTACTGCTTTGTAAAGCATTTTTAGTGATATATTTAGTAATAAAAAGCCAGGTTTAAGATAATGCTATTTTTCTACTATGTAAGACAACCTTATGATTTACAGTAAGTGAAACTGGTAAAAGGTAAAATACAAAAAAAGCATACTTTCCTCTATTGATCAAGTTTGCAGTGAGTGCTTTGTTTGATATATAAGAGAATTTAGGAAATTCTAACCCAGTGCCCTGCTTTTATAGATTAAAAGACCAAAAGTAGTGGCTGACATCGGGAAGGAAACGTGAGCCCCTACCTCAGTCCTTGCACCAAAATTAATTCCAGAAGGATCAAAGATGTAATCAAAAATTTAAAAAAAGAAACCAAAGGATAATTATTTTTATAGTCTTTTATGATCTTTGAGTGGGAAGGACCTCACTAGAAAAGTTTTAGTGAAAGAATTGCTAAATTTGCCTACATAAAGAAATCTCTGCATGAAAAAAGCATCATAAAGTCAAAAGGGTCATTTTCCTTAATATATAGTATTCCCAAAAACTATTAATAAAAAGACCAGTGAGAAAAGACCACAGGAAAGAATACAAATGGCTTTTTTTTTTTTTTTTTTTTTTTTGAGACAGAGTCTTGCTCTTGTCACCCAGGCTGGAGTGTAGTGGCGTGATCTCTACTCACTGCAAACCTCTGCCTCCCGGGTTCAAGCGATTCTCCTGCCTCAGCCTCCCAAGTGGCTGGGATTACAGGTGCCCATCACCACACCCGGCTAATGTTTTTGTATTTTTAGTAGAGACAGGGTTTCACCATGTTGGCCAGGCTGGTTTTGAACTCCTGACCTCAAGTGATCCGCCTGCTTCGGCCTCCTAAAGTGCTGGGATTACAGGCATGAGCCACTGCACTCAGCCCCACAAATGGCTGTTAAACATAAAAAAAAAATGAAACTCATAATAGAAAACATTTTATCTATATCAGAATAACAAAGACTAAGAAGTTTGAGAACTATTATGTTGCTGAGATGAGGAAACAGGCACTCCAAAACATTTCATTGCTATGGAGTGTCCACTCCATAGCGTAGTACAACTTCTATTGTTGAGAAGCAGTTTTGTTTAGCAGGCTCCATTAACAGCACCAGAGCAGTTTCTGGCATATATTAAGCACAGGTTTTAGCTAGTATAGTTAGCACATTTTTAAATGTGCATGTCTTTTGGCCCACCTACTTCACTTGTAGGTCTTTTTTCACATGTGACATCAAATGGTTTCGTTTTTTTCAGACCAAGTCTTGGTCTGTTGCCCAGGCTGGAGTGCGATGGCATGATCACAGCTCATTATAGCCTAGACATCCCAGGCTCAAGTGATCCACCTCAGCCTCCTAAATAGCCAGGACCACAGGCATGCACCACCATGCCCGGCTAATTTTTGTATTTTTGGTAGAAACAAGGTCTATGTTGACTAGACTAGTCTCAAACTCCTGGGCTCAAGTGAGCCTCCCACCTCACACTCCCAAAGTGCTGGGATTATAGGCGTGAGCCACCATACCCAGCAAGTGTTCTCTAACTAAAAATAGAAAAAATTAGCCAGGCTTGGTGGTGGGCGCCTGTAGTCCCAGATACTTGGGAGGCTGTAGCAGGAGAATGGCGTGAACCCGGGAGGCGGAGCTTGCAGTGAGCCGAGATGTGCCACTGCACTCCAGCCTGGGTGACAGAGCGAAACTCCGTCTGAAAAAAAAAAGAAAATATGTATATAAAACAAAAACAAAACAAAACCCATAATTATCCTATTATCCTTAGGGAACTGGTTAAATTATGATCTATTCAATGGGATACCATACAGATAGCTATTTAAAGGAAAATGGCAGCTCTGTTGCTCTGGGGTACTGAAAACAATCTCCAAAATAATGAGATGAATACACTTGTATATAGGAAGCTTCTATGTAACACTGTAACATATACACACATATATATTTTTTACACCTATGTCTTTCTTAAAGGATAGATTATTGCATTGTTGGTGTTGCCTCCTGGGACAGGGTAGCAGAATCAAGAAAGAGTATAAACTATTACATATCCTTTTACATTCTGAACTATTAAGATATGATCTATTTTTAAAAAGAAAACAGGTTTCACAAACACACTTCCAAGTAGTGGCTGGTGTGAGATCTAATTCTTGCCCTCATTTTAGTTCTTTCCAATATGTTCACTCCTTGAAGTCACCTGGTCTTGATTATTGAGAATTTGGGGAATTTTGATCCACACTTACAAGAATATCAAACATGAGCCAGGAAGGATCCATCTCAAATCCTGAGTTCATTCTGGAGGAACTCTTGATTAAAAGAATAGTTCTTAGCTTAGAAACTTAAAAGTATATTTTATGGAAAAGATAATGAAAGAAGTCACAGACTCCCAAAAAGAAAGGTGACAAGGAACCCAACAGGTCTGCCTCTTGGATCTAATTTATTTAGAAATTCTTAAATAAACAAACTTACTTACTCTATTTCAGTTTTAGAAACTCTTATTCGATATCCTTTATGCAGTAGTTACTACTTTAAAATAACACTTCGACCATTAAAACACTGTGAAGTAGGTAAAGTTCATACTGCTAGCATTTGGTAGAGGTAGGGAACTGGGTCTCAGACATAGGTAGTATCTAAAATAGATTACCCCAAATGTTTTAGCATATTAAGTCATCTACCACCAGGAAACACTGAAAATTAGTTTTCATCTTATGATAAGTGAAAGCCCCAAGTCTGAATGTAAGATTTCTTATTTTTATGTAGGCCAATTTATCAATTCTTTCATGGCTTTGGGAGGTCTCTCCCACTCAGAATATAATTAATAGAGGGCAATCATAAAGATGATTGAAGATTTTACTTAAGTCCATTTGTTCTAATACCCCACTATTTAACAGAGAATTATCTTACCGAATATGAGACAACCAAAGCTCCCATGGTTGGGTAACAGAAATCCTGACTTCTATTTTAAAGTTTGGTAGGTAACCAAGATTGTCAAATTTAACTCTAAAATTGTCAACAAATAGCTTACTTCTATAATTCTATAAGCACATAGCCAACCAGATGGCCAACCTTCACTAATAATCTCTAATGAAAGTTATCTTAATTCAAATACAGCAACTGCTTCCTTAAACAAGCATTTTTAAAATAACTGCCTTCCCCGTAAATAATACAATTCCCAGGTAAGTTTAGTCATGGAATATAACCATCTCAAACGGCTTCTTAGTTACCCATAATTCTAAAGCTTAAGACCAAAATGAAGATATACAGTAATCCTCCCTTACCATGGCTTCACTTTCCCACAGTACAGTATTTTCAGACCACATTCACAAAACTTACTAGTTATAAATGTTCTCATTATTGCTGTTAATCTTACTGTGCCTAATTTATAAATTAAACTTTATCACAGTTGCGTATGTATAGGAAAAAACAAGGCTTCAATACTCTTGGCTCTTTCAGGCATCCACTGTAGGTCTTACACCCCACAGATAAGGAGGGACTACTGTAACTCAAAACCTAATCCGGTATTCTATCTTGAAACAGCTCAACTTAATAGCAGAAAACTTAATCTTGTTATTGAATTTTGTTTCAGTTTGTCCTTTTAGATATGAATTCACATTCTAGCCCCTCTTCTTCCCATTAAAGAGAATTTTTCACCCAAAATAAACTTGTTAAACAATATACTGGGACAGGCGTGGTGGCTCACACCTGTTAATCCCAACACTTTGGGAGGCTGAGGTGGGCAGATCATTTGAGGTCAGTTCCAGACCAGCCTCACCAACATGGTGAAACCCTGTCTCTACTAAAAATATAAATTAGCTGGGCTTGGTGGCACATGGCTGTAGCCCCAGCTACCAGGGAGGCTGAGGCAGAAGAATCGCTTGAACCCGGGAGGCGGAGGTTGCAGTGAGCTGGGATCGTGCCACTGCACTCCAGCCTGGGCAACAGAGTGAGACTCCATATACATATATATGTATATATACGTATATATGTGTATATATATACATATATATATATATATATATGTATATATATATACACACACCTGAGGAACAATTTAGCTAATAAACAGAAACGTCAAGTACAAAACTTAACGTTCTGTAAAACTGCATAAATTCTTATAAAGTTCACTGAGTTCAACATGTAACTTTTAAAGAACATTTTGCAAATATGAGCATGTTTGGTTTTAATTCTCAAACATTTTACTAGGTCAACTGTGTCTAAGAACTACTAGGCAGAAATACCGAAAAAAATCAACATAGCTCTGGTCTTCAAATGGCTTTTTTAAAGTGAAAATTAACTTAGCATATTAAGACAAAGACAATAGAAATAATATACATAATTTTATTACAAAATTTTTTTTAAAAAAACGAAATGCAACATCCTAAAAAACCCAAAATTTACTATTGATACTAATTCCTACAAGTTTGCTGTGCTACCATACACAAGAAATTAAAAAAACCATTAAATATTTAGGAACATTCAACATCAGAAGCTGTAAAATCTAACTGTATGAGTAGCCCATCAAAAAGCTACAACCTGCATTTTTTAAAAGTATTTTCTCTACAGAGAATCTTATCAGCTATACAAAAATCTGTACAGTTTTTATACTGAAGCTAGTATTGAGCTGCACTTGAATTCACATTCTTAGCAAAATAATTGCCTGAGCACACACACACATTCCACACGCATCATTAAAGGATAGCCATTTATTCTTCATCTTCATCCTCTTCCTCCTCATCTTCATCTTCTTCTTCCTCCTCCTCCTCCTCATCTTCTGGTTCGTTCTTCTTCTTTGAGCCTGTTGGCCTGCCAGGGCCCTTCTTTCCTGCTTCACTTTTGCCCTTGGCACGATATGCAGCAATATCCTGAAATATTGTCAAAAAAATAAAGCATCCGGTATCATTACTCAACTGTGAAAAACCACTTAGTTGTAAACAATCTAAGATGATTGACCAATAACCCTAATAACTGTCTAAAAAGGTAACCAGTCTAAGTTTTTAGAGCACTTATCCCACTAGGCTTTAACAAGTTAATGACGTAAAATGACAAGGGTTGCGATACAGCAGTATCAGTACTTTCACTACCAATACCCTTTTACATCACACACAGTGCCATAGTCCCTCCTGTACCTTCACATTTTATATATATCTACATAAAACAATTTCTTTGACTCTCTGCTTAAAAAAAAAAATAACAGACTATACAGACTATACAATAACTACAAGTAACTACAAGTCTGTCTGCAGGAATATACTAGTGCTACAAACACTGGTTTCAGTCAAAAGGAAGGTTTCAATTACCTTGTGTTGAAGTGTACAATTTTCATTAGGCCTTTTCAAAACATAGCTGACAACCATTAATACAAGATTAACTAAATTTCCCAGGTTTTCTACAGTTATTACCTATACCTAGTCTTATCCACGGCTTTAAAAAAGATGACACTGTACCTTTTCATATTTCTCCTTTAGCTTAGCTGCTTTCTGTTCATATGGTTGTTTATCTTTGGCTGACTGCTCAGACCACATTTCACCCAATTTCTTTGCAGTATCCCCAATGGATAGGCCAGGGTGTTCACTTTTGATCTTTGGGCGATGTTCAGAGCAAAACAGGAAGAAGGCAGATCTGAAAGGAAGCAACAGAGTTTAATAAACTGAAGGAAAAATCCAAGGAGCAATTTGGGTTATTTTAAACTTACGGTGGCCTTTTAGGAGCATTGGGGTCCTTTTTCTTCCCCTTCTTATCACCTTTGGGAGGAACGTAATTTTTCATCTCCCTGTCATAGCGAGCTTTGTCACTTTTTGCCATATCTTCAAACTTCGACTTCTCCTTTGCAGACATGGTCTGTGGACATAAAATAAGAGCCAAAAATACAGCAAAATTGTTACCTATAAACATCCAAAGACGACAAGATCATCTTTAAGGACCACATTTTCCTTAACAGCATTTTGCTTTCGAAGTCTTATATAAGTAAAAACCTAAAATCGTCTGCCTGGAACTCTTAAGATATTCAGGTGAGTCACTGGGGTGGCAAAGTTGAAGCTCATGAGTTGCCTACTACCTGCCTAAGGCCCTCCTAGCCGAAAACCACACCTGCACCCCCTGAGCTCCGTCCCTCTCCTGCCTCACCTTCCATCTCTCCGAACACTTCTTGGAGAATTCCGCGAAATTGACGGAAGAGTCCGGGTGTTTCTTCTTGTGCTCTTCCCGGCAGGTCTGCACGAAGAAGGCGTACGAGGACATTTTGCCCCGCGGCTTGTTGGGGTCTCCTTTACCCATGTTGACAGATCCGCGTCCACCTGACGGGGCCGAGGGGGGAGAGGGGAAGCCGGAGGGTCGGCGCGGAGCCCGCAGCTGCCAGGGCGGGCGCTGGCGGGGCTCCGCTTCCCGCCCAAATCCGCTCCCGCCCTGCCCGCGCCCCCCTCCTCCCGAGGGCGTCCTCCCAAGGGCGGCCGCCCGCGCCCCCGCCCGCGCCCCGGCGCACACCCTCCTCCTCCTCCTCCTCCCGGCCCGAGCGGCCGCGGCTCAGCCCAGCAAGTGGCTCCCGGGGCCCGAGACGCCGCCGCCCGCCCTTCACCGAGTCCGGTGACTCCGCAAGCGCCCTCAAAACGCCTTTCCTGACAGAAATGTCCCCCAGCTCCCACGTCGCGAGCCTCACTTAACCGCTAAGCACCTCGTGACCGACATTGAAAACTCCCAGAACCGGGCCCGGTCAGGGGCAGTTTCCGCCTCCTCCGACTGCCCGCCGGCCCTCCACAGACCCAGCCCTCGCCGGCCCGCACCCCAAATGCCGCTCGCCGGGTCAGACCCCGAGAGCCACTGCGCCGAGACCGAGTAGAGGCTCTGAGGGAATGGGGAAAGGCAGGTCCACGAACCCGAGGGTATTGGAGGGTATTCTTGCCTGGTGCGAGCTTTTCCTCAGAGTCCCGCAGAGCGGCCGGACCCAACGGAGACGCTTCCCTCACGGGGCTCCGGCGTGAACTGGTTTATCTCTAACGCAATCCTCAGCCTCTTGTTTTGCAGAGTTCTCCGCGCCACGGCAACTTGACGAGCTAGGCCACGGGCCACATCCCCACTAATCTGATTGGTTCTGACGATTATTCAAACCCAGATAGTCCCCGCCCCCTTGCCACGGAGGCTAACGATTGGTCAGTGTCTTACCAGACCCGCCCTCCACGCCCCAGCCTAGCAGGTTCGGTGGGTCGCCCAGGTCGTTAACTCCCAGACCCGTTAGAACCGGTCAGGAGAGGAATGTACTGCTCGATCCTGATTGGCGGCGGGAAGAGGGTTTGAAAAATGGCGGGCCTCACGCTGACTGGTTGGGGCTGTAAACGGTGGGAGTGGTTGGCTCGGGAAGGAAAGCCCCGCCAGATTTAAAAATACTTAGTCGGGAGACTGGGGGTTGGTCTCCTGGCTTGGCGACGGCGGCGGCTCGGTTTGCTGGCGCTAAGGTAACAGAAGAGGTCTGCCTTGCCCTTCCTCCGACCACCATTTAGGTCCTGTCTGTCCCCCGCGTCGGCTCAGCCCTGCAGCGTTGGCTCCTGGGAGCTGTAGTCGCTCTGCTCTGTTGCCCTGCAGGGTCTCCCGTGCGCCGCCCAGAGAATAATAAATGAGGAGAGCCTGGAGTTTGCCCTGCAAAACCGATTGCCCAGCTCCTCCCGCTGTCGCTGAGGTTGTCGTAGAACTCGGGGAAGTCAAGGCAGGGAACCTCGGAAAGGGCGCGGGGGGCCGGGAGGGAACCGTTCCCGCGTCCCGTAGGGTGTTAAAAAACGTTCTGAAAGTAAGATGCTTCCCGCCGAGGGAGTTTCCCTCAGAAGGCTCCTCCTTCCTTCCCTCTTTGTCTCGGGTGACAAATACTGGGAGGTAAACAAGGGCACCCTCCGGGTCCCGAAGGGGCGGAGGCGGCGCCTTCTCCCCCGGCCCCGCCCCCTCCTACCGGGTCCGGAATTCCAAGCCCCGAGTGTCTCGGCCCCCACGCCGCACCCTGCAGCGGTGCGCCGGGAGCTCGGAGCCGGCGGCTGCCCTGTCTTTGGCTGGCCTGGCCTTCGCCTGGGCATTCACTGTCTCGTCCTACTAGTGTGATAGTTTTTAAAAATTGAGAATCGCATAAAAGCAATGCATGCTCCCTATCCCACTCCCAATTGCGTATATTCTCCAAACGGCATACAGCCACGTTACAGGCTCCTCCAAGCTTGGGTTAAGAACCTCCGTGTTAGTATAGGGAGAGCGCGCCAAAGCTACCTTACCTTACTGCTTACCAGCGTCACAAGCTGCTTTTCCCAAGGTAGAGGACTTTAATTGACATCCTGGTGTGCTATTTCTGTGGTATTTAGTTTTGAGGGATTCCCCCCATTATTGGAATATAGGTTGCGTGACTGTTTCAAGAAATTTAAATATTTTGTCTTAATTTTTCAGTAAGTTCGTTGGCACATGTTAAGACTATGCTCTTTGGTTTGTATATGGTTGTCATAATAGTATTTGAAAACCAGCAGTTGTTTATCTAGGTTTACTAATAAAAAAGATCTTAAAAAAAATGTATTTTCCTAGGAAATGGATAATGGTTGTCCAACATTGTGAATGTACTTAATGCCAGTGAATTGTACACTTAGGAATGGGTAAAATGGTAACTTTTATGTTATGTATGTTTTACCACAAAAAAATAAAGTGGCAGTTTTTCAAACAGAAAAAAATGTATTTCCTTTTATTTAAGGGTCCCAGAATTTTGTTAATCAAAAACCTTAGTTTATAACATTCTCTTTTCTGCCTTAAGTTGTAATACCTACAAAATTAGTTACAAGGGTGTTATAAAAGCACCCAAAAATCCAAATTAACCAAGTAATTCATAGTACTTTATTCAAATAGCAATTAGCAGTGAGATCACTAATGCATTACACTTTTAAAACGTATTTTTAAGTTTCTGTTTAGATTTTTTTAAATTATGGCATAAAGTAAGCTGTGCTTATATAAAAACTGGGCCTTTATTCAAGAACTGTGTATTGAATATGCCAAGCATTGAGCTTGGCAGTCGAGATACAAAGATGAAAAGTCATAGCCTGTGACCTCAAAAATTTAGAGGGACAAAAATAGGAAACAGTACAACATTAGTTAAAATTGTTCATTAATGAGAGCATAAGACAGTCACCTAAAGACTGTGTAGGGAAGTAGGAAAACTCTTCTATGAAAGTAGCATTTGAGTAGAGGTGGATTGGAGAACGTCAAGCAGGGGGAAACAAAAAACAGAAAGGCCTTTGAGAGAGCTTTGCTTGTTTGGGGATCAACTAGTAGTAGTTCTGTATTACAGGAACTTAATGATGATGATACTCAACCTGCAGCTTATAGAGGAATTTAGTCTTTATCTCCCCAGTGGAAAACCGGGGAAAATGAAATAATTAGGTTTCCACATTAGATAGCAGTGTTGATGGCGTGGTATAAATGAGGTAAAGTTAGAAATCAATTCACTGTGTTCATTCTTTTCTATGAGTCCGAAACTAGTCAGAGGGGCAATGGTAATAGATGTGAGTCACTTATTTACATTAATAATCTCTCACTACAAGTTAATCAACTTTTTAATGTTCACTAAAGTTTTACTTCACTTGAGGAATTTTGCATTATTTGTATAATTTAATAAGATGGTTTCACAACCTGCTTTTTTTAATGTCACTGTAATGCAAATAGTGAATTTATTCACATCCAAAATCAGAGCCACTAACTGAATTTTACATTCTATTCTAGCACATCTGTTTTCTAAGAATGATTCTTAGATCTCTTTTCTTTCTATTCCATCACTTAAACTAGCAATTGATTGGATTTGGGGTACTATTTTTCATAAAGGTTTTTTTTTTTTTTGGAGTGTAGTGGCTCAACCTCGGCTCACTGCAACCTCTGCCTCCAGGGTTCAAGTGATTCTCCTACCTCAGCCTCCTGAGTAGCTGGGATCACAGGCACGTGCCACCATGCCCAGCTAATTTTTGTATTTTTAGTAGAGATGGGGTTTCACCACGTTGGCCAGGCTGGTCTCAAACTCCTGACCTCAGGTGATCCGCCTGCCTCAGCCTCCCAAAGTGCTGGGATTATAGGTATGAGCCACGGTGCTTGACCCAGAAAGGTGTTTTGATCACTTCCCAGTAGTTGATGCCTAGAAGAGGCAAAGGACCACAGGGTAAGCTAAGAGTAGATGCTTGGCTCACCTAAGGATTATATGTTGAATTGTGTTCCTCCCACCAACTTTCTATGTTGAAGTCCTGACTAACATCCTGTATCTCGGAAGATGATCTTACTTGGGAATATAGTCATTGCAGAAATAACTAGTTAAGATGAGCTCACACTGCAATAGGGTGAGCCCCTAATCCAGTATGACTGATGTCCTTATCAAAAGGTGAAATTTGGACAGAGACAGCCATAGAAGTAAGATGATGTGAAAAAGACATAGGAAGAAGATGGCTATGAACAAGCCAAGGAGAGAGGCGTGGAACTGATCCTTTCCTTACAGCCTCCAAGGAAGCAGGGAAAGAACCACCCCTGCTAATACCAGTTACCATTCTCTTCTCCATGACAGCAGAGAAAAGGAAAACATTTCTATATTTAACCTACTTTTACCATCACTGCCCAGACTTTACTCCTATAACACACTTCCTGCCTTAAAAGTACCATTAAGAGGCACAGTAAAGTAGTAAAAGAAATAAGGCTTAGCTGAGATCGTATTATACAGTTTTTGGTTACAGAACAACCCCATTTTTTGTGTGAAAAATATATACAGACTCTGGTAGCACAAAAAATCTAGTCCTAAATTTAATTCTCAAAAGAGGGATTAAATACACACACTCAAAACATAAGGCCAGTTCACTATACTATGAATTATTTGCCACACTATTATGACTTTATCAGAAAACTAAAATGTCCCTTAAAGAGTTAATACTAAACATCTTTCTCATTGTTTTAATCCTGTTGTGGTCCTAAATGTGAAATAAGATTGTATTTCTAAAACAGTTTTAAAGCCATTTTTTCAAGAACATATCAATTGTATATATTCTAAAAAGTCCACAAATTTATTTCTATTAAAATGATACATATTTCTAAAACATGTATCAAGATGAAACATGTATCAAGATGATATAGAGGAAAATATTTGTGTTTTTCATTTTTTAAAAAATGCATAAATTAGAACCCAGCCAGGGCTTGTGGTTTTGAATGGTTCAATTAGCATTTCTAGGCCTTTTGAAATGGAGTTTCACTCTTATTTCCCAGGCTGGAGTGCAATGGCACGATCTTGGCTCACTGCAACCTCTGCCTCCCAGGTTCAAGCGATTCTCCTGCCTCAGGCTCGAAAGTAGCTGGGATTACAGGCGTGCGCCACCATGTCCGGCGAATTTTGTATTTTTAGTAGAGACAGGTTGGTCAGGTTAGTCTCGAACCCCTGACCTCAGGTGATCCACCTGCCTAGGCTTCCCAAAGTGCTGGGATTATAGGCATGAGCCACCGTGCCTGGTCTTTTCTAGGCCTCAGACTGATAGACTATAAATTGAAGTTTACGGGATAATCTCCAAGGTAGAATTCAGCTCTTAAATCATGTGATTCTATAATTCTGTGAATATGTGATCATAGTGTGGGAAAATATATATTACATTTTAACTTACGCAATTGGGCAGTCAGGAAATTATAATTACATTTTAAAGAATAAATAACTTGGGTCATATGAAATCCCTTGACTATAAGAGTGCCAATTAAGCCAGGCACAGTAGCTCACGACTGTAATACCAGCACTTTGGGAAGCTGAGGCGAATGGACCACCTGAGGTTAGAGTTCGAGACCAGCCTGGCCAACATGGAGAAACCCCGTCTCTACTAAAAATACAGAAATTAGACAGGCATGGTGGCACGCGCCTGTAATCCCAGCTACTTGGGAGGCTGAGGCAGGAGAATTGCTTGAGCCAGGGAGGCGGAGGTTGCAGTGAGCCAAGATCGCACCATGGCACTCCAGCCTGGGTGACAGAGCAAGACTCTGAGCTCAGGAGTTTGAGACCAACCTGGGCAACATGGCGAAACCCCATCTCTACCAAAAATACAAAAATTAGCCAGGCATGGTGGCATGCGCTGGTCGTCCCGGCTACTCAGGAGGCAGAGGTGGGAGGATCGCTGGAGTCCAGGAAGTTGAGACTGTAGTGAACCGTGATCACACCACTGCACTCCAGCCTAGGTGACAGAGCGAGACTGTGTCCCAAATGATAAAAATAAATTTTAAAATCAAAACAGCATTAGGATAGAGTTGATAGCCCAAATATAATAAACTATGTAGACTAAACTTTAGATTACATAATATTGCTCAGTCATCCTATTCTTTCATTAAAATGACCTTACCAGCTTTTTTCCCCGCCAGATGATATCAGTATATTACTTTACCTGCCAAACTTTGTCTGAGTTCAGCATCTCATGAATTGTAAAATATAAACATTAGGCAATAAACTAATTATGAGTTAGTGAAGCTGTTTCCAAAGTAGTCCTCTAACACCTCTAAATAGCTATTCTGTTGATAAACTGGAATTTATCTAAAGCAGTGTAATCTGACAGGAATGATCTGTGTTAATGCCAGTTATTGAAATTCCTAGCACTTATTTAGTTTTCCTAAAAATTGGACTTTTCATAATCTGTGGTCATCAAACCAGACTGGAAAATACTGATGGAAAGAGAATATACACTTTTTTTGTTAAGCCCTTCTTCTGCAAAGCAAGAAAAAGGTCTTGATAATTCTTATTTATTGACTAACTCATAGCCAACATTAAATATACTTTATATAAAGTTAGTTGCATATAAAATAATTGCTTTCTTGAGTTGCACAATGTAAAAAACCGAAAACCATTACTCTGCACACAATTTCTCAAAGATAAATCTTACATTGGAGCTTAATATTTTCAAGTTGTTTTAAAGGCTATGAGAGGGAAAGGATCAGTATACTGAAGTATTATCAAACAGGCACATCCACTAGTGGGTAGATCACCAATTCTGAAGCCTAACTGTATACTCACCCCAAAAACTCAATTTACTGAAATAATTTAACACTCTATCTTTGAAGAAGTGAAGCACAGGTTAGGAAGAAATGAAAACCTCTCATTCTGCTGCTAACATTTTCAATGCGAAACAATTAAATAGTCAAAGATATTTTGTTTTCCTATTTAAACAATATTTTTGTAAGTCATGGTAAACTGGCCAGGTGCAATAGTTCACACCTGTAATCTCAGCATTTTGGGAGGCCAAGACAGGAAGATTGCTTGAGCTAAAGAGTTCCAGACCGGCCTGGGCAACATAGTGAGACTTCCTTTCTACTGAAAAAAAAAAAAAAAATTTAGCCAGGCTTGGTGATGCGTGCCTGCAGTCTGTACTACTGAGGCTGAGGGCAGGAGGATTGCTTGAGCACAGGAGACAGGGGCTGCAGTGAGCTATGACTGAGCCACTGCACTCCAGCCTGGGCTACAGAGTGAGACTCTGTCTCAAAAATAATAATTAGAAGAAGCAGCAGCAAAATGTCCACAAGAAAGTTACTTAGTTCTAAAAGCCTCTACTACAATTAGAAAAAAAAATGACAAGTTGTAAAAATCATGTTTTAAAATACATTGGAGATCTGTTGAAGCAATCAAAAAATAACTCAAATTAAAATTCCAGACCGGAAAGAGACCTTCCTAGGTATGCTGATGAGTTTTGAAAACATTCTGTAGATTTTAGGCATGGAACTGAAGTCAGTCTAACTTGGCTTAGGCTTCTAGAAGGACTTTGACTAAATGAAAGAGACTCCAGCAAGCATTTGTCAGTTGTATTGGTGGGGGTTAGCACAATCAGTTGGAAACTAAAGGACTCTGAAATATCCGTACTGGCCTATTTTCCACAGATTAGCTGAATGCCGAGGTGGTATGGGAGACTAGAGAGTTGTGCCAGAAGCTTCTAAAAGACAAAGCTAAATGTCCCAGGGTTTCACAGTGTTTAGTGGACAAAAGTCTAGCTGGAGGGAGGGGTCTGCCACAAACTCATCATTGTCTTTTCCTGAAGACATTTGACATTTTTTGAAACTGTTTAGGCAGGAATGTAGAGACACAAGTTCAAACCCTCCAAAGAGCAGAAATGAATTTTTCATAGTCTTTCAGGGCTAAGGAGACAGAGACTGTCAATCCCTTAATCAAAAGACTGTGTGATAATGTCTTAATGTATGAGCAAAAGAAATAAGCCACAGATGGAAGGGTCTTACTAAAACTTTGCAGCCTAGCCTGGACACAGCTCAATCTCTAATTGGATTGAGATAATCAATCCTTTAACTTTCTCCCTGTTAGCAATAGGTAGAATATTGCAAAGGTCAAACCATCTCTAATAGAAGATATCATCTGGACCACAGCATAATAAAAAGTATTGAAAACTAACAACAGAAAATCTTAAAAGGAACCAGAGGAAAAAGGAAAAATAAATTCAAAACAGCAACAGTTAAGTCTAAATGCTGATTCTTCAACAGAACTAGGGAAACCAGAATCCTATTGAATGACATCTTTAGATCGCTGAAGGAAAAAAAAAAAATTGCTAACCTCAAGTTCCATATCCAGGGAAAAAGCTTTCAAGAATTACAGCAAAATAAAGATGTTTCTTGACAAACAGAAGTTGAGAGAATTCCCTGCCAGGAATCCTACTTAAGGAAAATAATCTCAAATCCTTAGAAGGAGGAAAAAAGCATAATCAAGGGTAATTATGTAAATTTTAAAAGAGTATTACCTTCTTAAAACAGCAATAATAATGTCTTGTGGATTTTTATAAACTGGACAAGTAGAATCTATGACAACGATGGCAAAAAAGGTAGGAAGAATAAGTAGATTTAAATTGACACCATAAGAGTCTCTGCAGTTCTTTTTTTTTTTTTCTTTGAGACAGAGTCTCATTCTGTCACCCAGGATGTGCAGTGGCGCAATCTTGGCTCACTGTAACCTCTGTCTCCCAGGTTCAAGCAATTCTCCTGCCTCAGCCTCCCAAGTAGCTGGGACTTCAGGCACGTGCCACTGCGCCCTGCTAATTTTTGTATTTTTAGTACAGACGGGGTTTCACCATGTTGGCCAGGATGGTCTCGATCTCTTGACCTCATGATCCACTTGCCTCAGTCTCCCAAAGTGCTGGGATTACAGGTGTGAGCCACCGCGCCCAGCCTGTAGTTCTTGAATTGTAATAGAAATGTTCATTTGGCCCATATTCAGATGAATATCTGTCACTTTCATATTAGGAAATCATCCTTTTGTAAATTTTTGAGACTGACTCTCACTTTGTTGCCCAGGCTGGAGTGCAGTGGCACAATCTCAGCTCACTGCAGCCTCCGCCTCCCAGGTTCAAGTGATTCTCCTTCCTCAGCCTCCCAAGCAGCTGGGATTACAGGCATGCGCCACAATGCCCGGCTGATTTTTGTATTTTTGGTAAAGTGGGGTTTCACCATGTTGGCCAGGCTGACCTCAAGTGATTCACCTGCCTTGGCCTCCCAAAGTGCTAGGATTACGAGTGTGAGCCATCATGCCCTGCTGAAAATAACTTTTTATCTGCTTTTGTGTAGGTGATATATTAATACTATATTGACCTTATATCAACTCAATGATTGATAACGACTTAAAACTGCAAATTCTTGTGTAAATACTCTTATAAATATAAAGGTGGCATATTTACAACTTTGTCCTCTAAATCGTGTTGTTACTGTGCTTAGTATTTTGACTGTATTTAAAAATATATTCACAAACTATGAAATTTTCAGATATACTTTTCAAAATATACATCTAATTTTAAAGCCTGGAATTCTAATTAGACTGAAAAAATGCACTTACGCATAATTGAGGATTATGCATCCTTCACCCTATTCGGGCCACTCCTGGAGTCAGGGTAGTAGAGCACAGCATTGCAGAGGCCGGAGCCAGAAGAAAAGCAAAAATGCCTTCCATCCTCTTGGCCTTGAATCTCCCATTAACAGAACTGAACCGGAAAGAAATTGGCAAGTGAATCTGGGAAATGATATTTAGAATTCCAGTACTCTGTAATATAGAGAGAGTAAAAGAATGAGAATGGAACTGACAGACAACAGAAATATAACCAGCACAGTCAAACAACTGGCAAGTGGCAGAGTTTATATCTCAAGCAGTCTAGCTCCTGAGTCCATGCACTTAACTACTACAGTATGCAGTGACACTATGATATGCTATAGCAACATTATTTCATACATTTTAAAATTAATGGCTGATGATGAATGCAAGTTGGCAGGAAAGAAATTGTAGGAATTGGATTCATTAAATATTCCAGAAAGATTAAGTTTCTACGTTGTGCCGGACACTACTCGAAATAGAATGATGCAAAACCAAAATGAAACAAGGATGAAGGAAGAGAGTTCCTTTCTCAGTATTTCAGACTGGACAAAATTTCCCTGTGAAGGATTCCAACTGGCTTGATTTGAATCGTGTGCCCCCCTCATTAAGCCAGGCACTTTCAGGGCAGGTATTAGGGGAAATAACCTAGTGGAAATGCTCAATAGAAACCTGAGACAAGGATTTTGTTGCAAATAGTTTATCTAAGAGATGCAGGAAACACCAGTAGGAGGTGGGGAAGCGAGACAAAGAAGGGAAAACAGTCAATAAAGGGTGCGGTATCAAGCCAGATACCACTTATAATGACTGGAGCATAATCCCATGAGAAAACTCTGGGAAAACACAGGCCTCAAAGTTATCCCATCTGAAGGCCAAGTGAGCTGGGGTATCTATATAACAAATCTTTCCAGTCACTTGGTGAAGGCTGCTAGAGTGGGAGTTTGTTAATTCCCAGGCATTTCCAAATTGCCCTGATCACATAGGGACAGAGCTGCCTTCCACAGCTTTGGAGAAAGCCCTCAGGTCAAGAAATCAATGTTGAAGTGGTAATGGCCAGAGAGACAAGAGCAGGGTCTGTCTCAACTTCTTCATCAGGTAAAAATTTTATCTGCCTAATGCATGGAGTTATAAATTTCAAAAGAAAGAACGCCTATGAGAGAGTGTTATAAAATATAAAATGTAATACCAAAAATTATTGTTTAGGAGTTTCTTGAAGGCAGGAGGTGCATATCATGTTTTTACATCTCTCCTAAGGCCTAGTACAGTGCTATGCATATGCATAGGCTCAAATATTTATTGGATGAATTTTTCAATGTAATGATTATTAAATATTCATTAAATATTTTCTAGGTTAATAGGTGTTTTTAAACTTATAATTCATATCAATAACTCATTACTGTTAACTTCTAAAAACCTTTATGTTTGAAAACTATAAAGTAGCATGGTCTTGTTCTATACCTTTGTCTAAAATTCTTAAATCTAGGTTGTTGTTCAGAACTCTGTTAATTACCCAAAACCCATTTTCTCCTTTCTTCTTACTTTAAAAAATATCTTGATTATAAAAAAGGTAATGATAAATTATTGCGGGTTCAAACCAATCATGAGAAAGCTATTCTCAGTAGCATAAGAGAAAGGCAAGAAAATTGTAGACATCAACCCGGACATTATTGAACTACTGAACCATTACCAGTAACCATCTTCTCTCAGTCTTCTTATATGTCAGAAAAATAAACTCATAATAATACTGTTAGATAGATATTCTATTATATGCAGCCATTGGCTAATAACTTTTTTAATAGCATTTTTTTCTTCTTTTGCGTAGCAAGCCCAAGACAAGTCATTTATTTCTGGACTAGATTATTTCATTATAGTAACTCATCAGAAAACTGAGATAAGCAGTAAGTATTTGGCCATTCACATTTTAACTATTTTGGATTCCCCTCTAACTAAAGAAAGATCACGGTTTTTTCCTACAGCTCTCTACCTGTGCTGGCTCCATCAATATTCAGTTTGACATTTTGACACATATCTAAAGAAGCTCAAGAGGGCTCTATCACCAAGAAAGCTGTAGTGAGATGATAGTCTTTCAGATACAAGTTAAAGTCGCTTGTCCAGTTATGTATGTGATCTTCTGCAGAGCCACTTTGCTTACTCAAAAAAACACATCTCCTGTTCTCTCACCAGAATATATTTTGAAACCATCCACTTATCTCCATCTCTACTATCATCACACAAGCTCAAGCCACAATAGACTCTGAACTGGTCTACCTGATTCCAGGGACTTTTGACTTTAACATTGGATCCTCCACAGAATAGCCAGAGTGATCTCAAAACATGAAACAGGTTAATCCACTTTCCAGCATAAAATCTTTCAATGGCCTCCAATTCCACATAAAATGTAATACATTATCATTGCATACAATGCCCTGCATAGCCTGCCCTCTTCCTATCTCTTTGACTGCATCCCCTACCACTTTCACTCTCACTCCCTATACTATAGCTATATAGAACTATTTTTTAGTTTGTCAAACACCAAAATATTTTTTGCCTCAAGACTTTGGCACATACTATTGCTTCTGTGTTTAATGCTCTTATCTTCTCTCTCATCGTGGCTGGCTCTTTCACTTCAGGTTTAAGCTTAAATATAAAGTTACTATCCAACTTCCTCTTTTATCACCGGTTATAACATTCATCACTATCTGTAATTATATATATATTTGTTAGCCTATTAGTTTAGTATCTGTAACCTTGCCTAGACCTCCAGAGGGTAGAGACATGCTCCTTTTCTTCTCCCTTAATAAAGCATTTGGTACATAAATCCCTGTAAGTTTGAATCAGAATGAATGAACGAATTAATGAAAGGCAGTGATTTTATTTGAAAGCAGTCTTCAGATTCCAAGCTGGCCTTTTTTCTTTTTTTCTGTCTTTCCATGTAACAGAGTGATGTATGATTGCAGCTTTCATCACTTTGGTGACCTAGATACTCAGATATTTTTATGATCCCCTCAAAATTAGTTCTAAATAGATTTTTACTGCATTCCTAGGATGACAGAAAATGGGAAAAATATCTAAGGAATTTTCCTTGACACCAAAATAAGTCAGAGGGTGGGGGCGGAGGATGAGGATTGGTAGGGATACCAATCATCAGCTAGACTCAGGCATGGTAATTTGAGTGGTAAGTAAACCTGGGAAGCAAATTAGCCATGAAAACAAATGCCCAAAGCAGAAGTTTGAATTGTAATCTTTACCTATAGGCCCACAAAAAGGAAAGGAAACCAAACTGGATACTACATTAAGCTGGGACTCCTTAAAGAAACTAAAATGGTAGCATACTTTGTCTCTTGGCAGAAACAGATGGAAATCCTTACTGAGGGAAAGCATCTTACTTTAGAAATATCACAGATTGATGGAATAAATATAAGTACAAAATTAGAGATGACCAGGCACGTGAAGAAGCAAGCCACCATTGAACACCCAAGGAATTCAGATATTTACAATTGTTAGATTCAGAATACAAACATTTTTAATAAGAAAAAGGATGAAATTAGAAAGATGAGGAAGCAACAGGTATCTATCAGGAATGACAAAAAAGTTCTGAAAACAACCAAATGGATCTTTGAGAAAGAAAAAAACATAGTTGTTGAAATTTTAATGAATGAGCTACACAGATGAGATAAAGCTAAAAATAAAATTAACATATTTTGCTGAAGAAATTAGACTGAATCACAGAAGAATGAGATGAACAATATTTTAAAAATAAAACAGAAACATTGGAAATAGAATAATGTTTATCAATATTGCAATATGTTTAATTAGTCCTAGAAAAAGGAAATAGAGAAAAGCACAAAGTGGCACTATTTTAGTATTTTTGATGCATTTTTTTCACAGTGAATGATATGAATTCAAATTTAGGAAGCATAAAGTAACCCAAGTAGCTTAATAAAAAGAAATCCACAATAACTTCAAGGTGAACTTGCAGATGTCAAATATATATGTGTGTATGTATATATATATATATATATATATATATATATATGTTTTTTTTCTTGAGAAAAAGTCTTGCTCTGTCGCCCAGACGGTAATGCAGTGGCACCATCTTGGCTCACTGCAACCTCTCCCTCCTGAGCTCAAGTGATTTCTTGTGCCTCAGCCTCCAGAGTAGCTGGGGTTACAGGTGTGCACCACCACACCCAACTAATTTTTGTATTTTTAGTAGAGATGGGGTTTCACCATGTTGGCCAGGCTGGTCTCAAACTCCTGACCTCAGGTGATCTGCCCGCTTAGGCCTCCCAAAGTGCTGGGATTGCAGGTGTGAGCCACCATGCCCAGCCCAAAAAATAATTTTAAAAGAGCCACAATGCCCAGCCCAAAAAATAATTTTAAAAGAAGCAAGAGAGAAAAGAAAGCTCACCTACAAAGGAAAACAGTTATACTGATGGCAGACTTCTCAGCAGCAACAGTGGAAGCTGGAAAACAGTGGAAAAATACCTATAATATAAAGTGCTGAGAGAAAATAACTGCCATTCTTGAACTGCAAGACTATGAGCAGGCCAGGTGTGGTGGCTCAGGTCTGTAATCCCAGCAATCTGGGAGGCTGAGGTGGGAGGACTGCTTGAGGCCAGGGGTTCAAGACCAGCCTGGGAAACATAATGGGGCACTCATCTCTACAAAAAATACAAATGTCAGCTGGGCATGATGGAAGGCACCTGTAGTCTCATCTACTCATGACACTGAGGCAGAAGGGTCATTTGAGCCCAGGAGATTGAGGCTGCAGTGAGCTACGATCTCATCCCACTGCACTCCAGCCTGAGCAATAGAGCAAGACCTTGTCTCAGAAAAGCTATGTGGGCAAATAAAAATTTTAAGGAAAATTGAGAGACTATCAACATACTAGCCCTAAAGGGACTACTAAATTATGTACTTCAGGAAGAAGGAAAATAATCCTAGAAAGACAGTATGAATAAAAGGAAGAGTGAGCATTATTTTTTAAAAAGGTAAACAGAGCTGCTGGTATAAGAAAAGGAAGGTAGATAAGTAGAAAACAGAAGCACAGAGAAATGGGAAAGTGCAAACTACAAAAAAGACCATCAGAAATAAATGCAACAGTGTGATTTCTTACATTCATGTAACTCCAGTCATAGAAAGTAAAGAGAGAAAATAGGGGAAAGGTATATTTGAAGATATAATAGCCAAGATTTATCTACAACTGATAAAAGACAGTTATTGTAATAAAGAAGTGTATAAACTAAACCTAAGTCTCACACCTTACACAAAAATTAACTCAAAATAGATAATAGTCTTAAATGTAAAATGTAAAACTACAAGACTTTTAGACAAAACATAGGAGAAAATCTTTGGGATACAAGCATAAAGAAAGAGTTCTTAGACTTAACATACGGCAATAGCATGATCTATGTAAGGAAAAACTGAACTTTATCTAAACTAATACATTTTCCTCTGTGAAAAGCATTAGGAGTAGTAAAAGGCAAATTACAGACTAGAAGAAAATACTTGCAAACCACATATCTGACAAGGAACTAATATCTGTAATATATAAAGAACTCTCAAAACTCAATAAAAGTCCAATTAGAAAATAAAAAAAAGACATGAACAAAAACTTACCATAGATGGTTTACAGATGGCACATAAGCAAATGAGATATTCAACATCATTAGCAATTAGGAAAATGCAAATTAAAACACAATGCCATATCACCATACACCTATCAGATTGGATAAAATAAAAATAGTGACAACACCAAATACTGGCAAGGATGCAGAGAAGCTGGATCACTCATGCATTGCTGCTGGGAATGTAGAATGATACAGCCACTGTGGAAAATAGTTTGCAATTTCTTAAAAACCTAAACATGAAACTGCCCCACAGCCCAGCAATTGTACTCTTGGAAATTTACCTCAGAAAAATGAAGGACTTTCTCCAAAGGTAAGTAGGGAGAAAAAAAGAAAGAAAAATACAGACTTACATTTTCACAAAAACCTATACATTAATGTTTATAGCAGCTTTATTCATAATATCCCCAAACTAGAAACAACCCAGATGTCCTTCACTGGGTGAATGGCTAAACAAACTGTTCTAAATCCATACCATACTACTCAGCAATAAAAAGGAACAAATTACTGATACATGCAACAGCCTGGATGAATCTTCAGGGAGTTACATTGAGTGGGGGAAAAAAAAATTCCAGGCCAGGCACAGTGGCTTATGCCTGTAACCCAACACTTTGGGAGGCTGAGGCGGGCAAATCATGAGGTCAGGAGATCAAGACCATCCTGGCCAACATGGTGAGACCCCATCTCTACTAAAAATACAAAAATTAGCTGGGTGTGGTGGTGCACATCTGTAGTCCCAGCTACTCTGGAGGCTGAGGCAGGATAATTGCTTCAACACGGGAGGTGGAGACTGCAGTGACCTGAGATCGCACCACTGCACTCGAGCCTGGCGACAGAGCGAGACTCCGTCTCAAAAAAGAAAAAAAATTCCAAAGGTTACATACTATATAAGCCCATGCCTTTTTGTATATTTTGTCTTGAAATGACAAAATTATAGAAATAAAGAACAGCTTAGTGGTTGCCAGGTGTTCAGAAGGCAGTGGGGACGGGAGGGAGTGGGTGAGGCAATAAAAGGGCAATTTGAGGGATCCTTGTGGTGATGGAAATGTTCTGTATCTTGACTGTATCAATGTCAATTCCTGGTTATGATACTGTACTACAGTTTTGCAAAATATTGTCATTGGAGAAAATGGGGTAAAGACACAGTGTCTCTCTGTAATGCTTCTTACAACTGTATGACAATATGCAATTAAGAGTAAAAGTTTAATTTTAAAAACTATAATAACAAGCTACTGGAGGGGGGCATTGAAAGATAAAAATAATTTGTTAAAGTGGGAAAGAAGAAAATGAAATAGGACAAATAGAACAAATATAAAATAAATGTAATGTGGTAGTTTTAACTTCGAATATATTGAGTAAGTATACCAAGACCAAGATTGTCAGACTGGTTACAAAATCAAAAACCCAATCATATGCTGTTTAAAGAGATATGCCATAAAAATGGCACAGAGGTGAAAGAAAAAGGATGGAAAAAAGTTTATCATAAAAACACTAACCAGAGACAGCTGATATGACTTCTCTAATAGCAGACAAAGTCAAATTTGTTTCGATAATACTACTAAAAACAAAAAGAATATTTCATAAAAGACTCAACAAATCAAGATAACTAGAAATCCTACCACCTATTGGGAAGCTGAAATGGGAGGATTGGTTGAGTCTAGGAGTTTTTAACCAGCCTGAGCAACATAGTAAGATCCCCTCATCAAAAATGAACAAACAAAAAAAGAGAAATATCATAGTCAATCCAATTGAAAATTCAGATGAAACAGACAAATTTCTTGAAAACACATTCTGTATTAGTTCGTTCTTGCATTGCTATAAAGAAATACCTAAGACTGGGATATTTATAAAGAGAAGAGGTTTAGTTGGCTCATGGTTCTGCAGGCTGTACAGGAAGCGTAGTGGCTTCTACTTCTGGGGAGGCCTCAGGAAGCTTCCAATCATAGTGGAAGGAAAAGCCGGAGCAGTTGTCTTATGTGGCAGGAACAGAAGCGAGAGAGAGAGGGAAAGGGGAAGCGTTACACACTTTTAAACAACCAGATCTTGTGAGAAGTCACTGTCATGAGAACAGCCAGGGGACGGTGCTAAACCATTCATAAGAAACTGCCCTTATGATCCAGTCACCTCCCACCAGGCCCCACCTCCAACAATGGGGATTACAATTCAACATGGGAATTGGGGAGGGACACAGATCCAAACCATATCAACATCTTAATGAAACTGACAGATAAAGAAATAGAAAACCTGAATGTTCCTCTGTCTATTAGCAAATTGAGTTTGTATGTAGCCTTCCCACAAATAAAATTCTCAGCATGTTTTGCTTCACTTACAAGTTCTATCAAATGAGCTGAGCATGTTGGCTCACATCTGTAAATCCCAGCACTTTGGGAGGCCAAGGCGGGTGGATCACTTGAGGTCAGGAGCTCGAGACCAGCCTGGCCAACATGGCAAAACCCCATCTCTACTGTTAATAAAAATACAAAAATTAGCCAGGCGTGCTGGTGTATACCTGTAATCCCGCCTACTCTGGAGGCTGGGGTAGAAGGATTGCTGGAACCAAGAGGTGGAGGTTGCAGTGAGCCAAGATGGTGCCACTGCTCTCCAGCCTGGGAGACAGAGCAAGATTTTGTCTGAAAAAAAAAAATAAATTCTATCACATATTTGGAAAGTTCACAAACTCTTCAATACAAAATAGGAAATACAAAAGAGGAAATATTTGAACTTGTTTTATGAAGTAAGCAAAACCTTGGTAACTAGAGTTGCCCAGTTAAATTCGAACTTCAGATAAATAATGAATAATTGTTAGTATAAAATATTTCACAAGATATAGTAAAAATTATTCATTATTTATCTTTAAATTCAAATTTAACTGGGTTTCCCATATTGTTATTTGCTAAATCTAACAACTGTGTTGGCAACAATACTTGACAAATACTTTACAAGAAAAGTAAATTACAGGCAGGTCTCTGTTACGAATATACATACAACAATCTTGAACAAATTATTGATAAATTAAATCCAGCAAGTTTCAAAAACGATGATATTATGGCCCATTTGGCATTCTTCCAGAAATGCAAGATTAACATTCAAAAATTAATAAAAAGGCCAGGCATGGTGGCTCACACCTGTAATCCCAGCACTTTGAGAGGCCGAGATAGGTGGATCATTTGAGATCAGAAGTTTGAAACCAGCCTGGCCAACATGGTGAAACCACGTCTCTAGTAAAAATAAAAAAATTAGCCTGGCATGGTGGGATGTGCCTGTAGTCCCAGCTACTTGGGAAACTGAGGCAGGAGAATTGCTTTAACCAGGGAGGCAGAGTTTGCAGTGAGCTTAAATCATGCCACTGCACTCCAGCCTGGGTGACAGAGGGAGACTCCATCTCAAAAAAATAATAAAATAAAATAAAATAAAAAATAAATATCAACGTTATTTTCTGTATTAATGGAATGAAAAAAAAAATCATCCAATCATCCCAAGATGCAGAAACATTTGATAAAGTTAAACCCCTATTTATAATTTTTAAAACTTTTAGCAAAGTAGTAAAAGGGACCATCAATAATTTGATAAAAGATATATGCAAAAGCCCTACAGCAAACATTGTATTTAAAGTGAAATGTGGAAGTAAGTTTTCTCCTGAGATTGGGATTAGGACAAGGAGATTCACCATCACATTCCTATTCAAACTTGTATTGATGTATTGATGGTTCCCTCCAGTGTAATAAAGCCCTTCTTTCCCCCCAAAGTATAAAAATCAGAAAGAAAAAAAATGTAATATGTAAAATAATGGCATATGTAAAATATAAAGTAAAATAAAAAACATTGTTTAAAAACTCCAAATTGCTGGGTAGATTGGATGCAATCCTAACATAATTTTCAGCAGGTTTTTAAGGAATGTGGCTGATTCTAAAATTTGTGTATAAATGCACTGGGCCAAGAAAAGCCAATAATCTTGAAGAGCAACTAAGTTGGAAGACCAGACATCAAATGTTGGATATCAAGATTATCATAAAATGGCAACAGTTAAGCTGTGTGATATTGGTGAGACAACAGGCATACAGACCAAGGGAACAGAAAAGACACACATAGAAAGTCACCGGATTTATGACAAAAGTCTTAGTACAGTATAGTTGGGAAAGGATGATATTTTTAAATAAATGGTGCTAGGTTAATTGGAAATCCACACAGAAAAATTTGAATTGAATGGCTACTTCACAACATATACAAATAACAGTTCTAGGTAGATGCTAGTCCTAAATGTAAAAGACAAACACTGAAGTTTCTAGAGGATAACAGAGGAGAATATCTTCAGTATCTTTCCAGGAGATAAAATTTTCTTAAACAGGACACAGAAAGCACTAAGCAAAAGGAAAAATGTTGACGAATTAGACTTTATTAAAACTAAGACCTTCTGTTCATCAAAGGACATGATTATGGATGTGCAGAGGCCAACCCCAGGGTGGGTGAAGATATTTGCAATACATCTATCCAATAAAGATCTCATACCCAGAAAACATGAGGACTTCCTACAAATCAGTAAGAAAAAGACATCGTTTGTATAAAATGGTCAAAAAGACTTGCGCAGGCATTTTACAAAAAGGATATACAAATGGCCAATAAACATAAAAATGTGTTTAATAACAATAATCAAAGAAATATAAATTAAAGCTATAATGAGATACCTTTTCACACCACTAGGATGGATAAAACTTTAAAAACTAATATAAAAGTTTTGGCAAGGATCGAGCGTCTAACTGTCATACACTGCTGGTGAAAGTCTAAATTGTTACAACCACTTTGGAAAATCATTTGCACCTACTGAAGCTGGTCATAGACATATTTGTGTCCCAGCAATTCTACTCCTAGGTCTATACTCACAGAAATGTTTATGTATATAAATATAATTCAGTAAACATACTGGAGTGTTTATAGCAGCAATTTTTGTAACAGCTCACAAGGGAGTTGGAGTGAATGATCAAGTAACGAGTTCGGGAAAATAAATTGGATATATATAGTCCAGCCATTTTTTTTTCCCTTTTCTCTTAGGAGCAAGCTGCCTTCAGGAATCACACATTCTGTTCCCTTCATCCATGCGTTATTTTTCAAAGTTCAGTGTGAGTATGGCCTTTGGTTGAAAGATTAATTTCTCTAATCCTGGGGTTTAGTATTAGGAAGTTCACTTGCCTGCTGAATAAGTCAATTCTCTATTATTTATTTCATCAGTAATAGAGGGGATGTTTATTCTCTATATGTGATGTCTTTGGTCTTATTTCTCAATTGCTTCATATTATTTAATGAGCTTCTGTATGGTCATAACATCTGGTGCATTAGCCAAAATCATCAAGAAATAAGACAACAAAAAGGAGGTGGATGGGAGATCAAACACACAGAGGGACTGAGACTTTTAGAGTCAGCTGTATAAGTAGCTTTAAATTTTTATGGTGCTTTTGTGAGCACAAACCATGTGAATTCTTGACCTTGGTCTTTGAGGCTTCTATTCTGCAACCTGACAGATTTTTTACAGTTACACAGTTTGCTGCTGTGCTGTGCTGTCTGTGAGTGTCTTTAAATCTTAGGTCTTATGAATTCATTCACTTTGGTGGACTACTAAAATTTATAATAATAGACAAATAGCTGTTTTTAAAGGGCCCTGCTAGCCCTAAGCAAACATGCATGAATCTCAGCAAACAGCCTCTAAAAAGCAGATGAGGCTGGGCGTAGTGGCACACACCTGTAGTCCCAGCACTTTGGGAGGCTGAGGTGGGAGGATAACTTGAGCCCAGGAGTTTGAGACCAGCCTGGCAACACAGTAAGACTCCATCACTATAAAACATTTTTTTAAAAAATTAGCCAGGTATGGTGGTTTGCTCCTGTAGTCCCAATTACTTGGGAGGCTGAGGTGGGAGAATCATTTGAGCCTAGGAGGCTGCAGCGAGCTGTGGTCATGCCACTGCACTCTAGCCTGGGCAACAGAGCGAGACCTTGTCTAAAAAAAAAAAATGCTGGAAAATACAGATGGGCCTTACTGACTGGCCTAAGTAAGCAAAACCCCTGCTTCATAGATCAGACTAGGCTCCACAAACCTACAAAGACGTCAGAGACCTTAGTAAATAGAAGGCAAGGAGGACCTTAGCAGACACAATCCTCAGAGAGCAGACAGCAGCACCTTAGCTCACTCGTGTGGAGCCCCTACAAAACCAACAGATTTCTGTAGCATGTGCGAGCCCTAATTTTAAAAAGATACGATCATAGGCAAAAGAGACATGAGAGGCAGATCAATTATTTGCTGCTTATACTACATTTTTCAACTAGGTCTACAGGGCAAGACTCATCCTATACCCAAGTTTCATGTATGTTACAAAGCACTAATATTTTAGCTTTAAATTGTTACTGCTAGGCCTAGTTGGACAGTGTGGATAAGCCAAATCCTATCCATTTGTATACTGTTTTTGTCTACCTATAGGACCAAAGGAGGAAACTATGTAAGTACTGTACAAACCTCTTGGATTCATGTGGATTGCTCACAAGCTCTTGAGGGTCACTCCCTATCAGGTTGATTTTAATTTGTTAATCTCATATGTTCTGACCATGGCTTTATCTGTCATGTTATACTCAAATAGTAGCTTCATTCATAGAAGGGTAATGTATTTTTATTATCAAATAATGGGAATTCTTATTATAAAGGCTACACCCTCTTTTGGGGTTGGAATAGAGAAACAGCTTGATGAAATTACTGCAATTTAAATTTAAAGCAATTTAAAATATTGTGCTCTGAAAATTGGCTTTAGGAATCAAGTGTGTTCAAGAAATCAAGGATGCCATACCCCGGTCACAGCAAGACCCCATTTCCCCCTGACCCCCCCAAAAAAAAAAAAAAAAAAAAAAAAATATATATATATATATATATATATATATATATATGTATGTATTAGCCAGGTGTGTTGGTGCACACCTGTAGTCTCAGCTACTCAGGAAGCTGAAGAGAGAGGATTGCTTGAGCCCAGGAGTTCAAGGCTACAGTGAGCTATTATCACCACTGTACTCCAGCTTAGGTGACAGAGCAAGACCTTGTCTCTAGGCTGGGCACAGTGGCTCACGCCTGTAATCCTAACACTTTGGGAGGCTGAGGTGGGCAGATCACAAGGTCATGAGTTCAAGACCAGCCTGGCCAATATGGTGAAACCCCATCTCTACTAAAAATACAAAAATTAGCCAGGCGTGGTGGTGAGCGCCTGTAGTCCCAGCTACTCGGGAGGCTGAGGCAGGAGAATTGCTTGAACCCGGGAGGCAGAGATGCAGTGAGCTGAGATCGCGCCAGTGCACTCCAGCCTGGGTGACAGAGCGAGAGTCCATCTCAAAAAAAAAAAAAAAAAAAGACCACGTCTCTAAAAAAATAAGATAAAATAAAAAAGAAATAATATAGAAGCTAGGGTGGCTTGAAAAGTGTGCTTCAGTCTTTTTTTCAGAACAGGAATAACAGAATAAAAACAAAATAAAGGTTGGCAGGCTGGTTGCACTTGAGGAAGAAAAAGGTTTTCTTAAGAGAACATCTACCTTTTGGGAAGAGAGCTTTTGGAAGGAAAGACAAGAAAGATGTGAAATGGAAATAAGATCTTAAAGTCCAAGATGGACACATATAAAAGAGAAATGGAGATGCACCTGTGTCTAAATGTCCTCAAAGAACGCACTAGAACATGGGAAAATGTCTTTACGGTTATTACATCAGAAAAATGATTGAGGCCCAAATAAATCTAACAGAAGAAGAGAGACAAGATTTCAAGGGGCAGATTAGAACAGCTCCTCAAAAGGAATCAGGATCTGGGAAACCACTGAGAGTTTCTCAGGGCATAGATTGATTTTGTAAGGGCAGTTAGGGGAGCTGCCTCTTAAAAGATCGGGGCTTGATTGCAGGGGATTTAACTGTTGCACTTTAATTTTTCCTTAGGAATTTGACAATGGGAGGTGGTTTGTATTTAAATGTGATAGATCTGTGTATTGTTAGTATTTTGTCATTGAAATGATTTTATACATTTTATTCTCAGAATATCTTTATGTTTTAATTTGAAGTCATTAAAGACTCTCTGCTTACTATGGTGTACAACATGACTAGATATAACTTGAAGTAGGAAATAGAATAATTTTCAGCCTTGAGCATCAAGTGTCCTTGAAATTGATCCAAGTAATGTCTTGTTTTGATCCATTTCAGAGCCTTCCGGGGAACAGAGCTACACCATATACTTTGTTCACAAAAGAGTGGAGATTAGGATTGAGGAAGGAGCTGACTTCTGAAAGTGGGAGCAAAATTATCTTGGTCAACTGCTGAGCTCCCAAAGAGGATAACCACATTCTGGGAGGACTCTAGGCTTAGTATTTAAGCATAGTGGGCTTATAGAAGAAAATCTTCAGAATGGCAAGTAGAGGTGGGGAAATTCTTCTTTGTCTTACTCAGTTTCCCTACCCACTCCTGCCCTAAAGAAGTAGGATTATTGATTGGTGAATTTGGAAAGAAAACTGGCATTCCTCTTCCAGTCTCCTCCTCTCTCCTTGGGGAGTTAGCCTGCCCTCCCATACTGCACATGTTCTGCTTACTTTTGTGCCACAGCACAAAAGAGAGGTGGCCTGTGGCTTTCCAGCTCTCCCTATGATTTAGTGGTAGTCTGCCTATTTTCAAGGTTCATTATTATTGCATAAAGAGGGGAGCTGCATTCCCCAGCATCAGCTTTATTAGCAATAAAGGAAATGAGATGGTTCTCCACCTGCCATACTCTTTGGTCTTACATAAAAATTGGTTCGAAACTCAGATGAGGAGTGCTAGTACTATTTATATGTTTCCCTCAAATTTCTAAGAGGGTGCTTTCAGAAGAAAAGGTGATCCCAGATTAGGGTTTGAAGGACAAATAGAGTGTGTATGGTGTAAGTGAAAAACATGATTGCGGAAGGAGGAAAGAGCATGTGCAAAAGCAGAGATACTTTAAAGAGTGTTGTGTGATCTGGATGGCTCAGTGATGTATAAGTAAAATGCAAGGTGAGGAGTGGTAGCAAAGAGGCTAGAGACTATAGAGCTAGTACAAGGCCAATTTATAAAGGGCTCAGACTTTATCCTGTAGATGATGGTAAGCAATGCAGGAAGGGAGAGGATGGAAGAAGAGTCTTAAGCGTGGGAAGTAATTCAAGGTAAACAAGTGAAAATAGGTATAGATTAGCCTTCTAAGCAGCTTGACTATTAAGGGAATCCAAGGGCTTATGTAAATATCTAGAGTGCCTCTTAGAGTTAAGGGAGGGTAATGGCTTACACACGGGGTTTGTTTTAATATGGGAGAAACTTGAGCAATGTGTAGCTTGCAGGAAGAGACTGAAAATATAGGAGAATGGGAGAATAATTAATGGAACAAAAAACCTAGAGAGATGAGAGGTAATGAAATCCAGAAAACAAATAAAAGGATTCCTCCCTCTTCCACTGAAGAGGCAAAGATCTGTGAGAATGCAGACCATTTTGTTGGTAGGCATGAGGCCACCAAGGAATTGCGGACTGTTAGCTTCAATTTTCTTTGTTTAATAGCAGGTTGGTCTTTGGTGAAAATGAGGGGATGGTTGGTGGAATGGGAGGTCAGAGAAAGTATTGAGGATTCAAAACTAGCTAGGGATGGGGAGAAGGACCTGCATGAAGCACTGGAGGAGGGGGCAGTCAACTAAGATTGGATTGAACTGGGGTAAGTTTCACCAGGCAGATGGGAAGGAAGGGCAGTGGGGTTTAATGGAAGAGAAGACATCGAGAGTGGCTGAAGTGACTAAACATAAGATAGGAAGAGAAAAATAATTAAAGAAAATTAATTTCTCATTACATCTATATCCTAAAGTCACTGTTGCAGAGCATAAGGGTGACATTTCTTTTAGTCAGACTAAATTGTAAATTTTAGGTACCAATGGCAAAAATGGACATAATTATTTTGTCTTTTTACTTATTAGAACAATGTCTTTAATACACATTCATTCTTAAAAAAAACCACACACAGGGAAAACAGGTCTTTTCATGGATCAAATGTATCTTCCATATTAAAGATAACATGGCATTAAAATAAATGTAGCAAGGATTATTGGTTTTACAAGAAAAATTATCAGAAACACACAAATAGTAGTCCACATATCTACTCAATGGGGTCTGTTGTGTACAAACCCAAAATATACCTTATAAACAAGCAATACTTATAAAATCTGATTACATATTTTGTAGCAAAACTTCAAAAGTTTCCTTCAAAGTTAGGGGAGCAATCCACAAGAGATCACCTTCACTTCTGACCCCAACTTAAGAGTTCAGGGTTCCCAGTGAGAGGTGAATCTGTCTGGGCTTCTGGGTCAGGTGGGGACTTGGAGAACTTTTCTGCCTAGCTAAAGGGTTGTAAATGCACAAATCAGCGCTCTGTGTCTAGCTAAAGGTTTGTAAACGCACCAATCAGCACTTTGTAAAAAACACACCAATCAACGTCTGTGTTTAGCTAAAGGTTTTGTAAGTGCACCAATCAGCACTCTGTAAAAACGCACCAATCAGCGGGACGTGGGCAGGGCCACATAAGGGAATAAAAGCTGGCCACCTGAGCCAGCAGCGGCAACCTGCTTAGGTCCCCTTCCATGGAAGCTTTGTTCTTTCGCTCTTGACAATAAATCTTGCTGCTGCTCACTCTTTGGGTCCACACCACCTTTATGAGCTGTAACACTCACTGCGAGTGTCTGTGGCTTCATTCCTGAAGTCAGTGAGACCACGAACCCACCAGGAGGAACGAACAACTCTGGACGTACCACCTTTAAGAGCTGTAACACTCACTGCAAAGGTCTGTGGCTTCACTCCTTAAGTCAGCGAGACCACAAGCCCACCGGAAGGAAGAAACTCTGGACACATCTGAACATCTGAAGGAACAAACTCCGGACACACCATCTTTAAGAACTGTAACACTCACCACGAGGGTCTGCAGCTTCATTCTTGAAGTCAGTGAGACCAAGAACCCACCAGAAGGAATAAATTCTGGACACACCAGGACTACCCTTAAGTCTGGTAATTTACTTGAAGGACCGAGAGAACTCACTGATAACTATTATATTCACAGTTATGGTTTATTACAACAAAAGCATACTGGCTGGACACAGTGGCTCACATCTGTAATTCCAGCACTTTGGGAGGCCAAGGCAGGAGGATCACTTGAGGCCAGCAGTTCAAGACCAGCCTGGGCAACATGGACTCCATCTTTTTAAAATTTGTGTGTGCGTGTGTGTGTGTGTGTGTGTGTGTGTGTGTGTAAAAGGGGGAAAAAAGGATGCTGATTCCAAGGGAATTGGTGCATAGAGCAGAGTCCAGGAAATTTTAGTCTGCAGCCCCTCTGGAGGTAGACTGGCTATCTCATGGCCCAAAGACCACATCATAAATCACATTCTTACACCATCCAGTGTAGCTAAAGGCTCCCAGGTAAACAAAGCCACTCTTCCTAGAGATCACCTCCTAGGATACAAGGACAAAGGCCAGACTTCTTTTTGGGTAAGGTTAATTCTTTGCTACGCACTTCTAAAATACCAAAATAATCAATTCTCTGAATATATTCCTATAAAAGTAGGTATTAATAACCTATTGTCTGACTCCCTGCTGAGTCAAATATATTACTTTTCATGATTTTACTTCATACCTGTGATTGCTTCCTTAAGTTTTTCAAATTCACGTTGGAATGTTGAGTTATAAATTTCATTTGTTTTATGACAACCATTTTCTGGTAAATTTTCATCTTCTGCAGGAAAATCGTGCTACTCCGTTTCACAGTTTTTTTATTATAATTTTGAATAGATGTTCTGCATATGACTTTCATAATCTTTGAATTTAAATTAGTGAAATTTTCCTGGACTACTAACAGGAGGTGAAAAGAAAGATTAGGATAGCATTATAAAATTCATCTCTCGAGGGCTCCCTCTTCTGTTGCTATAGAAGACGACTCTTTTCTTAAACTCTGTGAACACCTACTCTGCCTCTCAGAACTGAACCTGGTTCCAAAGAGCTTCTACACACAGTCCTGGGCTTCCTGATTTATTCACAGGCTGCAGGGACACAGATATTGCCTTCTAAGATGATGATACTGCTTTTAGAAGTTATTTTACTGGTGCTTTCTAAGGTCTGCAATCTCTGATTGGGCAGCTTCTGTCCTTCTCTCTCTCCCTTCCCAATGTTTGGAGCCTATTCAGTCGCAGCCTTGTTTTTAGGGTACAGCCACCACTAAACTCCTTCCCCACTTCCAGTACTTTCCCATATTGTCTTGATTTCCTATGTGGGCTTGCTGTCCTCAGTTGCCTATTGCAGCATTCACATTTAATTTTGGAGTTTTGGAGTTTTCTTAGCTATTTGCTGAAAGTTCAGTTTCTATGAATTTATTTTCATTTTCTTGGTTGCTCTGGATAGATTTCAGGAGAAGAAATGAAAACTTTCAAAACTAAGCAGACCTCATATTCTTTTAGAATGCTAATATAATTCATTTCTGTTCCATGTTTTCAAAAAATATGAAGAAATTCTAGGGAAGTACTCTGATTATTGGCTTCAGATAATGAAGAAGAATGTTATAGTTGTCAGTAGCCCACTTAGAGTCAGTTATGTAGATGTTCCCATCTGCAATGACACCAAGGCTATAACTATAGAAGGTAATATCCCAAAGCAGTTTTTATATAAAGTCATTTGCAGCATATAGTGTAGATTTTTTTCTTTAATTAAAATGAAAGCACCTCAGTGAGGTGCTTTCAACGTTTTATTCTGGTATACTAAAAAGAAGATTGTTAGTCAAAATGTTTCTCCTGAACCCAAGTAACTGGAACACTGTACAGAAGTGTTTGAGAACGTATTCCAATCTAGGTGGATTATGGGTGAGAGAATGCTATAATAATTCTCATTTTAGTTCTGGAGATTTTAATCTACGTTCAGTTTCTTTTTAAAAATTACTAACATTCTATTTTGCTAGTCAGTCACAAATAATTTTGTACCCAGAGCAAGTTCCAGCATTACCTGGGAACTACATCTCCATCTTTTTTATGCCTCACTCTCTCATGAGAACAAAATCAAGGTAAAAGCCACAGAGATATGCTGAGCAAAATGTTAAGACTATGAATAGTATCAGAATGCAGATGTTATTTTACTATATACTGTACTAGTTATAACCAAGTGACTTAAAATAGGAAGTAAGAGGAAGAGCTGAGCGTGTGGCAGTCACTTTGATGTAGGGTTGGAATCCAGTATACCTTGATGGTGGTAACCCTAGTGAAACACCTCCTACTCTGGGATAGAACCCTGGGAAGCCTAGGCCAAAAGTGGGGAGAGGGACTAGAATGATCTGGTTGGCTCAGAAATCCTCAAGCATTGATTCAGGACTACTGGCACCCTTTAGCACCCAATGGAAGGAAAAGAAGCGCCTCTCTATAGGAACATTACATCATCCAGTGCTTCAAATTGTTTATATTAAATCAGTTTTTCCAATTAAATGAACTGCAAACAATCAAAATTAATGGATGCAGGAAGAGTAAGCATGAGACAGCCACCAGGAGAAACAATAGACAAAAGAAACAGACTTAATAACAAAGTCTAAAAACTACTATGCTTACTATGTTCATGAAAGAAAAAGTCAAGCATATAAATTTTGTCCAGGAACTAGAAATCATAAAAAAGTGACATTCAAGGTTTTAAAAAGAACCAGATAGGAATTATAAAACTAAAAAATGTAATAACTAAAAGTACAAAGACTACGGGTGAATTTTAGAGCAGGTTAGGGACACCTAAAGAGATAATGAGTGACTGGAAGATAAGTTAAAAGAAACCCTCAATAAATTTTAAAGGATTTAAATCATACAGAGTTCTAAAGTGACAATTTATATGTGTTCGAAATCAATAAGAAAAGGATAATCACATTATTTGCATATGTTTGGAAATAAGAAACCTACTTCTAGGCTGGGTGCCATGGTTCACACCTGTAATGCCAACACTTTGGGAGGCTGGCAGATGGCTTGGGTCCAGGAGTTGGAGACCAGCCCGAGCAACATGGAGAAACCTTGTCTCTATAAAAAACACACAAAAAACAAATTAGCTGAGCATGGTAGTCTGCACTTGTAGTCCCAGCTATTTGGGAGGCTGAGGTGGGAGAATCACCTGAGCCTGGGGAGGTTGACGCTGTCATGAGTAGTGATAGAGCCACTGCACTCTTGCCTGGGCAACAGAGTGAGACTCTATTTCAAAAAAAAAAAAAAGAAAAAAGAAAAAAAAAGAAACATACTTCTAAATCTATGCATCAAAAAAATGATAGGAAAATTAGATGATGTTTTAAATTCAATGGTAATAATACATATCAAGACTTGTGTGATGCAGTTAAAACAATATTGATGGAGAAATCTGTAGCTTTTAATGTACATATTTGTAAAGAAGTTAGTAAAAGAACAGCAAAATAGAAAGTAGAAAGAAATAATAAAGAAAATAGAATAATTGAAATAGAAAAAAATACAATAAAAACTATGTACAAAATTCAGGTCCTCTGAAAAGCCTAATAAAATTGATAGAACACTGGTGAGACTGATTAACAAAAGAGAGAAGGCACTAATAATTGATGATGAAGATAGGGACACTGGGTCAGATCTTGCACACCTTAAAAACATGAGGTTGTTATGAACATATAAATGGTATAAAAATTTAGATGAAAAACAAAAAAATCTGTATCAGACATGATACATAATAGCGAAACATGAAAAGCCTTTCTTTTGAAACTGGAAATGAGACATTTTTGCCTGCTAACACCTCTTTTATAATGTTGTTCTAGAGTCCTGAACCTGTAGTAGCACAAGAAAAAAGGGAATAAAAAATGAAGGAAAACTCAACGATTTGAAAATGGTATGATTGAATGCATTGAAACCCAAACACAAATACATTTATATTTTTATTGGATAAGAAATTTTAGCAGGGTTGCTGGATATAAAAATTAGTTTGGAAAATTAGCTTATTTTATATATATTTAAGCAACAAAAAAGGAAAATGAAATATTAAAAAGATACTATTTACAATAGTGTCAGAAATATCAAATATATATAGAGATATAATAAAAGATCAGTGAAACTTCTGCATAGCAACAAATACAATTATATTAAGAAACATTACAGAAGACCTAAATGAATTGAAAATCATGATTGGAAGGCTCAATGTTGAAGAAGTCGCTCGTCTCTCAGGTTAATGTATGGATTTGATGCAATATCATCCAAAATCCCAAAAGGCCTTTTTTGTTGTTGTTGTTGTTGTCTTATTGTTCATTTGGTTGGTTTTTCTTTTTTCTGGAACTTAAGCTGATTCTAAAATGTATAAGGAAATACAAAGGGTCAAGAATAACCAAGTCTGTGTTTTGACGAAAAAAAAATAAGGTAGAAGATCTATACTTCTAGGTTATCAAAATTTTTCTGAACGACTTTTATAATTAAGACTGTGGAATTGGCAAAGTACAATGGAAAGACTAGGCTTCAGAAACAGACCTACATACATACAACTTGATTTATGACAAAGGTGACACTGTAAAAGAATGGAATATGGATAGATTTTCCAGTGAATGGTACTTGGTCAAATGGGTAGCATATACAAAATAAAATTGTACCTCAACCACTGTGCACAAAAATCAATCATAATCTTAAATGAGAAAGGCAATACAATGAAGCTGTTAGAAGATAATGTAGAAAAATATCTTCATGATTTGGGGATAAGGAACTTACTTAAGTCACAAAAATCATCAGTCAGAAAAGAAAAGATAGATATATTTTTTCCTCATTAAAAGACTTTAAACAAAAGTTGCCACTGCAGAGTCAAAAGGCAAATTATGAAGTAGGCAAAGATGTGTGCAATATGTAAAATTGTGAAAAGGCTGTTATTCAGAAAACATGAATAACTACTACAAATCAACAGAAAAAGACACAATCCCAATAGAAAAATAGGCAAAAGACCTAACTAGGAACTTCCAAACGAGAAATCCAAAAGACCAATTAATATATAATCTCATTAGTAACTAAGAATGTTCAAATTAAAATCACAATTAGATACCATACATACCTACTTGATCTTTTTTAGAAAGTACAATATCAAATGGTAGGCAAAGATACAGAACTCTCATATATTGCTTAAGGAAGTGTAAAAGTTTGGAAATATCTAGTAAAGTTGAATCTACGCCTACCTTAAAACTCAGCAATTCTGTTTACATATGTAAGCAAGGAGCTGGAAGTTCTCACTCCAACTTAACAACATATATATCTTACTGACCTGCAGTCACGTATGTATCAGGATACATGTACAAGAATAAGAATGTTCATGGCAACATTCTTTTAATAGCCCTAAACGGGAAACAATCCATATGTCTATCAACAATAGAATGGATATATTGTAGTTTATTCATACCATAATGAAGAGAAAGAATTAAACTACATAAAAGTAGACCTTTGAAAAACAGAGTAAATGAACCCAAAGAAAACAGAATATAAAGTATATGAGTCCACTTATATAAAGTTCAAAAACAGCAAAACTGAAAAAAAAAGTTGAAGAACTATGTGGCAAAACTGTAATGAAAAACGAGGTAACAAATACCATAAAAGTCAAGATAGCTACTCCTGCTAGCTGGGAGATGGGATTTATGATGAAGAAGTGGCAGGTGATGGCTTTCTGGCATGTTGTCAATCAGGGCCATCTACATAATTTGTGGTGTCCAGAACAAACATCTTTTTTCTCTCCCTCCCTCTCTTTCTCCTCACATGGTGTTTTCTTATTTGCTATTTAATGTGGCACTCCCTTGGGCACAGGTGGAAAACTGACCCAAAGGAGCTAGGGGCCTGACTCCTGGTTCAGAGGAAATGGGGAGGATCCTGCACCTCAGCCAGACACTTCCTGCACCGTACCTCCTGCTCAGCCTCTGCCAGAGCAGAGGGTGGGGTGGGGTGGAGTGGAGAGAGTGAGCAGCCAGAACTCATTCTGGGGAGGAAGGGAGGTGGCAGGAGGCCCATGTTGCCTGAATCAATGCATTGTCCCATTGATACTTCACTGATAAAACACAAATTCAAAGATAAAATTATTGAGAATTACATGATGGTGATTGCAGGGCATTAAATGTCAAGCAGGAAGGAGGAGGAGAGTGGAGCATGTTGGCTTCTGAGCTTGGGGTCCTGTGCCACTGCAAGTCCCTGAAGCTGGCCCTTTCAGCAATGTTCTCTTTCCTGACCTGGGTAGCAGTTATACGGATGTGCATTTTACCATAACTGCTTGTCTCCGTTCATTTGTGCCGCCATAACAAAATAGTTGAGACTCAGTAATTTATAAAAACCAGAAATTTATTTTCTCAAGGTTCTGGAGGCTGAGAAGTTCAAGATCAAGATTTGATCTTGGTGTCTGGTGGAGGCTGCTCTGTGCTTCCAAGATGGTGCCTCTTGCTGCATCCTCACATGGTGGAAGAGATGGAAGGGGTAAACTCGCCCCCTCTATCCCTTTCATAAGGCGCTAATCACATTCATGAGGGTGGCCTCACCACCTCCTAAAAGCCCCACCTCTTAGTACTGTTGCATTGGGGATTGAGTTTCACAATGAATTTGGGAGGGGACACACACAAACACTGAAACCACAGCACTGCTTAAACTGGACATTCATGCTTTATACAATTTTCTGTATGATGGCTGAGTTTAAAACTAGATAAAGGAAAGGTGGTGTAAAACGGAATGAACTTTTGCTGTAAAATATAGAATTATTCACATATAGAGATGTATATACTAGTAAATGCATACTTTTTTCTAGAAGGAAACAATAATCTGTTAACACTGGTTGCTTCAAGGGACAGGGATTTGAGGAGATGAGGTAAAACAGGCTTTTGTTTTTCATATGAACCTTTTTGTATTATTTGAATTTTCTACTGTGGTCATGTTGGGATTATTGGCCAATTTATATGTTTTTGTAAATTAAATAAAATTATTTAGTTGCTTATTTTAAAGTAAAGCCAGAAAAATGCAATCATGTTAAAAGCCTATAGGGAAGACAGGCACGGATACATACTTTTTTAAGAATCATATTTTGAACCATTTTAGAAAGCAAAGAGCATTTTTGTTGATATGAACAACCCCCCTATAATTAAGGTTTCATAGATCTATATTTTTTACCTAGTCTACTCTGAGGTAGATTTACTGTGAAGCTAAAGGATTCAAACTTCAGAGTCCCTCACTTGGATAGACCCTTATGAAGTCCTGTACCTAATTTTAATTTTGCATTCATAATTTTACATACTTCTTTAAAAAGACCTTTCAGATTATATAATCTTGAAGCCCCCCTAAAACCTGATTCCAACCTTGACTGTGAGTTACACTCAAATCAAAGAGTTCTTATACCTGCCCTAAATATGAAGATTTGTAGAAATAAGTAACAAAACATGGTTGTAAAAATGTATCTAAACAAATAGATTCACTCAAGATACACTTTAAATCTGGCAGTGAGAATTAACATGTCCCCTACTCCAGCAATCTTTTCAACTTGCCAGAAATGAATCATTTCCTCCTATGTGCTATGCCTGTACTTTCTCTCTATTGTTATTGAGGTTTGTATTATGTGCTTGTTAAGCTACCTGTCTGCCCTACTAGACAAGAAGCTCCCAAATAGCTAGGACCCTCTCAATTATTTTTGTGCCTCCAGGGCCTAGAAAAAGATTCTAGCATGCAACAAGTGACTGTTTAATAGGATCTTTTTACAACCATTGTATTGTGTGTAAAGGAGCCATAGCTACAGTTCTTTACTTGAGTAAGCTTCATATGAAACTGATAACTATACATATACATACATGCACAGCTTAAGGAGATTCACAAAGTACTTATCAGTAAGCATCTTTCTTTTTCCTACTGAATTTACATGATTTGGTCACATTTTGCAGAAGATATAAGCTTTTTTAAGCACAAGAACCAAACAATATGAATTTCATGAACTATTTTAAAAACACATAAATGTACAAAGAAAAATATGAAAATTCAACATCCCACTGTCATGTTTCAGATATTTTTAATAAATAAAAACTTTAAAATTCAGAAGAAACCATCTTTAAGCCATTCCCAGTGTGAAAATTGATCATACAATCTGGATCATTCTTGTCATACCCAACTAAATCAGAATCGAGGGACCAGGGGAGAAAGCAATCAGGGCACACAGCTCTAGCATTAAGAATTAAGTTTTTTACAACCCAGCTGCTGAAACGGCCTGCAGTAACTCTAAGACCAGTTTTACCGAGTAGTTGCTGAAACAATCTCCTATGACTAAGACTGGTTTTATCTACCACTCTCACTCACCAATCAGAGCTTGCCAGCTTCCCAAAACTTTACTATAGTGCCAATGAACCTTCTTTCAAAACAGTAGCAACATTTCTCTTTCTAATAAAACTCTCGACCTTCTCTTTGTTCTTCTGACATACTAAAGACCACTCAGTCTGTGTGTATGTCCTGAACTGCAATTCTTGCTTCCCCAAAAAACCATTAAATTTAGAAATTCATCTCTTTATATTTTATGTTTACTCTGACACCATATACAAATTCCTTGGCCTCCTTCGTTGGAGATGAGCATCACCCTGAAGTTGGGATGTATCATCCCATCCATATATTCTCATTTTTACCACTTAAGAAAATGTATCCATAAATATATAACATGTATCCATAAATATATAATTATTCTGTGTTGTAATTTTTTTTTTTTTTTGAGACAGGGTCTCGCTCTGTTGCTCAGGCTGGAGTGCAGTGGTGCAATCTCAGGTCACTGCAACCTCTGCCTCCTGGGTTCAAGCAATTCTCCTCCCTCAGCCTCCCAAGTAGCTGGAACCCCAGGCTTGTGTCACCATGCCTGCCTAATTTTTGTATTTTTAATAGAGACGGAGTTTCACCATGTTGGCCAGGCTGGTCTCGAACTCCTGACTTCAGATGATCCACCCTCCTCGGCCTCCCAAAGTGCTGGGATTACAGGCGTGAGCCACCACGCCCTACTGTGTTGTAATACTTTAAGCCAGTGTTATCTAATGCAACAGGTACAATTTATTGTAATATTTTGTTTAACCCATTACATCCAAAACATTTAAACATATATAAAAATTTTTAATGTGCACTTCAATATTCTTTTTGAAAATTTCTTGTAGTAAGTCCAGAAATAAAAAAAAAGTCCAGCTGATATATACTTACAGCACATCTCAATTCATATGCTAAAGTTAGAGTTCATAAAATTTAAGTTGGAAAAACAGATTCATATATCTGAGTTGTTGCAAACACACTTAAAAGTATTCCAACAATTGAATCGAGCATCAGGTTTTTGGTTTTTGTTTAATTCAAATTCAATTAACGATTCAGTTTTTCCGTCTCAACCACATTTCAAGTGCTGAGTAGCCACATATGGCTAGAGGACAGCCTACTGGACAGCACAGCTTAAGGAGGTACACAATGTACTTATCAGTCATCATCTTTCTTTTTCCTACTGAATTTACGTAATATTTAAATTGTTTTTCTTTGTCATATCCTAGAACTCAAACGCACAGATACAATGGATACCTTTGATTTTCTGCGTCGATGGCATTTTGCATTTAAAAAGATCATCTGGGTGGGGTGGCGCGCGTCTGTAATCCCAGCTACTCGGGAGGCTGAGGCAGGAGAATCGCTTGAACTCGAGAGGCGGAGGTTGCAGGATCGCGCCACTGCACTGCACTCCATCCTGGGCGACAGAGCAAACTGTCTCAAAAGAAAAAAAAATCATTTATCACTAAATTTACTCACCAAAAGAACTTGCAAAAAAAAAACCCAAAACCCTACTGCCTAAAATATATTTTAAAACGTATTTGTGTTTAAGCAGCATATATCTTTTGATAAATAATGACGCATGGTAGCTAACTAGTAAAGATGCAGCTTTCATATTAGCCACGCCCATCCCTCTCTCCGCCCTCCACAAGCACGTCCCCGCAAGCGCGCAGGAACATACACGCGTACGCGCGCACACACACGTACACACGCGCGCGCCCGCGAACACATACATACAAGCAGGCGCGCCCAAACGCCGGCAGCACACAGGCGCGCACGCGCTTTTCAGGACTCAGGAAATGCGCTTTCTGCTCCCCGCGCCCGGTAGAGCTAATGCAGGGAAGTTTCTGGGAACATTCGACCAGCGTTTGTATTGGTGAGGTTCCAAGTTTCCTTTAAAATGATATGACTCCGCCCTTCTCCAAAACCGTTTGAGGAGAAATGGAAAAGGTTGGGCGTGGAGGTGAAAAGGAGCCCTGTTGTCAACTGGTCCGTACTCCACCTCAGGAGGCGGCCAACTTGGTGCGCCCAAGAATAAAAACATTTCCCTTGTAAGAACATGCAAGTGTTTAGAAACGCCCCCCCACCCCCCCGCAAGGCGTTTGTGAGGGGGACCTGTCACAGTTGAGAAGTCAGGATGGGCGTTTTCCTCCCAGGAGGTGCCCTATTAATTTGCGGCCTCGATAGTTGGTCAAGCCGGGATGTTAGCTGCGGAACCTCCAGGACCGAAGAGCGCCAATTCTCCTGAGTTCTCCTTGGTTTGGGTTTCCCACAAAAGAGTGGTCACACCAAAAACTCTGTCTCCACAAATGCGAAACGGGCTCGAAACTTTTTTTTCCCCACACGATCACTTCCCACACCACTCCCATCCCTTTATGTTTCGCCTCAGGAGTCGAGGAACTTCTCTGAAAACCAATTCTACGATATTCCAGCAGCTAAACACAGCCCGAATTCCCTAGAAACAGAGAGAGCGAGAGAAAACACTGTAAACCCCAATCACACGCTCCTGTTTTCCCGGTACTGAAAAAAAAAAAAAAAAAAAAAAGTGGGTCCGTGGCCGCGCTATGCATGCTAGGATTAGTAGTTCCTCCGTCCCTCATGGCGCGGGGTCAGGGCGGAGCTCAGGTTGACTCTGCAGCAGAGAACTACAATTCCCATGGGGCCGCGCGGCAGAAAGAAAGGGGCGGGACGGGAGGGGGCGCGTCGCGCTTGCGCAGGTCCCGGGGCCGGAGGGAGGCGGAGGCGTAGCGGTCCAACTGCTGAAGTCCCCATGTGACAGTGAGCGGGGTCCCCGCTCCAGGAGACGCTCGAGTCTGCGTCCCGGCCCTCAGCACTGTCCACTGTTTCGGTGCCAGCAGAGACCAGCAGGCCCGGGACAGTTGGTGTTTGGCCGTGCCGCTGTCTAACTTGGTGTGCAGAGTGAATTGCCGCTGCCGGAGCGGAGAGAGGCGGAGCGGCCAGGAGAGAGGGGATTTCTGTCAGCGCCGGCCTCGGGAGCTCGGAGACATGAACGGCTTCACGCCTGACGAGATGAGCCGCGGCGGGGATGCGGCCGCCGCAGTGGCCGCAGTGGTCGCTGCCGCGGCCGCCGCCGCCTCGGCGGGGAACGGGACCGGCGCGGGCACCGGGGCTGAGGTGCCGGGCGCGGGGGCGGTCTCAGCGGCTGGGCCCCCGGGGGCGGCCGGGCCGGGCCCCGGGCAACTGTGCTGCCTGCGGGAGGATGGTGAGCGGTGCGGCCGGGCGGCAGGCAACGCCAGCTTCAGCAAGAGGATCCAGAAGAGCATCTCCCAGAAGAAGGTGAAGATCGAGCTGGATAAGAGCGTAAGTAAACCGCGGGACCGCCCTGCCCTCCCGCCCCTCGGTGGGGCCCCAGGAGCCGGGCAAAGGCACGGGTTGTCGGCGGGGTCCCCCAGACAACCGCACTGGCTGCAGTGCGGTCTCGTGGAGTCTGTGTTTGGAAGCAAATAACAAAGTCGCTGCAACTCCTACCGCCACCCCAACACACACACCACACACAGGCTGTCGTTCCCCTCTTCTTTCCCACCCTGGCCCCCAACCTCCCGCTGCCTGCGTCTCTCCCGCGCAGTCTTCCCTCTTCCTTCTCCTCTGCGACCGGGACACGAAACAAAGGGGACCGGCGCACTGAGGGCCCAGAGTAGTTTTCTTGCAGCCCGGCAGCTCTTCTGGAATGGAGGCGCCTTTGTTTTGCTGCCCAAGCTGGTGTTTGGCCCCAGGCGGTACTAAATCCCGTCGTCTAGGAGAAAGCGGAGGACCTTCACGAACAAGGAAGATCCTGTTCTTTTCTGTGTTCCGTCTCCTCCGGAGCGGAGTGAGAGGGAAGCCGAGCTCACCCGCCGCCTGGCAGTGAGCCGGGGTTGTAAACGGCGTTTGCGCTGTCAGCTCCGAGGGCAGCTACTCCGATGGTGGGGAGCACGTAGCCTCTGCGGTTTTGCCATCCCCTTGGCAGCCATCAGGATTTTTTGCACGTCTTTTCGTTTGACCATCTATGAGGTTTTTAGAAACAGCCGTTGCTACTTTTGGGAGATCTGGCTAGCGGTAAATGAATAACATGGTATCGAGAACCTACCACAAGTCCTGCATATTTTTATCTTGCGCTTGGCTTAGAAGTAAATGTAAAAGCCTGTTAGCTCAGTCCGTGTTTGTTTCAAATGCTAGTCTACAGCTCGCAGGAGTATATGTAATTAAAGTTTTTGAAAAGTTTATTTGTGACACTTTTTGCCCGTTTAAACAGTTTTCAGTGTTATCCATGAGAAACTCTTCAGGTGAACTTGCATAATTTCAGATTGTTTTGGAAAAATGTGTTATAGATAAATACATTGATTTAATATTCAGAAAAATGTATAACTGAAATTTAAATATAGTTTTGAAGTCGATGGCTCATTTGTGAAAACGAATGGTTTTGTATCTGGACTATAATTTGGGTATTCAGTTAGAAAGACTGGAAAGCATACATTATATTACTAAAATATGCTGTTCTTTTAAGTAGAGAAAGTACTGTCAAGTAGCAAAACTGTGAGCAACATCATCTTTCCCCTCATCAGTTAAAAATTCAACATGAACTAATTCAGGTCATCCTTACTGCTATCTGTTTGTTTATTTATTTAAGACAAAGTCTCACTCTGTTGCCCAGGCTGGAGTGCAGTGGCGCGATCTCGGCTCACTGCAACCTCCAACCACCAGGTTCAAGTGATTCTCCTGCCATAGCCTCCTGAGTAGCTGGGATTACAGGCTACTGCCACCATGCCCGCCTAATTTTTTGTATTTTTAGTAGAGACGGGATTTCACTATGTTGGCCAGGCTTGTGTGGAACTCCTGAGCTCAAGTGATCCACCCGCCTTGGCCTCCCAAAGTGCTGGGATTACAGGCGTGAACCACCGCGCCCAGCCCCTCACTGCAATTTGATGACAAAACCCAGAGGGTTGGAATTTCTCATTCTCCTCTCCCTCCCTCCCTTACCCCCTTCCCCAGATGGAACCAACCCCTCCTTCCCCATCCACCATCCTTTTAACAGTATTCCAGACATCTTATGTTTTAGCGTATAGGATTTAAACGTATAAATATTCCATTATCTTAACAATGGCCCATCTTGGCTGTCTTTATTTTTAAGAACTCACTGTGGCATATGTGTTTTACTAATACATAGACACATTTTACTGTAATCATAAGCAGTGTGTAAAACTTTTCTGTTTCAGGCAAGGCATCTTTACATATGTGATTATCATAAAAACTTAATTCAGAGTGTTCGAAACAGAAGAAAGAGAAAAGGGAGTGATGATGATGGAGGTGATTCACCTGTTCAAGATATTGATACCCCAGAGGTAGATGGAAGTTTTTTATGCTTAATGTAAATCCTAAGTAGTGCATTCTGAAGCCTTTATAAAAAGATATGAACAATCTTTTAAGTGTTTAAAACATTTGAGAAATCTGAAAATGAAAGCAAAATTAAATATAGCCAGTTGACATGCATTTACACAGTTTGAATTGTTACATTTTAGATTGACAATTTTTGCAGCTCTGTTGTCACATAACTTACTCTTTTTTTGACCTCAGTTTATATTATTTATCCCCAAAAGATTAAATTCTTTAATAATTTATGTTGGATTATATAAATTTTTTAAATTTTTTTTGATTTTGGAAGTAAATTTTATTGTGCTGAAGTTAAAATGTTTGTTATTATACATATCAATGATAAATTTTCAACAAATTGTATGAACTCATTTATACATGTTAATTTTTTCTAGGTTGATTTATACCAATTACAAGTAAATACACTTAGGAGATACAAAAGACACTTCAAGCTACCAACCAGACCAGGACTTAATAAAGCACAACTTGTTGAGGTATATATGAGTTTTAAACTATTTGAACTATCTGCACAACCGAGAGGTTATTAAGTGCTAATGGAAGTTTTAATGTAGTGTATGTAACAGTACATTTTAATTAGAAAGAACAAAGTTAAAAAATCTGTTGTGGAAGAATCTAGTTGTGTAGAAATGTTTGTCTGCCACTTAGGAAATTCCTTTTTGTAATGACTGCTTAGTAGATTGTGTACAGCACCTTCTGATACTGGCTTTCAAAATGTGTTGATTGTTTTTTGAGACAGAATCTCACTCTGTCACCCAGGCTGGAGTGCAGTGGCATGATCTTGGCTCATTGAAACCTCTACCTACCAGGTTCAAGCAATTCTCCAGCCTCAGCCTCCCAAGTACCTGGGACTTCAGGTGTGCACCACCACACCAGGCTAATTTTTGTATAATATTTTTAGTAGAGATAGGGTTTCACCATGTTGGCCAGACTTGTTTCAAACTCCTGACTTCAAGTGATCTGCCCACCTCAGCCTACCAGAGTGCTGGGATTACCAGTGTGAGCCACCGTGCCTGGCCCTCAAAATGTTGAATGAGAGTTTTTTTAATCCTCACTTTAGAAATCTATTAATTTTAAAACTCCGTTTAACCAGTAAACATTTGAGCACCTAATTGAGGCATAATAAAATTAATTAACAAGCTTTAATGTCCTTATTAGAATTTATATTTTAAAGTGGTGGAATAGGCCTACAAATCAGACCCTAAACAGTATTTTTATAATTTGCTGACTTAACTATTTCAAAATTTGTCCTTGTTGATGTTTGTTTTATTAGAGACATCCATGTTTTTTTCACATCTAGAAGAGGCAAAAGCTTTTCTTTTACCCAAGCTTTTACTTGTAGTTTGCTTTGATAGAGGACTTCTAGTCAGTCACTGAGTTGTGAAAAGTTAACGGAGCATGCATATGTTTTCAGGATATAATAGAACCAAGAAATCTGTGCATCTTATTAAGATGTTTATAGATTTATATATATATATTTTAATCATATTTAAAATAAAAATTTTTACTTGCAGCTACTGAGGAGGATTGATTAAGCCTAGGAGTTTGAGTCACCATGGGCAACATAGCAACACTCCATCTCTAAAAAAAGAAAATTTGGCCTACTAGACAAAATAGAAGTGTAGAAATATAAATCAGTTTTCTCATATTCTTTGCATGGATTTAGTAGTTACCCAACATTTTCTAAAATGTGCCTATTGAATAAAATGAAATATGAATAGAAGTTACATTTATTTGGCAGAATGCTTTTTAACATTGTTAAAATCTAATATATTAACTATTTAGCTAAAATTTTTTATCCTTGGTTGGGCAACACAGATCTAATTAATTTTTCTTTAATTTTGATTTAAAAGATCAAGTTCTTTTGGGGTTGTACAATACATTAATGTAACATAAATATAGTTATTGCCCACCATGATGAAATATTTCAATAGGTACTAATGGAGTGAAGGCACCCCTGTTTTGGGACAAATGAGAACCAAAGAACTGATTATTTTAAATGTTATATTTAGGTATAAATTAAACCTGTAATTTTTGATAAACTGACCTTCTAAGAACAGTTATATTATTTCCAGAGCTATTTTCTTTTTTATACATAAGAGATAGCCATGAGTGTTATATTTTACTTAATCAGAAATGCAGATATTAGCAAGTTAAGGAATGTGCAGATGTAGTACATATATTTTAAGAGAGGGGTCCCCAACCCCAGGGCCATGGACTGGTACTGGTTGGTGGCCTGTTAGGAACGGGTCCGCAGAGCAGGAGGTGAGCACCAGCTAGCAAGCATTACTGCCTGAGCTCCGCCTCCTGTCAGATCAGCCACAGAATTAGATTCTCAGAGGAGTCCAAACCCTCTTGTGAAGTGCACATGTGAGGGATCTAGATTGTATGCTTGTTATAAGAATCTAATGCCTGATGATCTGAGGTGGAACAATTTCATACCAAAACCAACTCCGCCACCCTCAATCTGTGCAAAAATTGCCTTCCGTGAAATCTATCTCTGGTGCCAAAAAGGTTGGGGACCACTGTTTTAAGGGAATCCAGGGTTGTATGACTAAGTCTTAAGTCTCTTAATTATTGTGTGGATGAACTTTTTTCTTAAGAAATTTTATTTTCTGGAATCTAAATATGCATGTCAGCACCCCAGGTAAGTCTATTATTCTTCTATTAGTAATTGTAGTATGCATGTTATGTTAGCACAATGAAAAAGCAAGGAAGCAGGTAAACATCCTTCATTGAACATCCCTCTTTCTCCTCTCATTTCCATTCATAATTTTTATTCAGAAAAATTTTCAAGGAACCTTAACCAAAGAATGCTACCAAGGTGTGAATGAATGAATATAATTTGCAGCAAACAATTTATATGTTATTGTTGGTTTCTCTACTAGCAAAAGTTTTCAACTTCATACTTCTTTTTCTATCAGTAGAGTCTAAACCATTGCAGGTTTAATGATGCATGTGATCTCTTACGTCTGTTTTATCTCATTTAAAGTTTAAAAGTAAAATCATTTATTCCCTATTCTAGATTCTAATTATAAAATTTATTATTTTTATTTTATTTATTTATCTTTTTTTGAGACAGAGTCTTGCTCTGTTGCCCAGGCTGAAGTCCAGTGGCATGATCTCAGCTCACTGCAACCTCCACCTTCTGGGTTCAAGCAATCCTCCTGTCTAAGCCTTCTGAGTAGCTAGGATTACAGGTGTACACCACCAGGCCTATCTAATTTTTGTATTTTTTTTGGTAGAGATGGGGTTTCGTCATGTTGCTCAGGCTGGTCTCAAACTCCTGGGCTCAAGTGATCCACCCACCTCTGCCTCCCAAAGTGCTGGGATTACAGGCATGAGCCACCACGCCTGGCCCAATTATAAAATTTAAAATAAATAAAAGGAAAATATATTTTCTAATCAATGTATATTAAATTGAGTGGGTCAAAGGGTCCTTTGAAATCACACTATCTCTTGTTCGTAACATTTTATTCTTGAATGCTTTCTGTCTTGTTGATATTTTGTTAAATATAATTTTTAAAGGAAATAGCCCTTATCACATAGCACTTTTTCTTTTGATGAAACCGTATTTTTTACGTAGTTTATGAAACCTGTTATATCTAAAATTTAATTTCCTTAATTTTTCTTTTCTTTGTAGATAGTTGGTTGCCACTTTAGGTCTATTCCAGTGAATGAAAAAGACACCTTAACATATTTCATCTACTCAGTGAAGAATGACAAGAACAAATCAGATCTCAAGGTTGATAGTGGTGTTCACTAGGAGACGTGGAATTGAGACTAATAACTTGGATGTTAACACTGTTTACTGTTTTTTCACATGTAGAAATGTTCTTTGTGTATTTTTTCTACAGAGGATTTTCTCTGATTTTATTTTCTTTGTTTCTGACTCTAATAATTAGTTGGAAACTCATATAAAATGAGCTTTCCTAAATTAAATCTATTTTAAATAAAGGTTATTACTATTATAGTTGCTTCAGTGTATTTATTTTGTGAAACTTGATTTTTCTTTTAAACTGACTAAGAGATCAGTATTGAGATTTTAATGTAAAGTCCTTCATTTTGTAATCCTTTTTTTTTTTTTTTTTTAAACTTCCAAGAAATTAACAGGGTAAGGAGAAGTAACAAATGTAGCACATTTGCATTCTCTGGGACAATCTGACTTGGAAGTGAAGATAATCTAAATAGCATTATTTTTTAAAGTGCTTTATAGGGCTAGCAAATTTGAAAAATAAACTTCTCTTGGAATGCAACTTCTTTTTTATTTCCTTTTTTTTGTTATTATTACTTGATGAAGTACTAGGAAGAACAAATGGTTTAATTTATATACCCACCTCCTTCCAAAGAAGACTTAATGTGCCAGCAAAGATAAACACAATGCTGAAAGTTGAAATAAGAGTATAAAATTAAATAGCTGTTTTTCAAAATTTTGTCTTCGAGAAAAGATATTTATGTGGCATGAATATAGAAAGTACCTCTGCTATGCCCCTTAATTTTTAGTGATGTCCTGTACTGTTTACATTGCAAATTGTAACTAATAAGTTGGAGAGGTCTAGATATCTATCCAGATCTTCATTTAAATTTTGGTTATATATGGCTCTGACTTGATTTATATCTCCTTTTTATGTTTCATTCTCTGTCAGTTTTCTATCAAACATTCTAAATCTCTGCTTTTCTTGAGATTATATTGTTTAGCTAAATTCTTATAATTACAAATCAAATTTATAGCTTGTGACATAAAAAAACGAGCTTCAGCAAACTGTTCTGAGATAAAGCTGCAGATTTTAGGCTGGAAATGGATGAGACCATTAATGTAGCTCATGATTTCTCAAAGTTGACATTTGGACTTGTTAATTCTTTTTTTGTGTGAGGCCGTTCAGTCTATTGGAGGATTAGCAACATCCCTAAGTCCACTCAGTAGGTGCCAGTAGCTCCCCCAAGGTGTGACAACCAAAAGTTCCTCTAGACACTGCCAAACATACTTTGAGGGTCAAAAATCACAGCTAGTTGAGAACCACTGATGCAACTAAAGTACTACATCTAAAGTACTAGTTCATTAGTAGGTGACTGTGCATATTTTCAAGTGTTCTTAATGTATTGACAGCTAGAAAATATAATGAAAAATAAAGCAACTGGTCGTTGGTTTTGCTATGACCATTTAAAGATTTACTTGCTACTTTATTGACAAGCAGAGTCTGTGATAATTGCTATTATAGAAACTTCTCATTTCCGACATTCTGGAAATCTGTGAGAAGATTTCTTATAGAAACACATTTTGAGGCCGGGTACAGTGGCTCACACCTGTAATCCCAGCACTTTAGGAGACCAAGGTGGGCAGATCGCTTGAGCCCAGGCATTCAAGGCCACTGTTGGCAGAATGGCGAAACCCTATCTCCACAAAAAAATACAAAAATTAGATAGGCGTGGTGGCATGCATCTATAGTCCCAGCTACTTGGGAGGCTGAGGTGGGAAAATCACTTGAGCCTGGGAGACGGGCTGCAGTGAGCCACGATTGCAGCACCGCACTCCAGCCTGGGCGTTGGAGTGAGACCCTGACTCAAAAAACAAAAGCAAAAACAAAACAGAAAACAAAACAAGACCCATATTCTGTTCTTGTGAAAAAAAAAAACAACTTGAAATTATTTGCTGACATAAAAGTATGAACATAACCTTTGACTGGCAATGTTTATTTCATATAATTATTTGTATAATAAAATGTAGTTTTATAAAATATGAATGAAGAGTTCTGGATGGTAGTTATTAAATGAAATCAAATCCTTGTTAAAACAATTTAAAATATGAAAAATCAGTTCTTGTAAGTTGAGAACTTCCAGAACCTCACCAAAGCTGAGTAACTCAAGAAGCTGCAATGTAAAAGTCAGTTTTATGTGAAAATTTCAGTTACCATTGGATTTTTTAAATGATGGATTCATTAGAAACTATTTTTACTTATCTATATCTGAACAAAAAATGAATGGAAACTCATTTCTGTAAGGGTATAGGTTACTTTTGATGTTAGAGCATTAAGAGAAGAATCTAAATTTAAATGCCACTAGAAGTAGGAGAAAAAGCATACTGAATGGATAGCAGGGGCTCAAAAAATAAGTTAGTTATTTGATTACTAGCTTCAAAAGAATAATTTTGGGAAAGGCCTAAAAATTAATGCCTGAAATACATGTCTTTACAAAAAATAAATTCTATGTTTTTCTACATGAAGTCTTAAAATTAAGAAACATAATAAAATATACAATTAATCATTTTAAAGTATACAATATGGTGGTATTCAATGTATTTGCAATACTGTATAACCAGCAGCTCTAATTTCAAAACTTTCTTGTCACCCAACAAAAACAGCCATACATAGTCACTCCGCCTTCTTCCCTCTCCCTATTCCCTGGTAACCTCCATTCTGCTTTTTATCTCTATGGATTTGCCTATTCTGGATATATTATAAGGGAATCATACAATGAAGTACTGCAAATTGGATGAACCTTGAAAACATGCCAAAAAGCATAATGCTAAAAAAGCATGTTTTCAAGGTTCATCCAAGTTGCAGTACTTCCTTTTTCAGGCTGAATAGTATTCCATTGTATCTATTGAACACAGTTTATTTATCCATTTATTTGTTGATGAACATTGGGTTTCTACCTTTGGCTATTATGAATAATGCTGCTGTAAACATTCATGTACGAGTTTTTCTGTGAACATATGTTTTCATTTCTCTTGGGTGTATACCTAGCAGTAGAACTGCTGGTACGTAAATAATTCTGTACTTAACTTTTTGAGGAACTTCCAATCTTTTCCAAGTTGCTATACTCTTTTACATTTCTACCAGCAATGTATAAAGGCTTCTATTCAATTCACTAACACTTGTATTTCATTAAAAAAAAAATTAAAGCCATCCTACTGGGTGTGAAGTGGTATCTCATTGTGGATTTTATTTATATTTCCTTAATGATCAATTTTGTTGAATATCTTTTCATGTGCTCTTGGCCACTTATATATCTTCTTTGGAGAAGTGTTTATTCAAGTCCTTTTTATTCTTTTTTTTTAGTTGGGTTGTTTTTTGTTGTTGAAATGTAGGACTGTTTATTTATTGTGAGTATTAAACCCTTATAAGATACATGATTTGTAAATATTTTCTCTCATTCTGTAAGTTGCCTTTTCACAGTACTGATAATGTCCTTTGATGCACAAAAGTTTAAATTTTTACATAGTCCAATTTATCTATTTTTTCCTTTGTTGCTCATATTTTTGGTGTCAAAAGAATCCATTGCCAAAACCAACATCATAAACATTAATGTATATGTTTTCTAGGAGTTCTACAGTTTTAACTCCTAAATTTAGATTGTTGAACTGTTGTGAATCAATTTTTATACATGAATGAGGTAGGGGTCCAACTTCATTCTTTTGCATGTGATTAGCCACTTGTCCAGTGTGATTTGTTGAAGAAACTATTTTTTCCCAACTGAATAGTCTTGACCCTCTTGAAATCAGTTGGCCATAGATGTTTATTTCTGCACTCTCAATTCTATTCCATGATCTATGTATTTATTCTTATGCCAATACTATACTCTTGACTACTGTAGACTTGTAATAAGTTTTGAAATCAGGAAGTAGGAGTCCTTCTACTTTGTTTTTCTTTTTCAGTATTGTTTTGGCTGTTCAGAGCCCCTTGCTGTTCCATATGAATTTGAAGATTGGTTTTTTTCATTTTTTGCCCAAAAGGCTATTAGAATTTTGGTGGAGATTGCATTGAATCTATGGACCATTTTCAGATTGCCAGCTTAACAATATTAAGCATTCCAATCCATGATTGTGGGATATCTTTCCATTTTTTTAGGTCTTCTTTAATTTCTGCAGTGTTTTATAGTTTCCAGTGTACAAGTCTTTCACCTCTTGGTTAAATTTATGTTTATGTATTTTCTTCTTTTTGACACTATTATAATTGTTTTCTTAAATTCTTTTTTGAATCATTCATTAGAGGTGTGTGCTGATGCTGCCACTGTGCTGAATTGATCAGCTCTAGTAATTTTTTTTGTGTGTGTGTGGATTCCATGGGATTTTTCTATATATAGAATCATGTTATCTGCAAACAAAAATGGTTTTACTTCTTCCTTCCCAATTTGGATGCCTTTTATTTCTTTTCCTTGCCAAATTGCCCTGGCTACGATTTCCAGTACAATGTTAAACAGTAGTGGTGAAAGCAGGAATTGTTGTCTTGTTCCTTTTCTCAGGAGGAAAACTTTCAGTCTGACCATTCAGTGTGATGTTAGCTGTGGGTTTTCATAAATGTTCTTTGTCATGTTAAGGAAGTCCTCTTCTGTTGCTAATTTGCTAAATGTTTTTTTATCATGAAAGGGTGTTGAATTTAGTCAAATACTTTTAGTATTGAGATGATTTTTTTTTCCTTAGTAGTATTGAGATGACTTTTTTTTTTTTTAGTGTATATTACATTGACCTTCTTATGTTGAACCACCCTCGCATTTCTGGGATAAATCCCACTTGGTCATAGTGCATAATTTTTTTAATGTTCTGTGGGATTTGGCTTGTTAATATTTTGTTGACGGTGTTTGCATCTATACTCATAAGGGATATTGGTCTATATTTTTCTTATGGTATCTTTATCTGACTTTGGTATCAGGATAATGCTGGCCTCATAGAACGTGTTAGGAAGTATTCTTTCCTCTTCTATTTTTGGAGATTTTTGAGTAAGAATGATATTAATTCATCTTTAAATGTTTGACAGAACTTATGGGTGAACCTATATGGTCTAGGCTATTTCTTCGATGGAAGAGTTTTGACGGATTTAATCTTTTTACTTATATAGGTCTTTTTGTTATATATAGGTCTGTTGAGACTTTGTGTTTCTTTTAAGTTATTTTTGGTAAGTCATGGAATTTGTCTATTTCACCTAGATTATCTAACTTGTTGTCATACGAATTGTTCCTATAATTCTCTTATAATACTTTTAATTTCTGTAAGGTCAGCAGTAATATCCCTACCTTTATTTCTGATTCTACTTATTTATGTCTTCTCTCTTTTTTCTTAGTAGTCTAGCTAAGGATTTATCAATTTTGTTGGTATTTTCTTTGATCTCATGGATTATATTTTTTTCTCTATTTCATTTTTCTCTTTTCGGATCTTCATTATCTTCTGCTGGCTTTGGATTTAGTTTGCTCTTCTTTGTCTGTTTTCTTAATGTGTAAATTTAGGTTGATTTGATATTTTTCTTTTTTAATGCAGGCATTTACAGCTGTAAATTTTTCTCTGAATACAGTTTTTCCTGCATTTTGTAAGTTTTGGAATGTTTGTTTTTGTTTTCAGTCATCTTAAATTATTATCTAATTTCTCTAGTGATTTATTCTTTAAACCACTAAAGAAAATTCACAAATACCTGGAACTAAGCAATATACTTGTTGTGAAGCAATATACTTTTTGTGAACAAGTATATTGCTTAGTTCCAGGTGTTTGTGAATTTTCTAGTTTTCCTTCTGTATTGATTACTCATTTTATTGTGGTTCAAAAAGATAGTATGTATCACCTTAGTCTTTTTAAGCTTATAGATAATTGTTTTATGGAAGAACATATAGTCTATCCTGAAGAATGTCCCATGTGTACTTGAGAAGACTGTATTCTGCTATTGTTGAGTGGAATGTTCTGTACGTGTCTCTGGGGTCTAGTTGGTTTTGTAGTATTGTTCAAGCCTCCTACTTCCTTATTGGTTTTCTTTCTACTTGTCTATCAATTGTGGAAAGTGAGGCATTAAGGTCTCCAACTATTATTGTAGAACTGTATATTTCTCCCTTCAGTTTTCTAAAGGTTTGTTTTATATATTTTCTGGCTGTCATATGGTGCATATATGTTTATAATTGTTATATCTTTTTGATAAATTGAAACTTAACAACATAAAATGTCCATCTTTGCTCTTGTAACATGTTTTTACTTAACATCTAATTTGTCTGTTATTAGTATAGCCATCCCAGCTTTTTTTTGTTTATAATTTGCACATATTTACATAACGTTTTAATAGTAAAATGCAGATTATGATATCTAAGCAAGTGATGGTGGTTCAAAATAAATTTTTGTCATGTTATTGTTTATTCATTTAGTGGAGTTATTTTTAAAATGTCAAGCAAGGTTTTTCTTATAAGCTAAAATAATAGATGCAGGAAAGCTAATATTCAGAGGAAAATTTGCTGTTTTTATACTTATATGTATATTTTTAAGGGTTAATATTGCTTACTATAGAATTTATTCCTTTGTGATTATGAATTCCTTGCATTTCTTTCTAGCTAAGAGTTGATGCTTGCTGTACACTTGAGTTTATTGTGTGTATCTTGTCCTAGTTGCATTAATAGTCTACACAGTCAACTATAGTTCTCAAATAATAGTCATATTAATTGCTACCAGATTATTACATATATGAATATATATTTTATATATAGTATATATATGTATTTATGTATATATACTTTAATGATACTAAATGTAGATATCAAGTCAGCTTTTTATACATTATATCCAATGGACTTTTCATTTGACTTCTTAACCTCTGAAAATGTAGATCACATAAACTCTTGAAAATATACTATGGCTTTTAAAGTTCTTAGAATATATCAGGTAAGTATATTCTACACATTTTTCTCTAGATATACCACCATACAAAGATGAGCATTTTATGGTGATACCATTGCATAGAAGTAAATTTAGTATCAATTTACTTTAGTTTTCTAATATCAGTTTCTCTTCAAATTTTTGAGAGAAAAGTTTAGGCTTAGACTGTCAATGCAAGATTGATTTAGAAATACATGAATTTGATTTTTTTCCTTTTGGGAAAATTATTTTGAAGCCTGTAGTGCTTTACTTATAGAGAGTTTTATATTTTAAAAACACCTGCTATAATATTTTACAAAAAATGATTTATTATGGAAATAACTTACATGTACCTTTTGATAATTATAAGGACATTAAAGTCGCAAAGTGATCTGTGAATGTTCCTACCTTGTCTTTTTTTTCCCCCAATAGTTGTTGCTCATTGTTTTGGTTCTCCATCTTCCTTCCAATTCTCTAATAATCCTTTAGGATCAGTACCTAATCCCAGCAAACAAAAATATTCAACAAGTCTCTGCGAATTACGATGAAGAAAAGATGAATTTTAATTAAAAAGAGGTGAGCTATTAATATGTATTACTGTCAACTTTGTGCTCAGTAACGTGGGATTCACAGTAAGAACAATGATATAGAAAGTCAAAGATAACAATACAGAAATACTTGTTCAGTAAGCTTTTAGCATATATGAGCTATCTGAAATGTACAATTGTGTGTCCTATCCATGTAAAAGTTTGCCTTTCTGTAAAGGAAATAATGCATTAGGTAATGCTGTTAAACAACATAGTGGTTAAGACTCTAGATGCTAGTGTAAGACTGGCCATATTCAAAATCTGGCTCAATTGCTCACTGATAATGTAAACTTAGACAAACTACTTAATATCTTTAAACCTTAGCTTTTTTGTCCATAGAACAAGGATAATATCAGTACCTATCTCATTCAGTTGCTGCAAGATGGTGTTTAGAAGAATAATAAAATTTTAATAAAAGCTTAGTTGTCTTATAACTAAAATCTATTGGAAAAACTCATGCCTGTAATCCTAACACTTTGGGAGGCCAAGGCAGGCAGATCATTTGAGGCCAGGAGTTGGAGACCAGCCTGTCCAACATGGCAAAACCTCATTTCTACTAAAAAATACAAAAATTAGCTGAGCATGGTGACAAGTGCCTGTAGTCCCAGCTACTCAGGAGGTTGAAGCACAAGTATCACTTGAACCTGGGAGGCAGAGGTTGCAGTGAGTCAAGATTGTGCCACTGTACTCTGGCCTGGGTGACAGAGTGAGACTCAGTTTCAAAAAAAAAAAAAAATCTATTGTTTTTAAAAATGCATTGACCAAGTTAGAGAAATAGTTATATAAGGTAAGTTGTGTGAATGTATGTTTTTACATTTATTTTGTAATATAAAGAAGGCTGTGTACTTGTATAATGCATTCATTTCTAAAAGAAATAACTGAATTTCATATTTTCAGAAAGACATTATGATGAATAATTTATAAAATTTTATTTATTAAATATTTAGCTTTGTTAGATACAATTTTTCTTACCAGGCTTTGATTGCAGTAGTAAGGGAACGTTTACTAAAAAGCCGTTGTTGTCTCACATATGTCCTTATGCTGATGTGTCATTTGTAAATGGAGACACTGGATCTTTAATGCTTTTTCCCCCTCAAGGAGAGTTCCTACCAAGTAGAAAATAAAACTGGTTTGCTGATAGTTTTTTTAAATTTACCTATTCTATGCATTGTTCCAGAATGGATATGAAACTTTCATTATTGAGTTAGGCTGATTTCATTACCAGTCAATTCAGTGAAGAAAGAAAGGCCAATCAAATCACATGCTATCTTGATAAAACAACTAATATTATCCATCTACCTACCTATCTATATTATTTTACAATTTCACTTCATGTATTTTATAGGAGCTTACACTGTTCGAAAACATGTTCTGACTTGTGTTTATATACACTTTTTTTTTGGGGGGACGGAGTCTCACTCTGTCGCCCAGGCTGGAGTGCAGTGGCACGATCTCAGCTCACTGCAAGCTCCACCTCCTGGGTTCACGCCATTCTCCTGCCTCAGCCTCCCAAATAGCTGGGACTAGAGGCGCCTGCCACCACGCCCAGCTAATTTTTTTTTTTTTTTTTTTTGTATTTTTAGTAGAGACGAGGTTTCACCGTATTAGCCAGGATGGTCTTGATCTCCTGACCTCGTGATAAGCCCGCCTCCGCCTCCCAAAGTGCTGGGATTACAGGCGTGAGCCACCGCACCCAGCCGTGTTTATATACACTTTAAGACACTGAATTGTGACTACCTCAAAATTGTTTGGTCCAGCCCAGTAACACTTATTTACACAGATTAGATACCAGACACTGTTTTGGGTGTGGTCTTTCAGCCCAGTAACACTTACTAAACACAGATTAGATACCAGATACTGTTCTGGGTGTGGTCTCCAGAAACAGATCAGGGACCTCCAAGGATATATTTTAATGAAATAATGTCACTTTTATTCATAAAATGATATCTCCCAGATTGCCTGTGTGGTATGGTGTCTCTCAAACATTTCCCCACAATACTTTGTATGGCACCCTATACTTCTCTGTAGCAGGCTTCACATTTATAAATAATTACTTGTTTATAGCAATCACACCTTTGTTAGAGCACAAGTTCCAAGAAGATAAGTCCATTTTATTCATTACTGTATGCCCAGATCTTAATAATGGCTGGCACTTAGCAGGCTTTGAATACATTTTTATAACATGAAAGACTTTCTGACATTACCTCTGATGGCAATATGAGTCACATACCTCTTAAGTTATGGGGCATAATCCAAAGCTGTCTCCTCTAACAATCAGAAAATACCTTTGAAGTTCCCTGTTTTATTTACTTTTAAAATGTATGATACTTTTAAATTCTCATCCATTATGTTTCTTTTAATGTGTGTTTTGTTATTCTTAAAAATGGATACTTTAGGAAATGTATCATGGTTTTAAGGATACATCTGTGTGTGGCATATGGGCTTTGGAATTGGAACTCTTGAAAATCTGCCTTGATTTTTAGCAAATATCTTAAACTTGAGTTAGCAGCTGAAAAATGGGGCTGAGAATATTTACCTTGAAGGCTTTTGTTGTTGTTTTTTAAGAGAGTAAAATGAAATGTGCTTAAAGTTCTTGGTTTTTGTTTGTTTGTTTGAGACAGAGTCTCACTCTGTGGTTCCATGGTGGAGTTCAGTGGCATCATCTTAGCTCACTGCAGCCTTGAATTTCTGGGCTCGAGTGATCCTCCTACCTCAGCCTCCCAAATAGCTGGGACTACAGGTGCATGCCGCCATGCAGCTAATTTTTAAATTTTTTTTGTAAAGACAGGATCTCACTATGTTGCCCAGGCTGGTCTCAAACTCCTGGACTCAAGTGATCTTCCCGCCTTGGCCTCCCAAAATGCTAGGATTACAGGCATTAGTCACCAGTCCCAGCCTGAAATGTACTTAAAGTTATTAGCATACATAATATACCCTCAAATATTGTTCCCTTTTCCTTTTTTTTTTTTTTTTTTTTTTTTCGAGACAGGGTCTTGCTCTGTCACCCAGGCTAGAGTGCAGTAGTGCAATCATAGCTCACTGCAGACTCGAAATTCTAGATTCAAATGACCCTCTTGAGTAACTAGAACTACAGATGTGGGCACCCACAACCTGCTAATTTTTTAATTTTTTTGTAAAGAGGGGGTCTCACTATGTTGCCCAGGCTGGTCCCTTTTTCCTTCTTACTAGAAAATTTCTAGCTCCCTTCCAAGAATCTCAGCTTATACCTGGTTCTTTCAATATGTGGTTAATAACTGTCAACTAAGGACTGAAAGTATTTTCAATCCTTGAGCCATGCCTATGGCTCTTCATCTGGGGGACAGAACTCTTTAACTGAGTATAATGAACACCTCATAGATTACATTTTCTAGGCAAAATTTTTAACCAATGCCAACAATGTCCACAGAGAAAAATTAGATTGAATTAACTTTTATTACTACTTGTTTAACACAGATTTACTTGTCTTAGACAAGTAAGAATTTATAGAATCTATGCTCTATTGCACTATATAGAAACTAGAAATGCAGTTATACTGATGTAGTGCAGTTTGTGGGAAATCAGGAATGGTGTTCTCCAGAATACATGAAGATTCTCATTGATTGTTGCAAGGAATCACGAAAGAGATCTTTGGTCCAAAGAAAACGTCTCTGAAAGAAAATAGAGCATCAATTAAATTCACCTTAAGGCTAAGATATTAGTTAGTCTATTCTAGGTTAAAAATAGACAGTGATTTCCAGGATTTCAGTTATGATTATTCTTTTTAGGTGACTAAAATGTAAAGAGATGAGTGGGAGGACTTGCCACAGAAGCAACAAAGACCGAGAAGGTAATCGATTTGTCTACTTTCCCCGCATTTGCCATTGATATCATGCTGTCATTTACGAAGAAAAAGAAATATTAGGTAATTTCAAAACTTTATGGTCATGTATACAATTTCATGTCTCTTATATGAGGATAGGCCATGAAGTTTAAATCTGCAGTTAGGAAACAGAAGATTCAACATTTCTTGTTTATTAAATAAATTTCTAGGTTTTATGGGGAAAGGAGAAATGTTACAAAGCTACTTAACTTTCCCTGGTTGAAAAGATCACATAAAGTAATATATAAAAATGCATGGAATAATACAAAATTATATACAAATGCAAGGTGATATTATAATTATGGCTTATTAGAAATATACTTAGCAGTATTTCTCTTTGATTTTCCCAAAATCAAGTATACCCACACTGCTGTTCTCATCCCTTAACAGACATAATCACAAAATTATATCATAATATAAATGTAAGTCCATTTCAGTAAACTGTTTTCAAGTCATACAAAAAAAAAGCAAACATGGCATTTTAATATTAGTTGGCATTTCATTTATGTAGTACAGGAAAAACTGTCACTTCATGAGATTAATTAACTCAAGTTCTTGGCATCATTGTTTAGTACAGTGATTCTTAAACTTTACTATGCATTAGAATCACCTGGCAGGTTTGTTAAAACATAATTGCTGGGTCCCGGCCGGGCGCAGTGGTTCACGCCTGTAATCCCAGCACTTTGGGAGGCCAAGGCGGGCAGATCACGAGGTCAGGATATCGAGACCATCCTGACCAACACGGTGAAACCCCTTCTCTACTAAAAATACAAAAAGAATTAGCCGGGCGAGGTGGCGGGCGCCTGTAGTCCCAGCTACTCGAGAGGCTGAGGGAGGAGAATGGCGTGAACCAGGGAGGAAGAGCTTCCAGTGAGACGAGATCGTGCCACTGCACTCCAGCCTGGGCAACAGAGCAAGATTCCGTCTCAAAACAAACAAACAAACAAACAAACAAACAAACAAACAACCATAATTGCTGGGTCCTACCTCCAGAGTTTCTGATTCAGTAGGTCTGGGGAGGAGTCCAAGGATGGATATGCAATTTTAAAAACTCAGGTGATGCTGAAGCTGCTGTTCTGGGAACCACACTTTGAGAACCAGCTGGCTTGGTAGAAGAAAAATCTGTTCTTAATCAGAACACGTGGGTTCTAATCCCAGTGTTGATATTAGCTAGTTATGTGGGATAGTACTGGTCACTTCAACTCTGCACCTTTCCTTGGTAAGATGGTTATATCTACCTTTTCTATTTCACAGATTTCTTAGAAGGATGAAAATATGATGACATCTGTTGAAAGTAATTTGAAAAAGCTAATTTCAATATGAAATATCCAAGACCATGGGATTTGAAAGATTCCTCAATAACCAGGGGGAAATGATTTTAAAATCAAGAACTAAAAATATTTATGAATTTATCTACCATCATTTTATACCTTTTTTTGTTTGTTTGTTTTTTTGAGATTAAGTCTTGCTTTGTCGCCCAGGCTGGAGTGCAATGGCACGATCTAGGCTCACTGCAACCTCCTCCTCCTGGGTTCAAGTGATTCTCCTGTCTCAGCCTCCCAAGTAGCTGGGATTACAGGCATGTGCCACCATGCCTGGCTAATTTTTTTTGTATTTTTGTAGAGACAGAGTTTCACCACGTATACTTGTATTTTAAGTACAAAACGATAGTAGATAAATCAATAAATATTTAAGCTTAAAATATAAATAGAAAACAATGGTAGATAAATTGTCTTGAACTTCTATCTAGTTCATTTCTGGTTAACTTATACATAGAGCTAGAAATTTATTTTTGACCGTTACTAAACTTTTCTGTTCAGTTAATTACTTGATCCATTCACTGAGTTTTTTGTTGTTGTTGTTCGTTTTTTTTTTTTTTTTTGAGATGGAGTTTCACTCTTGTCACCCAGGCTGGAGTGCAATGGTGCGATCTCGGCTCACTGCAACCTCAGCCTCTCAGGTTCAAGCAATTCTCCTGCCTCAGCTTCCTGAGTAGCTGGGATTACAGGCACATGCCACCACGCCCAGCTAATTTTGTATTTTTTTTGTATTTTGTATTTTGCATAGAACGGGGTTTCACCATGTTGGCCAAGTTGATCTCGAACTCCTGACCTCAGGTGATCTGCCCAACTCAGCCTCCCAAAGTGCTGGGATTACAGGCGTGAGCCACCGGGCCCAGCCTCACTGGGATCTTTTATCTAAAACCTTTTACTGGTTTTCAAGTTGGTTTAAGAGTTCAACCTTGAGATTGACTTCTGCTACTGGTAGATTTTTATTTTTGGGGGGGTAAAAATCAGATGGTGAGTTTAGAATTTAATAGATTGAAGTATTATTTTCTGGATTTAATTTACTTTTATTAAACTCAGCTAAATTCCATTTGAACTTTCATTTAAATGAAAACATTTAGTTCTTTACACAATAGTGATTATTCTAGAAAAGAGCTGGGATTGGAACAGGATTTTACTAAAAGGGTTATTAATTTCAGCAAACCTATTATGAAGATGTAGCTAAAAGTTGTTCTGCATACATTTCCAGGCAATACACTTTGTGATACCATTTCCTTACTTTGGGCAGCAGAGCAATTCGCTGAAGTTGCAGTAACAGATCATCTCACATCCCTTCCCATCCCAGAAATGATCCTGGACATTGACATCAATCTGTGTCAGGTCAGCTACTCCTTCCGGAAGGTTGTGACAGTTGTGATCTTTTAGTATCTTTCTGTAGCAAGAGAGGCGATTTGCAGGCATGGCTTGAACTCCTAGCAGCAAAGTTAGCCCAATGGTGAAAACAAGTACCATCAGTTTCATTTTGGCTTTTGGCCCTGAAATAGAAGAAAGACCAAAATGTGTCAATGTTTGTTTTTTAAAGATAGAATTCATCTGAATGAAGTTCTGTAGCATGCTTATAAACCCTTGGATAGAAAGAATGGGAGTTGGGCTTTTCTACAATCCTGTTTGTGTTTCTCAAAGTGTAGTTTTATGACCATCTATGATAAAAAACCATTTGGAATATTTGTTAAAAATCAAATGCGCAGGCTTCTGGGCCAGGCACAGTGGCTCATGCCTGTAATCTCAGCATGGGAGGCCTATGTACAAGGATTGCTTGAACCCAGAAGTTTGAGACCAGTCTAAGCAACATAGTAAGACCCTGTATCTACAAAAAATTAAAAAATTAGCCAGGCATGCTGGCATGTGCCTGTAGTCCCAGCTACTCAGGACCACTTGAGCCCAGGAGTTTGAGGCTGCAGTGAACCATGATTGTGCCACTGCTCTACTGGGGGTGGCAGAGTGAGACCTTGACACACACACACACACAGTCACGCACAGGCTGTAGGCAGGGAGGAAGTGTTGGTGGGGGCTGCAATCTGCATTTAAGAAGTACCCAAAGCTATATATCTTTTGAACATTCAGTAGAGAACAACTGTTTTTTAAGGTGGTATAAACTCAGGCAAATTTCTAGAACAAATAACATAATTGAATACAGTGGTTCTTTACCTTACATTATCTTACATCCTAACAACATTGTCAAAGTACCTGGGTCCCATCCTGACAGAAACAAAAAACCCATTTATGTTGATAGTGACAGATGATAGTGTATAGATATATTTATAGTTTGATTGTTTTTTAACTTCCAGAAGTAGTTTAGTACACATTATGGTTGCAAATTTTTAGCAATGCTTGGATTTTTATCCCACATAGACTACTTCCTCTTAGCTGCAGTTGAAAATGAAGGCTTGAATTCCTGCGTTATAATCATCTAGCCTTCCATGAACTCCTACCATGATGGGGAACTCATTATTAACTAAGTCAACATATCCCATTGATACAGTTCTAACATTTCCCTTATTGTAAAATACTTTTCTGTGGCTTCCACCCACTAATCCTAGTTTGAACCCTGAAGTCATACCAACAATTCTAATTTCTCTTCCAGGAGATAATTTTTCAAGTACAGGATTTGCATAGAAGTATAGAATATTAAATATCTATCTAATTAGACTTCTCTGGTTTCTACATTAGATGTGAAGAAAATGGAGACTATTGTAGTAAAGGAAGAATAGCAAAATAGTGGAGGAACCAGGATTAGAATCCAGAGCCATTCAGATTTTATCTTGTTAACAGGTGCCAAAGTATCTTTCCTTCCTTGGAAAGAGGGAAAACAGATGGAGGACATTGTACTTGGAAAGAAAACAATATTGTGGAATAGCCAGACGTGGTGGCTCACACCTGTAATCCCAGCACTTTGGGAGGCCAAACCCGGCAGATCACCTGAGGTCAGGAGTTTGAAACCAGCCTGCCCAACATGGCAAAACCCTGTCTCTACTAAAAATACAAAAAGTAGCCAGGCATGGTGGCATGCGCCTGTAATCCCAGCTACTTGGGAGGCTGAGGCATGACAATGGCTTGAACCTGGGAGACAGAGGTTGCAGTGAGCAGAGATCAAGCCACTGCACTCCACCCTGCATGACAGAGCGAGACTCCGTCTCGAAAAAAAAAAAAAAGAAAGCAATATTGTGCAATGGACATTTTTGGTATAAAGTTTTTAGTGATTAGGTATCTTTTAAAGGTAAGTCATTTTAGATAAGATAATGGATTTTTAAATAAATACATTTATTGCTTTTTTCCCTTTAGATTAGAAACAAAGTATTTCTTCATACTCCTAAGAGTTTCAGAGTTTCTTTGTCTCACATTCTAATTTGAGTTAGCCATTTTTGGCTTTGGCTATATATTTCCTTAGAATTATCAATATCCAATTTAATTCCTACCTCCAAACATTAGTGAAAGAAAAGACTAAAATGAGATCTACCTCATTTTATATATTTTCAGATTTAATGGACTAAGACATTGCAGTGTTACAGTGCATCACAATCCAGCATATATAAATGATATCTTCCAATGGGCTTTTTGTAGGTCATGGTTTAAGTGACCTAATATGTGATCTATCATGGAGAATTTTCTGTATGTACTTGAGAAGAATGTATATTCTTCTGCTGTTTAACTGAACATTCTGTATATGTCTGTTAGGTCCATTTGGTCTACACTGGTGTTGAAGTCCACTCTTTCTTTGTTGATTTTCTGTCTGGTTATTCTAACCATTACTAAAAGTGGAGTATTGCAGTTTCCTACTATTATTGTGTTGCTATTTCTCATTTTAGTTCTGTCAATATTTGTTTTATATATATATATGTGCTCTGATATTGAGTGTGTATATATTTATAATTGTTATAGCTTCCTGGTGGGTTGACCCTTTCATCATTATACTTTCTTCTTTGTCTCTTGTGACAGTTTTCTACTTATAGTCTATTTTGTCAGATATGAAATAGTCCACTCTGCTTTCTTTTAGTTACCATATGCATGGAGTATCTTTTTTCATTTCTTTACTTTCAGCTTGTGTGTGTCCTTAAATGTTAAGTAAGTCATTTGTAGAAATCATATAGTTATATATTGTTTTTTTTTCTTTCTGCTACCCTAAGTCTTTTGATTGGAGAGTTTAATCCATTTACATGTAAAGTAATTATTGATAGGGAAGAATTTACTATTGCCGTTTAGCTTATTGTTTCTAGTTGTCTTGTAATTAGTTCTTTGGTGCTTTTCCCCCCTGCCTTGTCTTCCTTTGTGTTTTGTTGGTTGTGTTTTTCTTTTTCTTCTTCTTCTTCTTTTTTTTTCCGATATGCTTTGATTCCTTTCTCTTTTGTGTAAACTGCTATAGGTATTTCCATTGTGGTTACCATGAGGCTTACATAAAATATTTTATAATTGGCCAGGCGCAGTGGCTCACACCTGTAATCCCAGCACTTTGGGAGGCCGAGGCAGGCAGATCACGAGGTCAGGAGATCGAGACCATCCTGGCTAACACGGTGAAACCCTGTCTCTACTAAAAATACAAAAAATTAGCCGGGCGTGGTGGCGAGCGCCTGTAGTCCCAGCTACTTGGGAGGATGAGGCAGGAGAATCACTTGAACCCAGGAGGCAGAGATTGTAGTGAGCCGAGATCTGTGCCACTGCACCTGAGTCTGGGTGACAGAGAGAGACTCCGTCTCAAAAAAAAAATTATAATTATAAGTCTGTTTTGAGGTAATAACAACTTAACTTCAATCACATACAAAAACTCTACACTTTTAATTCTCTCTCACCACACTATGTTATTTGATGTCACAATTTACATCTATTTATATTGTGTATCCATAAACATATTTTAAATTATAGTTATTTTAATACTTTTGTCTTTCAACTTTTATGCTAGAATCAAATGGAATTCAACCACCACCATTTTAGTAATATAGTAGTCAGTATTTGTATATACACTTATCTTTATCAATGAGTTTCATATTTTCTTATGCTATTTTGTTGCATTTAACAATAAAGATGTATAGAGTATTTCCTTATAATTAAAAAGAAATCTTTTTCTTCCATTATGGTCTTTCTATATGTTGCTCTCTCTACCAGGAATGTTCTTTTTTGGGCTAGTTTTTTGAGTTTTAGGTCTCAGTTTAAATGTCATTCCTTCAATGGCCTTTCAGTCTAAGGTAGTTTCAACTTTGTTCTTTCATAGCGCCCTTTCTTTTCCTTAATGATATTTATCACAATTTAAATGATATATTTGTGAATTTACTCATTTTATGTCTGTCATTCTCATTAGACCGAAGGCTCCATGACAACAATTTATTTTGTTCACTACCATACACCAGTGGCTAATACAATGCTTGGCCCATATTTGAAAATGAATGATTTTCCAAAAACACATTTTTTATTCTAGGCAAGAGCCTATAGAGGTCTTATGTTGTCTAAAAGAATATATGGACTTCTTGGGCTAACCTAAGGCCTTCCTTTCACTTTGTCTCCATGCCTATCATTTATTCCTGTTCAGCTAGCCGGGCAGTCAAGCCAGTCATCTCTTTAATCCTATGTATGTGTCTCTGCCTTGTTGTTCCTTCTCACCCCTTCCCTTGATATTAATTTCTGACCAAAGCATCCATGAAGGACAAACCTCACACTCATATCTTCTAAGAATCCTTCCCTGATTTCAGACAATACTACTCTCATAGCTCCCTTGCTCTATGTTCCCAAAGCACTTATATATAATCTGGCCTACAAGAACTGTGAATTTGAGTAAATAATGCCTTGTCATTGTCAGCATTTTTATAAGCTGGTTAACCATTTGGAGAATATGACTACAATTGGATATGGGGAGTGGGAAATTCATAGAGCTGATTAATTATTTAGTGAATTGGTTATTATGTGAATTTACCTACAGCCAAGAAGGAAGATTGGGAACAATCATAAAGGGCCTAGAAGATATGATAAAGAGTTTAGATTTTATTGAGTATATTAAGAAGCCATTGGAAGATTTTGACAGAACAGTAGCATGATCTGATTTATGCCTTTTTAAAAAAATCCCTGGCTGGCCTGTGAAGATGTATTGTGGTGGGACAAGATTGGAAATAGAAGAAAACAGGCTTTTGGTGAGAACTGATGGGATATATGAAGCAAGAGGGAAAGAATCAAGGATGACTCTTGGGCTTTTGGCTTGAATGGTGTTGTCATTTGTTGAACTGAGGAAGAATTGGAAGGAGCCAATTTTGGGGGGAATCCAGAAATGAGTTTTTAGACAAGTTAGGTTTGAGATGCCTGTTAGATATTAAAGTGAAGATGTTGAGTAGGCAGTTGAATGTGAGTCTAAAGATCAGGGGTGAAAATACAAATTTGAGAGTAATCAGGATATTTATTGATAGTATCTATAGCTATGGGTCTGGCAGGGCAGTAAAGGTAGATCCAGAAGAGATGAGGCAAAGGGCTGAGGCCCAGGGCAATTCAATATTCAGAGGACTAGAAGAGGAGATGCCAGCATCAAGGCAGCAAGGACTGTAACTTCTACTTCTTTTGTATTGAAGCAGAGTGCCTGCTTCAATGCTGAGCTCACAGTAAGTGTTGAAAAAATTTCCTTCAGTGAAATGAACAAATAAATTGCTGGTAAAATAAGTAAGTAAATTGCCATACCACATACCTCTTCTGTGTTCATGCCAGAGCATAAGATCATTTTTTTGCCACAGTCTAAGTCGCATACTACAATGGAAAGTTCCACACCTAGCAAGTACCTACTGGTAGTTTTGTGTGTGTGTGTGTGTGTGTGTGTGTGTGTGTGTGTATGCATTATAAATTACATGTTTTGGCCCAGCACAGTGGCTCACACCTGTAATCCCAGCACTCTGGGAGGCCGAGGCGGGCAGATCACGAGGTCAAGAGATTGAGACCATGTTGGCCAACATGGTGAAACCCCATCTCTACTAAAAATACAAAAATTAGCTGAGAGTGGTGTCATGTGACTGTAGTCCCAGCTACTCAGGAGGCTGAGGCAGGAGAATCACTTGAACCGCGGAGGCAGAGGTTGCAGTGAGCCGAGATTGCACCACTGCACTCCAGCCTGCGCGATGGAGCCAGACTCCGTCTCAAAAAAATGAAATAAAATAAAACAAAATAAAATAAAATAAATTACATGTCTTAAATGCAGACTTCTCTTCTTCCTTTACTTAAGTACAGATAAATAGCTTTAACTATTATTTAGCAAATGGAAAAATTTCTGACCCAGTGTGTTCCTGGGATACATTGGTTGTTGTTTCATTAAAGGATACCAAACTTAATCCTTGGCAATCCATCAAAACCATATATGTTCAAGTGCCAACAAGAGTGAAATGATTTTGGCCAATTTGAAGAAAATTGGTCTTTTTTTTTTCTTTTTCAGTTGAGGTACATGTACTTAAAATCCCTCCTGGAATACACCCAAATTACAAAAGAAAACAAAGTTACCTACTAAAAATTAGAAGGAGTGAGCAAGAGAAGCTTAGGTAGTTATCCATTTTTTTAATTCGATTTTATGTAATTAACATTGTTCCAAATGTTGTATGATACCATTTATATCCTAATAGTGTTGTAAGTTTTAATAGATCATTGCAGAGGATACAGGATTATGAGCAAGACATTTCCAACTAAACAATAAATCATTGCTACCATCCTTTGGTAGGGAGTTGCAAATTTTGATTCTGTCTGAGGGCATTTAGCACAAGCAAGCTTTTGAATGGCTGGAGCTAAATGGAGACTTAAAAAGAAAAATTATCCCATTTAATTGCCAAAACTAACAGGACCATGCAGTTTAAGTGTTCAGACATTTATGGTGCAAATGCTCATACAGGCAGCTGATGTCAGTTCTGGGAACTGGTATTAAGAGCAGTGGCATGAAACAGAGTTGATGAATTAGACAGAAAAGACAGTCCATTTTCGGATTGCTTTCAAAAAAGCAGCAAGAGAGAAGCAAAGCTGCAAAAGCAAATGAAAACTCCAGCCCAGAACTTGACATTTGAAATATCAAAATTATAGTTGGGAGAGATTAAAATTGCTGCCCAGTCTGTGATGTTTTCCACTCATCTCTCTTGGAGGATGAAAATCACTGTTTTTTTAAAGTTCTCTTTTTTTCTTATTAGCTGCCTTAGAAGACGTTTTTGTTAGAATGACTGAGTCCTTAGAAAATGTTTTTGTTAGAATGACTGAGTCCCAAAGTGAAATTTCCCAAAGTATGTGTTAAAGAACAGAAGCAGTATTAAAAAGTGAATAAGCTGCTTAAAGATCCTTAAAACAGACATATCATCTTAAATATCTAAGATACCTTCATCCATAGAAAAACAAAATCCACATCCTCCCTAAAAGTGATCAGGCTTTTAGAGCATGCCAGAAGATGATATTAATATTCAGTCTTGCATCATTCTCCTTCTTTTCCTGGACACAGTAAATCATCATCACTGGAGAAAAGGACCAGCATTTGGGAGAGCTTTTCATAGCCTGTGTAATTAAGTTAAGGAATTTTAAAGAGGAATTTTTCTAAGTCTCAGAGGGAAAAAGTGTTCTCTTTATATTAGCAGTACAGACACTGTTGTGTTCCAAGAATGGACACCAAGGATGAATTCAATGAATTCCCTCTTTGTATCACACATTTGTACCAGGTTCTTTTCAGAAATCAGGATTTTTAAAAGCAAAAAACATTTTCTTTCTTAGATGTTGCAGTTAACTTCATGTAGTGTAGGTAATATAGCTGCTGCATTTAAAACAATCCTATATACTTTATCATCCTCACATAGTTCTGAGGACTGGGATAAGTCCTGTTGTGTGGGACAACATTCAGAGTAAATTTGGGCATTAAATAAATGATAGTGAAGAATCTGCCTCTTTTTAAACCTGTAATGAAATGACTTTCCTAGTCAAGAAATATACATTTTCTGTTCTTTTTTAATCTGATTATTTGCCTTTCTACTAGGAAGCATCATATTTTTCAAAGTGCCTGCATCATCTCCTCAGAGGATCTCTGTCTTTCTCTTCTGACTCAACACATACATACATTTCTGCTCTAATCTACAGTAATACTTTGGAGTAGAACAACTGACATAAGATGTTTTTTATAGAGAAAAAATTACATACCTTTTTCTTCTTTCCTTTTGGTCTTGGCAGAGGATGCTTCTTAAATGCTCACACTCACTGGGTGAGTTTGGGCAAAAGGAGAAGAGAGGAGGTGCTGGAAGGAGCTTCTTTACAAATGAACCTTTGTCTGCCTTGTCTCTGGCCTGGGATCGACAGACTCGCTGCTCCAGCCAGGACTGTGGGGAGGAGGGGAGTGGAAGGAGACAAGGCTGCAAGGACTGCCTCCTTTGGAAGTGTTCAGTTTGTTCCAAACCAGGCGAGAACGAATAGAACAGCTTCTTTACAGAGGGAAATAACTAGTCTATACAAGAACCTCAGGGAGGCAGACTCTGGTAGCAATAAAACATAAAACCTGAGGGATTTTAAAAGAACACAGAGTGATTTTTCCCTTAAGAAAAGTGTGTGTGTGTGTGTGTGTGTGTGTTTGTGTGTCTGTGTGTGAGAGAGAGAGAGAGAGAGAAGAGGAAAGTGGGGAATGGCTAGCTGCGCACCTCTTCCCCTTTCACAGTTTTCCTAGCCATCTAGATCTGTTACAAAATCCTGGTAGAAGATACGTTCCAATTCACCTTCCATTTCTCACCCAAAGACTCATTAGTAGTCAATGGAAAGCTAAAATGATGACTAAAAAGAAATGTATTCTGTGCCTTAGAAATAAAAGCACAAAAGAAATTTTATTCTGTTTTCAGCAAACTATACTGGAATTCTAGCATCTGTTAACTGTTGTTTAGGTTTTTAAAAAATTCGATTAGGAGTAGTGTTTTGGGAATTAGAGATATTATATTGTAATGGAGTTGGAATTATCTAGACAGACAATTGAGGCAAGGGCATTCCAGGTTGAATTACAAAGGCATGAAGGTGAAAAAGAGGGTGACAACTTCGGAGATTATAGGTGGTTTCATTTGGCTAAAACCAAAGGTGGTAGGAGATGAAATTTGAGAGACAAGAAGCAGCAAATTGATGAATTACCTCATATGCCATGCTAAAAAAATTGTTTTTATCGTGAAGATGAATGGAAAGATGATGAAAACATATTAAAAAGGATGAAAAGCCTGACTGCAGTGTGAAAGAAGGATGGTTTCCTGGGAGGAAAGGAGACTAAAGACAGAAAATACCGGCTTTTGCTGTAGTCCAGAAGGGAAGATAGGAAGGAAAACTGAAAAGACCTGATGACCACTTAAGTGTTTATGTTTAGCATAGAGATAGGAAATTTTATTAACTTTCAAAGGCTTGGGCCTTTGGACGATGATACTGTTAATCATCTAGAAAAAGGATATAAAAGGAATAACTGTTATTCATCTAGGAAAAAGAATACAAAAGTTTTGGCTGGAGGAGGAGTGGGAAAATAGAAATGAGTTAGTTGGTGAACGTTGAGTTTAAGGAACCCTAAATACAGTTGAGAATGTTTAGTAGGCAGTTGGTTAAATAGACCTAGAGCTTAGGAAAAAGCCTGGTCTAGAGAATTAGTTCATCAACCAATCAACTCAATATCAAATAATCTCAACTAAATAACTAATGCAGGTATTCAACTAAATGATAGCCGAAGTCATGGTTGTACCACTAAGAAGTTACTGTGCTCTTACTGTGTGCCAGGCATTTCATACGTCTGAACTCGTTCACTCTCCTTCCAACCCTATGAAGTAGGTACTATTATTAGTCCCATTTTATAAACGAGGGGAACATCAGAGATGTCAGGTAACCTGCCCCAAATCACACACACAGCCAGAAAATGGCGAGACCCTGGCAGTGTGTTTCTAGTGTCTTTGTTTCCCACCATTATGCTGTACTGCCCCTTAGAATAGATTATAAAGTTCATGATACGACTGAGAGCAGAATTATTCAAGGAATGGGCAGAGAACTGGGAAGGAAACTGAGAAGAGGTAGCCAAAGAAGTAGGGGAAAATTAGGAGAGTGTCATCATGGAAGTTAAAGGAAGAGTATTTCAAGAGAATGGAGGTGAATGGAAGGCTGCTAATGACAGCAGTGCTGGGAGAACAACACGTGCACACCCTGATATGAAGGTAGGCAGAGCAAAGAGAAGGTCAATACAACCAGAAGCAGTTCCAGCCCTGACAGAGATCAAATCTCTGCTTGGTCTCCATTTCGCTGAAACTGGAGCAAGTGGCATGGACCTCAGGAAGGGAGATGAGAGGTGTGTGCGCAATGGACTGCACATTTCCTTTGCATATTTATAAACAAGTCTGCTGTGATTCTTACTAAATAAAGATGATGCCATACACAGATGGAGTTAATTTGTTTGCATGATTTAAATGTATATAAATATGTGAATATGAGGAGGAAAATGGAAACTAGCCTTTATTCCACTTTAAGAGCTATCCGTCCTGTTTACCTCAGGTAGATCTAAACAGAGGTATGGTGCCAAGGCAAATCAACATTCCCTGTAGATGGATCCTCTCTTTACTCTGTTTTACTCTTATTTCCCTGTGTGTCTAATTCTGTCTAAATTTCCCTTATTGTGTTGCTTATTTTGTCTCCTTGTGTCTGAATTCATAGCTGCTCAAAATAGTTGATTCATTTTTATATTCAGCAACACTGAAATCCATACAATATGCTTGGCATTGTGCTTATGAATGCTGCCTGTAAGTGGTACACAGCAGCTCTTGGTAATGATCTAATCATCTCTGGATCATGTTCTGAGCCACTTAGGAAAGTTTTCCCCTAAGAAGCACATTTGGACCCTGGCCTCCAAATCCCTTGTGTTTTCAAACATGTGTTTATTACTAGCTGGACTTCCTATCATTTCTAGGAAGAATCATTAAACAATATCAAACTTATAATTGCTTGTCATTCATCCTGATGTCCATTACATGGGGATGTCCTTTTGAGAAGGAGTTCAATTCCAAACCAAGGCCTGCAATCACAGAGTCTGCCTTTGTGGTTTTTAATTTGTGGCTCAAATCTGAAACCACTCTTTGTTTTCCTGTAAATGGAGCCTTAAGGCCTTTTAGTTTTCTTTCCTGATGGGCTGTTACTCAGACCTCTTATCGAACCCGCTTTATGTTGCTCTGAAGACCACCTGTTTCTTTGAGACGGCCTCAGGAGCCTCCCAAAGTGAATCTTTTATGTGACATAGAGCTTCTATTTTAAGTAAAACCATCCAAATGTAATGTACAGATTTCCAGAAAATATGTCCAGCTATGTATTTTTATGTGATGATGATGACGATGGTGATGATGATGTGTGTGTTTATTTCTATAGGTATATGTTATCACTCTTAGGTGCAGTCAGGTTTGTTAGAAATAGAAAATCCTCACAAATTAGTGATAAGACCAATTCGTGAGTAGAGAAACATTTTATACAGAATTTAAGCAATTACATTCAAAGTACTGAAATTAAATTTGTAAAGAGACCTAATTAGTATTTCTTTTTAAAAAAAAAAAAACCTCCCAAAATTGAAAAATTGAGAAAAACACCAAAAAACAGCAAAATCCTTCCAATCAGGTGAAGTCTGAAGAGATGTCTCAGATATAAATAATTTCAGATATCAGACATCTTAAGCTTGTGAGAGAAAAAAAATGGAACATGCATTAGTTCTTCCTCTGATGTCCACCTGGGAGCTCATGCATTCACCCTAATTTAGAATCTGCTGCTCCTCTGTTCCATGATTGACCCCTTTCTCTCATTTCCCTCAGGCTTGACTCCTTCTGGGCTCACCAAGGCTGGCAGTATGGGGAGAAGCAGCAGCTGGTTTCGGCCTTCACAGCTCACATCTTCCCAGGAGAGAGGTAGGACTTTTTTTATGTGAGTATCCTTGACAAAAGGAGCCTCAAAATAATTGCACTTATTGAAAACTAACTCACAATATGCTTGTTGAAATGGTGATGAACTGCGACAAAATCACCTCTTAAAACTACCTTTAAAATCTTTCATCAGTTAAAAAGAAACAAGCTATTTTACTAACTTATTTTTGAACTCAGTAAAAGAGTTTCCTCTTTGATTACAACTATATAAAGTTTCCCTTAAGATATCCACTGAACCTTGGACATTTATGCTTAGAATTGTTTTTGAAAGTGGGTTGAACAACATAACCTCTATTACCCAAACTTAGCTTTATGTTGCTGAAGTGAGACTCAGGAAAACAGGTTCTACTGAGGAATCGTCAGTAAGGCCCTTGAAGAGACAGCAGAATCACCAAGTAGCTGTTGTGTAAGAGGGTGAACTGATGCCACCTCCCCTGCAGGGAGAGAAATGCTTCCATGAGGTATTCATATTGGAATGCAATTTCGATGGTATGATGTACTTGGGAATGGCTAGGATTCCCAGATGGGCAACCCTGGCTATAATGGGGATAGCCAGGAGAGTCTTCTTGATCAAATGCTTTTAGTCAGAATATCAAACACAAGCTCTCTTTTCCCTGGGCATAGAGAGTAAGGCACCCACCTTCGTCTGCGCCGCCCCGGGAATGCTGGGCTTTTTAACAGAATTGATACATAGAGACTGTAAGGTTACTCATGTAACCATGAGTAACATGATTTTCAATGCTGCAGAAATAAAGTCAGAAAAATGAACATCAGGAGAGACCTGTGTCCAAGAAAACTATCCACTTTTAGGAGCCCATGGAATAGTTAGAATGAATGGTAATGTTAATATGAAAATAAACTTTGGCAAGAAAAGAGGCCAAGAAGGAAAGGAACATGAAAATAACCTTTTTAGTTTCCTGGCAGTCTCTAAGGGGCATTGGACTGGTCCATGGAATCACAGCCCAGAGCCTAGCAATAATTTTATGATTTATTGGAGACAACCTACTCACTTACCAAACCTAGAAAGATGGAAAGATTGACTAAGTGTGTCAACGTGTATTCTTTCGTAGGTCCTGAGTTATTGCCCTAATCTTCTCAAAGCTGTTTCACAGACACAAGCATCTGGTGAGTTGATAATGTTAATGATAATAGCAATGATACTAGTAATAATAATGCTATTAACTGCATTGCCAAGTGTGCTAAACATTTTGCAAATGTTGTCTTATTTAGTACACGCAACTTACTTACATGAGGTAGTTTCCAGATGGGGGAACTGGGGTTCAAAAAAATTAAGCACTTGGCCAAGATCACACAGCTGATAAGTAGTGGAGCACAAACTGGAAACCAAGACAAAACTGTGCTCTTAGCCTGCTGCCACAATAAATAGCAAAAGAAATAGAATGAGAAATTGGAGAACCTAAAACAACAGTACCTTTTTAAAAAATTGTAGCCCATAATTTGAATGTGCATGAATCACACCTGCTCTCTGTGAGCCACAGAGTCGTCTCTCTTTTACTGTGTTTCCTCCGTCCATCTTCTGTTCATATTTGGCTTGAAACAGTTCTTAACTGGACAGTCAGAAACTTAAAGCAGCTGAATGGTGTTTTCTACAAAGTCAGATATGGACAGTTGCCAAAATATCAGTCCTTGGGACAGAGTTTTTAAGTGATTATAATTCTAGGAGTAAAACCAGTCACTCAGTAAATATTTGTTAAATGAATGAATGAGTTAATGAATAAATGAGTGAGGGGATTAGATTCTTGGGTACAGGAGAGGTTCTTGGGAAGTAATCATTCATAATTATTTATTGTGTGTCTGCTGTGTACCATGAATGATATTGCAGTGTCGCTGAAGGCAAAGTTCAGCAACTGATCACTATTTCTTCAAGGTCCTCTCCAAAGCACAAGCTACTTGGCCAGCCTGGCTGCTGAGTCCTAATGTAAACCCTCAGTCTTCTCCCTTGTAAAATAAGGGGTTTAATTGATTGTTTTTATTGCTCTTCTACTTCCCATTTTTCTATGAGTATATGATTCTAAATATCATTTTTAAACAAACATTTTTATTTTAAAATAGTTTTTCATTTACAGAAAAACTGTTAGCTTAGTACAGAGACTTCCTATATACCCTATATCCAGTTTCCTCTATTATTTAACTCTTACATTAGTGTGGTCCATTTTTTATAATTAATAAATCTACATTAATACATTATTATTAACTAAAGTTCATACTTTATTTATTTGTACTTAGTTTTTACCTTTTCTGTTGCGGGATCCCCTGCCCAGAACACCACATTACATTTAGTTGTAGTGTCTCTTCAGGCTCCTCAGTGTCTCCGACTTTGCCTGTTTTTGATGACTTTGACCGTTTTGAGGAATACTGGTCAAGTATTTTGTAGAATGCCTCTCAACTTAGATCTGTCTAATATTGGTCTTATGGTTAAACTTGGGTTATGTGTTTGTAGAAAGAGGACCACAGAGTTAAAGTGCCATTTCCATCATGTCATATCACACATGAACATACAGGTCAGGAACGTGACTTATCACTATTGATTTAACTTCAATCACCTGGCTCAAGTCGTTTTCGTTATGTGGCTCCACTGCACATTTACTCTTTTTCTCCCCCTTTCCATAGTACACTCTGTGGAAGGAAGTCCCTATGCATGGTCCATATGTAAGGAGTGGGAAGTTATGCTCTACCTCTTTGAGGGCGGAGTAACTACATAAATTTTGGAGAATTTTTCTTCACATGAAATTTGTCCATCATTGCTTATTTATTTACTTGTATTAGGATGAACTCATGTATATTTATTCTATACTTTGGATTATTTTATACTTTGGATTAAAATATTCCTTGCTCAAACTGTCCCAGCTTTTGCCTTTAGGGGCTCCTTTAGTTGCCTCTTGTGTCTCTATGGCATGCCCCATCAAGGTCGTGGTTTTTGGTTTTGTTTTGTTTTTGTGCACTTTCTTCCTTTCTGGCACTAAAAGATTGCTCCAAGCTCATCTTGTGTATTTCCTGTCCCAGTACTAGAATCAGCCATTTCTCCAAGGAGCCCTGGTTCCTTTCATTGAAGAATAAATTAGAAACCAAGATCTGGGAGCTAGGTGTGCTCACTAGTACTGGTGTGTCATAGCTTCTCATTCCTCTCAGCTGACAGAGCAAGGAAATATACTGTGTATACCAACCTGTGTAAATACACATATCTATGAATATTGCTATGCATAACTGTCTGTATCTACAACAACCTAAACATGAGTTTATTCTGATGCCTCCAACTCTAATCCATTACTACGTGAATCATTTGAGCTTCCTCCTCTTGCTCATCTGTAACCTCCTGCTCCAGCAGTGGGAACCTAACTCCTACTATCAGCCACTTATTTAATTGTTCATTTCCAGTATACATGTATAGCAGCATCGGAATTGTTGGCACATACCTCATGGTAAACAATTTTATCAGCTGGAGTACAGTGTTTATATACGGTGTCTTTTACCTTTAGTTTGACAGACTCTACTCATTTCCAAAGTTACATAGGTCTGCAACTTCCCCCTCACTACGCCTTTCAGTGAGGTTGTTTCATACATGAGTAATAAAGTTAGATTGTTTTGTCACATTCTGTTTTTATCCTGGGATTGTCCAACCTCCTAAATAATTGTTAGTAATTTGCATGTATTAAGGTTCAGTCTTTGTGCTGAAAAGGTCTGTGGGTTTTGACAAGCACATAGTGTCTTGTACATACCATTACATTATGATACAGAATAGTCTCTCTGCCCTAAAATATCTCCTGTGGTTTACCTATTCAACCCTCCCCTCCCTCCTACCCTGAACTCCTGGCAGCCATTGATCTTTTTACCATCTCTATAGTTTTACCCCTTCTAGAATGTCATATAATTGGAATCATGTAGTATGTAGCCATTACATACTGGCTTTTTTCACTTAGCAATATACATTTAAGATTCATCTATGTATTTTCATGGCTTGATAATTTCTTTTTATCACTGAATAATATTCCATTGTATAGATATACCAGTTTGTTTATACTTTCACTTGTTGGAGGACATCTTGGTTGCGTACAGTTTTGGAAATTAAGAACAGAGGTGCGCGCTGGGCATGGTGGCTCACGCCTGTAATCTCAGCACTTTGGGGGGCCGAGATGGGTGGATCATCTGAGGTCAGGAGTTTGAGACCAGCCTGGCCAACATGGTGAAACCCTGTCTCTACTAAAAATACAAAAAATTAGCCAGGCATGGGGGCACATGCCTGTGATCCTAGCTGCTCAGGAGGCTGAGACAGGAGAATTGTTTGAACCTGGGAGGCAGAAGTTGCAGTGAGCTGAGATCATGCCACTGTATTCCAGCCTGGGCGACAGAGCGAGATCCATCTCAAAAAAAAAAAAAAATAGAGGTGCTGGGGCTGGATGCGGTGGCTCACGCTTGTAATCCCAGCACTTTAGGAGGCCGAGGTGGGCAGGTCACCTGAGGTCAGGAGTTTGAGACCAGCCTGACCAACATGGTGAAACTCCATCTGTACTAAAAATACAAAAATACATTAAAAAAAAAAATTAGCCGCACATGGTGGCCAGCGCCCTGTAGTCCCAGCTACTGGAGAGGCTGAGGCAGAAGAATCACTTGAACTTGGGAGGTGGAAGTTGCAGTGAGCCGAGATAGCGCCACTGTACTCCAGCCTGGGCAACAGAGTGAGACTTCATTTAAAAACGAAAAAAAGAGAGTAGAGGTGCTATAAATATTTGTATGCACGTTTTGTGTGGACATAGTTTTCAATATCTTTTTAACATTTATTTTTCAGGTCAATTAAAATCATTATTTGTAATAATCTAGCCTTTATGCAGCTTCTCAAATATAGCTATTTTAAAAATAATAAACACATTCATATAATAAATCCATTCAGAATCAGACACCATTTTGTATAAAAGTGTAAACAATGAACCTGCAATTATTTTATGGAATAAGATAACTTTAGGGCAGTTTAGCAGTATTTCATTTAACATTCTTTGAAATTTGAGCAGACCTGTGGTCTATGGAAGCTGTTTCTTTTACACTGCAAACAGGGAAATTTATAGGTGTTAAATTTGCTATAAAATTGTTCCTTTATTGCTCCTTTACTAATAAAACATTAAAAATTACATATTTGGAAATCTAAATAAAAGCATTTTCAAACTGAAATAATAAATACAACACAGTATTAGATAACTAAAACTTGCTCCCTTTATGTGTATACATATCAGATAGGACACATGAAATGCCAGGAAATAGGCAATGATGATATTTTCTCTGGATATTTAATCTCTAAACACATGAAATATATTACATACAGTATAATCCTGATGAAATATAACTTGTTATTCCAGAGGATTGGGTATGTGTTAGAGAGTCACCTATGTCCACTGAAAGTTTAAAGCATAGCAACAATTCTACGAAAAAAACCCACACCTTTCTATAACACTGTCTTCTATCAAATGACAATTTGATCAAATTAATCTTTGCCTTTAATACTAATATTCTAAATAAGCCTCCTTCTTTGGGGGTGAATTAACAAAAATTGCCCCTGGATTGTTACTACCTTACAGAATTTTTACTATGCTTCCACACTCTATGTTAGTGACTCGTGTTGATTGGTCCAGTATGGCTCAAGTGTAAATATCTTGACATTAGAAAGATTTAACAATTTTAAGTGATTTATTATGTGTCTTAAGCTATCTTATGTCTATGGTTTATTTTATGTCTTAAGTTACTTTATGTAAAATATTTGAGAAAATAGAGAAGGATAAGTATCTGAGAATGAAGGGTTTAAGAATATCACACAAGTTCAATGTCTTTCCCCTCCCCATAGAAATTTTGACCATTTTAGTGTCAGAAAATTAATGAGTCTGCTAGGCGCCGTGGCTCACGCTTGTAATCCCAGCATTTTGGGAGCCTGAGGCAGGCGGATCATGAAGTCAGGAGATTGAGACCATCCTGGCTAACACGGTGAAACCCCGTCTCTACTAAAAATACAAAAAATTAGCCGGATGTGGTGGCGGGCGCCTGTGGTCCCAGCTACTCCGGAGGCTGAGGCAGGAGAATGGCGTGAACCCGGAGGCAGAGCTTGCAGTGAGCCGAGATGGCGCCGCCGCACTCCGGCCTGGGCGAAAGAGCAAGACTCAGTCTCAAAAAAAAAAAAAAAAAAAAAAAGAAAAGAAAAGAAAAAGAAAATTAATGAGTCTAAAGCTATCTCAGCAAATAATGGGATTTTCTTTCCTGACCTAAAAGGTTCTGAGATTTCTCCATTAGAAGCCTGCCTCACTGAGAGGTGAGGACTTTTTAACCAATAAGCCTGGAGGTTTTAGGGCTTTAGTTTAGCATAAGGAATTCAGGAGAGAATCCCTGGGAATGTGATTCTCCCTGAAGCAAGTCACATGTTATGATACATTAGATGGGAGCTTCTGTGGTAGACCATGTCCCTCTTAACATTATAACAGGGGAAATCTTCCTTCTACCTCTTTTTTCATACCCCTTACCTGTGTGACAGAGGGCCCTTCAGATGCTTAGCTGCCTCTCCTATTCTAGGATCTCTTTCTGTCCTTTGATTTTCATCTTTATCTCTCTTTCTCCATGTCTCTTCCTATCCTTTTGCTCCCATGAAACTATTTGTGCTATGCTCTGTATCCTTCCAGGTTGTGACTCATGTCCCATTTGAAGCTGGAGAAGCAGCAAGATAGACTAAGATATGAATTCCCTGGATCTGCGTTGGTAGTTCCCTGCATACTTTTTTTTTTTTTTTTTTGAGACAGAGTCTCGCTCTGTTGCCCATGCTGGAGTGCAATAGCGCAATCTCAGCTCACTGCAACCTCTGCCTCCCAGGCTCAAGTGATTCTCCTGCCTCAGCCTCCTAAGTACCTGCGATTACAGTCACACACCACTGCACCCAGCTAATTTTTGTATTTTTAGTAGAGACAGGGTTTCACCATGTTGCCCAGGCTGGTCTTAAACTCCTGACCTCAAGTGATCCGTCCGCCTCGGCCTCCCAAAGTTCTGGGATTACAGGTGTGAGCCACTGCATCCAGCCTCCCTGCATACTCTTAAGTATGCCAATATTAGGTGAGTGGATATACATGTCACTGGAAAAAGAACATTTTGTGGCCTTACAATGGATGTTCTTTTCAGTATCCCCCTGACATGGCAAAACAAACTTACCGAGTGCTAAAGATCCTCCAGGAGGAAAGGGATGAAGACCTGGGGAAGGGATCTCCGTCCCATTTGAGATTCAACCTAAGTAAAACTTTCTGAAGGGCTAAGATAGCTCTGACTGAGGTCTCCCAAGAAGAGAGAGTCTGGCTCAGTGACAGGTTCAACACCAGAGCGTAGAGGTTTGTGGGGACAGCTTGTTCTAGATCCTGTGTGTAGCTGTGGTTAGAAGCCCAATTATACCCAGCCACTTTGGCAAAGCTGTCATGTTTAGGGAACAGTGGCTGATTGTGTGAGTGTAAACCCAATAAGCTGTTGTCTTGGGCGTCCATATGCACAGTGCTACCCTGCTGCCTGTGCAGTGTTCCATAGCAGCAAGGCCATTCCTACAGCAAGACAAGGACTCACTGAAGCCTGATGGAATCAGTTTTCAACAGTGACATTGTACAGAAGTTATGTTTAAAACCAGAACCTGTTAATGGACTGGTCACATGGACCACTGAAACAAGACTACTACCTTTGGACTAAGTTAATTCTCAGGTTTCTGTACAACAGAGAGAATGAAGGTTCCTTAAGAAAGAGAAACCAAATTACCTACTATATGGAGGAATGGAGGCTTAAGCAAGCAATTGGAAAAATAAAGAGAGATCCCCAAATTTTTCGTCCTAAACTGATCGAGATCCCTACAGATTATATTTAATATGCTAACTCATTGTGAATCTCTAAGAGCTGAAGGGTTTGCTAAATTTGTTTGACTACTGGACTTTTTAAAAAAAACTATATATCTCAAGAGACTGGACTCTAAGGAACACTTGTTATAATAGAAAATGCTTCTTCGGTGACAGAATTTTAGATATTAGGTCATGACAAAGGAGCAGCACATTGGGAGCAGAGGCCCTTTCCTGGCACCCACCCATATAGTTGTTTGACTGTCTCAGAGTAGACTAGTTCTGGGGTTCTGTGCTGTTAATCATGTTGCTCTAGTGACTCTAACCCAAGAAGGGCAGAGTGTGCAGTGAGACAGTGCTGAGATGGGATTCCAACTTCCTCCTTAGCTCCATCTATCATTATTAGCCTTTGAATAATGCCCACCACCTGCAATTGCTCGTTGGCTACATGAGAGTAGAGATTTCCCGTTTTATTGTTTTATGCATCCTCAGTGTCTAGAACTGTGCCAGGCACCGTTTAAGTACTCAATAACTATTTATCAAATGAATGAACTTCTGATCTAACACTGTCCTGGCAAAGACACTAAAAGCCTAACTTAGCAATTTCTTTTGTACAGTTTGTACCTTGTGGCTACAAAGATTCAGGAAGTATGAGAACAGTGATGACTTGGAACTACTAACTAGGTTTGGTGGGCCCAGTCCTCAGCAGCAAACAGTAAATAATGTTTTATTTGTAAATCAAGTGAAACCTATCTTTTCCCAGGTTGGACCAACCCAGAATGGGGGTCGGGGTTACAACCATCTCAAACCACATCAGCTGAATCACCATCCCCCTAGTTCCACATTGCTCAATCTGAGGATAAATTGCAACATATTTAGCAACCTGTATGGTGGCATATTTTAATAAATAAATGTATTTCTATAAATCAGTATATAAATAAAAATTAAAAATATTTCCTTTCTAGTCTTTAAACTATGTATCATGAAACTGTTTACAGTGTAATGTAGCTTACAAGGCAACATTTTCATCAAATCATTCTAATAATTTCTAAATCATTATTGATTTTTAGAAATTAATGGTATGGTCTTATGTTTGGTAAGCTCTCACTAAACTAAATGCTGCTTGTCTCTAAGCTACAGTTTTATGGAGGAAACTGTACTAAATGCTTCCAATGGCTTCTCCTTGTGTCGATGGTTATTAGGTGTGGTCCCAGGCATGTGCCTCAGCAGGAGAGTGATTGGGTGGGGTGCCCACTGTGTTTAGAATGCTAGCGTTTTTCACCTCATCTGTGTACCCAGAGTACTTTTGCTTCTGCCCCATCTACAACCCTGTCACTAGCCCAGCTTGTTCTGCTACTCCTGCCAACCCTGGACCCCTCCTGAGCAGCAAGTAGGCACTGTGTCTGTCTCAGCTTCCACCTTGGTCTTCTTATATCATGCTGCCCTGTCCAGATGCACCAGTCCCAAGTCCCAAAACCACTCATGCAGTGGCCACTGCATGATGTCATTTGGTGGCATGTGGTCTAACTTAAGCTACTTACCAACCATCAGGGCAGAATTTCCAGTTTCTACCTGCAGTAACATCATGCCTGTGTGTATTGGCTGAATATAAGCCATGGCCCCGTCTCTTCTGAGTAGTTCCGCAAATCTCAAGGCCATCTCTCACATTTATGTTAGAACAAGGCCATGAATGCTGTTTTCTTCTATCTCATGATCCCTACCATTTCTTCTTCTGTTTCTCACCTCAATAAAATGGCTCCCATGTTGATGCCTTGATTCCCGGAAGGAGCTACTGTTTTGCTTTGCCTCTTAACATCGCTCAGGTGATGCTGCCCTTGCTGATACTCTGTCTCTGAGCTGAAGCAGGAGAAAATCCCCTCTGTTGGCCTGAGTGGCCCATGGTCACCAGCCCAAGGCTGCCTCATGCTCTTCGTGACTTACTGCTTGCTATAATCCTGAGTCTGTGGATGATCACATCAGAAAACGCCCTCAGTTTACTGTTGCGTCCCACTGCTTCCCATCTTCTGAATTAAGACTGCACATTCTGGCTCTTTGCCTTGGGTAATCTTTTCCCCCAATAACTTGGGAGCTTTGATTCCAAGTGGCTTAGGAGAGTTGTTCTCCACACAGCTGGGTACCAGAAGCAGCCAGCTGAATGGGACCAAGGCATGAAGACTGAAAACCTCGCAGGTGACTTGGATCTTCATCCCAGGTTGAGAATCTCTAGCTTAGGAGTCTCTTTTGAGTCCTAAAGGAAATACTCAATTTCCCCCATCTGTCAGGTCCCTGCCACATCTACCGACATGTGCAATGGGATTAATTCTTAAGAAATTCATATACAGCTTAGACTGTTGCTCAGAGACTCCTGCCACTCTGTGAACCACCCCTATGGACACTGATGCACAATTTCCTTTGGGTTGATCTCATAAGTTGCATTTCCAAAAAAAAAAAAGAAAGAAAATAATAAGACCTTGACATCATAAGGAAACCACTTTTAGTTGCTCCATTTCCTGGAGCCTACAGCTGGCAAAATGCCTGGGACAAGATGTATTCAATTCAAGGCAAAGCAGAGTTGTTAGGAGAAGCAGATGGCCCACCTAAGGTGAAAAAATTACTTTCTTGTGAGGATAGGCAGGGCAGTTTATTCACCTCTTCCTCTAGGAAGGTGAGAACGTGTGGAGACAAAATAAATAAAACACATTACAAGCTCATTCCACAGATGAACAGAACAATTGGTGCTGAACAAGTCTACAGGAGGCATCTTCCAGCCTCCAGGAAAGCTGTAGGAGCTTGTCATGCATGCATTAAAGTGCCCCCAGAACTCGAAAACCATTCCATCAGAGGAGCTAATAAGAACCAACGAGTCATTGACAACAGCAACCATCAGTAACCCTCTCTGAGAGCTGGTAATGAACAGCAACAAATATTGGGGATAGTTAAGATGAGCCAGGTAAAGGTTCAGGAAAATGACTGAATAGATTACAGGCAGCAGGAACTGTGATCCATCTGAAGAAAAAGGGGAATCATGTGAGTGGATGTGTGGCAGCTAGAAAATCTGCACATATTGAGGTAAGAGGAGGCCAGGCAGTGAGAATTTGTTGTGATTATCTAACTTTCCAGAGGAGAGAGACATGTTTCTTGGTAGCTACTCATGTTCAGATTATCTAGAAAGTACATTTCATTCAGAAGTCTTCTCCAATATCTGGATGCTGCACCCCTTAAGGTTATGCAATGCTTTTGCTCTGAATCCTTGTTCACAAGCAACAACCTGATTATGAATTTGGTCTCCCAGGTACCTTGATAATGGGCAGAATGTGTCCAAGATTGAGGGAACAAGTTTGGAGATCCTTGGAAAGGCTTATTGTGTACCTGTTACAAATAAATAAATGTGGGTTTTGTTTGAGAGTTTGGTTAGCACGGGTCAGTTTCAACCTAATCACCCAGCAACACAGACAAAATCCTCTCTTGGGACCTGCATGGCTGAGGGTCAGACCCCGGAACACTTTGGCCACTCCTCTGTATTGCCATCCTGTGAGGCTCCACTGGAGCAGCCTGGGCCTTCCTCCCTGACATCTGTGCCTGTTTAAATTTAACACAATCAGCCCAGAAAGTCATCTCCTCACCAGTTTCTTTAAAATCAACAGAGGATAATTCCAAGTAATGTTTTCTGTAATGCATTCTGGAGTCTCATAGCCCTGAACCTTAGGAAACAAGTTGCATCTCACACTCTGTGAGCATCTACCCAAGTAGCAAACTCAGCTTCCTGCAGTGGTCCCTGCTGTCTTCTTCACCCTGATGGGGTGAGTCTTGGTGAGGCCACATGGTGACGTACAGGGGATCCTTAAGCAAGGAGTTGGAAAGGAAAGGTTACGCTGCCAAGCACAGCTCCAACCCAGAGCCCTCATGCCCTCTTGATCATGTCGTTTGAATGGGGGATGGCTTAGGTTAAATGAAGAAAGGGGTGGGTGTTCTCATCTACAAGAGCAGAACTAGAAGGGTGCTTCTTGTCAGCTGTGTTCACAGCAGCTGTGGCTGGGTGCACAGCTTTCCCCATTTTTCCACTGTTGAAAAGAGTGTGTGCTTCTGTGGCTGGTGCTGGCATTCTCATCCCTGACTCTTGTAAAGGTGCAACATCATCACTTCAAGCACTCTCTCTTAGTTTTCTCCTCCCTAGGGTGTGAATAGTTGACATCGTGCACTCCTTGGTGGGCACTGCGTGCTTGCTTGCTATAGGACACTTGTTCACTGGTATTTTGGTAACCAGTAGTTTTTGCCTGTCTCCAGAATAAGAGGGAAGCAGCAGTGACCCAACTCTGGAAATTATCTACCAGGCTCACATCCCATATATTGCCCTATATCCCTTGAAAACAGCAAATTTATATGCACAATAAAAGCGTTAATATTGCATGTTAATTTCTTCTTCCCCCAAATTGGAGAGTTGGCAGAAGGACTAATAAAGATGACTAGTGTGAATAGTCTCTCAAAATAGTCATTTCATAAATTAAATAGGAGATGCATTCACTGCAGCTGAGATTTATGAAAGTTCTGTGAGGTGGCAAAACAGGGTTTGCAATTCAGGATTTTATTGCCCTTAGGGGCTGTGGCTAATCTGTTGTGAAGTGAGGTTTCAGTTGGGTAAAGATTGAGTAACTAGAACAGAGATGCATTGTGTAACCCCCGTTTCCTTTTTATTTCTTGCGGACCAGTGAATATCCTAAGTCCCAAACTGTACGCCAGCTTAGTAGATTTAATTTTTGAGTGTTTTGTATCATGACAGCTCAGCATTTCTTGCAAAAAGTGGCCCCAGATAACCATGGCCATTATATCAGTCTCTGTGCTGATGCTGAATTTGTCTGACAGACTCACACAGGGGCCTCCAAATAGCCTTTTCTTTAAAGGGAAAGAGAACTGGCATTTACCAATTACTTAGTCTGTCTCCAAACGACCTTTATTTCTCATGGCAAATCTGTGACATTGGTATTACAGGTATTTCACCTTTGTTCTGGATAGGATTGAGGCTCAGAGAAACCAAATAGCGTGCCCAAGTTACTTAATTAAGAACCTTAGAAGCCTAAAACAAACATGATCTCTTCTGGTCAGTTTTATACAGGAGAAGTGAGGTTTCAGGATTTAAACCAGGCCTATCTGCCTCCAAATCCATTGCTCCTTCCACTGTGCTGTGTGGCTGCATGAACACACCAAGAGCTGGAGAAATGACATAGGGTCTTAAAGCACCACCAATAAAATCATGCGAAAGAAAACATATTTTGAAAAAAAGGCTGATTGTCATATTGAAGCGCCCCACTGGCAAGTCTCTAGGAGGCCCTGGTAAGACCAGCATGTGCGCCTCGGGGTGTTTTGAGTACCTGGGAGGGCAGGGGCCGTGCAGTCTCCTCTCCCGCAGTGTAGATGAGCCAGGGAGGGACAGCAGCAATACTGCCGCCCCAAAGTCATCTGCCCACTTCCAGTCAGAGGCCCTAACGTTTTCCTAGTTATCTGAGTGTCATCTCTTACGATGACTTATCCTGCTCAAAGCCTCTTTATTTAAACATTTGCCAAGTGGGAGGGATTCTGTCCCGACAACGGCCTCCTCATTTCCATGCTCACTCCCAACGCACGGCTCAGACGCCTGTGCGCAGATCCTGTCTGCCATAAGAACCTCCCAAACGATGCTCCCCGCTGCCAGCCACTCCTTGTGCCCATCTTGTGGCTGCTAGATATATCGTCCTACAGCACAGCTCCGATGATCTCATACCTCTGCTCAAAAGGAAGGAAGTTTCCAAATTTCAAACTCCAGTGCCAGGCGCGGTGGCGCGCCTGTGGTCCGGGTGACTGAGGAGACTGAGGTGGGAGGATCGCTTAAGCCCAGGAGTTGCAGGCTGCAGGGAGCTATGATTGCATCACTGCACTCCAGCCTGGGCAACAGAGTGGGACCCCGTCTCTTAAAAATAATAAAAATAAATTATTTTAATTGTAAAAGTTTGAAACCAAATTTCAAAGTCAAACCTAGAAAGCGTCTGGGGCTATCCCCCGGCTCCTGGGGCCCTCTCCCTTCGTGTGACGGCCTCTAGGACTAGCGTGCTTGGTTTGTTTTTGGAAGCCATTTCCTCAGAGTGATGGTTTCTGAGGAACCATCAGCTGCAAGAGTTCTGCTTTATAAGAATATACACATAAGAAGAAAATAGAAATAGCCTAGAACTCTCCGGATTTCATCACATCATCACACACACACCCAAACACACACACACACACACACACACACACACACACACACACACAGTCACATCATCACACACACCACACACACACCCCACACACAATCACATCTTCACACACACCCCACACACAATCACATCTTCACACACACCCCACACACAATCACATCTTCACACACAACACAAACACAATCACATCATCACACACAACACACACACACACAGACACACACAGACAGAGAGACACACACAGACAGACAGACACACACACACAGAGCCTTTGTCTTTTTACATTTAGTTGTTATTTAGCGCCACCTGGTGTTAAAACTAAACAGCACCTCTGGAGAAAAAACAAGCATCTACAGGCATGTTTTACCCCAAATTGAGGATCTTTAGCACTGGAAGGAACCTTAGAGATCATTTAGACAGATGCCTCATTTTATAGATTAGGAATGTATGCAGATTTAGAAACAGAATTGAATCCATAGTTCTTGAATTCTAGACTCCTCAATTTTCCAGCATGCCCCAGTTGCCCCCTAAGCCTCCAAAGGAATTGGGCTAGAGGGATGCCACCTTTGGAAAAAGACAAAAAAAGAATACTAGCATTTACTGATCCTTTATTATAAGCCAGTTATTGTGCTAAATGCATTTACAGACATGACCTCATGATCTCATTTCTTCTTCATAACTAGTCTCCCTCCCTCCCTCCCTCCTTCCTTCCTTCCTTCCTCCCTTCCTTCATTCCTTCTTTTTTTTCAGAGAGGAGGTCTTGCTCTGTCATCCAGGCTGGAGTGCTGTGGTGTGATCAGAGCTCACTGCAGCCTTGAACTCCTGGGCTCAAGCGATCCTCCCACCACCTCAGCCCCACAAGTAGCTGGCACTACAGGTGTGAGCCACTGCAGTAGGGTGATCTTATTCTTGTTCCGCAGATGAACAAAGTAAAATTCAGAGACCTGCAACACACCTTGGACCTGCAAGTAATTTTATGTCTGTGTTTCTATAAGGACCTGTTCATTCCAGTTGTCTCAGTGGTCAGTGTGGATTGCCACATGAATAATTTGGTGGTGGCTTAAAAAACAAATATTTACTTCTTGCTCATGTTTCATGATAAATGCAGGTTGACTGTGGGTCAGCTATAACTCTGATGGGCTCAGCTTGGCTGGATGAATAATTTGGTGGTGGCAATTGGCATAGATCCCAAAAAATAAAAGATAATGAGGAGCTCAGTAAGGTCATATTGTATTATTTGTTCACAATTACTCATTCCTTCCTTGCCTTTTCCATACTTCTGTGCAGGCAGAATACATTGCCCTCCCTGCATTGACCTTGGACTTGGCCACTTTCTTTTGGTTAATAAAATGTGTGTGAACTTGATATTTGCTGCCAGAGCAGAAGCTTTCAGTGGTGTGGTTTGGTGAGACCTGCTTCAGCCTTGACCTCCCCCGTGAGAACAGCACACCTTAGAGAGTTGCTCTTCCTTCAGTCCTGGCTCCTGGAAGGAGATGATAATTGTGGCTGAGCCAAATCCAGCACAGCTGAGCCCATCAGAGTCACAGCTGACCCACAGTCAACCTGCAGCCCTCATGAAACATAAGCAAGAAATAAATAGTTTTTAAAACCATTGAGAATTTGGTGTTGTTTGTTGCTGCACCAAAAGCTGACCAGTACGGAGTTTGAACACGAGTCTGGTTGACTCCAAAACCATTTTAGAAACTCTCTGTGAAAATGGACACTACTTCCAGGATGATGTCTAATATGGTTTGGGTCTGTATACCCACCCAAATCTCATGTCAAATTGTAATTCTCAGTGTTGCAGGAGGGGCCAGGTGGGAAGTGATTGGATCACCGGTGGGGCGGACTTCCCCTTTGCTGTTCTCATGATAGTGAGTTCTCATGAGATCTGTTTGTTTAAAAGTGTGTAACACTTCCCCCTTCACTCTCTTTCTTCTTCTCTGGCCATATAAGACATGCCTGCTTCCCCTTCACCTTCTGCCATGGTTGTAAGTTTCCTGAAGCCTCCCAGTCATGCTTCCTGTATAGCCTGCAGAACTGTGACTCAATCAAACCTCTTTTCTTAATAAATTTCCCAGTCCTAGGTAGTTCCTTGTAGCGATTTGAGAACATACTAATACAATGTCTAATTTAACTAATTTGAGAACCTACTAGTGTTAGTAGTGGCTGAGGCTCTCACCTCCTTCAAGGCTTTGCTGAATTCCACTCTATCACTGACACTTATCCTGAGCACCTAATTTAATTCTGCAGTGTACTTCTCCAGCTCTACCTCTTCCATCTTTTTTTTCTGTTCATAAGTTTATTGTCTTTATCTGAAAAATCCTCATAGAAAATTGTTTGGTTTAGCTCTCGGCAGCCCGCTCCTGAGCTCTGAGGGAGCTTGCCTTCTCTTGAGCTACCCAATCTTTCTTCTGAGCAAGGGATATTTTGGGACAGTTCTACCTCTTCTTTTTAATTTCTTTCTTGGGCTTCTTTTCATAGACTGGATTCTCTCGTACAGCAGCATGAGCTTTCTTATACATCTCCTCCATCAAGTCTGGAGTTACGCTGTTCTTTGTGTATTGAGAGAACTGTTTTTTGGAAGCATTTTCATCTTCTTCTATTAAGTAGCGCAGGTCATCTGCAAACTTCTGGCCCATGATGTGCTTCCGGTGTACTTCTGCATTAAATTCCTTGTTTTCAGAATCATAACCAAGGATTCATTTGGTACTGTGAGGGATAGACAAACCAAGGAATCGTTTGCTACTGTGAGGGTTAGACAAACCTCCATCCACAGCTCCCTTCGGGGCACCAAACACTTTATTGCCAGTGGTAGTTCTGGCAAGGTCTGCGACCAAATAGCAGGTAAAGGCACCTGGCTGACCATCAATGCTTTCCACATTGTATTCATTGCCAGTCACCTCCACTTGGCCTTCATAGATCTTGTCCATGCCTAACCTATTGAGAAGCCTGCGGGCCAGCAGCAGGCCAGTACAATACGCTGCAGCATAATTTGTCAGGCCGGCCTTCACACCATATTTTGTGCAGACTATCATAGCCCCCTCTATACGGGCATAAGCAACCTGACAAATGATATCTCTATCATCCTGTATTTGGGTGTGTTGTATTTATTTTTATACTGTATCACCAAGCATTTCTGAGCATAGTAATCAGTTTTACCCTTTCATCATCTTCTAAATTTCACTTGGTAACTCTTAAAGTAGGCCTTATTCTTAACAATTTTAACAAACCCCATCCTGCAGAACAGAGACCCACATCCGTGGCTCAACAGAGACCTTCAGGCCCGGCCCTAGTGGGGGAAAAGGGCCCTTTTCTGTACTTTTGATTCCCTTTACCTTGATCTACTTTTTTCTCTTTTTGAAAACACCTATTGCCTTCTAAAATACTCTACAATGAACTTACTTATAATGTTTATAGTTTGAATGTCTCCCTTGCTGAATTTAAGAGGGAAAGGGTCTTGTGTGTTTTGTTTACTGCAATCTTTTAAACAATGCTTGGCACATAGTAGGTGCTGAGAAATATATTTTTAATAAATGAAAACACTTCTGAAAGAATGGTAGCTGTTGTATTTTGGTAACATGACCAGTAGAGGTCATAGATGAGTTCTTTAATTATCTTGGAGCTACAACTATTGTGTCTGTTTATACAAGGATCTATTCATTCTAGATGTCTTGGTGATCAGTGTGGATTACCGCACAAACAATTTGGCGGTAGTGATTAGCGTCGATCATGAAAACTGCACATTAATGATGCCTCAGATTGGCTTCCCCTTCATATATGACCTAGTCTTGGGAGCCAAGCTGAAAAAAAAAAAAAGAAAAGCAAATAGAAAACAGGATGCAAGTTAGGGCAGAAAGTGTTGGCTTCAAGGCTATGTCTGTCTCTATAAATTGCTTGTAAATGAAAGTTAAATTTAAATAACCAGAGAAGATAGTAGAATGCTTATTGTCAATTGCAAGCTATTTGTTTAGATTAATAATACCTCCTCCCCAAAGTCTGTGTGAGTGTGTGAGGTGGGGCAGGGGAGGAGTATATACTGATAAAGCCTGTTAATACCAGGACACTTGACTGGCTTTTTCCTCTTCCCTTTTACCACAAAAAACAGCAGACCACAAATCATAAGCCATGATTCTGCCTGAGTGTGGTTTATTCTCTCTGGCTTGATAGCTCGTGCCTAAATATCACGGTATGTAACCACAGATATGGAGGTATAAAGGAATGATGACTTTGGATCAGAAGTGAATACTTTTCTTTTGATTGCATATGGATTTTGATAGATTGATTAGTTCAAGGATAAACATTTGAGAAGGAAGAAAATGTACTTTATTGATTGCCCCCCACACATCAGGCACTGTGATAGCTACTCTTCCATGTTATCTCACTCCTTGAAGTGAACAATGTCAAAGATAGCATCTAGAACTTAGTAGAAGCTCAATAAATTGTCGAATGAGTCAGTGAACAGTAAATGACTCTTAGGAAAAAGCATCTGTTTCTCTGTTTTGGTTTAGTTTGTTGGGGGGGGGTTGATTTGTTGCATTTTTTTATGTTTATGTTCAGTGTTTTATATTCATTACAGGCATCCATCTCCTGGGTCTGAAAAGTAAATAGAATGTGGTCCCTGTCACAAGACACTGAAAGGTGGGCCTGGATGGAGAGCTAGGACGAGGGGATGTTAATTCTGGTCCTGCTCTGAAAATTAGCCATTCCCTTTGATTATATATGATAAATCATTACATAATTCCTACCTTTTCTACTTCACAACATGTCATGAGATAAATGTAAGATGCCATATTTGAAAGGATAAATGCAGGGGTAGATTCTCTTACGGGATGATGTAGAAAGAGAATATGCCAGCTTTTCAAAAATATCTTTAGTATGGGGCAGGTAGGGTGGGAGGATGGGGAAGATCACTGTTGGAAGACTTTCCTCTAAAAGATTATGGAAGTTCATTCTCACACTAACAGAAGTAAAATAGGATTTCTTTCTTCCTCTCCTTTTTGTTTTCTTCCTCGATAGCACTTAGAGCTTTAGTTGGCTGTCAGACACATAATATATAAATTGCAAGCATGATCATCACACAGAATGTAAAGATGCCAAGTGTGCATGAACAAATTAGAGGTTTCTTAGTCAAATCCAAGCAAATATGTACCTGATAATGGCTTTGGCTGAAACATATTTTTATATTTTATAGCATGTTCACATTTGCCAGTGGTTAGCAAAGATTAAGCTTGCCAAACTTTAATGTGGTACAAATGCCATGTTCAAGGCAAAGTAAGTGGACTGTTACAGGATCTGGCAAATCAAAAACATTATCAACAGCTGTGGTTTCCAAAGGTTTTGTGAGACTGGAATAATAAAGTTGTGTGCATTTTAAGTGGTTATTAATTTTCCCATTGTTTTTAAAAATATAACTTATGATCATGAGTAGCTTCACATGGTGTTATAGTTATAATCAACTTTTGATTAGATGTGATAATGGCCAGAAGGCAAAAATTAATTAGGTCCCTAATTATTTAATTAAGGATTTATAGAGTGACTTCTATATTCAGGGTCATGTATTTGTTACTAATTGTAGCCACTCACTTCACATCCCTTCCCATCCTTACTTTTGCCAGAATTGTAATAAGTGTTCATTTGAATTTCACCTATTTCCATTGATCATTACTAGCGGACACATCTTTAGATGTGAAAAAGTCAAAAGGAAGGATAATGAAGAAAAACAGTGATTCTAAATTGTTAAACAAGAGACCTTTGTATAGTGGAATTTAGTATTATGATTCTATCTGATGTTAAAAACCATTTGAAAAGGGACAGGAGATTAACATTTTGTCTAATCTAGCAACTTGAATTGAAAAAGTTTTATCATGACTATGACCATATATGATACCAATCATTATCAGTATCTTGGCTTTTCATTTTATATTTTAATTGCTATAATTATAACGCTGGACAATTAAAAATTACCTTTTCAATAAAGCTGGAAACAAAAGGAAAAAATTGTCTATCAGAGATGATCTAAATTCACATTTTCTCTGTAGAGTCTTGGAATTTACTGTTTTATAAAAAGCAGTCTCCAAGGATTATGTTTTCTCTTTGGATGGGTGTTGGTTTCAGCTAACCTCAAGGAGACTTCGGTGATTCACGATTCACCTGGTTTTCTCCATAAAATAATTGGGAAGAAACTGCTATGAACCTCATGACATTAAATTGGTTAAGAAAAAAATCTTAACTATTAATATACTAAGTGTACATTTTCTTAAAAAAGTGACTTTGTTAGTTTCAAATATTTTTAATAACACACTTAATGCTTATAGAGTTGATTTATCACCAATAGTGTTGCTTAGTAAATGTCTTTTGAAGATGTTTTTAATGCAAAGATAAGGATTCATCTAAGATACACAAATCTAAGTTCATACATGGACTAACTCTTCAAGTCATTATTGTTTTTCTAGAGGCCAAAAAACTTAGTTGGACCTATAGATATTTTTATTGAAATGAAACAGTGTTACCAAGAAAAATTGCTTTACCATTTCAGTACTTTATCCAGTCTTCCCTAATCAGTTTAGCACATTCACTTGCATGGTTGATAAAGACAGCGTTTGCTAAAAAAGTTAAAATGAAGGTAATCTGGAGAAATTATTCTAAATTTGAAATTTATTTTAAACTATTAATAATAAAAAAACCTTTTATTTGTATCCTTATTGTGAATACAATACTTTCATATACTATAATTCTCTTTTTTTGGTCTTTTATCTCTTTTTTTTTAATTTTTTTTTTATTTTTTCCTTATAGCATTTTGTTGTGACTGTAATACCTCTGATGGAACCTGTCTTAGTCCATTTTCTGGTGCTACAACAGAGTATTACAGACTGGGTAGTTTATAAAGAAAAGATGTTTATTTGGCTTATGGTTCTGGAGTCAGGGAAGTCCAAAGGCATAGTACTAGTGTCTGCTCAGCCATTGATGAGGGCCTCCTTGTTGTGTCATCCCATGGCAGAAAGCAGAAAGGCAAGTGACAAATGCAAGAGAAAGAGAAAGAATAGAAAATAACTTACCCTTTCATCAGGAGCACACTCCCATTATAACTAACCCACTCCCCCAACAACAGCATAAATTTATTCATGAAGGCAGAGCCTTCAGGACCTAATTGTCTCTTAAAGGTCCCACTTGTCAATACTCTTATAATGGCAATTAAATTTCAACATGATTTTGGAGGGGACAGTCAAACCATATCAGAACCTTAATATACAGCTCATATTGAGGGAAGTTTTTAGGGAAAAACTTGAGCAGACCACAAAAACTTCAGATACATAAGGACAACATAAATGGCTTATTTAGCCATGCTCTGTGGTGCTTCATACTATTAGCATTTAGCTATTTGGTTTACTCTAATTTCTTAAAAAAATAGAAATTGTATTTATTCTCAAAATGGCAAAACTATGATATAAAAATTTACAAGGCAACAATTCAGCCTGTTACAAATAATTAATACCATTGTGTGTCAACATGTCACTTAGAAATAAAAAATATTATTAGCTGTTTCTTCTAACCCACAGTAGCCTTATTAAAAGCAGATGATATAAACCTTGGATACATGAGGCCAGGATGCATTTGACTGGCACAGATCATTGCTCTAAAGAGCAACTGATGCAGGACTACCTTCTGGACCATACTATATGCAAGGCCATTTTCTACTATACTGTGCTTAAGAAATGTATGAAGCTAGGCTGGGCGCGGTGGCTCACGCTTGTATCCCAGAACTTTGGGAGGCCAAGGTTGGTGGATCTCCTGAGGTCAGGAGTTAGAGATCAGCCTGGCCAACATGGTGAAACTCTGTCTCTACTAAAAATACAAGAATTAGCTGGGCATAGTGGCATGGGCCTGTAATCCCAGCTACTCGGGAGGCTGAGACAGGATAATTACTTGAACCTGGGAGACAGAGGTTGTGGCAAGCCGAGATCGCACCAGCTTGGGTGACAGAGTGAGACTCCATCTTAAAATAAAATAAAATAAAATAAAATAAAACAAAACAAAATAAATGTGTGAAGCCCATATAATGTTGAATGACTTTGTAAACCCAAGCACAATAAGATGCTATGTAGAAATTGTCAGTCATCATTTATTTCTGCCAACTTTCCAAGTTCCTATGCCAATCATTGGGAAGAAGATTACATATACACTTTATGACTTCTTAGCTGACAGGAATATGCTGGTGTGGAAATACTTTCATGGTTCTGTAACATCATTGGAAAAACTTAAGGCTGAGTAATCCATAAGTAAAAGTGCATTTTCACAGGGCAAAAAAGGCAGAGTTACCAGTAAGTTGTCAATTTCATGACCACCGTTTTGCCTTTTTAATTTGGGTTTAGGACATTCTTTTCATTTTCCAAAAGACTTCACATGACTAATTAGGAGGATTTTGCCATAAACTCAGAAGGCAAAGCTGTTCAAAAAGATCACTGTATGCTTTTCTTGACTTTGAGTCAACAGCAAGGAATTTTCTGGTCCTTTTAATTGGTAGCTGGCTTTCCAGTAGTTTTCCAATGCAGTAAACCTAATTCACCCCACTTATTTTAAAAGATATCCACTCTGTGTCTCTCACACATATACTGGATCTCTTCCTGTGTTCCCTAGGGGGCAGGTATGATGGACTACTGTATTTCCAGGCCTATAGTTCTTTGTGCTGTTAGAGCTCTGTATTCTTTTAGTCCACTGGCCCAGGGCCCAATGAGACTCTCTGATCAGCATGAGGGCTGGATTCTGAACATTCGTTCCTGACACCAGAATGCCTCATCAATCTTTTATCCAATAGGAGCCTTGCCAGTGCCAATTCACTCATGGAAAAATATTAGCTCATTTCTTCTATTCTTGTCTACTGCATTCTTCTCCCTCCCCTGCTCCCATATCTCCAGGGACCTAAGAGGGTGTTCCACTGATTGCTATAATGATAGTAATAGGCAATATTTATTGAGCACTTACAATGGGCCAGACAATCCAAGAACTCCACACATTGAGCAAGAATGCTTCCTTAGGCCTAGCTGTCAACACTCCCACTGCCACTTCTGTGCCATCATGCCCATGCCATGGGGGGCTGAGGCCCCAAGCTAACAGTTCTCCTGGGGTAAGTTTGCCAGATTTCACAAATATAAATATAGGAAGCCCAGTTACATTTGAATTTCAGAGAAACAGTGGAAAAAATGTATGTCCCAAATATTGAATGGGACATACTTATAATACAAATCATTTATGTTTACTTGAAATACAAATTTAATTGGGCTTCCTGTTGTTTACCTTGCAGCCCTGTTTGGTACTGTCTGTACTACATCTGTAGAAGTGAGCCACAAACCCCAATGTGCCCAGGTTTCTCCTCATTCATCCGGATGTTTGAGGTTGGGTCCCAGGAAATGAAGCAGAGAAAAAAAACACTGGTGTCTGATTTCCTCTTCTCCTCCCCTCCCCGACTTCTTGTACTTTCAACTCCATCCACCACATATCTGTGTCCCTACTCCAGGTGTAAGTAGATGCCCAGTATACATAAAATCTGTGATCTAGTCAGCCAGTCCTATTTATTTTTATTTTATTGAGACAGGGTCTTTCTCTGTTGCCCAGGCTGGAGTGCAGTGGCACGATCATGGCTCAATGCAGCCTCAACTAGGCTCAAGCGATCCTCCCATCTCAGCCTGTCTAGTAGCTGGAAGTACATGTGTGCTCCTCCACACCCAGCTAACTTTTAAAAAATTAGTACTTGTGGAGACAAGTTCTCACTGTGTTTCCCATGCTGGTCTTGAACTCCTGGGCTCAAGCAGTCCTTCTGCCTTGGCCTCCTAAAGTGCTGGGATTACAGATGTGAGGCACCTTACCTGGCATCAAGAATTATTTTCTTGCTGTTGATTTGGAAAGCTTATTTGGATGCCAGAAACTAAATATTAACTCTTTTGCATTCCTATTGCTTTACTTTGATCTCTCCCTGGTACCCTTGCAGATCAATGGCTCTCTGGCTAATAAGATACCAAGAAATGCAAAAGAGAAATGCATACTGATGTATTTGTGAGGAGGAGGATTTTGCAAATTAAATTATATGCATGTTTTAGCATTGTCTGTCTTCCCCTTTTTTACCACCCTAATCTAGAATTTAATCTTCATGAGCATATAGACCCTAACCTGGGAATGCTAAAACAGGGCCAGGCACTGCCTAGTAAAAATGTGTTGAGTGACTTTTCCAGTGAGGAAAATGAGACTTAGGAGGTTAGTTTGCCCCATTTGCACCCCAGAGCTGGGCTTCACATGTTGATCTGACTAATTCGTGAGCCCTGGCACATCACTGGTATGTATTTCTGCCTATCTGCTGTCTAGCAGTTCATACAGTTTGTGTGTGGTATGTTTTTCCTCTTGAAGTTTGGTTTCAGTGTGGAAAAAGCAAAAACAAGAAATACATTTCTTCTTTAGCTCAACAAAAGGGATTTTTCAACACTAGCAACAAAAGGTAAAGGAAAAACTGAAGAAAAACAAAAAGAATCTCAAAAGCACAGAACCATCATGTTTATAAAATACTGCTTTCTAATTGTACAATGACCAAAGATCTTTTTATTCTGCATCTTGTCTGAGAGTCCAATGCGAATGCCGTGATCTTGAGATAATAATTTCTTGCATAGGGCCACACATAGCCTATGGGAAGAGGCACCTTTTGCTGGTCAGACATGGTGCAGCTCCATGGCACACAGCCTGGTAGGAGGAGCGCAGACTGAATCTTAGCTGCACTTGCTGCTCTGGCCAGGCACCCTCATGGACTGGACAGCCCACACCTCTATAAGTAATGGCCTTTTCTTGGCATATCTGGCCCTCCTTCTCTGAGGTAGTGGGAGTTAGGACTCTAACATATGTTTTTGCTGGGGACACAATTCAACTTATAGCAGGTTGCTAAAAGAGTTAAGTATGGTAACTTATATGAAGCACCAAACAGAAATCCTGGAATATAAGAACTACTTAATACTTAGCAGATATTATAGTTATTAATGATTTGTCCTCTGCTCTTTTGGAATGGTTACTTTGGGATTAAATGGACATATGTATAGACGACCTATGCATATGTATAAATAAAAGTGTGTAAATATCAGAAAATGTTAGACACAAGAATCAATTATTGAAGATCAAAGAGAGACTTTATGCATATGTTTGGGGTGGAGGGGTGGAACAGAGCAGGGATACAGGATAGATGGTGAATACATGTGATAGAATGTGTCCGGATTGACTGATTTTGGGTTAACACTCCATTTAACTTCACTTTGGAAACAGGTCAAAGGGAGACAGAAAGGGAATCACAATTTACCCCTTAACAATATAATTCATGTCAGAAATAGTCAGAACTTTTTTCTTTGATTTTGATGACAGAAAAACTCAAACTATAATTATTCAACAAACAGCATTGCTGGGGAAACGTTTACTGGAGTAACAGTTTGAAGCCTCTGTGGGGTTTAAAATGGTACACTTTCTGTGGCACCTTAGGCTTCCATGTGTTATTTGAAGAGAAATTCTCACTGTTAATGTAACCAGAAAGAAGAAAATTATATTTGTTAGGTTATGAAGAGAGACATATTATTTGATCTTGAACTCTCCCCTTCAGGACATCCTTCATGGAGGCTGTACACCTAAGACAATGAAATGGAATGCATGAAAAAGAGGGGAGCCTTCAATAACAGGAGGGTTGTTTGTAAGAATCTGATCTCCATTAAGAATAGGGCCAGAGGAAATACATTTGAATTGCAGAAGGAAGAATTTAGGCTAGATCCAAATGCTCTCTGACTGCATGGGTAACCAGTGAAATAGGTGCCCACCATCTATTATGTGGTGGATGTAACCAGTACATTAGTTGTAAAATAGAGGCTAAACAATACCTTTTTAAGGGAGATCTGTAAAATTTTGATAGAAATAGCATTGCTAAAATTCAAAAATCATAAGGCCTTCTGAATATTCTAACCAACATGTAAATTTGCATTCCCTTACTCACTTTTCCAAGATCACTCTTAATTTTTTTCTAAATAATCCCTCTAATTATTATTACTCAATTCAGTAATATAGTATACTTTTAAAAAATGTATTGTTGGGTTTGACTAAATTGATCAAATTGAAAGTTAATTTTGGTGTTGTAAAGACATGATCTTGTAATGTTCCCACTCAAAGATGTCTATTAAAGTCATACCAAAGAAAAATAGAAAATGGAAAGAAGAATTCCAAATATTAGAATTAAGATCTAAATCCTGATTTCCCCAGGGACAGCTGGATTTCTTTGAGAATGAGTTGTTCCATTCTTTTTATTTTTGCAAAACTGATTTCAAGGAACCTTTCTAGTAAGAAACCATTCTTGTTTTGTTTTGGAAGGTATGAGAAAAAAAATTTTTTTTTTGAGACAAAGTCTTGTTCTGTCACCCAGGTTGGAGTGCAGTGGTGCCATCATAGCTTACCATAGCTTCAAACTTTCAAACTCTTGGGCTCAAGCAATCCTCTCACTTTAGCCTCCTAAGTAGTTGGGATGATAGGTCCATACCACCATGCCTGGCTAATTTTATTTTATTTTTTATGTAGAGACAGGGTCTTGCTATGTTGCGCAGCCTGGTCTCAAACTCCTGGCATCAAGTGATCTTCCTACCTTAGCTTCCCAAAGCTTGTGATTATAGGAATGAGCCACTGAACCCATCCTGAGAAAATTTTGAACCTTGTTCGTGAGGGGTGAGCAGAAGGAGGAGCTGCTCTCTCCATATGGATTGTATTGTCGATTGAGACAGGCACATAATTGCACAAATTTTCTTTTCACTTTGCCTAAGAAGACATTTTCAATGTAAGTCTATAAGGAATCAAACGTGGTTATCAAACCAGTCCACTTCCAGAAGGGACTCCATATCCAAAGGAATCCTGACATATAATAAGAACAAAAATGTTCAAAGTATAACATTAGCCTTGATTTCTAGCAATGTTGCCAAGTTCATCTGAAAGCTCTGTTACTATAAATCACTTAGATAAGCTAAAATATAATAAGCATGCTTTTAAATGCTACAAAGAAAGTAAGGAAAATACCCTGCAAACTGATCTTTTGATGGCTATGGGTTTTTTTTTTTGTCAGTATAATTAACAATGGGTTTGGATTTTAATGGCCATGAAAGTACAAGAGACAAATCTTTGGGCCCATGAAAGGCAGAAATTTAGGCCTAAGACCCTTAAATAAAGAACTTTTGAATTACTGTAGATCTGTGAAGCGGGGGAACTGAAAATGTTTATCTTCTCCCAGTAGGAGACAAACTTTTGTGCTTGGCCTGATCTACTAGGAAAAGAGGAAGCAAAGGAAAATCCTGAGGATATTAGAAAACCTGAACCCTAGGCTGCTCTCACTCAGGTTTAGGGTTTGAGTTTTTACTATCTGGATGACACCTAGGTTCTCCACAAAATAATGTAAAAAGCATTCTCAGGTTGATAACAATACTGGTGCCCCCTAATATGAGTGACTAAAAGCCTTCTCTAGGAAGACCTATTTTCAACCTAGGTTGCACAGGAGTCCTATAGGTAATGTGCCACCCAACATGAACTCACAATTCTAAATTACAAAATACAGGAAAGGCAGGGCATGCTGGCATATGCCTGTAATCCCAGCACTTTAGGAGGCCCAGGCAGGAGGATCACTTGAGCCCAGGAGTTTGAGACCTGCCTGGGCAACATACTGAAACATGTAGAGACAGCAACATGCTGTCTCCACAAAAAATACAAAAATTAGCCAGGTATGGTGGCATGCACCTGTAGTCCCAGCTACTTGGGAGGCTGAAGTGAGAGAATCACCTAAGCCTGGGAGGTAGATGCTATGGTAAGCCATGATCATGCCACTGTACTCCAGCCTGGGTGACAGAGTGAGACCCTGTCTCAAAAAAAAAAAAAAAAAAAAAAAAAGAGAGAGAGAGAGGAGAGAAAATACAGGGAAAAACAATCTATAGTCATCAGAAAAAACAGCCACTATAATTAGATCCTCATTTAGAAAGAGACTAGAAAATAGTATGTTTACAAAGGTGAAAATAATAGACAGTGGGGACTCCAAAAGGGCAAGATTTGAAAAACTTCCTAAACTACCTAGTGGGTACAATGTTCATGATTTGGATCATGGGTTCAGTAGAAGCCCAAACCCCAGCATGATGCAGTACCACCATGTGACAAACTTGCACGGGTACCACTGGAATCTAAAATAATTTTTAAAAAGAAAAGAAGTATGTTTAAAATTGTTAAAGAGAAAAGGCAAACAGAGTTCTGCTGATGGGCAAAGGGGTACTGCATGTTATTTGGGGGACCACTTCCTGTGGCATAGGCTGGGGTTCAAGCAGGGGAACTGAGCATGGGAGTGGGCAGGGCTCCTGGCCTTTGACTGTGGACCAGCGGGCAAAGGGAAGTTTCAGTCTGTACTCCAGCTGAAAGTGAGTTTGGAAAGCAGACTGATTAATTCCAAAAGGGTAGAAACAGCAAGAACCCAATGAAAGTGAAGCATGACAAACCCAATGAATTTAGAAGGTGGAAGATGTGGTGTGTACTCTAAGGCAAAAATACACAAATATAAGTACCTGTTTATAAGTCACCTTTAGAGAAGTCTGTGATTGGAAGCTTGCTGGGGCAATAGTCAGAGGTATTGCTTTGCCTGTAAAGTGAAGCCAGATCCAATAAAAGAGACTATGCTGGGGCATTAATAGCAAATTTCAATGCCTTGAACCATAGATATTTAACTAGAGTTGGTTTCTCTCATCCCTGCCCCAGGAATGTCTGCCCTTTGTTATGTGAGTATAAGAGGCAAAACTTCCAGGGTCTTCTGTCTGATCATCTTCCCAATGAATGGGACAGAAAGTTTCTTAGCACTAGAATTGGGCCTTGATGTTTTATCATAGTATGAATTAGTGTCATGCCAGGTCTGTAGGTAATACATCACCATGCAAGGAGGTGTGTTGAAGACATGTGATGGTTACTTTCATCTACATTCAACTGTTTGGAACTTTTTGGTACCTGTTTTTTGATAAGGAATGGAATAGTCAATTAAATAAATAAAATCAATTCAAACTGTTTGCTTAAGAAACTTCCAGATTTCCAGATAGGAATCACTTGTCTTCACGGACAAAATCCAACTTAGAGGTAAAAGCCAGATTAGCATAACTTGATGAGGATCCATATAGTGGTTGCACATTGTGATGTTGTCAAATGAAGCATTCTAGTTGAGTAGGAAGAATTTAGAGCCAGTATCATGGGATCTGGAAAATCAGCCAGCAGTAATTTTTCCCTCCCTCCCTCCCTCTTTCTATCTACTTTACAGGTCCTTCTTTCCTTTCTTCCTTCTTTCCTTCCTTCCTTATTCCCTTTCTTTCTTCCTTCCTTCCTTCCTCCCCCCCTCCCTCCCTCCTTCCCTTCCTTCCTTCCTTCCTTCCTCTTTCATGTTTCCTGACATCTATAAAAGGGAGATTCCTCTTCCTCTTCCTCCCCTTACTCCTCCTTCTCCTCCCTCTCCTCCCTTCCTTCTCCTCCTTCTTCCTCCTCTCCTGTCTCTCCCCACTCCCTCCATCCCGGTCATTCCTTTTCTCTCAGTATCTGTCTTTGTGGATAACTCTTTCTACCCACTTTCTACCCATTCGCCGGTATCTGCTGAATGCTGGCCTCAGCCCATGTGTCTACATGACCTTCCAGCCCAGCTCCCCAGAGTTTACCGTGTGCCACACTCTAGGTTTCGGTTCTGTCAGGTGCCTCCTCCTGTCTGAGGCAGGCATGGAGGGAGTGGAAACTAGTCATAGTCCTAAAATGTATAGAAAGGGAGAGAGTAGAGTTTCTTTTTACCTTCTTGAGTAGAAATACAGCCACTCTTTGCTCTGCAGGATAATTTTCAAGCTACCCTATATGTTTAAGGCAGCTGGGCATCTCAGAGTGCTGTGTGATTTATTTGTACAGATTCACGTAACACTACCCTGTTCTCTTAGATTTGGTTGAAGCTGGTGGTCTTTGTTATAGCTTGTGGTTCATGATTTATCTGAGGATTACATGAGGAATTTTTTCTCTAATGGTGTGGTAAAGGGCAGAGGAGGATCTCCCTTTTACAGATATCAGAAAGCATGAAAAAAATAGAATTGGATTTAATGCTTTGCAGATATTCTGTTTTTCTTCCCAATTATTTGATTTCACCTATATACATATTCTTTTCTCTTTTTCCTAGCTTTAGAAGCAAACCAACAAAAGCAGTTTGGACTTTAGTAACTTTTTTTTACAGCAGCATTTAGAACAGTTTGCATGTTCTGAGGAATATTATATGTGTGTTGGGGGGAAAGGAATTCACACTGAATAAATTTTAGAAATAATTAAACAAAATAAAGCAAGTTCCTTTACTGCAAGACTTCTCTGATCCTTTAATATACTAATAGACTTTGTGATACTCCAAATTGTAAAGATAGTTCTCCCAAACTTATTTGACCTTCCAAAAAACATAGTCATGAAAACAGAAGCTTTTAAGCTTGTTGTGTTTACCAATGCAAGTTCTGCTGCTCTTCTGACCCAAGAGATTGTCTGATCCTGTGCTGGATTAATCTCAGTGACATAGCCCGCCCTGTACACTCTGCTGTGTGATGCAGGGGCCAAGACTCTGAAAAGTGCATTTCGCTCTGGTCTGTGAGCTTCCTCTTAGGATGCCCTATAGGGACTCTGGACTGCAGGAGGAGGGATGGGGATTTCCCTTCTTTCTGTTTGCTTGCTGTTTCTAGGTGTCACCCTATCAGTGGCCTTTCTCTGGGCAGCACTAGTCATCTTCTGTCTTCAGCTTCTTTCCTTGCTCTTAGAACCTCACTGCAATCTGTCTGAAGGAGCAGTGGACTCCAGCTAGTGCCTCTGTCGGAGGTCAGAGCCCCAGATCCAGGAAACCTGTCCTACAAGCTCCTGATGTATCAGGAATGACTTGGCAGTGGCCCCACCTCAAGACATGGGTCCCTACTCTATGAGGCTCTCATCTAACTTACAGTTCTGGAAACTCCAACCTCTTCCCTAAGAGTGGTAGTTGCTTCTTACTTATCTCTGTTATCTTAGTGCCTCTTTGCTTTTTAGCCTTTCAACATCTGTAATAAACTTCCCATATCAAATTCCCTCTGTTAAAATACCTAGTGTGGTGTCCATTTTCTCGACCGGACCTCGATGGAAAAGAATGCAGTCCTCCAAGGGAGTGGCTCTGAGATGGGGCCAGGGTGGGAAGGTGGGTAGAGGAGACAGTGGAGGAGAAGCCTTGAATTCTTTCCTTGAATCTAAAGCAGTGTTTTTCAAATGTTAGAAATTTAAGGAACTCAGAGGAATTTCATTTCAAAAATTTTACAATATCCCTTGAGATAATAGGATATGATCTGGGGGGTGGTAAAAAGTAGAATTATTAATTTCTTTTTGATTTAAGGTGTTATGTTATTGCACAAGTTTAGTAAAAAGGGAACTAAAGGAATCCTTTCTCAGGCCTCTATTTGCCACAACTGTAAACCACATATTTGAAGAAAGGGGAAGGAGATCGTGTGACTTGGTAAAGTATTGGAATCAGGAGTGAAGTGCAAGCAATACGTTCTAAATGGAATTTCCAAAGATACATTTTAAAATATTTGGTTTAATAAATAACTAAATTGCCGGGCGTGGTGGCTCACGCCTGTAATCCTAGCACTTTGGGAGGCCTAGGCGGGTGGATTATCTGAGGTCAGGAGTTCGATACCATCCTGGCCAACATGATGAAACCCTGTATCTACTAAAAATACAAACAATTAGCCGGGTGTCGTGGTGACGCCTGTAATTCCAGCTACTTGGGGGGCTGAGGCAGGAGAATTGCTCGAACCTGGGAGGCGGAGGTTGCAGTGAGCCAAGATCGTGCCACGGCACTCTAGCCTGGGCAACAGAGTGAGACTCCGTCTCTAAATAAATAAATAAATATAAAAAATAACTAAATTAAGTCTCAGGTTCGTAAATATTAGTGATCATTAGGATCATCTGGGGAGCACTAAAACTCCACATTGCTGAGTTTGATCCCAGGCCCAGGGGTTCAGGCTGGGGTCTTAGTTGAGATGCTAGGATTGGGATCCTAGGAATTGATATTTTTTGAAAAACCACCTTATGCGATCAAAGAAATCCAATGATTAACAGATTTAGGATTCACTATTATATAGAATAAAAATCTTTTAATTATAAATGCATATATATCTATGTGTGTGTGTGTGTGTGTGTGTGTGTGTGTGTGTGTTTAAAGAACTTAGATTCAACTTCCCCTCCACCACCACTTAAAGTATGAGGAGCTAGGAGCAATACAGTGTTGACAGTCCCTATCCTGGCAGGGGGCAGTTGGGAAAACACTGGATTAGAAAAGATGAAAGACAATGGAGCTTCCCTAGGAGACTGATTTTTGAAGGGCTTTTGATCATCCTCCACCCAGTGTCAAAGCCAGTCATGAATCCTCAGAACCAAGGAGGTCCTGGCAAGTTCTGTTGTGGTTACCCGTCGGACATCCCTGTCTGGTCACCGGGGCTCCGAGGGGTGCCCTGCTCTCAGGATGCTGGGATATGAGTGTCTAAAGTGGGCCTTTCACTCATCAGTGATTTTCCCAGGCTGTTACCTGTGTGTGAGTCTGAGATACAGTGACCAGGCAGGTGACTTCAAAACTGTCCACAGAGACTGCCAGGGGCTTGTCAGGTGAATGGAAAATGAAATAAATATAAGAACATCGCCAAGGTAGGCAGCAAGAAAGAGTAGAATTTAAACTTAGTCAGAGTCCATTTTTTTTGCTTTGTGACTTTGAAATGAAATACAGAGCAAAGGAGAGTCTTGAGGTTTTTTAAACACTCTTGTGAAAGGGGAAAAGGGTGTTTCCCTGGCACTGCTGGTGCAGACCTGTCTTGTCGCCATGCCTCTCAAAATTAAGAAAATCAAGGACTTTCTGCTCACAGACAAAAGGATGCCAAATAACTCAGGATCAAGAAATATAAGAATAATGTGAATTTACAAGTTCAGTGCAACAGATACCTTTATAACTTGGTCATCACAAAGAGAAGGCAGAGAAACTGAAGCAGCCCCTGCCCCCAGTTTTGGCAGTGAAACAGCTGGAATACACTGGCACAATGATTTAACTATATTAAAATTCTTTTTAACTCAAACAACAAAATTAATTATTTCAATTAAAAGGATGAAAAAAACTCCTCGTTTTCTAATTGATTCAGTCAGCCAATCGCCTGGTGGAGTCTGGTTTGGGTTATATCATTGGGTTAGTTCGTGTTACTTAGTGTTCTGGATTTGATCAGGAAATCCACCAGGCGTGTGGCTTTTCAGTAGTGGAATCTTGTTGGCAGGAAAAGTCCTCAGCACACTGGGTGATTCAAGTGCACTTTCATAATTTGCTCTTGCTTTACCCTCTTTGTTATGTCCACATTCCACACGAATCCATCACTTCTCTCTGAGTTATGTGCTGCTCAGGACTGATGCTCTTACCACCCACCCAGTCAGAGCAGCCTCTGCTTCTCAAACTCGCAGAACCTGTTGTTCTGTCCCTCTCTTACCTAGTGCTGTCACTGTAGCCTTTTACCTCCAGCCGGGGGCAGGGAAATGACTCCCCAGAGAGCCATTTCTCATGGTCATAAATGTTCTATTTTACTAAGTTCCATCAACATTCACCAAACACTGAAGCAAAACAATCGTTCTCTATGGGTTCTTTTTTTTTGGTATAAACATATATACTGCCCATTAAAGTGCATAAGCTATTTGTGTATGTGGGATGGGTAAATTGGAAGCCATGTCAGCATCTGTACACAAATCATTTGTGTGTGTTGTAGGGTACGTTTACCTGTTTTTCAGTAAGGGAGTAAGACACCTTCATGCCTGGCTGAACCACCAACTTCGCAGGCTTCGTGTAGACACTACAACTGTTTATGTGTTTGGATTTTCACTAATTACTCCTCTCCAGTTTTTTCCCCTGGTGTCCCAGGTGTGTTGATTTTAATTGCTTCACTCATTTAAGCATCTCCCCAGACTGTAATAGATTAGTTAGCCGTCCAAGCCTGCTGCTGGCTTTCCCCTCTCCCCTTCTCATTTGCTTCCATACCCAAAATAACCAGAAACATTCATTGCTCAGTAATGAGGCTGCAATTCTTCTCTGCGGAATCCAGGAAGACATAAAAGGCAGTCTCTATGTTAACATCAACTCCTGCTTTCCTCGTCTTTGTTCTATTATACGCTCTCTGCTGACTAACTTTAGAGAAGAAGCAAATGTTACCCCACCTTACCAGAGCATGAAGTTGTGTTACTGAGCAATCTTAGGGCAATTTACTATGTAAGACACTCAAAACAAACCAAAATAGACACATACACACACACACACGCACAGAGTAGGTCAAAACAAAACAGTGTGGGCATCCTTTCTAATTTTTCAAACCTCACCTGCTGAATAGCATATTTAATAAAGCACATACCACTTATTTGATCTGGCAGTACTTAACGCAATAACTTACACACAAAGAAAGGCCCAAACATTTAGCCACAGGATGTCATCAAATAAGGGAAGAAGGTTTGTAATAATGGTTTGTAATTAATGTTTAGGTTTTAAGAGATGCCTTAAGAAAAACAAAAGGTCTTATTAACTCATTTGCCCTCCTAAATAACTCTATTTTTCAATTGACTGAGCAAACACCCAATTAGAGTGGTAATTTATTAGGGTCATACATTAGCTGAAAAGAAAACAGAAAAAAAGAAAAGCTGTATCAGAAGCTAGAATTACCAAAGGCTGATCTTGTTTGAGTTCATATATGGTATCTTTTAAGCAGGCTGATGACAATCTTTCCTTTATATATTAAAGATAAACAATTTAGACATAGTCCCCGCCTGGCTACCTTAATCTTAATTGCAGGAAAAGACAGTATAGAAACACGGATTTAAAAACAGCAGCAACAATAAAATGAAAAAACATAGGCAGTGCCAAGATGCACAAAGAGAGAACGGTTTCAAATATCACACTGAACTTAGCTTTCCTTCAGTTGATCCATAAGGCCTGCTATACCACATCATTCCAAGAAACACCAAGACTTTGTAGCTTTGCTATGGACACTATCAGAAAGGTCAGTTGGTTTGATCAAAATTGTGGTTGTGTAGCTTCAGCCATTCTCATAGCAAAAATTGGTAACCTAAGGTTGACAACTAAGTTTTTTATTTTTTAATTAATTAATTTATTTATTTTGGAGACAGGGTCTCACGCGTGTTGCACAGGCTGGAGTGCAGTGGCATGATCTGGGCTCACTGCAGTATTGACTTTCTGGGCTCAGGTGATTCTCCTACTTCAGCTTCCAGAGTAACTGGGACTACAGGCCTCTGCTACCATGCCCAGCTAATTTTTTTTTTTGTATTTTTTTGTAGAGATGGGCTTTCTCCATGTTGCTCAGGCTGGTCTCGAAATCCCGGGCTCAAGCTATCTGCCCACCTCAGCCTCCCAAATTGCTGGGATAACAGGCGTAAGCCACTCTGTCTGACCAACTAAGCTTTTTATAAGGGAGCCTGCAGTTTCAACTAAATCTCAATTAAAATTGCTGTCATCTGTTATATTTATATTATTTTAAATTTTAAACTTTGATTGGAAATGAGATTTTTTGATAAAATAATGAACTCTGAGCAACATATTGATCAATCAATGACTAATATATTAATCATGAGTTTCTTAATAACAAACATTGAGAAGAAAGTTAGAAAAATACCATCGAAATGTTTGATGGGATTCTAAATATTTGCAGGCCCTGTTTTTATCAAAGTTCACATTTTTCAATAAATCTTTTTTTTAATTCAGTTTTTTTTTTCTTTCAACTATTGCTTTTGGGACTTAATAGATTTACCTAATTCTTGCAAAGCTTGATCATGATATTTCACTTCTTTCTATTTAAGACTTCATAAAAAATTGAGATGTTGTAGTGGACAATAATTATCGTAGATAATAAAACAGAGACCGTGTTGGCTGTTCACCAAACTGGGTTCCTCTTCTTCCTGGACACCTACATGGTTTCCAAGGAACGGTTCCAATTAGAAGTGGCCATGAGACTGAGTCCTGGTGCATGGAATGTGTGCAGATGTGATGTATACACTTCTGGGGCTGTCCTCTTATGAGCCTCCCAGGAGTGATTATCCACGTGCTTTCTTTCCTCTTCTTCCAGTTTAATGCAAATAAGTTCAGGCCCCTTGGAAACAGTTGAAAATGGCAGAGTCACAAGATGGAAGGAACCTGGGTCCCAAAACATTACTGCTTGAAAGAACACTTCCAACGAGTCAGGAATACCCATTTAAATGATCCAAGAATAAACTTTTTTGTGTGTTAAAGATTTTTGGGCCTATAATCCCAGCACTTTGGGATGCCGCTGTGGAAGGATCAGTTGAGTCCAGGGGTTTGAGATGAGCCTGGCCATCATAGGCAGACTCTGTCTCTACAAATTTTAAAAAACTAGTCAATTACAGTGGAGGACACCTGTGGTCCCAGCTACTTGGGAGGAGATCACTTGGGCCTGAGAGGTCAAGGCTGCAGTGAGCCTTGATTGTACCACTGCACTCCAGCCTGGGCAACAGAGAGAGACCCTGTTTAAAAAAAAAAAAGATTTTTTAATATACATGCATTATACACATATATGTATCATATACAATACAAATATATAAAAATATACATTATTATATAATTTCAAAAATTATTATAAATATGTAATTGCAAAAATACAGAAAACTATATTTAGATATATAAAAGTTTTCTTATTTGGGGCAAATACATGGAGACATGTCCTCCCCTCTTACCACGATAGGTAAAGGTGGATAGATAATTCTTGTCCCTTCTCTCTGGCAAAAGCACGGGCATGTGGCCTGACTCAACCAATTAGATGTTCCTGCCAGATACTTGAGGGACTTGAGGGAATGATGTGCTTAATGATTCTTCCTTCTTTGTTTTGAACAAGGACACGTCACACTGTCTTCATGGAAATTATTTTCCTCTTAGGTTGTAATAGGGGTATTTCTTTTGCAGCTCTAAATCCAACTAGTCAACTTGTGAACATCTCTAGGTGAAGCTTCAGAGAAGTCTTTCTGACATGTCAGCTGTATTTCTGCAAAAATATGGTGATATTTCTGTCAAAATTAGTTTTATGGTGTATTTAAGCAAACTCAGTTTCTCTCTATTTTCACTGCCTGGCAAATGAGAAGCGCTACAGGTTTCTTTTTGTTTGTTTTTCACACACAACTGCTTAGGGGAGTGGTTAGCAGTATGTTTACCGTAAAGAATTTCATTTCTAACTTTTGCTCTCTACAGAATCTGTGTGGATTGAAAGGTTTTTCATTTACTAAAGGCTTTACAAAGTAGTAATAAATTTGCTTTTCCATATTTTGTTACTTCTCTCCTACTCCTCACCATGGAATATGTAGGCTAATTCTAGGGGAATGGGCACGGCTTTGACATGGGTTAGTGGGAATTTGAAATTTTGGCAGGCATGGCAAATTTGAATTTTGTTGGACATTTGGAATTGCCAGTCCTGGCTTGATTGGTTTACTTTAATAACATTTATTTTGACAGATAGTGTGTTAGGTGCTGAGGACACAGAAATTAGTAAGCTATGCTTTTCTCTCCAAGAAGTCATAATCTGGGAACGGAGACATATACACGAAAAGACATATCCAATATGGTGTGGCAGTGTTGGGCATAGGTGGATGTAAGAGGAGAGGGCTCTCTACTCATTTCCTAGGGCTGCTGTATCACATCACTACAAACCAAGTAGCAGAAATGTATGCTCTCATAGTTCTGGAGACTGGAAGTTCAAAATCAAGGTGTCAACAGGGCCACCTTTCCCCTGAAATCTCTAAGGAAGCATCCTTCCTCCATCTTCTAGCCTCTGGTAGCTGCTGAGAATCTCTGGCATTCTTTGGCCTGTAGATGCATCACTCCAATCTCTACCTTCATCTTCATATGGCTTTCTCTTCTGTGTGTGTCCAAATTTCCCCTTCCTTAGAAGGACACCAGTCGTACTGAATTTGGTACCCACCCTAATCCAGTATGATCTAATCTTAACTTGATTCGGTCTGAAAGTACTCATTTCCAAATAAGGTCACCTCCACAGTTTCCCGGTAGACATTAATTTGGGGGTGGGTGGGGGGACTATTCAAAGCAGTATAGGGCATTGAGTTCAGATGAGGGCAAGTCAGAAAGATGATCAAAGGATGTTTCCTAGAAAAGAAGCTGAGCTGTATCCTGAAGGGTAAATGAAAGTTAAAAGAGAAATAAGATGGTTCATCACCCAAACATGTGTGATACATGTAAAGGAGGCTAAAAACACCTTCTACACACAAAATTTTATTGTGTCACTTATTTTAGTTAACAGTAGGTTCAGTCTCAAACATTTACTTTGTCTTTTTCCTGTGGCAAAGTCTCCGTCACGGCTCTAATCCAGGCGATCCTACTGTAGTCTCAGCTGTGAAATATTTAGAATCCATGTGCTAAATATATATCGCATTAACACTTCCTGGTGCCAAAGTCTCTCTGTAATCCCACCCCCTCTGTCCTGATTCTAACTGTGAACATGGAACACCTGTAGACCTCTTATTTTTCTCTAATTTTGGGTCTGGGACTACTTTTGCTCATAAAAAGTATAAAGGATCACTGTATTAGGATCAGAACTAACTTCATTTATTCAGTCAAGTCATTCATTAATTCCATAAACTTTGTTGAGTATTAACTATGTGTAAACCACTGTGCTAGATGTGAGGCAATTAAGAAGATGAATACAATATAAGTCTTGTCCTCAAAAAGTCTGTAGTCTAGGCTGGGTGCAGTGGCTCACACCTGTGATCCCAATGCTTTGGAAGGCTGAAGCAGGAGGATCACTTGAGCCCAACCAGGAGTTCAAGGCTGCAGTGAGCTATGATCATGCCACTGCACTCCAGCCTGAGCAATACAGCAAGACCCTGTCTCTCAATTTAAAAAATAAAGTCTGCGGTCTAATAAGGGAAAGCAAAACAAGTAATATACATGATAGACCGTAAAATCCATAGCAAAGGAGACGATGTTGACCTTGTTTATGGCTCTATCCCACACAAAGTTCAACTTTTGGCTCACAATAATTACTCAAGAAATAGTTACTGAATTGAATAAAAAGGTTTAAACATTATCGGGCAGGAAGAAATATTTCGGATCTTAAATTCCCTGACAGCTGCACTCTGGGAACTTGCCTGCCTAGATCTCTAAAATGTACTTATTTTTCAGGCCTTTGATTCATTCTCAGCTTTGAAATTTAATATTTAATCTTGTTGGGATCTCTGCTGCCTTGCCTTATTTCTGCTAGAAAGAAGATCCTCATCTATATTTTAGGTTTAGAGTGAAGACGTGCAACTTCCTAGGAGCAACCATGTCTCTGATGTGCCTCTTAGAGCTTCCTGCTAATGGCTTGAGTGAGAGTCACTGCTGGGGCAAATACATTCGGGATCATGTGACGGAACAGATGATGCAGGACCTTTCTCTTTTCTTCAAACGACTTCAGCTGCTCCCTGTCTAGTTCTCATCTCATGGAACTCACGAGATATCTGGAGTCATCACCTAACGTTCAAACTTAGTGTTCTGAGGAGTCCTGTAGAGCAGATGGGATAGGAATTTGAAGAGCATGTCTCCATGTTTTTCTATCCATTTGTCTTAGTCTGTTTTCTGATGCTATAATAGAACACCACAGACTGAGTAATTTGTAAAGAACAGAAGTTTACTTGGCTCGCAGTTCTAGAGGCTGGAAAATCCAATATCAAAGGGCCGCATCTGGTGAGGGCCTTCTTGCTGTGTCATATCATCGTGGAAGGGCAAGTGAGGACGTGGGACAAAGAGAAATGGGGTCTGAACTTTATCCTTTGATCAGGAGCCCACCCCTGAGGTAATTAACACACTGGCATTAATCTACTCATGAGGTCAGGGTCCTCACAACCTAATCACCTCTTAAGGGCCCCATCTCCCAATCCATTACACAGGCAATTAAATTTCAACATGAGTTTTAGAGGGGACATTCAAAGCATAGCCCCATTCAGTACTTATCTTTCAGTGCAATGCTTGGGGGCATAATAGTGCACATTTGAAGTATGAGGTTAGGAAAGTACCTAAAAGTGGTAGTTTTGAGGATAACAAGTAGACACAGATTCCTTTCTAGTTAACTCGAGGATTTTCTATTCTCTTTAATGCATATCCTCCTGACTGGAGTGAGGCTTCTAGTTTTACCTTCTACCATGAATGCTTTTCAGATCTTATGAGATCCATGTAAGACATTCTAATAGGTGGAAAGGAGAGAAAAATATCACAGAATAGAAAGGAAATGATGAGAGACTTGTATCAACAAAGCTGGACAACAAAGATAAAATTTGTACATTTTTATCTAGAATGAGCCCTTGTATTATGCAATGATTAAGGTTAAAGAAGACATAAGAAAGCCTGGGGGAAAACAGGGCCTGTAATACTGTAATAGTGTCCATGAACAGAAAGATGCCAAACAACCCCTTGGCATGTTGCTCACCTGCCTGTCAATAGAAAACACTAAAACACAAGGAAGCTAAGTCAAAACAGACCAGCATTCTGTATAGGTGTCTCATGAAACATTTTGGGGGAGAATTTGTATACTTTGAAAATATTATCGCTTTGCCTTTATTGATCACTTTTCTTTGGAATTTTTTTCTTTAAGAGAAGGGGTCTTGCTATGTTGTCCAGGCTGGTCTTGAACTGAAAATATTTTTGCCTTGCCTTTATTGATCACTTTCTGTTCTGAATTCTTTTCTTTTTAAGAGAAGGGGTCTTGTTATGTTTCTCGGTTGCTCTTGAACTCCTGAGCTCAAACAGTCCTCCACCTCAGCCTTCTGAATACCTGGGACTATAGGCTTGCGTCACTATACTTGGATTCTTCTGCATTTTTATGGCACTTGCAATCTTTGCCACATAGTTTATATGTTCAGGACCGTGTCATATATACTGTTAGCTTTATCTTAACATTTCAAGGGCAAAGAGCTTGTTTTGTGTGTGTGTGTGTGTGTGTGTGTGTGTGTGTGTGTGTGTGTGTTTGAGATGGAGTTTTACTCTCGTCACCCAGGCTGGAGTGCAATGGTGTGATCTCGGCTCACTGCGAACTCTGCCTTCCAGTTTCAAGAGATTCTACTGTCTCAGCCTCTGAAGTAGCTGGGATTACAGGTGCCCGCCACCACGCCTGGCTAATTTTTGTATTTTTAGTAGAGATGAGATTTCACCATGTTGGCCAGGCTGGTCTGAAACTCCTGACCTCGGGTGATTCACCCGCCTCGGCCTCCCAAAGTGCTGGGATTACAGGCATGAGCCTCTGCGCCTGGCCAAGAGCTTGCTTTTTTTAGAACCACTCTATCTTGTAGTAGTCATTGTGGTTGACTTGTCATCATCTATTCTTCCCTGAATGTAATTCTGTACACCAATGGTCAGCAAACATTTTCCATAAAGGACATAGTGCATATTTAGGCTTTGCAGGCACATGATCTCTGTTACAACCATTGTACTGTGCAGTTGCATGAGAAAGCAGCCACAGACAATATATAAATGAATGGGTATGGCTGTGTTACAATAAAACTTTATTTACAACAATAGGCTGTGGGCCGGCTTTGGCCTTTGGTTGTAGTTTTCTGATTTCTGGTTTCTGATTTCTGCTGGTCATACTATTTCCCTCAACAGTGACTTGGTCAAAATGGCACGTGCATGTGACCCAATCTTGGTCAAGGAAACATGAAGGAAATCTAGTGGGGACCTCTAGGAAAGGTTTCCTTAATTCTAAAGAGATGCAGTTAGAGCCTCTCCCTTGTTTTTCTCTGGATCTTGTTGTGGTGGGAGCAGGCATTTTGCCACCTACCTGAGGCAGACAACAGGCTGAGAGAATCTCCGAGAAGAGAGAGACCCTGACCTACATGACCTGGAGCCCACTCTGTCCTGGTCTCCAAGCTATGGAAATTAATAAATGTCCTTCTGTGTAAATCATTTAGTCTTTTTTTTCCTTCCAAGAAAGCGTAATAATTGATACTATTGTATTCCTGAAAGAAGATGTTAAAATGATACCAAAATGATATAAGTTGAGTTTGGCTTCTCTATGGGGCAAAGTAATATGCTTTGAATTACATTTCTGATAAAGAATACAGTGCCCAACTTTTAACAGAAATGATAAAAAAAGCCATGTCAAATCAGCTACATTTATATAAAGTTTTTATAGTACATAGAAATTGATGAATTAGAGCAATATAATTAGCTACTCCAAACTGAAATTAATATGTATATGTATATTATATGAAGTTCTTATCTTACATCTTCATAATTTCTACATTGTTTTACCACAGAAAATATAGAAAATACTCATGCAAGGCCGGGCGCGATGGCTCATGCCTGTAATCCCAGCATTTTGTGAGGCTGAGGCAGGTGGATCACAAGGTCAGGAGTTCAAGACCAGCCTGGCCCAAATGGTGAAACCCCCGCCTCTACTAAATATACAAAAATTAGCTGGGTGTGGTGGCAGGCGCCTGTAATCCCAGCTACTTGGGAGGCTGAGGCAGGAGAATCGCTTGAACCCGGGAGGTGGAGGTTGTGGTGAGCCGATATCGTGCCACTGCACTCCAGCCTGGGTGACAGAGTAAGACTCCGTCTCGGAAAAAAAAAAGAAAAGAAAATACTCATGCAAGTCACTGAATCCATTAGGATTTTAGGGGACATTTTCACAAGACTCTTTAAGGATATTTTTTTTTTTTTTGAGATGGAGTCTTGCTCTGTCTTCTAGGCCGGAGTGCAGTGGCGGGATCTCGGCTCACTGCAACCTCCACTTCCTGGGTTCAAGCGATTCTCCTGTCTCAGCCTCCTGAGTAGCTGGGACTACAGGTGCACGCCACCATGCCTGGTTAATTTTTGTATTTTTAGTAGAGACGAGGTTTCACCATGTTGGCCAGGCTGGTCTCGAACTCCTGACCTTGTGATCCACCCACTTCGGCCTCTCAAAGCGCTGGGATTACAGGCATGAGCCACTGCACCTGGCCTTTAAGGAGACTTTTAAGGAGATTTGGGTTCACACGATAAGTTCTTGAGACATCATTCAGTCCCCCTCCCACTTTTTAATGAAGACACTTCCAGGTATATTTATTTGTTCATTTTTTTAAAACTACAAAAATCATAAAGGATCAAATGATACAGAATTATAAGATAATGGTTTCCCTTTTGTGCCCCTGAGGATGCTAATATTCATTTATTTTCTTTATGATGACCCTGCTTCCAACATAAGCATTAAGTTTCAGAGGGTCTATAAGGTCAAAACCATTTTTGTAATAATATATATTTGCCTTTTTCATTTGGTTGATGTTTGCATTTTGATGGTGCAAAAGCAATGCTGGTTAAAACTGCTGGCACTTTAGCATGAAACAAGGCAATGACACCTAACTCTACTAATAGTCATTGTATTCTTTGATGTCATGCACTCACGGGGGGAAAAGCCAATTTTAATGAAGAATGGTCTTGAAAGAATCAATAAAATTATTACTATTATTAAATCTCAACTTTAAATATATATATGTTTTGGTTTTGGAGGAGGAGTTGGGGGTAGGATTTGAAGCCAGAAGGTTTCTCAGTTAGTCAAGTTACCTCACTCAGTTTCCATACCCATAAACATTAGAAAAGGAAAGCAAAATATAGAACTCTGCACAAATTTGCATATCATCTTTGTGCAGGGGGCCTGCTTGTCTGCGTCATTCCAATTTTAGTATAAGTGCTGCTGAAGCAAGCACAGTGTACATGTTTTTAATATTCTGTGACACAAAATGAGAAGCACATATAAAGTACTTCTGCTATGCACCAAAGCAAGACAGTTGTTAGATGGATAAGAACTTTTGTAATTATTTGTGTTATGAGCTTAACAAGCCTCATTTTTTTCATAGACTGCCATCTTTACTTGAAAGAATGACTGACGGACTATGGTTAATTTGGATTGAATTTTGGCAGATATTTTCTCTAAAATGAACCATGTGAGACAGTCACTTCAAGGAATGTTGCCAGTGATAAAATCTTGAGTTTACAAGTGAAAATATGAATTTTAGAAAATTTTTATCTGCCACTGTGAGCTTCATAGCTTCTGTCTTAGGCAGTTCAGGCTGCCATAACAAATTGCCATAGGTCAGGTGGCTTAACAACAAACATTTATTTCTCACAGTGCTGGAGGCTGGAAGTCCACGATCAGGGTGTTAGCATGGCAGGGTTTTTGATGAGAGTTCTTTTCCTGATTTATAGACAGCCATCTTCTTGCTGTGTCCTCACATGGTGAAAAGAGGGCTAGCTAGCTTTCTGGTCTCTTCCCATAATGCCACTAATCCCATTTATGAGCGTTCCACCTCATATCCTAACTATCTCCCAAAGACCCCACCTCCAAATACCATCACACTGGGATTAGGATTTGAACATGTAAATTTCAGGAAGACACAAACATTCAGTCCATCGCAGCTTCCCAATACTTAGAGACATTTTGGATGAGATCAGTGGTATTGTTATTAATGATTGTGATTGTAATATGTCAACATTTGTGCAAGATGGATCCATGGATTTTAATGAAACAGGAACGCAAAATTCACTGATTAGTTTTCAGATATCACATTGTAAATAAGGCTTAACAAACTACCACATTTCAAATTGTTGTGCATATCAAAGAAGAATAGCTTCAATTATCTGAACAAGACAATCAGGATCTGGCCGGGCATGGTGGCTCACTTTTAGTTTCCAATTTTAGTATAAGTGCTGCTGAAGTAAGCACAGTGTACATGTTTTTAATATTCTGTGACACAAAATGAGAAGCACATATAAAGTACTTCTGCTGTGTACCAAAGCATGACAGTTGTCAGGAGGATAAGAACTTTTGTAGTTATTTGTGTTAATCTCTGTAATCCTAGCACTTTGGGAGGCCGAGGCAGGCGAATCACCTGAGGTCAGGAGTTAGAGACCAGCCTGGACAATATGGTAAAACTCTGTCTCTACTAAAAATACAAAATTAGCTGGGCATGGTGGCATGCATCTGTAATCCCATCTACTTGGGAGACTGAGGCAGGAGAATCACTTGAACCAGGGAGGCAGAGGTTCCTGTGAGCCAAGATCGTGCCACTGCACTCCAGCCTGGGCAACAAGAGGGAAACTCTGTCTCAAAAACCAACCAACCAAACAAACCAAAAAAACCCATCAGGATGGGGGGTCACCTTATCCTACAGTGACCCAACTTATAATAATGCAACTTCTTTTCATTTTATTTTGCTCTGGCTTCTGTAGCCAAGTCTATAAACTCAAGGCCAACTGGAGTTGGAATGAGGCATCTGCTGGCCTGGCCATCTGCCATGCTCTTGAGCATCTTTGTGCTACAGACAAACAAACCAGAACAAAGGGATTCACTGCAGAGAGACAGTGCTCCAACCCTATGACATGGCTATCATTGCCCCACGAAAGCCTTAGGATCCTGGCTTACCCATCCGCTCTTGTTGAAGAAGGATTGCTTTTCAGTTTAAGTCATTACTTCTGTTTTGCTCTAGTACTTACAGAAAGAGAACCGACAAGCCTGAAATGACCCTTCTGTGAACAAGGTTTTACACTGGGATTTGAAATACCGGAAAAGTTGTGTCCCTAGAAAAGTAACTCTAGCCTTAACATCAGCAAAATGAGGATTTATTTTTATTTTTATTTATTTTTGCATTCAGAGAGGAATGATGATGTCATCCATGTCCTTACACACATCTTAATTTGTGGATTTTTTCTTACTTAACTCTCTTAATTGGATGAAAGTATGCAGCTGATGATTTATGGATCGCTAGTTGTGCCAGGCATCTTTTTAAATATGCACAGCTGCTCTGCAGTAGTTTAACTTGGCAGATAGTATTAAACCATTGAGTTGTGTCATTTATTTGTACATGCATACAATAGCCTCCTTGTACAGGTTCTTCCAAAATCTCTACAGGAATGGTTTAGGACCATGCATTTAAAGAGTCTCAGAAAGTATTCTTTTGGAAGATTTTCAGTTTCCAGAATAAAGAATGAGATAGCATTTTGCGATGTTGCTAAGTTCCCAAGGGAATCACAGAGACAGGCTGAAGTGGAGAGGCTAACAGAGTGAGAGGTCTCCAGTGTACATTTGGGAACTCCAATTTCAGTGGTCGTTTAGGCAATGTAGGACGTGTTACTGCTGACAACACTCTCACTTTCACTATAACACATCTCAGGGAAGCAGCTGAAAGAGGTGGGTGATCTAATACAAGTTGTTGCAGGCATAAATAACTTGAGAAGCTCTGTTGACAATAAAAGTCTGGCATTCACAGTAGTGAACAATGTTATCTTCAAATTCAAAGGACCCTGAGATTTGTCACTGTCATCCTTTGTAGTCAAGGATGATACTGTTGACACTCTGGCTATCCCTGTATGTAAGTGTGGCTGAAAATACCCGAATGTGACAGATGATAAGGGCTTTCTGCAGAGCATACATGATAAATCTTTTTTTTTTTTTTTTTTTTGGTTTGTATCTCCTGGTCTCCCAGGGCATAGCTGGCCTTGTCACAAAGTCATCGTGTCTGTCTGCAGCAGAACCTGCTGCTCTGGCACTGGCCTCTTGGCTCTTGCATTCCAAAAACGTGGCTTGAATAGCTAGAATGTCTCTCTCCTGAACTATTATGAAGATTACACCTCCTACCTGATCTGCTTACTATCCCCCATGCCAAAGCAAGCCAGGCACATGCCACAGTTCCTTCCCATGCTGTGACTTCTGTGAGAATTATGTTGAGGTGGGCAGTATTTCTCAATAGCTTCATTCACTGGTGATTTTATTCTGCCATTTGACATTTTTGAGTGTTCTCAACTGGAAACATCTTAGGTGCTGAGATAATTCCTCCTGCACGCCCCTTCTCAGTTTTGCCTGACCCAGGAATAGGAATAGGAAAAGCAGAGGAGCTGAGATATGCCTCTCCTGTAGGTGGAATAGTCTGACATTATACAGTTTGTTGAGGAAAAACAACTGTTTAAACTGATTAAAAAATTGTTTCCATATCAGGCTGGTATTAGACTGTTTTCACACTGGTATAAAGACATACCTAAAACTGGGTGATTTATAAAGGAAAGAGGTTTAATTGACTCACAGTTCTGCATAGCTGGGGAGGCCTCAGGAAACTTACAGTCATGGTGAAAAGTGAAGGGGAAGCAGGCAACTCTTCACCAGGTGGCAGGGAAGAAAGCAAGCACAGGGGAAATTGCCACTTATAAAACCATCAGATCTCATGAGAACTTGCTCACTATCATGAGTAAACCATGAGGGAAACCGCCCCCATGATCCAATCATCTCCCACCAGGTCTTTCCTTTGACATTACAATTCCAGATGAGATTTGGGTGGGGACACAGAGCCAAATCATATCAAGCCTGTACTCCAGATATTTTTTTTAAAGCTGAAAGTCCCCAAAAGCTCATCTCTGGAGCCTGATCCTGGGCGTTCCTGAGCCACTGCAAATATCTTAGAGAGCCTTTCTGTGCTAGTGGCTCAGATGACTCATATTGGGCAGTGATTAGTTGAGAGCATGGGCAGCATTGGGATCTCATGCTGATAGCAAGCACTGCTAGCAGTTGGTTACTTTGCCTCTTTGGCTTTTACCTGTGGGTTCAGGATGGGGATTATGAAGGCTATTAAAAGGGCTCCTTGACGGTCCCTTAGTCTTAAAACCTCCTGCAGGAGGAACTGCAGATTCTCTCAGACTCTCAGATAGGGAAACCCAAAAAGCCTTATTAGCGATTTAACCTTTGAGTAAATTGCCTTATCAGCTCTTCTTTGAGAAGACCCTCAACTAAGAGTAGTTCCACGCATAACAAAGCTGTGATGAGGTTAGCTGAGACATAAGAGGGATGAGAAGCGAGACCCAGTCTGGGTCACTGGGCCTCCCCAGAGGGGAAAGGCCTGACCCAGGGCATCCACGAGCAGCAAAGGGATACTTGGTGTCCAAGAAAGAACACCCAACCAGGAGAGAGAAGGGGGACCTGAAAGTAGGAAGGGGGAGGAGCTAAAGACGTACTTTGTCCACATCACAATTTTGCCTCTCTTTGGTTTGAGGTTATCCAGTATAGTCCTATCTGACATAATTTTTGAAGTCGTTTCTCCAAGGAATGTCTCTGAATCAGCTTTAAGCTCTCTTTGGTCCTCCAAGGACACTAGAAGTCAGGCAGAGATTCCTTAAGATCCAGTGTATATATCAACAGCCTCTGATCTCCTAGTTATCCTGTTTTTTTGAGAAGAGCTAAGAGGAAAAGGAATAAGGGTAAGCCAGCATCTAGTATGAGGAATGCTTTGTTATTCCCATAATATAGATAAGGAAACTGAAGTTTAGTTATTGAACCAGGAGCACCTAAGAGCTAAGAAGCAAAGCTGAAATTGAAACTGAGACCTATCTGCTGAGGTGAGCAGCTCCGCAAGTTAGCTCCATTCAGAAAGCTGCCTGAATTTTATTCCTCCTATTCTGTCACAGAGCTTTAGGGTTATTCTCAAAAGTTCTGACTATACCAAGAAGATAGCACGTTCTCCTCATGAAGTTCAAGAGACCATTAACTAAAGAATGGGCCTCAACTCTATCTCTAATGGCCTACTAAAATAGTAAAGAGTAGTATTGCTACAGTGGTACCATTTTATTTTATTTTATTTTATTTTACTTACTTATTTTATTTATTTATTTATTTATTTATTTATTTATTTATTTATTTATTTATTTTGAGACAGAGTCTCGCTTTGTCACCCAGGCTGGAGTGCAGTGGCACGATCTCAGCTCACTGTAATCTCTGCCTTCCATGTTCAAGAGACTCTTGTGCTTTTAAATACTACCTCTGTCCATTGGCTTTTTTTGAAGGAATCATGCAAAATTTGCTTGTTTGGTTTGTTGAGTCGAAGTAATACCCTTAACCTCCACTATGTGTGTTGAACAAGAGGTCAGAAGGAAATAGTCTCTGAGGTAGCTCTTGCAAGAAGATCTTAATAAGTTTGGGTTGATAGGCATCCAAGAGTTTACTGATTTTAAGGATGCCATCCCTCTAAAATTAATGTATGCCCAATAGGTTATCCCATGTAGTTTCCTTCCTTTTCCATTGAATTTCTAAGTGTTGATTGTCACCATCTTCATGACATGAGACACAATGGGGCCTCAAGACTCAGCTACTCAAGAGGCTGAGGCGGGAGAATTGATTGAACCCAGGAGGCAGCGGTTGCAGTGAACTGAGATTGCACCACTGCACTCCAGCCTGAGTGACAGAGTGAGACTTCATCTCAAAGAAGAAAAAAAAAAAGAAAATCATAAGGAAAATATATTTACTATTCATTGAATGGAGGTGGATCATCAGAGAGGTCTTCATCCTCTTTATTTTCATGTTGAGTGGGCTGAGGAAGAGCAAAAGCAAGAGGAGGATGGGAGGGGTTGGTCTTACTGTTTCAGGGGTGGCAGAGGCAGAAGAAAATCCACATACAAGTGGACCCATGCAGTTCAAACTTGGGTTGTTCAAGGGCCAACTGTATTATTTTAGCTAGCCGCAATGTTCTCAGATTTTAAAAAATCAGCATTCTTTTTACAAACGGAAAAATGCAGAATTAATATTTAGAGGCAATTAGGCATCCTTGTCACAGTTTGGCTCTCAAACCCATTTCCTGGATTTTGTTCCCTGTGCTCCTCATATTCATTCTTTCCTATTCCCTCTTGCACACATGTATTTTTTTTAAAGACCCTGCTGCTCAAAATCCGGGGCCATGCAGAGCAGAAAGGATGAGTATGGACTGAAACTGAGTCAAACTAGAGAGTTTTTTGCTATGATGATTTTGTCTTATTTTCAATATCATTTGTATCATTAACAAAACTTCTTGTGTACTTAGAATATATAGGGAAAAATATCAGAGATGTTAAGAAATACAATACAGATTTCTATCTCTAATCTCTGGCTTTCTCATTTAGAGGAGCTGAAGCTCCCATGGAAAGATAATGTCAAGAACTGTGAAAGGTCTGAGATTTTTACCCTAGAGTGTCATGGATGCTGGCAGAAGACACAGGACTCCTGGGTCACACATAAATGCCTTTATTATAGCCATAGCAATAGTCACAGTACCAGCTTTTTCTTGTGACTTCCCCAGGCCCCAATTCCCACCAGGTGACACAGATGACATTTGACACCAGCACATGACGTAAGTTGCATTATAGGAGAGAAACCTGGCACTTAAGGAACCCATGTCTTAATGGGCAGCAGGCATACCTGCCCTTTTCTCCAGAGACAGACTTCGTTTTCATATTTTAAGGCTATCCCCTGTATAAACATCCTTGTAATCATAGTTCAGAATAAACGCAGTCAGTATCCCTGCTGGCAAGAGATGCAGAGACATGGAAACCTCCGGACAACTGTCTCCAGCAGATATAAGGCAGTAGAATCATGCATCACTTAATAACAGAGATGTTGTGACAAATGCATCATTAGGTGATTGTGTCATTGTGCGAACATCATAGAATGTACTTACACAAACCTAGACGGTAGAGCCTACTACACACCTAGGCTATATGGTATAGCCTATTGCTCCTAGGCTACAAACCTGTACAACATGTCACTGTGCTGAATACTCCAGGCAACTGCAACACAATGGTAAATATTTGTCTATCTGAACATATCTATACATAGAAAAGGTACATTAAAAAATATGGTGTGATAATCTTATGAGACCACTGTCATATATGCGGTCTGTCGTTGACTAAAACATCATTATACGGTGCATAACTATGTATGCCACGTGCTACACAAGTACCAGAAACACTAAATATGACAAACATTCACCTTCTGAGTAAGAAGTGAGCAGCTGGGTGTGGTGGCTCATGCCTGTAAACCCAGCACTTTGGGAAGCTGAGGCGGGTGGATCACTGGATGTCAGGAGTTCGAGACCAGCCTGGCCAACATGATGAAACCCCATCTGTACTAAAAATACAAAAAATTAGCCAGGCATGGTGGCATGTGCTTGTAGTCCCAGCTACTCGGGAGGCTGAGGCAGGAGAATCGCTTGAACCCGGGAGGTGGAGGTTGCACTGAGCCGAGATCGTGCCACTGCACTCTGGCCTGCGTGACAGAACGAGACTCCGTCTAAAAAAAAAAAAAAAAAGAACTGACCACTGGAGGCTGTGCGATCTAGGAAGGCAGCTGGGCCAGGGAAGGGAGAAACTGGGCCAGGGAAGGTGGAGATCGCTTTTACTTATTCAAGTAGGTGTGAAGACAGGCAATGCAGTTGAAAACCTACAAAAGACAAGTTTGGTGGAAGGGAAAGTTCACGTAGGAAAGCTGAGGGAGGTTAGGATTGGTTTCTGGAAGGCCTGGAGAAACTTTCCCACTGTAATGAGGAGGAATAGTAACAGTGCTAACCAGCAACACAGAGGAGGATGGGCCAGAGTCGGGGAGGTTAGGGGCAAGGCAAGGAGACGAAGGGAAGGTATTGCAGGGGTCTGAGCATGAAGTGTGGAATACCTGAATTTTTTCCACATGGGATATATACCTGTATTTACTCAATTTTATTTTCTTCACTAAAGAGTACCAAGGCAAACTTGGTAGATAATTTTGTATGTTTGAGGATTGATTTATAGTATCATTAATAAGTCTATTACCTTATGTGGCACTTCATAACCTTTCTCATCCAAGAGGGTGTCATCCACATGTGTTTAGAGCTGGTTTCTGCCATACATTTTGGGATCAGGCACTTCCCTGAAGGTGTTAGGGGTCAGGTCTAGAGAAGCTCATGGGCATACCCTTCTGGCAGGATAAGGGAGAGATTTGGTGTGGGGCAGACTGATAGACGTGACACCTATTGCACATAGAAGACCAGTTACAGTACCAGGTTCAATGTGAGAAAGTTAGTTTAAAGGACACATCCTCAAGAAGACGTAGGGTACTAACAACCAAATGGCTTAAACAGAGGAGCCCTTGATAAAGTAAGTGCTAAATAGCTATTTCCTTAACCTTAACTGGAGATTGGAATTCTGTGTTCTATAGTGGTTTCTTATGATTCTTATGTAATAATCTTGGCTCCTTGGTTGTAAGAAATGCGGGCAAGTCTCACACCTGCCTCTCCAAAAATGAATGAAGTGACACCTTAAATGTTCCCCAGGCTTGCATCACCCTCTGGGGGCCTCCCACAATCCTGGGTCCTCAGCGATTCTACGGTGAGGCCACTAGATCACAATCGAAGGCTTTGGCAGACCACCATGTAAGCAAACCCCTAAATATTTTTAACAGACCCAAGACTGGCAGGAGTCAAACTTTATATATTAAGGGGGTATTAAAACACAGCTATTTCCAATAATTCATTATGCACATACTCATAAACACATTACACTTGTCACAGAACATATACCTGTAGTGTGCTTTCCAGCGGGGACTAAACAACACTTAATGAGAACGCTGGTGGTGTTTTTTGATGTCAAGAACCCCAAGGTTCCAGCAGTGAAGGGGCATCGCAGTTGGTAGTCTTTTTAATGGGAAGTCCCCTGGCCTTTGGCTGCCTATGGTGTGTCAGCCACAAGTTGGGAACCACAGCACTTGGTGAAGGAGCAATTTCCCCCATGGCCTTACTCAGACCCATCATTAGACACTTCCCTGAAAGTGAGCCTGGAAGTTTGCATAGCAGCCAGTGTAAGCCTTCAGGGAGAAGTGGAGTGAATATCGCAGGCTCATGTCAAGAAAAGGAATCATCTGTCACATGTGAAAAAAGCAGTCAAAGTGCCAGTGTACTAATGGAAAATGACCGCGCCCAAAGCATTGTCTTTCATTGTGGATACCAAGCTTAAAAAGGAATATATATTTTTCAAGTGTACAGAGGAGAGATGCATTCAGAATAGGTTAGTAAGGTGACCCAAGCCACGTCACCTTGGGAGCAGTCGAAGGAATAGGATGCATGTGGAAAGACCTGGGAGGCCATGCTAGTTGCCCTCAAATATTTTGAGGGTTGTCAAGAGGAAGATTTCCCCAGGAGCATGGTAGGCAGAAATCAACAATAAAGGATGGAAACCACGAAAAACAGATTTATAACAGAGAGGGGGTCAAGGGGAACCCGGTCTAATAGCACTTTTCAAGAATGGAACAGGTGGCTTAGGAGATATTGACTTCTCTGTCATTTGAGACATTCAAGCCTTGACATCACAACCACATTGAAAGAATATTGCAATAGGACTCGAGCAGCTGATCATGGAATTAAGTGACTTTAATTTTCAACCCTAGGACTCTGTGATTCTATGTACACAGAATTCGAATCTTAAGTAGAGTGTCCTTGTGAAACCCCTACAACTTTGATTGAAAATATATACTGAATTAAAATCTGTATGGTAATAAGTTTCTTTTTAGTGAACAGGAAACATGCCAAAGTATATCTTAACATTCAGTTGTAGATAATTATGTGAGCTGATTTTGTGTCAATGAATCTGAAGTTCTGATTTGGTATTAGAAAATCATACGACACCCCAAGCTTTCTCCTAGGAAGTTGTCTTTTCCATTTTTAGCATTTCATTTGGTTGTCTGTCATCACCTATAACACACACGTGCATACACATACAAATGCTGCTATAATTAACATTTTGGGTTCCTTTATCATTTTTTAAACCTCAAACTTTTTGTTATGTAATGCACACTTATTTGAAAACATCTCCTGTTGAAAATCACAGAGGTCACAGGTAGAAATGCTGTATATCCAGCACTGGTAAGGCAAATCTATGTATATTGAACTACTGAGAATATGTACAAAAATTAGGTAGAAATTAGAGAAAACAGCTCTAAGGATTGACAAAAAAAAAGTAGAAAGAGTAGGAAAAGTTGCTCTGCTCCAAAGAGATAGGATTGAAAGGTTTTTGCTTGGTGTCCTAGAAGATAACTTCCCTTCTTTCTGCTTCATCAGGGTAGAGGAGATGAGAGGAGCAGGTATCAGGGTCCCTGACTCTTAGGGATTCTCAGCCTAGAGACTGGTTTACTGTACTTGCTTGCTTTATGGTCAACAGTTGACTTTGCATCTCAGAGGAGCTGTGAAAGGGCTCAGAGAGATTCTTTACTCTTTCTCTACATCAGAGGCCAGAAAGAGATAAAAGAGAATTAGGAGCAAATGTATTTGTTTCCTTGCCACCCAAACTAGCATCAAAATATGCTGAAGGCCAGGGTGGCCTGAGCTCCTTCATGACCCATGGCGCTTAACAAAACATCTGCAGAGGAAAGTGTACCAGGGCAGAGGGGACTTTTCCACAAAGCACGGTCATGCCCTGCACAACCACTGAGGAATGAAGTATTTAGGAATCTTGTGGGAAAACTCAACAAATTCTGAAGACAGAAAGGCACACAATAAATGGTGTTCTGTTAGGGTGTTGCTAATGTTGATGACACTCAGAAGTAAGGAAAAAGAGGATATTCTCACATTTCAGAAGATTCTGGAATAGAGCCAATTCCTGGTGTTTCTTTGTTGTTCTAAAAAGAAAAGCTTTTTTTGTCTCTGTTTTCCATATAACATCAAAGAATTGAGTAACCATCTTTATCAATTAAAAACATAATTGATCCCTGCAGCCTGGCTGTTGTGCAGACAATCTCCCACTCTCTTTCCCGAGAGGTGTCTGTCCCCGCAGATGTGGGCTAGCAAGGCTGGCACTTGGTGACTGTGAGATTGCCTTGAAACTGGTGACTAGAAATTCTTTTGTTACGCTACTTTTAACTTAGGTTTTATCTATGGGACCTTGACATTTTTAATACTTTAGGCATTTCTGCATGCTTAAAGAAGGTAGCCCTAATCTTATTGCTAGCTAAGGAGTGTGTGACACTTATACCTATACTACCTGGAGAGCTTGATTCATAGGTGCTGCTCATCCTGTAGTGGTGTCCTGCTGTCCCTTTTCCCCAGTCCCTGCACCCCACCCCAGCATCCTCTCCATTAGCTCCCTGAAGGAGTCATACTGTTTTCTTGTTCCCTGAGAGCTTTCTATTGATAAAAGTTCTGTCTGTCTTCAACTACAGGAAGAACTGTGGGTCTCTCTGGATTCTACAGGCACCTGGCAGGCATGAGAGCACTCTCAGAGACAGGGCTTTGGTGGGCTATGAATGGAATGCCCTCTGAGTTCCCCTGAAAGGAGGATGGGAAACTCTAGATCCCTAACTGCCCTCAGGGTACCCAGGACTGGCTGAAATGATCCAAACTCAGAAGTTGAGTGCTCACGCATAGGGCCATAGGGGCCTGAGGTAAAACAGGGTGAGTCTAGCCATCCTGATAAGGTCTGAGGGGAATTTAAGAGCATAAAAATTAGCCCAGTCAGTGAAAGAAAAAATCAGATTAATAGTGACTAATTGTTTGGTCCTGCACTTGCTCTACAGAAATATAATGCAAGTTACATATGTAATTTTGAATGTTCTAGTAACCACATCAAAAATAATTAAAAAAAAACAGATGAAGTTAATTTTAATATTATATTTTATTTAACCCAACATGTCTAAAATATTATTACTTTCTTCCAAACAAGCAAAAGCTGAAGGAATGTGTCACCACTAGACTGGCCTTACAGGAAATGCTCAAAGGAGTTCTACATCTGGAAGTGAAAAGACAATAATCACCATCATGAAAACACACAAAAGTATTAAACTCGCTGGTAAAGCATATACACAAAGGCGAAAGAGAAAAGAATGAAAACTTATCACTACTGAAAACCATCACATCACGATGATAAATAGTAAGAGAGGAAGAAAGCAACAAAGGATACATAAAATAACCAGAAAACAATTAAAAAATTAAGAGGAGTAACTCATTACCTATCAATAATACCTTGAACATAAACAGCTTAAATTCCCCACTTAAAAGATACAGACTGGCTGAAAGGATTAAGAGAAAAAAAAACATGACCCACCTATGTACTGCCCACAAGAAACTCACTTCACTTATAAAGACATACATAGACCAAAAGTGAACGGATGGAAAAGATTCTGCACAGACAGAAACAAAAAATAAGCAGGAGTAACTGTACTTAACATCACATGAAATAGACTTTAAGTCAAAAACTGTTAAAAGAGACAAAAGTTACTATGTAATGATAAAAGGTTCAAAAGGATCCTTCAGCAAAAGGATATACAACTGTAAATAAATATGCACCCAACACAGGAACACCCAGATACATAAAGCAATTATTGTTAGATCTAAAGGGAGATATAGACTCCAATACAATAATAGTTAGGAACTTCAGCACCTCACTCTCAGAATCGCACTGATCATCTAGAAAGAAAATCAACAAGGCAACATTGTATTTCAGTTGTATTTCAAATGGACCCAACAGGCATTTACAGAACACTTCATCCAACAGCTGCAGAATGCACATTCTTTTCATCAGCACATGAAACATTCTCCAGGATAGACCATATCTTAGGCCACAAAACAAGTCTTAATGTATTTAAAATAATTAAAATCATATCAAGTATCTTTTCTGAGCACAATGGAATAAAACTAAAAATCACTAACAAGAGGAACTCTTGAAACTCTTGAATACATGAAAACTTAACAACATGCTCCTGAGTAAACAATGGGTCAACAAAGAAATTAAGAAGAAAATTTAAAAGTTTCTTGAAACAGAAGAAAATAAAAACGCAACATATCCGAATTTATGAGTTACAGCTACAGCCAATCTAAGAAGGAAGTTTATAGAAATAAACACCTACTTTATAAAAGTAAGGAGATTTCAAATAAACAACCTAATGTAGGAGCTAAGAAAAGTTTATCTCAGGGAGGTAGAAAGTAGGATGATGATTACCAGAGGCTGGGAAGGGGGTTAGGAGGTTGTAAAGAGGTTGGTTAATGGGTACGAAAGTACAGTTAGGTGGAAGAAATAAGTTCTGGTGTTTGACAGCACAACAGGGTAACTATAGTTTACAATAATTTATTGTAATAGCCAGAAGATTTGAAACGTTTCCAACACAAAAAAAAAATACATGTGTGAGGAGACTGATATGCTAATTACTCTGATTTGATCATTACACATTATATTCATGTATCAAAATATCACATATGGAGGTGGGGCAAGATGGCGGAATAGAAGGCTCCACCTGTCGTCCCGTCCCCGCTGCCCCGCCACCGCCCTGCAAGGACACCAAGTTAAGAACTATCTATATAGAAAAAAATACCTTCGTAAGAACCAAAACTCAGGTGAGCACTCATAAGTACCTGGTTTTAACTTCATATCACTGAAAGAGGCACTGAAGAGATACAAAAAACAGTCCTGAATCGCCACTGAATTGCCAAGACGCCACCCCTGCCCCACCCCAGGCAGCAGTGAGTCCTAGTGTCGAACTAAGCTCAGAGATGGTGGACTCATGGGGCATGCGACATACTGAGACACCAGCTGGGGCAGCCAAAGAAGTGCTGGCATCACCCCTCCTCTAGTCCCAGACTGCACAGCTCACAGCTTCAAAAGAGACCTTCTCCTTTCACTTGAGGAGAGGAGAGGGAAGAATGAGGAAGACTTTGTCTTACATCTTGGATACCAGCTAAGCCACAGTAGGATATGGCACTGGTCAGACTCATGAGGCCTCCATTCCAGGCCCTTGCCCCAAGACAGTGTTTCTAGACACACCCTGGTCCAGAAGGGAACCCCGTGCCCTGAAGGAAAGGACCCAGTCCTGGCAACATTTATCACCTGCTAACTGAAGAGCCCTTGGGCCCTAAATAACCAGCAGTGATAGCCAGGTACTACATCGAGGGCCTTGGTGAGCCTCTGAGACGTGCTGGCTTCAGGTATCAACACTGCCACAGTGGGTAAAGTACCAAGTGGGCTCCTAGGGTCCACGATTCCAGGACTTGATTCTTGGATGGCATTTCTGAACCTGCCCTGGGCCAGAGGGGAGCCTGCTGCCCTGAAGTGTGATTACCAGGCTAGGCAGCATTCACCACAAGCTGACTTAAGAGACCTTGGGCCTTAGGAGATCAACTGTGGTAGTCTGGCAGTACTCCTCATGGCCGGGGGTGATGGTGCCTACCAGGGGCAGGGGTGTCCTCTGCTTTTAGAAAGGGGAGAGAAGAGTGGGAAGGACTGTGTCTTATGGTTTGAGTGCCAGCTCAGCCACAATACAATAAAATACCAGGTAGACTTCTAAGGTTTTTCAGTCTAGTTCCTGACTCCTGGATGGCACTTCTGGGCCCACCCGGGGCCTGGAAAATCTTGCTGCCCTGAAGGGAAGAACACAGGCCTGGCTGGCTTTGCCACCTGCAGATTGCAGAGCCCCAGGGCCTTGAGCAAACATAGACAGTAGTCATGGAGTGGTTATAGCAGGCCTTGGGTGAGACCCAGCACTGTGGCCTCATTATGAGTTTAGTCATAATGGTTGTGGTCACAGGGGTACTCGTGTTACTCCACCCCCCAGCTTTAGGTGGCTCAGAACAGAGAGACTCTGTATGTTTGGGAGTAAGTAAGGGGAAAGAACAAGAGTCTCTGCCTGGTAATCCAGATAATTCTCCTGGATCTTGTCCAAGACTATCAAGGCAGTATCTCTACGAGACTGCAAGAACCACAGCATTACTGCGCTTGGGGTGCCCCTTAAAGCAAAAGCAGTTTAGATCACAACACCCAAGTCCTTTCAAATATCTGGAAAGCCTTGCTACGAAAGACAGCTATAAATAAGCTCAGATAGTAAAGACTACAATAAATACCTAACCCTTCAATGCCCAGACACCAAAGAACATCTTCTAGCATCAACACCATCCAAGAAAATGTGACCTCACCAAATGATCTAAATAAGGTACCAGGGACCGATCCTGGAGAAACAGAGATACGTGACCTTTCAGACAGAGAATTCAAATTAGCTGTGTTGAGAAAACACAAAGAAATTCAAGATAACACCAAAGGAATTCAGAATTCTATCAGCTAAATTGAAGAAAGACATTGAAATAATTAAAAAAAAAGAATCAAGCAGAAATTCTGGAGCCAAAAAATGCAATTGGCATACCGAGGAATGTATCAAACCCCTTTAATAGCAGAAGAAAGAATTAGTGGGCTTGAAGACAACATATTTGAAAATACACAGTCAGAGGAGAAAAAAGATCCTGCAGGATCTATATAGAAAATAGCCTCAAAATAGCTTTAAAATAGCCTTAAAAGGGCAAATCTGTAATTGGCCTTAAAGAGGAGGTAGAGAAAGAGATGAGGTAGAAAGTTTATTCAAACGGATAATAGAAAACTTCCCGAACCTATAGAAATATATCAATATCCAAGTACAACAAGGTTATAGAACACCAAGTAGATTTAACCCAAAGAAGACTACCTCAAGGCATTTAATAGTCAAACTCCCAAAGGTCAAGGATAAAGAAAGGATCCTAAAAGCAGCAAAAGAAAAGAAACAAATAACAAACAATGGAGCTCCGATACTTCTGGCAGCAGACTTTTCAGTGGAGACCTTACAAGCCAGGAGAGAGCAGCATGGCATATTTAAAGTGCTGAAGAAAAAAACCCTCTTGCCCTAAAATAGTATATCCAGTGAAAATATCCTTCAAACGTGAAGGAGAAATAAAGACTTTCCCAGACAATAGAAGTTGAGGAATTTCATTAATACCAGACCCATCCCACAAGAAATGCTAAAGGGAGTACCTCAATCAGAAAGAAAAGGATATTAATGAGCCATAAATAATCACCTGAAGGTACAACACTGACTGGTAATAGTAAACAGAAAAACACAGAATATTATAACACTGTAACTGTGGTGTGTAAGCTACTCTTATCTTAAGTAGAAAGACTAAAAGATGAACCAATCAAAAATAATAACTACAACAACTTTTCAAGACATAGTACAATAAGATATAAATAGAAACAACAAAAAGTTAAAAAGTGAGAGATGAAATTAAGGCAAGTTTTTATTAGTTTTCTTTTTGCTTGTTTGTTTATGCAAAGTGTTAAGTTGTTATCAGGGTAAAATAATGGGTTATAATATAGTATTTTCAGGCCTCATGGTAACCTCAAACCAAAAAACATACAACGGACACACAAAAATTAAAAAGCAAGAAACTAAATCATATCACCACAGAAAATCATCTCCACTAGAGGAAGGCAGGAATGAAAGAAAGAAAGAAGGCCACAAAACAACCAGAAAACAACTAACAAAATGGCAGGAGTAAGTCCCTACTTATCAATAATGACATTGAATGTAAATGGACTAATTTGCCCTTTGCCTTGACAGGCTCTACACTGCCCTGTGGAAGAGCTGCCTTGGGTGTAGGAATAAGGTTGAAGACCCTTCCTGGATTCTGAGAATTACCACAAACTTGCATTCCTGGAATACAGGTTTTTGTTTTTATTATTTATTTATTTATTTTTTCGAGAAGAAATCTCACTCTGTTGCCCAGGCTGGAGTGCAGTGCCGTGATCTCGGCTCACTGCAACCTCTGCCCCCCCGGGTTTAAGTGATTCTCCTGCCTCAGTCTCCTGAGTAGCTGGGACCACAGGCACACGCCACCATGCCCAGTTAAATTTTGTATTTTCAGTAGAGGCCCACCTCACTATGTTGGCCAGGCCGGTCTCGAACTCCTGACCTCGAGTGATCTGCCCACCTTGGTTTTTAATAGTTCTGTCTGGTATCTGTAATCAGAATGGGTTCTCTCCAAAGAAAGGCTGTACCATTGAGGGAAGGAACCTGAACTGAGAAGCAGTAGACAGGAATTCTTATTCTTTATCTGGTGGTCATTAGCTCCAAATAAACTCTTTAACCTATCTTGGTCATTTTCCTCTGTGACCCCTAAGTTCTGATATTTTGTGATTTTGTGTTTATACCAGTGAAACCTTTGTGGTTATAGACTGTATGAAATACCAGTGACAATGAACACTGAGAATCCTGGAAGGTTGGGGAGAAGGAGCTGAGTGGGTGGGGCTCATATACTAATGGGTAACATGGGGCTGGCGTTCTATCCAGTGGATCAATCAAAAAGCAAAGGAACTGAGCTGGTGGCATAACAGGCAGCTGAGCCAAGATTCAACGGACAATGGGGGGAGAATGCCAATTCAAGCAGCAGTCAAGCAATATTTATGACTAGATTTTCAAACTGTTAAAAGAGTCTGTGGTCAAGTAAGTTGACCAGTGTTTACAATCTTCTATTTCAGTGGAAGGGTGGGGATTGTTGGAGAATGGGGCTTCTAAAAGATATTATTAGCATCTCACTACTTGACAGCATCTGAACACATGAGTAAAGTAGAATATTGAAATTACCTAAATAATGAAATAAAAATCACTTTTATTTCAACCAGCTCAATATTTTATGAAAAATTTCTAGAGATATCCCAGTTCACTTTTTAACATTACCTCTAAACCCAAAAAATAAAATGAACTTTAATAAACACAGAGTCACAGGTCATGGCTGTCCATAAAACAGGACTAGAACGTGTTTATTCAGGGTTTTCAGGAAGTTTAGTTGATGGATTCAGTTGGAAGCACCACTAATTGTACCTTCTCAATTAACAAAATAACCACCAAATTAACCAAACATTGTGGTTGTAAAGAAACACTATCAGAATAGTACCCTTATATTGTCTTAAGTATCATTTTCAAAATGTTAAAAGTATATAGGTGGGTGTGCACCTCTTAGGATGGTTCTTATAAAACAACAACAACTACCAAAAAATAACAAGTGTTGCTGAGGATATGGAGAAATTGGAAATCTCATGCTTTGCTGGTGGGCCTGTAAAGTGGCACAGCTGCTGTGAAAGACAGTTTGGCAGTTTCTCAAAAAGTTAAACTTGAAACCGCTAAATAACTCAGCAGTTCTATTCCTGGGTATATACACAAAAGAATTTAAAGGAGAGACTTGAACAGAGATTTGTACATCCATGTTCATCGCAGCATCATTCACCATAGCCAAAAGGTAGAAACAACCCAAATGTCCATCATGGATGAATGGATAAACAAAACATGGTATGTACATGCAATGGGACATTGTTTAGCCTTACATAGGAAGGAAATTCTGACACATACTACAATATGGAAAAATCCTGAAGACATTATGTTAAGTGAAATAATCCAGTAATAAAATGAAAACATTGTACAATTCCACTTATATCAAGTACCTAGTATAGTCAAATTCACAGTGACAGAAAGTAGAATGGTGGTTACCAGCTGCTGATAGAAGAGAGGAATGGGAAGTTATTCTGAAATGGGTACAAACTTTCTGTTTGGTAAGGTGAAAACACTGGAAATAGATAGTGGTGATGGTTGTACAACAATATGAGTGGACTTAATGCCACTGAATGACACACTTAAAAATAGTGAAAATGGTAAATGTTATGAATATTAAACCACAATTTATTTGTGTATGTGCGTGTGCATGCATAGACAACACACACAAAATCCTGACCTTCCCTTTTTTCCAGATGTTTTCAGCAGATTTATTCATAATGGCCAAAAAAATGGAAACTGAATGTCCATTAACAGGGCAACTGATAAATAAATTGTAGTATACAATGAATATTAATATGGTAGGCAGAATTTTAAGATGACCTTCAAGGTTCCCAACCATTGATATACATGCCCTGAATAGTCCCCTCACCTTGAGTGTGGGCAGGATGTGAGGAAGTAATGGGATGTCCCTCCTGTGATATCATTCCTATAATTAAGTTGTGTTATTTGGCCTAGGTGAGGGGATTTTTTTTATTGAGGTAATTATATACCTACATATATATATTTTTTGTATATATACATATTATATACATACATATATAGATTTTATATATAGATAAAATTTACCATCTTTACCATTTCTAAGTGTACAGTTCAATGGTAATAAATAAATTTATATTCTTTTTTCTCCTTCCTCCCTCCGCTTCCCCCTTCTTGGCCTCTGGTAACTACCAATCTATTCTCTGTCTTCATGAGATCCACTTTTTTCACTTCCACATATGAATGAGGACATGCAATATTTGTCTTTCTGTGCTTCGACCTTACCTTTGTGCACATCGGGCAAGTGGTTCGTCTTCCCAGGTATGAAGGGAGTGTCATTTCCTTTTCTCCAAAACTTCCTTTCAAACAGAGAGGATAATTACCAGCAATAAAGGATACTTGGCACAAATTTGGAACCAAATCCCCTTCCCCTTGGTTTAAAGACCATTTGTGTACAAAATGGCCAGTCTGAAGTTGGGGATACAGGTTAAAAAGAAGAAGAAGAAAAATCCTGTGCAACTTCAGAGAGCTTACACTCGTGGCCAAATGGAACAAGTTTCTTTTTTATTTGGTACATAAATTTGTCCTAAGCAATGCACTCAAAGGGAAAATTCCCAAACAGCAGTGCTGGGTCTACAGTCATTTGTCAAATTAATCATGATATATTTTCTTGCCTTGAATAGTGTCGGCTGGAATATGTTACATTCCATTCTAGGAAGGGAATCCAAGTGAAGAATTCCTAACCAACAATTTTTCAGTCTACAGAAAGAGTGAGAGTCCAAGTCCTTTCATTACTGTTCACAACACTTTTTCCATGGTCTTTCAGTTGGGAAGATACAGTCAAATGGCAGAATTAGGATTGAAACCTCATACAGAGTTATGAAACCAACACAGTGTTAGTGTTAAGGGAGACCAGGATTCCAATTAGAGGCAATGCTGGGTTTGGTACAAGATAACCACTTAGGGAAAATGGAAAAATAATGTCAGGCCTGATAAATATCTGACAAAAACTTAAAGAAAGAGTCCAAATGCTTAACTCAGTCTTTTTTCTGATACTGCATCTGAAGTATGTGGATCATCTGATAATGACATTTCAGCATTCAGCCATATAATAGTTGACAAAGTAATGTACTTCACACTGAAAGCTGTAAAACTATAGTGAATTATAAAATTAGATATCAATTTGAATACTACACAATTTTTAAAATGTAAAATTTTGTAATACGGAAATGTTATGTTCATTTACTTCATTTGAAGTATGTCAATATTCTATTTGACTCAGCAAACATAATCTAGTCACCTTGCTCATGAGTGTCCACAGGAAAAAAATAAATTTGGCTATCAACTAATTTCTCTAGTTTCTGAATGTTATTAGTTATGAGTTTTTTCTCCTCCTCTTCCAAATTTGGACCTAATATTAGGACAAGGGACATATATATCTCTACATAAAAAGCAGAGGGCTGGAAATTTTCTGATCATCTGGATTTTAAAAAACATTCCCCATGGAATGTACAACCAATTGAAGCAATATTTTTAAAGAAAATACATTTTTCTTAATGTATCATGTTAATTCCCTCTATTCTTGTCTTGTTTGAATGTGAGTAAGCAGTCCATTGGAAAAAAAAAGATATTTTCCTGTTGTAGTAAAGAATCATATCATCTAGCTTTTTGGGATTGGTGTAGAATCCAGACATCCTTTATACTATGTAATATGATGACTAGAATTTAACCTAAGTGATTAGCCAATGCACTAGATTAAAAGTGAATGAATCCACTCAAGAGACAGGCAAGCACACAGGCAAAGCAGTCATCCTTAGCATCTAACTCTTACCTTTTAGGTTCATGTGAGCATGGGGAGAGTAGACAAGACTGAACATGAGGACAAAAATTGCTAGTCACCTGAGGCCAGATTTTTGTCTTGGATTGTTTTGGGAGAACTTTGCCAACAACTTAGAAAAAAATGATTAACTTGGACATTCACCTATAATTCTTAGAACCCCTCCCGCTGGTGCAAAATATTAGCATAGGACACTCTTGTTAAAATGGTCCTTTGAGGTTTAGTATCTCTAGGCTAACTGAATCTGCCTCAATCTCATTTCATCTGAATTATAAAAGCCACATGTGTTCTGATGTCCCAATTATGTTGTCACATAGAGTCATGCAAGCTAGCAAGCTTTGGGATTAGTAGAGGAGAACATTTTGAAATAATCTAAAAAAACAAACAAACCATGCTTTTTAATTACAAGAGGATGGGGAATGAGATTTTCCCCAAGTGGAAATTGCACCCAAATGGAAGGAAGGCTTTACAAAAACAGAATTATTGAAAAATATCAGTAAAATAATGTCTAGGTGTTAAGTCAAATAGTGACTCCGTATATATTTTAGCCCAATTAAGCCCATAAAAGTTGCCAATTTATCCATTCATTGATGAAAACCTTTGCTGAATGTTCACTATATACGAAGCATATACAGTCATGTGCCACATAACAATGTTTCCATCAACGATGGACCACATATACAACGGTGGTCCCATAAGATTATACTGCTGTATTTTTACTGTATCTTTTCTATGTTTAGATATGTTTAGATACACAAATAGTTACCACTGTGTAACAATTGCTACAGTACTCAGTGCAGTAACATGCTGTCCAGGTTTGTAGCCTAGGAGCTACAGGCTATACTATATAGCCTAGGTATATTGTAGCCTAGGCTACACTATATGGCCTTGGTGGTACAGTGAACTATACCACCCTAGGTTTGTGTAAGTACACTCTGTGATCACACAATAACAAAATAGCCTAATGACAGATTTCTTGGAACATATTCCAGTTGTTAAGTGACACATGGCTCTAGATAAGTATTGAATAACACCCATGTGTAAGGGAAATGAAGAAAGAGCACCCTCTGGCCCTTTGAGGAGTGTCATTCTCAGAGATGACCCACATCAGACATGGATGGCTGCCTGTACCAGGCTAGGCTCTCTACCCTATTTTCTCACAAGGAGGAGAGTGATTTAGAATGTCCTGGAAGTATTTCATTGTTCTATCATGTTTGCAATTGATCAGCATTAGAAAGAAATTTTGCACCATGGAGAGTCAAGCATACTAATGACACAATGTGTACTTATAAGTAAACTCATCCCTACTTTGAAACCCATCAATGAAAGCAAACTTTTGGCCCCTGGGAGACACAGTGACATTACAGTTTGAAAACCTATTCCAACAAAGACCATCAAATCAAGGACTGAGTCTTATCCACCTTTGTACTTGCGGCACCGTGCTTTGCTCAGAGTAAGTGCTCAGAAAGTCTTGTTTTATCTAGAGTGAAAGAGGTAGGCTTCTGCACAGCGACATACATAGTATGCTCAAAAGTAGCCTGAGTAGAGGCTCTGAAGTGTCCCCAGTGCAGTGATCCAAGTAACTTAAGGTTAATTTTGCCACCCTGTGTAAACACAGACTGCCTGAGGCCTCTTCATTTCATTTAGTTTGAAAGTCACACAAGACAGGGTTCAGAATTTAAAAATTGGATACTCTCTTGGATATTGGTGATGGGCCATGAAAAATAAATTAGTTCCTTTAAGGAGTATTTTTAAAACTCAGGAATTGCTTAGAGAAAAAAGAGGGGCAAAGCAATTTTTCCCAATAAATTTTTCTGTAATCAATTAAATCTTTTTAGGATTTGGATAATATAACAGACTCAGAATTTTGTCATAAAAAATAAAATTGCCAAGATAATAATATAAAATAAATGTAGAATATTTAATTTTTATGAATTTTCTTTTTAATAAAAAATTGACAAATTATCCCTCAACAATCTTCCAACTGTTTAATGTATTAAAATGATATATGCTATTTAAAAATTATTAGGCATTCATTAAATTGGCAAGATTTTAGATTTCATGTATTCAAGATTTTGCTTTGGTAAGAAGCAAATTCTATAAACTCCCTATTGGAAACACGTATTTTGGGAATTAGATATTTTTCAATGTGAGCTGCTGTTTTCTTCTAACTGCAGGGAAAATGCTGTCTAAAAGAAAATAATAAATTTGTATCTGCTGAGTTCTCTTAGCATAAGGCACCAACAAAACAAGCTTCAGGAAGGGAGAAGAAACCATCCTCCCACTCATCCTTCAGAGGATTTAGATAAAGTGAAGGGAAGAATCGTTCTCCAGCTCCTTCGGAATTTACGCCGGCATCAGGGCAGGCTTGTTACTGCTGGATCCATTGTCTGCTCAAGGTTACTTATTCCACTAAGACGTACATCCTACCACGGACCACGGCTTTGTAGCTAGCCAGGCTCTGAGTGTGTGTGTAGATGAACCATTTCTCTCTCCAGTAAATGAATGACAGTCTTTCTAGGGCTCTTGTCTTCTGCTGGGAGGCAGAGCATCTCTAGCCCAGGAAGAATGCCCAGACAGAGTCAGGGGGAATGGGGACACGAGATAGAGTTCATATTTGTGATCTGTCCCCTTCGTTTCTCTTTTTTCTCTCTCTCCCTCTTTCTTTTTTTTTTTTTTTTTTTTTTGCATGGGTGGTGGTCGGGATGTGTTGTTTTTGTTGTTGTTGTTGTTTAAGATATCATTGGTAAGCATCTCAATATGTGTTTACCAGATAGTATAAACTATTATAAGAACAGAAGATAACAAGACTTTTAATTGGTACAGAAACCTATATTGGGCATCTATTTTGTGCAACCCACCATGCAGGTCATATGAGAGATGCAAGACAATGAGACATAATCCCTCCTTTGTGGAGCTTACAGTCTAAGTGACTGAGACCGGCTCACAGGTAACTGAGTGTTTCAGTCATACTGACGTGTCAGGCAGTCTTTGGTTGCTGAGTACATGGTTATAAAGACTGTGAAGAAACAAATTACCATTCCACCAAAGCAAATCAAATAACGAAGACCCAAATTGGATCACTTCTCATTTTCTATTTTTAAATGTACTTCATAAAGACATTTACTTACTAAAATCAGTTTTTGTCTTATACAACATTAAAGTAACCATATGACCCTTTTAATATAGTTCAAGGAAATTATCTGAATTAAGTAACTTGATTTGTTATTTTTCACCATTGTGGGAATTTTTAGAAGCACCATCATTCTAACTAATAGCCATAAAATACAAGTTTATTTAATAGTTTCTTCAAGTTACATATGTTCGTAGTTTAGTGACAAAAGGTAAATAAAATTAATAAACTTCATAAAAATCAGTGGACTCTGGAAAACATTTTAAAAATTCCTCTGTGAGCAACAGACTTTCAACACATTTTCCCCCAAAGATCAAAGGGCATGAATTAAAATGAAATAAGGAAAGTCTGCTAATTTTTAACCTTTAAAGATTAAGTATTTAGGAAGAGATAGAAACTGAAAATGCCATATGCTTTTTGAAAATTAAAAGAAACATGGAAACCCTGTTCACATGATAAAATTATGACTGTGCACAAAGAATTTTTAGAAGTCATTACTCCTGGATACTAAGATTAGAAATACTTATATACTAAGTAGAGTCATAGTCAGAAAAAAGAAACCATCTGATTGATTTATGAGAATCAATTCAAATAGTCCTTTGAAGTATTAGAATCATTCTGTATAATGGCAAGCACATGGTAGGGTAGTTTCCTAATAAATACTGGGTACAGTTGGGAGAAAACAATGCAGTTTTGGACTAGAGAACCAAAACCTTCTGGAATTTTCTAGGCTTTTTGATTATGGCCAAGCCGCCACTGGGCCTGACCGCTGGCATTATTGGTATCCTAACTTTGGCTTTTTATTAAATAAAAATAAGAAATATTTCTACAAAGGATCACCCCATCCTGGAGGCAGCTCATAGTACAGAAATTGGAATAATCTTGTCTTAAGTTTCTACCAACCTCGTCCATCCTGCTACACACACCATTTTATACTCCAATGAGTATTTAATTCAACAAAAAATAAAAATTAAAAAATGGCCATTTCAGAGTGAAAAAAAAAATGTTCAGGCAAACCAGTTTTTGGATTGACTTGCCTGGTAAGTATTGGCAAATGGTCACTCTGGTAGCCTATGTGCATACCCATCCCAGGAGAGGCTATTAAGTCCTGAAGGGTGGAAGATGGAAAATGAGTTTTGTTTTGCTTTTTTGCTCTTGTTGCCCAGGCTGGAGTGCAATGGCGCGATCTCAGCTCACCGCAACCTCCGCCTCCTGGGTTCAAGCGATTCTCCTGCCTCAACCTCCCGAGTAGCTGGGATTATAGGCATGCCCCACCACGCCCAGCTAATTTTGTATTTTTAGTAGAGATAGAGTTTCTCCATGTTGGTCAGGCTGGTCTCGAGCTCCTGACCTCAGGTGATCTGCCCACCTTGGTCTCCCAAAGTGCTGGGATTACAGGCGTGAGCCACCGTGCCCGGCTGGAAAATGAGTTTTGAAAGCAAGAACCATACTGACTTCTTAACACTTGGGTGCCTTCTTTTTCTTACCATTTCTTCCTTAATTGAGGCACAAATCTTTTAGCTGTTATGCAGTGAATATATCATGGAAGAATTTTTCTTTTAAAAAGGAAAACAAAGAAAAATAAAATTCAATGTCTAAAATATGGCCATGGAGTAAACTAATAATATGCAAGGTGTGTTTACATGTAGTCTACCTTTATCATTTATGATTTTCTTTACCAGTTTTATCTCCAGTATATAACTTTACAAGCATTATTTTTACGTGAAGCTGTGATACTTCGTGGATGAACTTGACAAAATTAGATTTTCTTTTGCCAAGTGTATTAGGGTTCTCCAGAGAGACAGAACTAATAAAGTATAGGAAGGGATTTATCATAAGAAATTTGCTCATGTGATTGTGGAGTCTGAGAAGTCCCCAGATCTGCAGTCAGAAAGCTGGAGACCTGGGAGAGCTGATGGTGTAGTTGTAGTCTGAGTCCAAAGGCCTGGGAACCAGAAGAGCCAATGATACAGTTCCAGTCTAAAAGCTGGCTGACCCAAGGCTCAAGAAGAGCTGATGTTTTAGTGTGAGTCTAAAGGCAGGAAAATCCGATGTCCCAGCTCAAAGGCAGACAGGCAGGAGGAATTACCTCTTACTTGAGGGAGGTTTGGGTCTTTTATTCTAGCCAATTGATTGGATGAAGTGCACCCACATTAGGCAGGGAAATCTTTTTTGCTGAGAATGTTAATCTCACCCAAAAACACACTCACAGACACACCCAGGGTAATGTTTGACCAAATGACTGGGCACCCTGTGGGGCAGTCAAGTTGACACAGAATTACCCAACACAGCAGGTGAGATTCAATCACATGATTCAGTAATTTTAATAATTATATGATTAAATGCTAATAAATTTACATGCAAAGAATTTTGCCTATATTATAAGCTCAAGTATTTGGCCATAGAACATTTAAAGACATGCTTAGCCAATTTAAGGAAAAATTAGTTAGCCATTGCAACATTATCTTCAAAGCTATTGTTGGAATAAAAACTATCCTAAAAAAGTAGCCCCCACTTAATGTGTTGATTAATTCATCTATCTAGCCATGAATGTGTTCCACAAACTTTAGTTGAGTATCTACTATATGCTAGGCACTGTGCCAGGCATATGGCACACAGATACCAAAGAAAATAAACCTGGTTTCTGCCAGCTAGGAACTCTGTCTGGCAAGGTGGGACAGCCAAATAAATAAATTAGGAGGAAAGTGTTAATGGTAGGCTGGCCTGACCACACATCGTATTAGCCTAGAGCAGTCCTCTTTTCTATCTCTTTTCTCAATCTACGAATAGCTCTCTATCATTTGCAAACATACCCTAAGTTGGGCAATAAATTTTGCAGCCACCTGGGTGTAGGCGATGTGAGAGAAGTTTCTCTAAGATACAGTAGGAGTGCCCATGGAGGGAACAGATGATCTAGCTGTTGGAGGGTGGGAGAAGGAGAGCCCTCAATCCTGGGATTAATCCTGAAAAATGAGAGTGGTGTTTAAGATGCAGAGAGAAAAGGAAAGGAGCTTTGTGAAAGAAGGGAACTCTGTGCATAAGGAAAAAGAGGCAGGGCTCAGTCGTAGGTGCAGGACAATTGTAAATATGCAGATCTGGCTAGGGCAGTGGGGTCTGAGGGGCTTGGGAGGCAATAAGGCCGTGGGGGGTTGCAGCCACCACATCCCAGAGGCCTCACTCTGTTGTGCTAAAGAGCTTGAATACATCCCGATGGCGGTTATATGACACAGTGGCAGTCATGGCAGATAATGGTTTGGTTAGATTTGTGATTTAGAACAACAAACACATCTGGTAAAAGTTGACTTCCTGGGCCGGACATGGTGGCTCACGCCTGTAATCCCAGCATTTTGGGAGGCTGAGGTTGGTGGATGACCTGAGGTCAGGAGTTTGAGACCAGGCTGGCCAACATGGTGAAACCCCATCTCTACTAAAAATACAAAACTTAGCCAGGTGTGGTGGTGCTTGTCTGTAATCCCGGCTACTCAGGAGGCTGAGGCAAGGGAATCCAGGAGGCAGAGGTTGCAGTGAGCCAAGATCATGCCACTGCACTCCAGCCTGGGTGACATAGCGAGTTTCCATCTCAAGAAAAAAAAAAGTTTAAAATTCAATTATTACATATTTTATCTTAGACTATTGACTAACTTCACATTCGTGCAATACAGAAATGGGGGAGGTAGCATAATAGCCAATTTTTCCAATTGATGGGAATACATCCTTTGCTTTTGTATATTTTTGTGAGAAAATTATTTCAATTTAAGCATTATGTAATTAGTGACCACTTTTCAGGAATTGAACCACTCTGTAAATCCAGATTTGTGGATGGGGAGACAGAACATCAGAAAGTTATGAAAATAAAACTTGAAAAGGTAATATAAAATTTAAATGAAGTGGGAAAAAGAGTCAGAAATTCTTTACACTTTCAGAAATTTGATTCCTTCAAATTATATGTGAGTTTTTGTGATTATTTACTGATCACTGCCTACAATTACACTGTTTTTAAGGGATGACACTTGGCAACCATTTAACTGAACTTCACTTTCCCATTGGAGGTGTCGGATGTCATGAGAAGTTAAGAGACTAGGCAAGTCATAGTCAGAGACATCCCTAGACCAGTGTAACATTTCCCAGGAAAGACACAAGAGTTGTATTTATCATTACATTCATTTCCTTAATATAGCTCATATCCTTTTTTGAAGGATATGTTGTAAGCCTGAGGTCCTTTTAGAAAATCTCAATTTGTCTGACAAGAAAATAAAGATCACAAAAACCCTTAGTTTCTCAACAAGAAAGTAAATAAGATGAAAAATCCTTGTGTGGTGAGTTAATATTTTGAAATCTCTCTCTCTCTTTTCCTCTGTATTCTCTCTCACCCCCTCATGTCTCCTCCATTCAATTAAACTAGTAAATAAGATGAAAAATCCATGTGTGGTGAGTTAATATTTTGAAATCTCTCTCTCTTTTCCTCTGTATTCTCTCTCTCCCCTTCATGTCTCATCCATTCAATTAAACTATATCATCTTCTGCTTATTGAACCAAGAAAGGAATGTGACAGAAAGAGAAAAAAAAGAGCCTCTACTAGGATTTTGAGTTTACAGAGACAAGGCCTTGGGGAAGCAGCAAGGATTCATGGCATAGACCAGGGGTTCTAACCAGGCAGCTTGTTTCCACCCCTTAGGGGACATTTGGAATTGTGTTGTGTGGGATTGGGGAGATGTTTGTCACAATAACTGGGAAATATCCCATTATCTACAAGTAGTAGATGGGGCCAAGGATGCTAAACATTCTGCAAGGAGTGGACAGTCCTACATACCAAAGAAGGGCTGACCCCAAGTGTCAAGAGCACCCCTGTTAAAACTTACTGGAAGGCAAAGATATAGAAAAATTGGAACCCTTGTACATTGCTGGTGGGAATGTAAATGGTGCAGCACTGTGAAAAAGAGTTTAGCAATTAAACAGAGAATTACCATATGATCCAGCAATTCCCCTTTTGGGTATAATCCTTTTGCATCCAAAAGGATTAAAAGCAGAGATTTAAGCAGATATCTATACACCAATGTTCATGGCAGCATCATTCACAATAGTCAAAAAAGGTGGAAACAAGCCAAGTATCAATCATTGGATGAAAGGATAAAGAAAACATGGTGTATACATACAACAGAATATTATTCAGACTTAAATAGGAAGGAAATCTGACATGTGCTTCAACAAGATAAATTTTGAAGATAGTATGTTAGTGAAATAAGCCAGTAATAAAAAGACAAATATGTAACTCCACTTATAGGAATAGAAAGTATCTAGAATAGTCAAATTCATAGAGACAGAAAGTAGAAGAGTGGTTGCCAGGGCCTGAGGCAGTTAGTGATGAATGGATATAGAGTTTCAGTTTGGAAAGATGAAAAAATTCTGGAAGCAGAAGGTGGTGATGGTTGCATAACAATGTGAATGTACTTAATGCCATGAACTATATACATTTTAAAATGGTTAAAATGGTAAATTTTATATTATATATATTTTATCACAGTTTAAAAATAAAAAATGCCACTCACTCAAGGAGAGGAGCTGACGTTGAAAGCAATTCTGTTTTGCCCTTGGTACCAAAATTGAAGAAGGCTGGGGGAAGAAGCATGGTGGGCAAGCATGAGAGGCAGATAGTGTGGGCTCCTGGGCAAGGGCCTGCACCCTGCTCTTGGGGAATGGGCAGAAACCTTGACAGATTTAAGACAAAGGAAACTTGGACCTCATTTCCTAGGTAAATCTCTGAGGGGGAAAAAAAAAATATATATATATATATAATGAATTGAAGGGTAGGCAGATGGAAATAAAGGCCTCATAAGGATTGAATTTGTGACCACAGACAACCCAGGTTGATTCGCAAGTCAGTGTGCACTGAGTAGAGACAACCTACAGAACCACACGAGCCCACCCAATGCCTTGGTTCTGTGTGAGCCACCCCAGAATTCACAGGTAACAGCATATGGACAGGGAAAGTTCCTGAACTGGCTGCATAAGGGCTTGAAATAGAATTTTAATTGCATCATAAAGTTAAATTTCTTGCATACTGAATCTCCAGCCTGATATAAGAAGCCATCACAGCTGGGCATGGTGGCCTGTAGTCCTAGTTACTCAGGAGGCTGAGATAGGAGGATCACTTGAGCCAATGAGGTTGAGGCTGCAGTGAGCTATGATTGCACCACAGCACTCCAGCCTGGGTGACAGGGCAAGATCCCATCTCTAAAAAAGAAAAAAATAATAAAAAATTAAAAAGAAGCCAGTATTACATTCCTTTCAGCTCTAAGCTACCCTAATGCTTGGAGCCTTCATAGTAACATTCCATGGTAATTTTTTCACATGTATGAGATTTTCCATCATAAGTGACTACAATTAGCATATCTGGGTGATGTGTATGTGTTGGTTCCTTGTTTTACCTGGAACAGAAGGAAGGAATTGGCTGCCAGATATTTGAAAATTTGTTGTTGGAAATGGCAGCACTGCATGTAAGAGGAGCTTTTTCAAATGAATCAGTAGATAAAAGGTGGAAGCTTGGCTCTTCCAGCCAAGCTCCCTTCAACAAGAGGAATGAAAATTGTAGTTCAATGCCTGCTGCTCACTTATCTCGTGTCTCATATCTTACTGCAACTTCCAGAATGAAAAGACCCTGCCACAATGAGGGGCTGAGTAATTAATTGCCTGAAACACATGGGTAGTCTGAAATTTGAGATTCTTATAAAGGTGTGACTCACAGCTTTCTTAGAAAAAGAGAACAAATATCCATTGCACCAGGAACAGGGAAATTTCCCTCCCATCTTCTTCTCTTTCCTATTAGGTAAGTGCTTTTTATTCGGTCATTCCCAAAATGTTTTGGGGTTGGGGGTGCATCGATTTAGCACACACCCTATGGAGAGCTGGGATACTCTCCTCTTCCAAGGCAGCACAGCCCATACCCAAGCAGCTTTCAATTGTAGGTGACTATTTTCTATCTGGGAGTGGAGGAAGGAAAGTGGAAAGTTAGTTGAATAAATATAATTAAGCTACTGGTGTGAGATATTTCAGCACAGGGTCTTGTTTTTGTTTTTCTTTAAAGGAATAATGCTAAACCCAGTTGGTTTTCTTTTTTTTCCCTTCCTTCCTTCCTTCCTTCCTTCCTTCCTTCCTTCCTTCCTTCCTTCCTTCCTTCCTTCCTTCTTTCCTTCCTTCCTTCGAGACAGGATCTCATTCTGTAGCCCAGGATGAAGAGCAGTGGCATAATCATAGCCCACTTCAGCTTTGACCTCTCAGTCTCAAGTGATAGTCCCCCCACAGCCTCCTGAGTAGCTGGGACCACAGGCATGCACCACCATACCCAGGTAATTTTTTAATTTTTTGGTAGAAACAGGATCTCATTATGCTGCCCAGGCTAGCCTTGAACTCCTCGCCTCAAGCAATCCTCCCACCTTGGCCTCTCAAAGAGCTGGGATCCAACTGGATTTTGGAGATAAATCCCTGAGGAAAAAAACTGGGCTTGGCTCCCCAGAACACCTGGATTTTAGTATCTGAAAATTAAAGTTAATTGGAAAAACATAATTCCGACTTAATATAGCTTTAACCTGCTGATCTCAATGTACTATGATTACTCCCAGTGTTAATTTTAAGTTTGAAATATAGTCTCATGTAAGAGGTGACTCACATAGAATCTCATCTCTTCATCTTAATAATTCTACTGCAGATAAATGTTCTCTGGGCTATTAAGGCAAATCCTTGTAATCCTGGGAATGTGGTCCTTAGGCAACTAACCTCTTGATGGAAGAAAAAAACAAAAAACAAAAAACAAAAAAAACCAGTCCTGGTCTTCATCACTTTTCTGTACTTTACTAAGCTTGGGTTTGGGTAGTTTCCAGTTTTCTAGTGTCCAGAGAGAATTCATCTGCCTATAAGACTTCTGAATATTCTTATTTTCCTCGCATTTCTGTGTGGACTGTCTCAGTGTTAGCTTTTCCTCTTGCTTGCTCCTGCTCTCTCTCTTCCCTCACACCCCACACCCCTTCACCCTGGGAATTAAAGGCATGTACTCTGCAGTCTCAGTAACACCAGCTTTTAAGTGAGACCACAGTACAAAATAATAAATGAGATTTTAAACAGTGTTTGAAGTGGGTGCGAGCCATGTTGTACATTTCAAGACCAATATTCTTGCAGAAGCCACTGTGGAAGATGACGAAAGGAAAATGAATCACAGATGAGGAAGAAACAAAAACAAATGAAATAAAGAAAACGAACGGACACAGACTTTAGGAATGATGTTTGATTCCTAATTAGGCTTGATATTACCATGTTTGGTTACTGGTGTGTTTTCATTCATGTCTTTTGACCTGCTTAAAAAAGGAAAGAGGTCACTTCAAGGGATCCACATTTCAATTTCAGTGTGTGGCACAATTACTCTATACTAAGAGTCTACTAGCCGTCATTCCCACAGTAAGGCCTGGCTTGTTCGTACACTGGGTGCATCTCTGATCTAATTTTATTATGGATGACAGCATGACATTCATTTCCACCACATTCTACACCGCTCCAATTCTGAACTTGGCATGTAATAGCCATAAAATAACATGAGTAAAGAAGGGGACTCCTGCACAGAACTCTGGAAACCAATGCCCAATTTACGAGTCCAAGCATGCATGACTACTGTAAACCAGAATGGTACTAAAACCAATAGATATATGAGAAGAAAATGAATAGTTACGTAAAGGTTTATTGTAGACACTGGTTCATTTTCATAATTTTAGGTTGAATATACCCAGCTGATGAAAGCTTTGAAAAACTGAGTATAATTCCTTATTAAAATTAAAAGCACAACCTGTTTTTTTTGTTTGTTTGTTTTTTTGTTTTTTTTTTTTTTTGAGACAGAGTCTTGCTCTGTTGCCTAGGCTGGAGTGCAGTGGCATGATCTAGGATCACTGCAGCCTCTGCCTCCTGGGTTCAAGCGATTCTCCTGCCTCATCCTTCGAAATAGCTGGGATAACAGGCTTGTGTCACCATGCCTGGCTAATTTTTGTATTTTTAGTAGAGACGGGGTTTCACCATGTTACTCAGGCTGGTCTCAAACTCCTGACCTCAGTGATCCACTCGCCTCCGTCTTCGAAATTGCTGGGATTACAGGCGTGAGCCACCATGCCCAGCCGACCTGTTATTTTTGAAAGAAAGCTAACTTTAGGGAACTCAGTATTTGCATGGCACCAAATTATCACCCCAGGATGACTAGCGAATTGACAAAGGGAAAATATATCTTAATAGTAAAGAGAATTGTGGTTGCCATTACCTTAATTTGGGAATCAAACTTGGCATCACTAATAGTGAGAAAACCAGGCTCAATGTGATCCTGATGCCATGCACTATGTTTTTAAAATTTTTATTAAAAATTTTTTTTGTGAGAGAGCCTCTCGGTCTGTCACCCAGGTTGGAGGGCAGTGGCATGATCACAGCTCACTACAGCCTCCAACTCCTGGGCTCAAGCATGATCCTCTCATCTCAGTTTCTTGAGTAGCTGAGACTACAGGTGTGAGCCACCATGCCTGGCTGCTGCCATGCAGTATGAAGGAGATAGCCTCATCTATGAGTATTCTTCAAAATGTGTAACCTGAATCAAGTCAAGACTTTAGGTGTGTAGGCTATACAGAGGATGGAGGAACAAGTTAAGCCACTTTAAAGAAAGAATCAAAAAGTCTAGAACTGGGGCCTTCTATAAGACAGGCTTAGTACAGTACAAAAAAGTGATGAAGACCAGGACTGGTTTTTTTTGTTTGTTTGTTTTGTTTTTTTTTAAGGCCTGGCCTTTTAAAAAAGTCAATAGCATGAGAAAAGGGGAAACAGGGCTGGGCTCTGGATTAAAAAAGATGGACGACATGACAATTGTCACATGTGTTCCTTGATTAGATTCAAAATTGGAAAAAAACTCTACATATACTGAGTTGATCATTATACAATTCTACATGCATTGAAACATCACACTGTACTCCATAAGAATGTGCAATTATTATGTAGCAATTATAAATAAAAATTAATTTTAAAACAGTATGTTCTTAAAAACCCTATAAAACCATGATAATCATTTGAATATGGACTGCGTATTATATGATATTAAGGAATTACTGTGAATTTATTAAGTGGCATATATTGGTATTTGGTTATGTTAAAAAGGTGTCCTCATTTTTTTTTAAATGTATGCTGAAGTACTGGAGGGTGATTGATTTTAAAATGGTCTAGCAACCACAAAAAAACAGATGAAGCAAAGATGGCAAAATAATAACAATTATTAATTAAATGTATTGGGTTATGGGTATGCATTGTATTATTTTTTCTATTTCTCTGCATGTTTGAACATTTTTATGATAAAAAGGTAAGGAAAAAAACCTTAGCTTTTATTAGTTGCTAATGAAAATCAGGTGTTTCAAAACTAATTAGTTTTTCTCTATCCATTTGGACCAGATCACCCTTCCAAATGAGCAAAAAATTTAAAAATAAAATAACATACTGATAATTTTTAAAAATTAAGCACAGGTGCAGCCCTCAAGTGTCAACAACAGCAACAAAATGGCAATAATTTAAACCACATCAATTTCCCTTTAATTATCTTTATCTTATGAGATACAAACAAAAATTTGCAGTGGTAACAGTGTCTGGTGTTTATGTTTAAATCCATATAAATTGGTTACTTGCTGTTCATATCAGTGAATGGTTTAAAGTGAAAACAACCCTGGTAATCACAAATTATCTGTTGTAATCAACTTTTCCACGTGAGTTAATTGAAGCATAGTGAGTACCAATAAGTAAAAAGAAAGCTAGGCTTAGGGAACAGTTCACAATTTATAAATAATTATGCCACTTAGCAAATTAGTAAAGTAATTTACTCCTCACATCTACAAACCCTTGAACAACACAGGTTTGAACTGCGAGGGTCCGCTTATATGTGGATTTTTTTCAGTAAAAGTTACATTAAGTGTGTCTGGCTCTCCTGCCTCCCCCTCCACATCCTCCACCTCTTCCGCCTCTGCCACCCCTGAGACAGCAAGACCAACCCCTCTTCCTGCTCAGCCTACTCAACTTGAAGAGGACACGGATGAAGACCTTTATGATAATCCACTTCCACTTAATGAAAGTTAATATATTTTCTCTTCCTTGTGATTTTCTTATTAAAATTTTCTTTTCTCTAGCTTACTTTACTGTAAGAATACAGTATATAATACATCTAACACAAAATATGTGTTAATCAGCTGTTTATGTTATCAGTAAGGCTTCCAGTCAACAGTAGGCTATTAGTAAAGTGTTTGGGGAGTCGAAAGTTACACTCAGATTTTTGACTGCAAGGGTGTCAGCACCTCTGACCCTTGTGTTGTTCAAGAGTCAACTTTTTTTTTTAATCAGCCTACTTTCCTATCTGGATTTATGTGTAGAGTATATGGATTAAATTAAATATTTATATTTTACTGTATACATTTGACTTACATTATCTTGATTTGGTGGTTGAGTGATCATTATAAAATTGCTGGAATTCATTTCCTGTAAGAATAAAGTAATTAGCAGTTGGGCATAATGGAAATGGCATGGGACTGGGAGTTATAAAACCTGAATGATATAGGCCACACTTATGTGCTTGTGTAACTAAATAAATATCTGTTTGACTTTGGGCAAATCTTTAGTCTTCTTGAGTGTTAATATCCTCATTTAGATATATCCATGGTTAGAATAGGTTAGAGACTCTTAACTTGGGTTGGAAGGATCCACAAATTCCCCTGAAATTAACATATGTCATGTGTACTAGTGTAGAAGCATTTTTCTGAGGGGAAGTGTGGTAAATTAGATACAGTCACAGGTCTTTGCAGTAACTTCCATCTAAACATACTGTCTTTTTTCTTGTCCATTGATCTGGGCTGGCCTTGTGACAGCTACTCTGTCCAAAAGAATGAGGCAAAGGCAGAAGCACAGGGCACAGTGGCTCATGTCTGTAATCCTAGAAGTTTGGGAGACTAAGGCTGGAGGACCACTTGAGGTGAGAAGTTTGAGACCAGCCGTGGCAACAAAGCAAAACCCTGTCTCTACAAAAAATTGAAAACTTAGCCAGGTGTGGTGATGTGTGCCTGTAATCCTAGCTACTTGGGAGGCTGAGGCCAGAGGACCACATGAGCCCAGGAGGTCAAGGCTGCAGTGAGCTATGAATGTGCCACTGGACTCCAGCCTGGGTGACAAAGTGAGACCCTGTCTCACACACACACATGCACACACACATACACACACTATATTATATATTTCATATATATTTTTTATATGTTATATATTATATATAATATATATTAAATATATAATACATATAATATATTATATATGAAATATATAATATATTGTACATATTGTATATATAATATATAATATATTATATATTTCATATGTATAATATATTATATAATTTATATGTAATATATTTCATGTATATTTTATATATAATATATTTCATGTATATTTTATATATATTATATAATTTATCCTATATATTACATATATTTTATATATAATGTATATTTTATATATGAAATATACATATGAAATATATAACATATAACATATAATATATTATATATGATATATATTATATGATATATCATATAATATATATATTATATATAATATATGATATATCATATATGATATATCATATATGATATATAATATATGATATATCATATATGATATATTATATATTACATATCATATATTATATATTATATATTACATATGATATATTATATATTATATGTAATATTATATTATATATTATATATTATATCATGATATATATTATATATTATATCATGATATAGTATATATTATATATTATATCATGATATATATTATATATTATATTCTGATATATAATATATTATATATTATATTCTGATATATAATATATATTATATATTGTATTATGATATATAATATATATTATATATTGTATTGTGATATATAATATATATGATATATTATATTGTGATATATAATATATATGATATATTATATTGTGATATATAATATATATGATATATTATATTGTGATATATAATATATATGATATATTATATTGTGATATATCATATATATGATATATTATATTGTGATATATCATATATATGATATATTATATGTGATATATCATATATATGATATATGATATATCATATATCATATATATGATATATGATATGTAATATATATAATATATATAATATATAATATATAATATATATTTCATATTACATATGTTATATATATTTCATATAATATATGTTATATATATTTCATATAATATATGTTATATATTTCATATATAATATAAATCATATATAATATATTATATATTTTATATAATATATAGTATATTATATATGATATATATTACATATTATATAATATATTATAATATACATATATAATTATAAATATAATATACATAATATATAATATACATGATATAATATATAATATACCATATATAATATATAATATATAATATACAATATATAATATATAATATAGAATATAGAATATTTTCTACATTATATATAATATATAATATATTTTCTATATTATATATTATATATATTTTCTATATTATATATAATATATATTTATATATTATATATTTTCTATATAATATATATTTTATATATCATATATTTTCTATGTAATGTATATTTTATATATTATATATTTTATACATAATATATTTAACATATTATATAATATATAATATATATTATATATTATATATTATGTATATTTTATACATTATATATTATATACATATAATATATATTATATATTATATACATATGATATATAATATATATTATATACATATAATATATAATATATATTATATACATATAATATATATTATATATTATATACATATAATATATATTATATATTATGTATATTTTATATGTTATATATTATGTATATTTTATATATTATACATTATGTATATTTTATGTAGTATATATTATATGCATGTAATATATATTATATGCATATAATATATATTATATATTATATATAACATGATGTATAATATATATTATATATTATATGCATATAATACATATTATATATTATATGCATATAATACATATTATATATTATATACATATAATACATATTATATATTATATACATGTAATACATATTATATATTATATATTATACATATAATATATATTATATGTACAATATATTATATATAATATATATTATGTATATTTTATATATTATATATTATATACATATATAATATACATTATGTATATTTTAGATATTATATATTATATTATATATTATATATAATATTATATATATTATATATAATATTATAAATATAATATATAATATATTATAAATATAATATATAATATATAATATATTATATATTATATATTATATAATATATTATATATTATATATTATATATTATATAATATATTATATATTATATATTATATATTATATAATATATAATATATCATATATATTACATATAATGTAATATATAATATATTATATATATTATATATTACATTATATGTAATATATATGATATATTATATATAGGATAAATTTTTTTTTTAAAAAGGAATGAGGCAAAAATGATGTCATGTGACTTCTCAGCCTTGGTCTCAAGAAGCCTTGCAAGTTTTGCTTTCATTGTCTACCAAGTGAATTAGTCACTACCAAGTAAATCAGACCTAGCTGTCTTGCTGGAAACACATGGCCCAGCTGACAGCCAACAACAAGTACCAAACATGACTGAGGCTATCTGGGCCATTCAGCCTCATGTAAGCCATTAGATGACTGAGGCTGCCTGAGTGATCCCAGACAAACCCAGCAGAAGAACTACCAGCTGGGCCCAGCACAAATTGCAGAATTACGAGCAATTTAATGGTAGTTGTTTTAAGCCATTAAGTTTTGCGATAGTTTGTTATACCATACTATCTAACCACTTCAAGAGGATACATAGATTTTTATCTGATTCTCAAAGATTATGAACTACTACTGAAGTTGAATTAGATTGTTAAAAATTGTGGCTGGGCCCTGTGGCTCATGCCTGCAATCCCAGCACTTTTGGAGGCTGAGACAGGCAGATCACTTGAGGTCGTGAGTTTGAGACCAGCCTGTTCAACATGGTGAAACCCCGCCTCTACTAAAAATACAAAAATTAGCCAGGTGTGGTGGCACACACCTGTAATCCCAGCTACTCGCGAGGCTGAGGCATGAGCATCTCTTGAACTTGGGAGGTGGAGGTTGCAGTGAGCCGAGATTGTGCCACCGCACTCCAGCCTGGGCAACAGAATGAGACTCTGTCTCAAAAACAACAAAAAAAATTGTATGATTCCCTGTCTCTCTACTCTCTTCATAAACTATGTCAAAGGCATGATTTAATTTAGCAAATCTTGCATTCAAACTGCATTTTAAAGTAAATCCTAGAATTATGTAACTGAAGAATCAGCAGGCCCTGGAGTCTGTAGTTCAGAGAATTTCTCTTCTTTCCTCTTGAAAAAGTATGTTGGGCAGTGTTTAGGCATCTCTTTCATTCTCCATATTTTTTAAAGATTAAAGCAATTTCATCTGAAACTTCTATTTACATTTTGGTTTGTTATTTCCAGGCCAGTGTTTAAACTTATTTATGACAGTTAGAATCTGCTCCTAGGTGATTTTAACCTTAAATTCTTTCTTACCAAAGAGTCTGAGAGTGTTCCATTTTGCATCCTTCACCACTGACATAATGCCATCACAGCTGGCCATGTATCGTAGGCTTTCTTGCTTTGGATTCAAACAGCCCTTTTCATCATCTAGAATGTTAACCTCCTTTTAAACTTTCTGACTCTTCTCACATATTCTTGACAGATTTTTTTTTCCATGCTTGTTTTTCTAGATCAGCTTTTGCATTTAACACACACCATTTAAAAATATATCTGATCTCAGCAGACAGCTTCCTACCCAAAGACACTAAATCTTTTTGGCTACCTCCTTCCTTTTTCTTTTCTTCTTCTTCTTCTTTTCCTTCCTGCGTTGGACCATTTACAATAGTAGCATCAGAATTTTATTTTGAGGAATCTCCTCTGCTTCTTTTTGGAATCTCAGACTGGGGTGTCAAAGTCAAGCTTTTATAATTTCCTGAAATATTTTTAGGCTCAGACTAACAGAGTGTGTGTCTGGCAGTGACCACATCCCTCTGGAATTTTCTGATGGCCAGGTGGCCCTCTTCCAGGGTTCCTGTCACTTCTGATTTTCCATTCAGGGCCTCCTTGTTGGCCAGAATTAGAAGCAGGGTGTTAATCCTCCTCCTCACTTCCTCTCCGTCTCCCTTCTGAAAGATGAAATTATCATTTGGGTTACTGATTCTTACCCTGGCTGCACATTCAAATCACTTGGGGAGCTTAAAAAGAAAAAAAGTCTGAGGCCCCACCCTGAGAGAGTCTGCTTTAATTAGTATGGGGTGGAGCCTGCCTGTCAATTTTTTATTTTAAATTCTGGGACTATTCTAATGTGCAGGCAGGGCTGAGAATACTAATTGAGGCAAATCATGGACTTATCAGATGTTCTGAATTTAGGAAATGAGACATCTGGCAGATGGCTGGATAGTTGAAGCTCTCACCATTAAGATTTTGAATGCCTCTTTTCTCCAGTCCATTACACTTCAACACAAGCAATCTAGTTCTAGCATGTCTAAACAGGATAATGACAACCAGAACCATGATATTACTTTCTGATTGTTGATATTAATCTCAACACAGCTCTAACATCAGTAAACAAGATGAAGCTAGACAGCAAAAGTCCTTTGAAAATCTCAGAAGACATGATTTGGGACATTAGCTTTTCTGAAATTCCAAATAAAGATGAACCATGTTGCTCTTGATGGGTTTCCTTATTCATTGAGAGTAATTTGACAAAGGAAGTAAATTTAAAATGAGAAAATAAAATATTATTTTTCACCTTTTTTAGTCAGTGTTCAGGATGTTAATTCTTAGACAAAAGGCAATTGAGATGTGAAATACATTAGAATTTTTTAAAATTCCCTCTCAGCACATATCATATACACCACATATTTGGGCTTTTTTTAAATTTTAAATTTAAGTTGTTAATTATCATCAAGTATGCAAATTCAATTTTCCATAAGCCTATTTTTCTCCTTTCTCCATAGAAATGGCCTATTTTGGCTGGGCATGGTGGCTCATGCATGTAATCCCAGCACTTTGGGAGGCCGAGGTGGGCAGATCACTGAGTTCAGGAGTTCGAGATCATCCTGGGCAACATGGTGAAACCCCATCTCTACTAAAATGAAAAAATTAGCTGGGTGTGGTGGCACGCACCTGTGGTCCCAGCTACTTGGGAGGCTGAGGCATGAGAATCGCTTGAGCCCCAGAGGCAGAGTTGCAGTAAGCCGAGATTACACCATTGCACTCCAGCTTGGGCTATAGAGTGAGACTCTGTCTAAATAAATAAATAAATAAATAAATAAATAAATAAATTTAAAAAATGGTCTTTTTCTTGTTAGTGGCAGAGCTGATTTTGGTGTTATTTTCTGAGCTGAGCTAAGTGTTGGCTAAACTGGGACATTTAGGAATAAGTGGCAAGTCCTCCCTACAGTCACGTGACTCAAAATGAGCATCTCTTCAAGGGACCCTGAACAAGGCACAGCTGCATCATGGAAATCTCAGTCCATTCTGGGATTGGCCAAGCATGATTATTTAACTTGGTAGGTGATGTTGGACACTATGGGCATGCAGGGGGAAATCAGCCTCTTATGAATTACAGGTAACCATGGAAGAACATGAGGATGTGCTTTTCTTGAATGTTCACTCAAAGAACAAAAGGCCTAGAAATAGAGCGTTCTAAAATTCTAGTTCTTATCTGCTCTGAGTTAGCTGTGTAGAAACTGCTATCTGGGGACAGTCAAAGTTCAGAGGTATGGTCTGCAGAATCCACAAACACATAGGCAACAGAGAGGATAAGCAACTTGTTCATGTTGAAACACTACAACTGCTTTCAATCAAGCAGGCCCTTTTGGGATGAAATACATTTTGTCAATAATTCAGTTTTGCAAATGTTTTGCAATATGGTTTCATCTGACAAACCCTCTCAGTGGTGTATTTTTCCACTTTCCAAAGAAAGCACATGTAGAAAAATGATGTCAAATAACATTAATGAGTGTGTTTTGAAACTGTGGACACTAGGGAAGCTAGCCTTGGTCCTTACTCCAACTCTAACTCATGCCATCTTGAGCTAGGATTACTGGAGTTTGAAAACAATGCATGAAAAGATGGCAGAATGAAAAAGAGTGCTTGACAAAACATGACACAGCTAATAGCACAGTGAAGACAGCTGATACAACGTTTCTTAAAGTTGGTGGGTTTAATTCAGACTGAGTGTTATTTTAATGTCTCATTCATTTTACATGGAAGGACATACCTAAATATACACAATTATTTCATCATCCACTGCCAAATATCAACACTGAAAACAATGTATGCTTTTGTTCTGTTTCAGGGCAAAGATAATAGATTCATGCATAAGTGTTTACAGAAGCTTTTTAAAAAATAATCAAGTTATGTTTCTGTTCCTACCAAAACTGTGCAGTCTTTCTAAGCAATTCTGTTGACTTCCTGGAGAAAAGAGAAGATTCCCACTGCTTCAAATTAAGGTCCACATATTAGCAGAGGAATTATTGGTTATGACTAATTGAAAACAGATCTAAGTTTCTTTTAATTAGAAATAAGTACATTCATTTTATAAATGATTTGTCATAAGGAGAGCAATCATGTTCACATCTGAAGTATACTTCATGAGTCCATTTTTCCACTTCTTTCCTCAGTAGTTCAGGAAAAAACATATGCTGCGTTTCTAATTTTTTTTTTTTGTTTGTTTGTTCATTTGTTTTGGTTTTACAAGCAATACAATCAATCTTCTGATTTCATCCTAAAATAGTAGGCATTCCTACTTTGGTACAATTCAACCAGGATTGCACAATTGCTGGGATCAAAAGAAGAAGACATTCTACCTCTTCACTTGAACTGAGTCAGTGTGAATTAATTTTAAATGTCAAACTAGATTTAGATAAAACATACTTGAAAAACCATGCTGTTTGCTTAAGAAAGAGGTTAATGAGGAAAATGTAATCCCCACTTGAATGCCATTGGAATGCAAAACCACATTTATTTGCATGTGTGGTATCTGTAAAAGGTCCAAGGAATTTTGTTTTTGGTGTTTTGAATTGTTTATAATGTATTCTCTTTTTATTCCATCTACTAACAATTCCCAGAAATGATGGAAATAAAAAGACGGAAAAATATAAATGCATTTGGGTTCTAAGAAAATTACCAGCTGCAACATCAGTTCTAGCCACAGTTCATAAAGCAGGTGATTATGGGGACAATAAAGAAAATGTCATTAAATCAGAAAAATCCCTTGAATCTTGCCAATTCCATGACAGTGCCTAGAAGTCTGACGATTCTAAATTGTCCACGCCAAATTTTGCAACAAAATTTCACTAATAATGATGCTCATTTGCAAGGATTTAGTTTAGATATTCCAGGCTGCAGGACATGAAACACACTGGATAATTTTCTTTGACATTATGGCTTATTAAATCACTTCCCAAAGTGTCAAGTAAAACAAAACCTATTCTTTTAAAAGCAACCCTGGAAGGGTCACTGACTTTTCAATAGACCAGTTTCTTTTTCACTTTTAGGTTAATTTCTCACACATTTTTGGTTCAGGAATTGCTTCATTAAGAACACTGGATTTCAAAACAACCCCATTTCCCTCAGAGGCCCAGGAACCAGAAGGCAGCTCAGCACTGGAAGCCACAGGCCACCAATTAACAACAACTAGCCAGGCCCTGCGGGTCATGGACATTTTGGCAGAAAGTTGGTCATATTAATGTTCAGGCCACAAGTTCCCATTTCACGTGGAGTTGCTGCCCGATTGCAGGAAAGTGCTAATGGTTAGGATTACCATTGCTTAAACTTTTATTTCAATGCCTTGATCTGTCACTTGACTGTTTCCCCCTAGGCTTTAAAATATGCAAGAATAAAAATGAAACAAAAATTAACATGTTTATAACCTCTCCTAATATTTCTATTTCTGTCATGTTCTCCAAGATACAAAGAGTAATACAGTTCTACTGTAACTAATTCCCTCTGGAAGCCTCTATTGCCCTGGACTAAAGTTTTCAGGGGCAGGTCTTGCTGTGGAGTTAACTCCACAGGAAAGGAGTCTGCCCAGTCTGGTCCCTCCTGTGGCTCCTTCTGAACCAAGTGTCCCGTCCTCTCCCTGCCCTGGGATGTGGGACCTGCCCTGCAGGAGGAGGCCTGTAGTGTCCCATTATGCCAGGGACTGGGTGGCTAACAGCTGATGGAGTATTCACAGGCATTGCAGCAACTCTCTCAATCTAGCTCTTATCAGTAATACAGCTGACATTTTTAATCTGTCAATCTGATCCCTGTCACCAAACTCTGGCTGGGATGAGAGGCACACTTTATTAGGCCTCTTAAATCCTAACTATTTCACAGAAATAAGTGAACTAATACAGAATTCTCTCTCTCTCTCTCTCTTTTTTTTTTTTTTTAACAGTTTTAGCAACAAGTCCATCCTGGTTTCCTGTGCCCCACTGCATGCACATGATCTTTGCTCCGGGATCTGGGCTGATGAGTCACTTCTCTGTATCGTTGCTGACATGGTGGTAGAGGGACTAAAAACCAAGGGCAGTTGTTTCCACTCACATTTCACTGCTGAGTGCCAGTCATATGGTCACAACCACCTGCCACAGAGTGGGAATGTGTACTCCTCCTGCAGAGATCGGTACCATGTATTTGTGAGCAATGTTAACAGTTACCAAACAATTCCCTCTGGACAAAAATTACTTAAGTGGCATATATTCAGTCTTATCTCTGCTCAGGAACAATTGAAGAGTCAAGGAATCAGCTCCTGAGTAATATCTGCAAGTACAGGGTTCTAAGGTGGGGTTTAGACAGCAAGGTGGGCAGAGGAAATGACTGTAATGTTGCAGAGGAGATGTGCAATGCCCACCCAGCTCTCCGCTTGCACTGAACAAAGCTGACTTTCCCCAGTAACTTGTCATTCAACCCTCAGGCTGAAAAGTGAAAACTCACCATCTTACCTTAAGTAGTTTAGTGCCTACTGGGGAGTGAATGTCCAGATATAAGAGCGTAAACTAGAACAAGGCTGGGTGCGGTGGCTCATACCTGTAATCCCAGCACTTTGAAAGGCTGAGGTGGGAGGATCACTTGAGCCCAGGAGTTTGAGACAAGCCTGGGCAACATAGTGAGACTCCATCTCTACAATTTTTTTTTTTAATTAGCTGGATGTGGCTGCATGTGCCTGTAGTCCCAGCTACTAGGAGGCTGAGGCAGGAGGATCGCTTGAGCCTGTGAGGTTGAGGCTGCAGTGAGCTGTGGTTGTGTGACTGCCCTCCAGCCTGGGTGACAGAGTGAGATCCTGTCTCAAACATTTTTATTTTAAATAAAAAAAAGAGGACAATATAAAATCAAGTATCAAAACAGGCAGAATAGTCAGTCATTGAGCCTTAGCAAAAATTTTTGCCTAAACACTCTAAAAAGTTGCTGTTTTTCCTCCTTTGGTTTGAAAGTCAGAAAAAGAAGCAGTGAGGCCTCATGGTGAAAGAGGCAGCATGAGAGCCATCCAGAATGTTTGTCCCTTCAGCCTCCTGGTTGGGGATTGTTGACGACCTCTCCTGGATTGGACTCATTCCCCCACCCCAAAACTACCCACAGCTGAGGACAGCCATCTAAACACCTGCAGAGTCTACACTACTCCATGCCCACACTAATCCAGACCTCAGGCATGAGGCACCCAAGCAGGCTTGTTTCCTGTGTCAGTCACGGTTCAATACAGGAAACAGAAAACTCTCTAGATCTGCCAAGATCAGAGGGATTTAGTAGGAGGTATGAAGTGGAAAGGCTGGAGGAGTAGAGTCAGCGGCAACCATCAGAGCCCCCTACACCCACGAGGCTGGAGACTAGACAGTGGGCCATGGAGTCTAGTTAGTGGCCTAACTGGCCACTGCCCATACTTATGTCTCCCAGAGCCCTCTCGTACACCTACACAGCTGAAGAGGGAGAGCAGCTTCCTTTGTACTGCCTTTCAAATCCTACGTGACCGCACTTCATGATCAGAACCTAAACTGCATCCTGATCTCTTACAGCAAAGTGACTGGGAATTACAGTTTTTACACTTCTAGGCCTGCAATACAGGGCGGTGGGGAAACCTACCAATGCCATGTGCTATGGACAAGAACAAACACACTCTTCTACAGGGATTGACACTGAGTCACAGGCCTTAGTGGACTAAGAACAGGGTGCCCCAGTACACATGCTCTCCCCAGTGCCTCTCCCTGGGAATCTCACTCAAGATGGGAAGTCTCAGAAGTAACCGAGAGCCGTGTTGTTGTTTGAGTCACTGTTATTACGGTTTGGCTCTGTGTCCCCACCCAAATCTATCTCAAATTGTAATCCCCACATGTCAGGGGAGGGGCTTGGTAGGAGGTAATTGAATCAGGGGGCAGACTTCCCCCTTGTTGTTCTTGTGATAGTGAGTTCTCACCATCTGGCTGAGATCTGGTTGTTTGAAGGTGTGTGGCACTTCCCCCCTCTTGCTCTCTCCCTCTCCTGTTCTACCATGGTAAGACGTGCTTGCTTCCCCTTCTGCCTTGATTGTAAGTTTCCTGAGGACTCCCAATCATGCTTCCTTGAACATTAGGGCATTGAGAAATTAAAGAATTTAGGAGCACTTTCATCTTGCCTGCCAGTCATCTTCCCAGTACACACCCTGGGTGTGGTGGCGCGTGCTTGTAGTCCCAGCTACTTGGGAGGCTGAGGCAGGAGAATCGCTTGAGCCTGGGAGGCAGAGGTTTCAGTGAGCCAAGATCGCGCCACTGTTCTCCAGTCTGGTGACAGAGCAAGACTCAGTCAGAAAAAAAAAAAAAAAAAGCAGCATTAGTGGCACACCGTCATCACTATTAATGTTGCCGAGTGCTCTATGTGTTTGTGTGTCTGTGCTCCTTTCATTTCAGTAAAAATCTTAAAATTGCCCTCTATTCTCTTAGTAGTCTAGTGAATAAAAAATACTTTTATTGAATTCATCTTAATTTCAGATTTGGTGGTATTTGCAGCAGCAGCACATGTGGATGGCCACATTTTTATTACCAAGTCTTTTCCAAGTTTCAACAGCGTTTTTGTTTGATGATTTTGGTTTAAATCCAGTTAATCAATATAATAGTAAAATGAGGTTCTCCCCTGTCCCTGTTAAATAATAGTAGTTCAAAGACAGGAAATATTTAAATAACAAAATTTGAAAACTGAAATGCGTGCCTTCTAGAATAGATTCCTACCCTCAGCTGTGAGAACCTCAAAGCCGCCCTTTTACAACTGGAGAGATTTCTTCTTCTTTATAAGTACGCATATACTTGGTTACTTAGGAACAGGCCACCCACACGACACAGGGAGACATGACCCTGCACCCACAGGTACGTGCACACCCAGGCGCGAGTGCCCACCGGCCCCACAGTTCGTCTGCAACAGTCAGATTCAAGATGCGGTAGATTGGCACCTTAACCTCTTTTGGCTCTTCTTCCCCCGAATCAAAACCCACTGTAAACACCGCGAAGAACCAGGAAACTTCACGGCTTTAATCATTTCCTTTCCCCAAGCTCCATGTGGCACACAGGACATTCCGTTTTCCTTTAGGGTTGCCGTCATCCTGCGACAGGTGCGGAAGAAGAAAAAAGCAAATCTATGTTTCCAAAGAGCGGAGGAAGCAGAGACAATGTGCCAACACGGGGTGCGCTCTTCACCTTTACGCTCCACTCGGAGCAAGCAAGGAAATCCTCCAGCTCTAGCAGGGGTTGAGGGTTAGCGCCACCTGGCTTTCTAAAGAAGAACAAGAGGCAGGAGGTAGATGAGGCTGAAGAGGAGCCCGCGCCCTCCTTTCCTCCTTGGGCACCAGGAGGGCGAGAAGAAGGACCCGGGAGCTCTTCGTTTCAGAGCCCAGGGCAGCCAGGCTGCTGGCCACCGCGCACTGCGAAGAGACGCAATTACCCTTCTGGGAATCAAGAAATCCAGAAACGTCTCTTGGTACTGGTGTTAGACTAGTGGATTCCACATTTAAGGCAACCGTGAATTGCAGAAATAACTGCGGCACTTAAAGTATTATAAACAAGCACCGATCAATTTACGCATTGATTGGTTCTGGCTCGTTTCTATCAACCACCTATTCTGCGTAAACTTCTTATACCGGCTGAGAGGAAAGAAAAAGAAGACAGGAGAAAGGCCATCCTAGGATTCTGATCTGTCTGTGGCAGCGTTGGAAAGGAGTCAGGTTAAATGAATAAAGCCCCGGAGCCCCCGTTTATTCACATGAAAAATAGGGAAAACAGGGCCTTCGGTAACTGCCCCAAGTGATTGGAAAATCAAAGGAAAAACTGGCAGGAGAGTGCCTTAGACATTACCATTTCTACTGTATTATTGTTTTATTATTATACGATATCGTCGTATTAGTCATAGTGAAAATGGTAATCAAGTTATCATTATCCATTCAGTGCCTTATACATTTGCACTGAGTTTGTATTTGCACATATGGATATAATGAATTCACAGAATGACTATTAATTTGAGGGCACTGCCACAAACTGCTTTATCTAGAACTTGGACCAGTTGTCAAAAAGTAATTACCTATTTCGGCATGACTTTTAAACGGTGAAATCTAGAGAAAGTTGTTTGGAAACTGCCTTTCCATGGATTCAGTCAAGAACACAAACACAGATGCACAGATGCATATAATATGTGCACACTATGTGCGCATATGAAAATGTGTACATGCATGGGAAATATGGGTTTGCATTTATTATAAGAATGATTCATGTACATTGCTACTCTGTTTACAAAGACTTTTGCATTCACTTTTCATTTAGTCCTCACAACTTTAGGAGGCATTGCTAATCCCCATTTTACAGATGAGGAAACTGAAGCATGGAACAATAACTTTCCTAAAATCTTGATGAGAAGTTGTAGAACCAAAGCCATGTATTCAATTCTGTGTCATCCTCATATCCAGCAAACATATCATGGACAATTACTGTGTGCCAGGCACTAAAGCCTGGTGGTCACAAAAATCAAAGACATATTCCACTGCCTTCAAGAAACTCACACCTAGTGGAGAAAAAAGAGAAATTACTCTTCCTGAAGGATATATACTCCACAATCAGCCTGGGGCTTAAGTGAAGACTTCCCAAAAGAGTAGATGCCCAGGCTGAATTTTGAAGGACAAGAATCCTTCTGATAAAGATGGAGGGAAGTGTGACCCAGGCAGAAAGACAACATGTGCAAAGATATGAAGGCAAAAGAAACGAGAGTATTCAATATAGCTCAGAATCACGGCTTAATGTATATATAGGGACAGTGGTGAGAAAGATTATAAAGAGCATTATTGAGGTTTTCTTGAAGTCTATGGGGGAATGAATGAAAGATTTTAAGTAGGGAAACAACATGATCCAATGTCATTTGCATTAAAGATCGGTCCAGCTGCTGTGAGGACAGACTGGAGGGTACATTAACAGTAGGAGAAATGATGGAATGATGCAGGCAAAACTCAATATTTGTCATGCTAAGGTAGGGGGTTCTTTGAAAAAAAAAAGAGAGGGTGAATTTGAAAGATATTAAGGAGGAGCTCATTACAGTTGCTAGGTTATTAGCCTGAGCACCAGGTGGGTAGTGGTACCAGTCATGGAGACTAAGAGAAGAGACTATTGGTATGCAACAGAGACTAGAAATAAATTCTGTTTTGAGCATAGTGAGTTTAAAAAACTAAATACATCTATGTGGAAATGTCCTCTATCAGGGAGTTGGATATGCAGATCTACTGCTCCAAGAACAGGTCTGAATTGTAGTGAGATAAAACACTGGTATCAACTGAAGCCACATAATGATTAATAATAGTATTTGCAAACAGGCATCAAGTACTTACTGTGTATCTGGCACTGTGCAAAGCATTTTAGTAGATAATCTTATTTAATCCTCACAACAACCTCACAAGGTAAGTATTCTGATTAAGTATTGCCCAGGGAGAAGGTTTAATATAAGAGGTCCAAAACAGGACCCTGATGATTACATTTATGAAGAATGGCAGCCAGGTGCGGTGGCTCACACCTGTAATGCCAGCACTTTGGGAGGCTGAGGCAGGCGGATCACAAGGTCAGGAGATCGAGTCCATCCTGGCTAACACGGTGAAACCCCGTCTCTACTAAAAATACAAAAAATTAGCCAGGTGTGGTGGTGGGCGCCTGTAGTCCCAGTTACTTGGGAGGCTGAGGCAGGAGAATGGCGTGAACCTGGGAGGCAGAGCGTGCAGTGAGCTGAGATCACACCACTGCACTCCAGCCTGGGCAACAGAGTGAGACTCTGTCTCAAAAAAACAAAAAAACAACAACAACAAAAAAGAAGAATGGCAGAACTTTTCCTACTATATTGCAAAGCTATAGCACAGTCACCTAGACTTAAATGCAGAAAGCTACACATTGACCACCAGTTGGCTGAATGTCAGCTCCATCCTTGCTCTATTCCTCTCTAGGACAACATTCTGGAGTGACTGCCAAGGCTAGCTGGCCCATTCCCACACTGCCTCACTGCCTACCTATGGTCCCTCAGACTTGGTGCGACTTGTGGGTTTTTTTAGCCTCCAAGTTGTTTAGGTCCCCTAGCCTGAAGATGATAAAGGAAAAGACTACTTCCAGGTAGGGAAACCACCTGTTTCACTACACATCCCGGGAAAACATATCATGACTGTTTCTCTGAAATACTTTGGATTCCAGCCAGACAGCATTAATTGGGCTAGTCAAGGTCAACCAAGGCCAGGCAAGCAGGAGGAAGTGCCCTAGACTTAATTTTCAACATGGCAGAGAGTCCTTGAGTCATCTCCTCACATCAAGAGGCAGTCCCTGAAAGCAAGCAAGCAAAAAAAAAAAAAAAACTTACTCTTTTTTTTTTTTTTTGAGACGGAGTCTCACTCTGTCACTGAGGCTGGAGTGCAGTGGCACTGTGTCAGCTCACTGCAACCTCAGTCTTCTGGGTTCAAGCAATTCTCCTGCCTTAGCCTCCTGAGTAGCTGGGATTACAGGCACCCACCACCACGCCCGGCTAGTTTTCTTTTTTTCTTAATTCTTAGTAGAGACAGGGTTTTACCATGTTGGCCAGGCTGGTCTCGAACTCCGGACCTCAGGTGATCCACCCGCCTCGGCCTCCCAAAGTGCGGGGATTACAGGCGTGAACCACTGCACCCAGCCTACCTTACTCTTAATGGTGAGTAATTCCTACTAGCTTCTTCGCCTTCTCCCAATATCCATCATTTGGGAGTTTGTTGTGTGAAGGGAAAGTATCAGTTGAATACTATTCTGAACATTGGATTTACTTACTTACATAATTTGCCTCTCTGTTAAGTTTGCCTAGAGATTTTTGTTTCTCTTACATTGAATTCAAGACTCTTATAAACAAATCAGACTTGCTGCTGTACTTCTCATTAGAGGAACTGAAACCTTGTCCCAATGGCCCTTAAGAGCTCCACCCAAGTGAAATGATACCAAACATTTAAGTTTTGCTTTACATTAATGCTCCTGAACCCAATTTTGGCCCAGATATCCCTGGTCTGAATGAGAAAGCCAGGTAAGGACTGCAGATGTTGGGGATAGGGAGGAGGTAGCCTAAAGACTTGATCCGTGTTCACCTAAACCTGTCACCAAGATTTGTGGGCCACATCTCTGTGACCTGAAGAAATCAGTTCCCTGGGCCCCAGCATACTCATCTGTGAGATGAAGGGGCTGAAACATCTCTAAAGCTCATTCCAAGTTTAACATTCTCTGCGGACTTAATATAAGAATGAGCAGGGTTCCAGTGTTGGCTTTGCTGCTTCCATATGGTCTGGGTAAGGGGCTCATTGAATGTTGATACATTACAGCATCAGAGAACATGAGATTAGAAATCAGATTTACTGACCAAACAGATCACCTAGATTAAAAATTAATAATACATCTGTATATGTATGTATATGTGTGTGTGTGTGTATGTATAGATGCACACATATATACACACGGAGAGACAGATAGAGACAGAAATAAATATAGAGAAACTGACTGGTCAAGATAGCAGTGAGTTGATGGCAAAGCCAGGTCTAAAATCCAGGTTTTCTAACTATTGGTTATGTAATTTGCACACAGGTCTCTGTGTATGTCATGCATGCCACTAGAATGCTGGAAGATTTGGTAAGATTCATGTTTAATTGGCTCCATGTGTGGTGTGCTTCCTTCCCCCACCAGCATCAGGATTGCCTTAGAAAAGGCCGCGGGTTCTGGAGACAGCATGGATCTTCTTTCAAATGGGAGCCCTAAGAATTCACCCCTGCCTTTAATATTAATTCTGCATGTTAATTAGCTGAAGGATAACATCCTCAGACCATTTTTCAGAGGTGATGAAAGGAGTCCATTTAATCGAAGAGGCTAAAAGAGATGAAATTATCTGGACTGTCCTCCCACTGAGGGCAATGTGGGGTAATGAACCCAGCCTGCACTAGGCATGGGAAAGAGGACACCTCCCCAGCTCCATCCTATCCGTGTTCCCTGAGCAAATTTCACCTAGAAAAATTACAGAAGCAAACTGCCTAAACTTTTAGCCACTGTCCTCTGCCTCTCTCTGCTAGGTAATTTTAAAAACTGGGATAGTGGTTTAGATAACAGTAGTAGTAATAGTAGTAATAATAGTAATAGTAATAGCAGTTGATAAGGAAGAGGAGCTTTGCAAATGAATCTTGCTTAGACTGAAATTTAAAAAGTGGTTTGACAGGCTATTGCCTTCACCTAGTTCAGTATATTCTTCAGTAAATATTTAGTAAGGGTCTCCCCCACCCACTACTGAACAATGTGCTAAGGCCTGGGAATACAGGTAGTGTACCGCCTGGTCCCTACTCCCGCCCATCTTCAAAGTCCTTTCCTAGGACAGATTCAGTTCTTGAAAAGCCTCATTGATGGCCTCCATGCAGCAGCCAACTGCCTCACGTGAACGCAAGACGCCCTAGGTAACCCGAGCCAATGGCTCCCTCCCATTTGGGGAGAAAAAAAAGTGGGGGGCAGGGATCGAAAGAAAGGAAAGGAGAAAAATACTGAGAAACATGTTTTGGCAGGCCAGGCCTTCAGAGACTACCATATGTGCTCCATATTGAGCAACACCGGGTCTTTGATGTTTTTCTGAATGTAAAGGCATTATTCTTTCTCAAACTGCGCCTAAGTACTACAGACATTAAAACAATGAGACGTAACGGGTGGACCTGGCTCTAAGTGTTTAATTTGTCCTTCACCCAAGTGCCTGCCACCGGTTAGCTCCCCAGTTTGCACCCAGGCAGCTGGCAGGGTTGCCATCCTCTCTGGCCCCATCCCCCTTTGAGATTCAAGTTTGTGTGTCTCCTAGAACACCTTAGCGCCAAGTTCGGAAGTAAGTACTTTCCCAAAGCCCTGCGAAAACGCCCCAGATGTTTCCTGCGTCACGGAAACAAGCCCAGGTTGGATCTGAAGCATTCTTACGACGGTGGGTCACAGGGCCTGCCCCGCGCCAGCGAGCCCTGCTCCCCCAAGAGCTGCGGGGTGCACCCGGAGGCCTCCGGCGCTCCCCGGGTTCGCGCCCACCCCTGTTCGCCGGGGAGTGGCCAACAGCGCAGGAAATACGGGCGAAGGAGATGCCCATTTTATTTCGTGCAGAATTCTGAATCACCAACGAAGACCCTTAGTAAATTTTGTGTGTGTGTGTGTGTGTGTGTTTGAGACGGTCTCAAGGCGCGTTGCTGAAGCTGGAGTGCAGTGGCGCGATCAAGGCTCGCTGCGCTGTCGACTTCCTGGGCTCAGGTGATTCTCCCACCTCAGCTTTCGGAGTAGCTTGGACTACAGGCCTCCGCTACCACGCCCAGCTAAATTTATTTTGGTATTTTTTGTAGAGATGGGGTTTCCCCATGTTGCCCCAGGTTGGTCTCAAACTCCTGAGCTCAAGGGATCCACCCGCCTCCGTCTCCCAAAGTGCTGGGAGTAAATTTATACTGTAAATTTATAAATTTATACAGGCCCTAGTAAATTTATACTGTAATCTTGGGGAGTTTATTAAATAGTCACTCTCCCCGATTGTTAATTTGTCCTTCCCTTTACGTCCTTCTACCCACCGCCGGAGAAACGGCGATCTTAAAAGCAAGGATCTAAATCCACTCGAGGTCTCTCCAGGGAACTGCGCTCTCCTTCCGGGGAGCAGAAGGCCGGGGCTTGCCCAAAGTGGGGAAACCCAGAGGCGGGAGGCTCCCAGTGGCTGGGCAAGAGCGGGGTGCAAATGCGAAACCTGCTCTCGGACGCCGTGACGCTTTGCAGACTGGGGCCCCTCCAAAGTGGGCGGAGTGAGGAGTGTTGGCCCTGGAGAGCAGGGTGTCCGAGCTCCCGCTGCTTCCGGGTCTCGGCAAGCACTTCCGGGGTGCGAGCCACGCGGCCCGAGCTCCGCGCTTACCGATTATCACAAATGGTGAAGGAGATTGGCGCCAAAAGGGAACAGTAACAACCGTGGCCGATAATGACGTCGGGATTGGCTACACCAGGGCCCCCTCTAGTCACGGTCAAGCCCTAGTTTTCAAGCACTTCTGCGTTTGCTCTCGGCCGCCCCAAAGATGGGGGATTCTTGATGCGGCTTGAGATGCCCTGGGAAGCCGCAAAGCCTGGAATCCAGGAGCAGCAGCCTCAGCCTTCCCAGTGCGCCTGTGGTTGCGGGCAATGGGGCACAGCCCTGGCTCCCCTTGGACTCTCAGTAGGCACACGAAGAACGGCCTTTCTGCGCTCAGGCCTCTGCGGAGGTCTCTTTCAGGGTCGTTTGGGGTGTCTGGATTCAGAAGGGGGGGCCGGGCTCTCCCTGACCCTAGAGGGTCAGGAAAGGATTACTGTCGGGCGGAGGTCACAGTGATGCTCTGCCCTTGTTAAACTGGTCAGCTGGAGCGGGCTCCCTGGATGCAGAGGCATGGGTTATCTAGGAGAATTCAGGTTGTGTTTGGGCGCTAGGTTGAAGGTGCGAGCCGTTCCTCCTGAGGTAATCTCATATGTGAGGCGGAAATGAACTGGATACACACAGGAACCACCGCGCGTCTTTGCATCCAATTATTCTTAAACAATTGCCCCTTCTCCTTCGGAGCATCCCTTCTACCAACCAGGATCTATTGTCTCAGCACCTACTTTGTGCTCAGATCTTTGCCAGGTTCTTTGGGGGATACAAGACCACGGAAAGCCAGGTACCTGCGCGTGAACCTAGTGAGACTGGTGCGTTAATGGAAGGAAGGGAGGGCGCCCATTAAAATTACTTCTCGTGCTGCACTTTTTTGTGGAATGAACCAAAGGCATCCGGAGAAGAATATAGTATTGCACGCCTGGACTTCGGACTCAGCTTCCTTTTTCTGACCCTTCCTCAACCTGGCTTTCCCTCTTCAGGAAGAGATTTGGAATTCCCTTTATGGTGGGGCGGGGAGGGGTGGGGAAACAGCCAGCCCAGGTAAGTATGTGAGCCACATGGTCCGCGAATGGAAGAAAGGAAAATCATCTCCAAATGCAACCAGGCAGGTGGGGGTAGTTTGACTCTGAAAGGGAATGGGAAATCTGAATAACCCCGAAGGCAGCAGACTCCATACCCGGTGTTGAGGTGTGAGAAACAGTCAACATTTGGAGCCCTGGAGTCAGAAGATTTTTGGCAGCTGTTAGATAACTTCCTGATCTGCAATAAAGTTCATGTGACGGAGAGGATGTTTCCGCTCTCCGTTGCCTGGCTCCTTTCCTTTCTAAGCCTGCAAGTTTAAGAGATTTTACCAGGTCCCACTTGAATGGTGGCCTAATGTGGGCCCTGGGAGGAGTCCTGGTGGCCTGAGGCTGCAAAGATTGGATCAAACAGGGGCAGTCACAAGCTCACTGGCCTGTTGCATCCCCAGCTTTCACCTGCCAGGTGACACCAAGGCCTCCCTTTCTCAAAATGGGGAATCCAGGCTGCTCCATTTTCAGACACCAACCTGTCTGTTCCTGATCCTCCCCACAAGGTCCAAACAAAACAGTTTTTAAAGAAATCTGTGTAAAGTTCCAAGCGTCTTCCACAGCCCAGGTGCACTCTGGCTGCAACAGCCTAGTTTCTGGACCATGATCAGGCATAATTAGGGTCTGATCACTATAGAAATATATGCAAGATGTTTACTTCCCTTAGTGGAAAAATAGAAGGGGGGTCTGGTGCACAGTGGGACTCACGAAGAAGGAGTGTGCTCTGAGAGCACCTAGCACCCGTGGACCTCAAACCCTTCTCAGCTCAGGGAGGGGCAGTGGAATTCAAGCTCAGGTGGTTCCCTACCGACCAGGTCCCTGGGTACGTCCCAGGGCTCTGGCACAGCTAGAGCAGGTGTCCACCTCTCGGTTTAGGCCAGCTTGACCCTGTGTCGTTCCCACTCCCAAGCCCCCAGTCATATACATGAGGACTGGCAGCAGGTGGGCAGGAGAAGGTGGTGTTCCAGCTACATCTTGGAGTTTTTGCTTGGGATCCGGCCAGCTTCAGGGACCATCACTTGTGGGGAGGGTTGGACGTGGACTTCCCAGCTGGATGATAATAGAACTGGCTGAAGAGCAGAAGCCAGAACTCAAGGTTCAGACCTTGTCCACCAAAGTCAGAGATTGCAGATCAAAGCTATTCAAAAACTCACTTGTAAGACCAGAGAGAAGGACGTGAAGTTCCCAGAGTCCAGGGTCTTGGGGTGGGGAGGGGAGTGTTGCAAGGGTAAACAGCTGGCCTAGGAAGCTACACCTCGCCATGCATGGTGAGTGTTGAGGGGAGATGGCTTTTCAAGTTTTTAGGAAGAAAATAGAATTTCCGAAGACACAAACACACAGCAATGAGGATATGTGACAAATATCCTTGTTTTGCAAAGGTATAAAGGAGGAAGTCAACATGCTGGAGACCACAAAGTCAGTCCAGAAGCCAAGACCCAACCCAGATGTGCCTGACTCTGAATTGCTTTAAGCACTTGCCACTCAGCCTCTGATAAGCAGCTTAAGTTACATCTTCGCGATGTCCCTAATTCTATGAGTGGTGGATCTGCCCAAACTCCCAACAGCTTTTAGGAGGGTGTCATTTGTAGCAAAGTAGAGACTTACAATAAACCTCCTGCAGGGGAAGAAGCGGGGTGCGTGGGGATAGTAAGTTTTCTTAAATGTGCCAGAAGTGTCTTCTATTTTCTGCCCACCATAAGCACGGTGTAGTCTAATTGTTTCCAGTAATTGCATTCCAGTCCTGCACAACTGCAAACTCTGGAGCACCGAACCCACTCACGAGCACCACTTCCTCCAGCACTCAGTGGATGCCTAAGAGGCGACTGTGACCATGTTCGCTGGTGCAGTCCCCCGCTCTCAGCCTTCACACAAAGTCTGAACTACATTGGTTTTTTTTCATTTGAATCCATTTCTTTTTGGTCTTGGCTTAAGAAATCACTCTGGTCATTAATAACTGTAATAAGATCACTCTGGCCCAAGTCACCAGGGATGGCAAGGAGCCCAGAGGCTTCCCTGCATGCAGCGCAAACGGCGTGCTCCTCCGGTAGCCGTATGGGGGAGGACCTATAAGGTACCTGCCAGCACAGCCTGGGGCCTTTCCTACCCCAACTCGTCACCACCGCTGCCTCCAGCTTTCCCTATCCCAGCCCCAGTGGGTAGAACCAGACAGGAGACTAGACCTCTTTGTCTGCAAATGTGGGACTCCCAGGCAAAAGAAGCTCAGAAATATTGAATAAAGGTATTGGACTCTAGAAACCACGTGGAGAAATCTGGTGTAATGGAGGCAAGCAGTTTTAGCTATGGTTGCTGCAAAATATCAAATGCCCTTCAAATTTTGTGCACAATTATTTTTATTCTCTTTTCTTAATGTTTCTTTTAATTTTTGTCTTGAATTTCTTGATTTTTAGAGTAGTTGCCAGACCACTGGAGTCCCTGCCAGGAGAGGAGATGTCACTGAAAGGTCAACACCATCCTTCTCAGAGGAGGAAAAACTGAGTTCAATTCACATTGGCAGCCTAATTCCAGCCCCATGACCCAGGGGGATCATCCTCTTCCTCTAGGGGTTCCTAAAGTGGAATGTGGTGCCCTAGCCACAGCTAGCAGCAGAAACCATGGCAGAGGATGGTAGAGGAGAGAGAAATGCATGAATGCAGTGCCACTTTCTGAATTTTGTTTTCACTTGTCTGTCAGCCTTGATTGTCACCACTGAATTAGATGATCAATAACTGTAACTGAAGAAGAGAAATCACCATAGTCTCACCTTCTGTCACTGTAATGACTGTAAAATGAATTAGTATAACCTTGTAGGGGTTAAAAACGCCCATTAAATGACCACTCATTTAGCCACCTCCAACTTTAGAATTGCCCCCTTCACCAGAGACAATTAGGGCCTAGATGCCCAAAACCCAGGAAATGCACCTGACACCCCCTAGAACATCATTTCCATGTCCAAAGGGAAAGAGAAGGCTCAACAGGGATGAGTGTGGCTTTCAGGACTCTTTAACAACAATTTATCCTCAATGCCCACCTGGAGTCAGTGCCCTGTAGAGCTGATGGCCCAAAAGGCAGGGATGTGGGGTTCCTCTCCACATCCCTTGCTCGGCCATCAGTATATTGGGACATCAGTACAAGATTCTTGTACTGATTCTTGTACATCAGTACAAGATTCTTCTTGCTCAGCCATCAGTACATTGGGAAAGTGAAGAAAAAGGGAAAGGGGAGAGTAGCTAGACAGCGGAGAAGCTCTGTGCTGGGATTCTGTCTTTGTAGGAGAAAAAATAGGGGGAAATGTCTGCCCAAGCAACTCCCAAACCACAATTGCCTCCTGCCACAGGCCCGAACACTCCTTTCTTGCTTCCTAGGTTTGCCTGTTCTATCTCACTCCTCCTACCTTCTGCAAATTTTTCAAATCCATAATCTAAAGCATTCTCTCTAGAGTGTAAGCAAGCAGTCATCAGACAACCTCTCTAGATGAGAAAGAAGGCGTGAAGCAACGGCTGGGAGGTGGAAGCACAAATAATGATGTTTGGAAGGTGGAGCTCCTGGAGCTTTGCTTTCAAAGGTTAACACGTGGGTTTCCAGAGCTCCACACTTCGTTCTTTCCCAGTTTAAGGGTGGGTGGTCCCTTCTGCTCACGAAATAAACCTCTGACAAGTGGAGAAACGGCTGAGGTGGCACTTGGAAGTTAGGAACCAAGTTAATCCTCTCCTAGGTTTCCCCGTGCTTCTAAGCCTGTGTTGTCCCCGCCCGGGCTGAAGGGGGAGCTCTGGGCTCAATTTAGATGGTGTGAGTAGACACTGAAGCCCAGCGAATTTCAGTTTAAATCTCAAACCCTGGTGTGGTGAGGCAAGAAAGGTGACACTTGAGGGACACATGTATGGTAGGACTCTGGACTCCTCTGGTTGAGTAAGAGAGTCATGGTAACTTTGACTTTCCTGTGGGTATTTTAGAGGAATAGGGACGTAGGCCCTACAGCTTAAAATAGTGCCCAAAGTTTCAATTCCTTAGAAAGGGATTTCCCATCACTTAAATCACCCTCTAGGAGTGTATGCTAGAGGCTCGTGGAGGGCAGTGCAGCCCCGTCTCCCAGGTTACCAGGAGACGGCCCAGGCTGCAGGGCCCCTCAGTGTGCCATCAACTCCTCTCATGCCTGGAACTTGTTTGGGTGCACAGATCTACAGCCAGGTCTGCTCTCTTTGCACCTCAATTTTCTTGTAGGCACAGAGACAGGAAATGCCCTTCTTACAGTTTGTGAAGATTAAACAATAGGCAGCCTGTAAAATGCCTTCGCACTTAATATGCGATCATTAAAATCAGTTCCTTCCCTCCTGTCCTGAGGGTAGGGGCGGGCAGATTTTATTACTTCTCTTTTCCTGATAGCAGAACTGAGGCGGGGTTGTGGAGGAGCGACGGAGGACCACCTCTAACTTCCCTTCACTTCCTGGATTTGAAGCCTCAGGGCCACCGGCCTCAGTCCTGTTACGGTGGCGGACTCGCGAGGTTTTCCAGCAGCTCATTCCGGGACGGCGGTGTCTAGTCCAGTCCAGGGTAACTGGGCTCTCTGAGAGTCCGACCTCCATCGGTCTGGGAGCGAGTGGTTCGAGTTCAGATGCTGGGAACCGTCGCTTCTCCCCGGCCGGGCTCGCTGTTTTCTCCTCCGCTCGCCGTCATCAAGCCCGGCTATGAGCAGGGCTTTAAATCCTCCCTCCCTCACCCGCAGGTTTACCGAGCAGCCCCGGAGCTCTCAGACATGCTGCGCTGCGGCGGCCAGAGGAGGGGTGGGGGCATTGCCCTCTGCAGCCTAGTGCCCAAATTGCCACTCATCCGGTCTGGTGCCATGAAGGGAAGGCCGCGAGATGGTGCTAATTAAGAAGGCCAGACTCTACTCCTTGCACAAGGTCCGGAGCATGGCCCTGTTTTTCTGTTTGTTTGTTTGTTTGTTTGTTTGTTTTAAGACAGAGTCTTGCTCTGTCGCCCAGGCTGGAATGAAGTGTCTCGATGTCGGCTCACTGCAACCTCCGCCTCCCGGGTTCAAGCGATTCTCCTGCTTCAGCCTCCCGAGTAGCTGGGATTACAGGCGCCTGCCACCACGCCCGGCTAATTTTTGTATTTTTAGTAGAGACAGGGTTTCGCCATGTTGGCCAGGCTGGTCTTGAACTCCTGACCTCAGGTGATCCACCTGCCTCGGCCTCCCAAAGTGCCAGGATTACAGGCGTGAGCCTCCCGGCCTGGCCCTGTTCTTTTAAAAATAGCCGATCTAACTTCACACTACTACCAAAAGCCAGATCTGTCCCCAAGCTCTTTCTTCCCACATCTCCCCTACCTGCTTGAAAGGGGGTGTTAAGACCTCCTCCACACCTGAGCGCCCCCACCCTGTGGCCGCCACCACCAGAACCACCATCAACTCTGGAGGCCGATCTGAGGAGAGAAGAGAAGCCAACAACCCCGCAGGATGAGAGAGCAATCTCTTTTGTATCACAGACCCTCCGGAGCAGTTGCGGGAGGGCTGGCTGGGTGCATGGAAGTATTTAGCAGGTTCAGTGCCATTACTGCCTAACAGGGTGTGAAAAGTAATATGAATGTGAAATACTGTGGGAAAACGGAGAGTTTCCAAAGCAGGCAGCGAGGCCCCTCCGCTGGTGGGCCTGGAAGGCCAGAATCCCTGCTGCCCCGAGTGCGGCTCCCGGAGGCGCTGCTACTGGCCGAGGACTGCAGAGGGAATGTCGGGGAGGGGGAGATGGATGGAGGGTGAGATGGGTGGAGGGTGCAGTCCGCCCTGAGAAGAGAGGGAGGGGCAAGCTGGCAGTGCCTGGGAAAAGCCCGAGAAAAGCCCTGTCGGCTCCCTCTTCCTGGCTGCTAAAGTTGACACAAGACGGCTTCTTGGAACTCCCCCTCCTCCCGCCTAAATGTACAGAGCAAGACTTGAAGTCAAAAGATAGATAGCGATCGTGCTGAAAGTCAGGTGGAAAACAAGACTGCTAATTTTATGAAACAACCTATCAACCCACTGGGAAGAGATGACAAGAGGTACATGGGCGCTTCTGCAGGAGGTGGAGGTGGAGGTGAAATGCCGAGGTTCTAGACTGATGTAAATTTCTCCAACTAACTCCAGATCGAGAGCCTACAAATCCGACAAATATGCCCACACTTTGACAGTAACCGCCTCCCAGCACGCCCCACCACCGCCAACACACATGGAGGGGTTTGAACTTTTCCACCTTCCGGACCTCTGCAGTCCGTCGCAGGACGCCCAAACCACAGGCCGGACACAGATGAAGCCAGACCACAGCCCCCGCCCCAGCCACCGCGGTAGGTGGGTGCCCAAGAGACTTCTCAGGTGAGGGCAGGGGCCCCCTGAAAGGCACTAGAGAAGGCCTGCCGCCCGAATCTCCCCAAGTGCAGGGGAGAATTACATTTCCCCACCTCCTACCCAACCTGCCCCGGCCGAGTTATGGACATCGCCGCCTCATTCTAGACTTGAAGGCACTCTGCGGCCACCAAGAGACCACTCCGCATCCTAGGTCGAGCCTGTGGGAGAAGCACTCGGGGCCCGGGAGGCCGAGGTGGGAATGCCTGCTCTTGGGATAAGTGCCGCTACATTTGTTGGGCGGCTTTGTCAGTTTAGAAAGCTTGTCCCTGCACTCTGACAGTTTCTGCTTGCAGGGCCGGGTGCCGAGGCGAGATAGCCAGCTTCCCTGTTTCTTAGAATATTTCCGTAAACCAGACTGCATCCGAGCAGCCGGGTGGTGGTACGGCTGGTAGCAGAAGGTGCAGATGGTGCCAGGTTTGGAAACACACCCCACTGCATATTATTCCACTTCACGAGTACTAAGGAGGAGTCCAGAATTGGTGGCCGTCCTCCCTCTTGTTTTCTCATGCAAATAACTCAACACTCTAATCGTAAATCAAAGCTCCAGGGCCTACTTTTGCGAGGGGCACTGGAGAAAGAAGAGAGGGTTGCGCGCGCGCGTGCGGGAGCTTCGGAAGCTAAATCTCACTCGCGGGGAGGATGGGACGCGTGGGGACTGAAGGCGGCATCTGCCTGAATAAAGCCCTCGCGCGCTCTGAGCCTCCCACTCTGTCCTGGAGGCCTGAACCTCGCGAGTAGAGCCTGGCGCTTTTCCTCCCCGGGAGCACGACGGATAGAATGCGCGGGGTCGAGACGGTGTCGGTAGCGGGGGCCGCAGCGCTTTGCAAAGCCGGCCTCTGCCCCCGGCCTCCTTGGAGGGCGGTAGCGGGACCTGCGCTCGCAGCCTCTCCCCAGGGCTGTGCGCTTCGGCCTGGCGGCTGCCGGGCAAAAACCTCATTTATTTCCTTCCTTCCCGAGTGAGCTCACTTCCTCCCCGCGCCGCTCCCTTCCGTCGGCCGGAACCCGCTCCTGGGCCGCGCGGCTGCAGCCGGGAGCGCGGACTCGGGGTGTCGGGCGGTGTCCGCGCCCCTCCCCACCCCAGGGCCCTTCTCGGGGGAGATATCCAGGAGCTGAAAGAGATTCCTCAGGAGGAAGTGGAAACCTCTGAAAGGAGAGGAAACCGACTCTTTTGCAAGAAAACTGAGCGCCGGCTGGAAGGCAAGGAAGCCGAGGCGGCCGGGGAGATTCACCCACATGCCTGTTGACTCGGGCCCAGTACCTGCGTCTCCTTCCTTCTCTTTCTGGCCCTCATTTCCCCTGCTTCTCACTTTAGTTCACTGCTGTTTTAAAAATTCATATGCGGGCTCATTTAAAAAGCAATTTCACATTTTAAAGACTGCAGCAGCAGAGGGAGAATTACAAATAGGATTGATTTAATTAGCTGGTAATGCTTCTCTCATGCCCTATAATTAAACAGAAATCCTAATGGCGTTTCAGGGCCCAAAAGTGATTATTACTAGCATATTTTACATTTACATTAAAACGCTGTCCCCGGGGTGTAATCCAGGATCTGGCTCCATTTATTCAAATTTCTAACCTGAGTACTGAAGCCAGAATACTGCTCCCCAGCAATGGAAGGATGGCGTGTGGGGGCTGTGGTTTGGTTTGTTTGGCTAATTTTAACTTTTGTTCTGTTCTGTTCCTAAGGCCTAAGGAAAGCAGCCGATGGCTCCCAAGACAACTCTGTCCGGCCAGTACTCCAGGGCAACTTCAACCCCACTAGGACCCAGGCCAAAACCATATATATATATATATATATATAAATTAACGCAAAACAGAGCCACTTTGGTGCCTACCCCTCCACAAGTAGGTAGGCACATCCAGGTAGCTCTGTCAGAAGATGGGACCTGGCGCCTTGCAGGGGTAGCCCTATGGAGATCCAGAAGCCCCGTTTCGAGCTACGAAGTCTCTCTTCTACTGCAGTCTTCTCTCCAACGTGGAGATCTAGCAACTTCCCTCCCCCTGGGATTCCCTGTGAATCCACTCTAGTTGGGATATAGCCTCTCTACAGCTCAGTGACGTAGCGCGCCAAAACCAAGTACCCACCCCGGCAACTGGAAGACCTAGCTGTCCTCCATCCCGCCTCCGCAGTCGATAATCTCCAGGATCCAAGCAAAGTGCCTGTCCACGTTGTCACCAGATCCACAAGCGCTTTTGATGAGAGCTGCTACCCTTTTGGAAACACGATTCCCTCTCCCTAGTAGAGAAGAATCTATTCTTCTGGGCTGGCGTAGACAAAGAATAACCAAGATAAAGTATGTGGTGTGAAAATATCAGCTGCCTCTTCTTTTTTTGTTTTTGAAACGGAGTCTCGCTCTGTCTCCTAGGGTGGAGTGCAGTGGCACTATCTCTGCTCACTGCAACTTCCGCCTCCTGGATTCAAGCGATTCTCCTACCTCAGCCTCTGGAGTAGCTGGGACTATAGGCGCCCGCCACCACGCCCGGCTAATTTTTTGTATATTTAGTAGAGACGGGGTGGGGGGGTGTTTCACCATGTTGGCCAGGCTGGTCACGAACTCCTGACCTCAAATGATCGGCCCACCTCGACCTCCCAAAGTGCTGGGATTACAGGCGTGAGCCACCGCGCGCCGGGTGGAAAACATTAGCTTCTAATAGCAGTCTTGGAGTGGAGTGAAGACGTTCAGGAAGTGGTGGAGATAGGCCTGCTCAATTAACCGGCCCCAGATATCATTTCTCTGGCTACCTCTTTTCTCGCCTGGCCTGGCCCTCTATACCGTTTTTTGTTTGTTTGTTTTGTTTTGTTTTTTTTCTGCAAAACGTTTTCTGCTGCAACTTTCTCTTTATTTATGCCTTTATCTTTCTTAAACAAGAGGTCCCTGGAAATAACTAACTAAGGAGGGGAGAGGAACCCCCTCACCCCCAATTTCATGAATGAGTGCTACATTCATGCTGGCCGGGTACCAAGAGCATCTTTAGATCTTTAGACCTGAGTCTTCTCATCTGTGAAAAAGAGGTTAAAGCAGATGAACCCTAAAGGCCCATTTCCAGTCTTAAATTCAACACTTTCAAGACAAAACTTTTCTTCTGTATTCCTGAGTGTGTATATATATGTTATGTAATATATATTATAATGTATATATATAAACTTGGCTTAGTAATGTTCTGTGCTGAGATGCAGATGAGGAGGACATTTTAAACTTCTAAGGGTGCCCTCCCTCTGGTTGTTTCCTCCCAGACGAGCATTCTTTGTGGAACAGAAAGAGATCCTCAGGGTGGAAAGCACCAGAGGCAGGTCTCCTGAATACGGTGCTGTCCAAGTCTACTCATGGTCACATGATTCATTAGGACTGTAAATCCTCATCAGAACACAAGCATCAGACTCTCTGACCCTGCCAATTCAAGTACTAATGGTAAAATCGTCCAAGAGGCTGGCCAACATATGCACACATTAATTAGAGTTATGTGGGCCTTTGGCTTCCAGTCTGATGAACAGCTCCAGGGATGCAGGGGGCAGAGGGTTTGGGGTCCTTTTCACCCAGCAGATGCCCTTTGGTCCTGAGAGGGCATTAGTCCAATACAGTGGGTGATCTGAAAGCTAACCCCTTTCAGAGGATGGCTTAACCTCAGCAACTAGGCTAAAACCTAGCAGTGGGTCCCTAAGAGGGACAGGGGAAAAAAATCTGTTCAGAGGAAATGAGAATCAGCAGTAAGCTTTTGTTGTTATTACTTCATCTTGTATTATTATGAGACAGGAGTGGGGAGAAGCCCAAGGTGAAAGAAGAGAAATTTTTGGTATGCATGGAAGACGTGGATACTTAGCAACCCTCTCCCCTGGCACTCAAGTGCACACGCAGAGAAAGTAATTGCTATATTCCATCTAGAAGCTGAAAATGCTTTCAACACCATTTACAAGGATAAGGGAAGGAGCAGCTGAGGGGAGCATGGGTTTGATTCAACTTAACTGCAATTCTGGCCAGGTACCACAAGTCACAGAGCATCCCAGAGAGCAGAATCCCAGAGAGTGTCCCCCATCCCTGGCAAGGGACACTATGCATGGCACTTTTCCTACAAGATGTGTCCTTTTCTCCATCCATATCTAACTCCTATGTGGAGGAGAGTCAAGGTCACTCACAGTCTCTATTAGACTTGGGGAGCAAGACCCCTCAGCCTCTCCAAGGGTCACATTGATGTAAATGAAGGTGTCATCCGCTCTTGTAGGGAACAGTCACCTCTGGCTTTACCTTCATGCCTTTTTGAATTGTAAAGGGCAAAATGCCTGGAGTCTATCAAGTCTACACATAGTTATTATACTGCAAAATTTGTCTCAATTGTTTTGTGATAAATGTGTATTTCCCAATCCCCCACCTCCTTCCATTATAACCCATATGAACCATCTATGGACTAGAACATAGCAAAAAACCTCTCTATGGTAGGAGAAAATGTATTTATTACTTATATGATGCAAACAATGTAGACCTTTTCATTTTGAGTTGGAGAGAGGGGACACACAAAAATTGAGAAGCCACATTCCCACAATTCTAGGCAGAATTTGATCTCACTTTTTTACTTCTTTTATTTCTCTTTCTCCCTTTTTTCTTATTCTTTGTCCTCATCCACAGAGAAAAGACAATCCAATCTGGAGTCCTAGGGATTGATTATTCCACATTTGTCCCTATCTTCTCTTTCCCAAGAGAAGATCCCTTTGTTTCTGAGTTTACATCATGAAAGGAGTTTACATCATTACTCCCCCCTTTTTTATTTAAACTTAAAGTACATGAGTAACAAGAACTCTTACACCTAGGTAAAGCCTTGGGAAGGGAGCAAACTGCTCAGGCTGCTAAGGTGTAAGAGGATGTATGTGAAGGGGAGTGCTCTGAGAGGCAACCATTTCTAGGGAAAGGTCTTGTCCTCTTAGTAACAACAACAAAAGAAGTCCATTTTCAAACATCTATTAGACAATGTCAATCTTTCTTTTCAATTGTATGCTTAGCTTAGCAAAGAGAGTCAGGTGGAATCTCACACCTTGCCCAAATTGTATTTGGTGTGAGGCTCTTCAAAGCTTCCAAGACACCATCCTTCTCCTCTCCCCCTATCAGTGGAACAGATAAAACTGGAGCAACCTGCATTATTCTAAAACCATAGAGATGATATTTCTGTTTGCTTTTCTACTCATTAGGAAGCTCTGAGAGGATGCATAAGAAATGAATCACAGTGGGTGAAGAAACTGGACAGACTTCAGTGGGTGAGGAAACTGGGGAGACTTTTCACATGTACATTTTGGGTATTTTTAAACCATGAGAATTACTGCCTATTCATGAAAAATTAACCTGAGTAGAATATATATGAGAGAGTTGCTGCTAAATATATTCCACATAATACCACATATTGAGGAGGAGGATGTTACCTACTGAAGATATGGGATTGAAAAACATGCAATAACTTTCTGTTTTGCTCAATGGGTCATAAGTTGAAAATTAGACTAGAAAATATTTGTTCAGAGAAGTACAAAATCTTAGGTGAGGCAAAATGCACACTAGTCCTCTCCTCCCTTATCTTTCCAAATGGGGAGACTTGTCAGTTTAAAGCCATTTGCTCCTCCAGTTAAGTTCTAGGATCGTAGACTTGGAGGACTGGCTGAGCCATCAGTCCCAAGTGGAAAGGCTAAGCTAAGCATACAACTGAAAAGAAAGATTGACATTGTCTAATAGATGTTTGAAAATTGACTTCTTTTGTTGTTGTTACTAAGAGGACAAGACCTTTCCCTAGAAATGGTTGCCTCTCAGAGCACTCCCCTTCACATACATCCTCTTACACCTTAGCAGCCTGAGCAATTTTCTCCCTTCCCAAGGCTTTACCTAGGTGTAAAAGTTCTTGTTACTCATGAACTTTAAGTTTAAATAAAAAAGGGGGGAGTAATGATGTAAACTCTTTTCATGTTGTAAACTCAGAAACAAAGGGATCAACTAAGCAGGGTGTGGAACAATCGACCCCTTCTACCCATAGGTCATTAAATGGCTGCTGGATGCCAAAAAGATTTTAAGCTAGAACTGTTTTCCTTTTCAAGAAATATGCAAATAAACAAACAAACTCTACCAAAGGATAGAGCTCTTCAGGTCATTCTTTTGTTTATGTCTCCTGCAGCTTTTCCTGTTGCATAGTCCCAGCTAATAAACAACTTAAGCCACTCTTACAGTGAAGTTCAAATTGCAAAATAAGAGACTTAACTGTCTTGTTTAAAGGTATGCTATATATCAAGTCACAAGGCAATAATATCTATTCTATCCTTTTGCGGCAATAAACAGACCCGCCCCAAAACACAAAATCAGATGGCCTTTTCCCACAAAGGCAGGTGGTTAACAATAGGATTTCCAAAGGGCACTCATTTATGTTGGAAGCTGATAGGCATTTCACATAGTGACCAGGAGAAAGAATGGGTCAATGTTTGTAATACCCAAAAAGGTGGCAACTGGGGGAAACGGTGGGGCAGGAAGGAAATGGAAGGGAGTTGAAAGCATCCTTGGTTTCCCCAGCTGTTTGCAGAAGTTGGAACATACGGTGCCAGGATTTTTCCAAGATGGCAAGGGATAGAAAGTAAAATTATTACCCCCTGCCCCCCGCCAAAGAATGCCTTCCAACAAATAAAGATGTATTCGCAGTTTGGAGACTTTTCTCCTTCCACAGGAAATGAGCAGAGGTCACTTAGAACCAATTCTCATCATTTAGTAAAAATAACAGGGTGATAATAGAAGCAACAGAAGGAGTCAAGGTGTTTGTGCTAAAAAAAAAAAACTTTAAGTTCAGGCCTGGCCTGGAGTGGGAATATCCAAATGGGTTCTTCATATTTCAAGTTTTATAGACAGTCTTTTCCCTAAAGGATATACTTTCATTAGGTCATAAATGCACCAACAGATGAGAGAGGGAAAGAGGTGTGTGTGTGTGTCTGTGTGTGTGTGTGTGTTTGCATGTGGCCAGAATGGCAGAGCAGGTATGGAGGTCAGGCTGTGCGGGGAGGTGGTGGGGCTGTGTGTCACCCACCTGTGAGGGCAGCAGCCAGGGACTACGACTTCAGGTGGCCCTCTGTGCCTAGGCTTCTCCTTGGTTATCTTAGTTCTCAGGTTTCCCGTGGGTTCCACTGAGGCTCCTAATTGCTCCAAATCCAGGCATTTACTTGCCTAAAGGCCACAAGAAGTGGGGTGGGGACGTATCTTTTTCAGAGAGTTTGTTAAAAATTTAACTCAGAGAAGTGTATTAGTTGGGGCCTCAATGCCTGAACTTGGGTGGGAGAAAAATGGGTTGTTTGGCGACTTTCATTTCTCGCTGGACCCCAATTCCCCAGATTGGAGAGGTTTACCTCCTCCAAAACCCAAGGGGCCCAACTGGGTGCCCCTCGGGGGCCAATGCTCTTCATCTTCCCACTCCCTGTTCCATGCAAGAGAGGACTTTGCAGACAGAATCGTCCTGACCCGATAGCCACGTAGGCTTCCTTCCGAGCACTTCTCAAAGTGAGTCTGGGTTTTGCTACCAGTATCAATTAGCCGCTTCTGGCGAATCCCAGAGAATGTTTAATTAACTCCACAGCTCTGATTCACACTTACAGGTTGGTAGCAGTTTAAAATTATTGTAAAACACCACCCGGATAATATATTTACTTTTTGTCTAGGCCAGATTAGCAAGACACGCGCACACACTCTACGTTTAAGTCACACCCTGCAATGCAGAGAAAATATTTCAATAGGCATCTGCAGGCGGCCGAGAAGAACTGGAGCAATGATTATTTTCCTCCTTTTTTGATTTTCTGTTTCTAAAGAAAGCACTGGTATCAAGGACGAGTTAGGTAATGCGTATTAAAAGGCAAGCAGGTCGCTCTCGTTTACGCCCAATCATAGTTCATAGTTCAAGGAAAACTGCCTTTAATTGACACCGTGTATATTCCTCTGCTCCTCTCAGGCTGCCCTGGCAGGGACGCCCCAAGAGTATTTATTTCTAGGGTTGGAAACAAAACAACCAACCCCGTCTACTGCGTAAGAGAGCGTTCCAAGATGGACTGCCGGAGAAAGGCTTTTTGACCCCTGTGGAAATTAGTCATATTGACAGACGCCCAGGGAAGGTAAATTACCCCGCGCGCTGACGTTACGCAGAGGCGCACCGGGTTCCGACTCCACCGCGGCGCCGAGGGGGCCAGAGGCTCCCAGTTCTTCCCCGCATAGTTCGACAAAGCCCTACTTTGCTTCCCTGGGTCTGGGATCTCAACGTGAAGGGGGCCGAGAGAGCGGTGATAAGGTGCTAGAAAGGAAACGGCAAGAGGAAACTAAAAAAGTGGAGAGAAATTTTGTGCGCCGTAGTGCTTAGCAAGCTGGGGAAACGAGGAGAAAACGAGCAAAGTCTACAGGGGAGGGAGAGAGGGAGGAGGCAGGGAAGGAGAGGACCACGAGGCTCCCGGCGCCCAGGCCGCCACTTGGGAGGTCCCGGCCCCAAAGCAGGCCGGGCCAACCGTCCCCCCGGGAGGCTCGGGGCTCGGGCGGGGTCACAATTACACCTCGGCTCCAGGCGAGGACTTAAAAACCAAGTGGTGGGGACTGCAGTCTGGAAGCAAGGCCCTGCGGTCATCGGAGGGGGGCCAGGCCCGTGCACAGGAACCTTTTACAAGGCATGTGGGTACAAGAAAAAAAATCAAAATAAACCACTTTCATCCAGCATGGGCAGTGAAAAGAAAAGCTGCCTTCCAGAGGGGGCGAGCGGGAGTTTTGAAATTCATTGTGTGTTTTGCCTTTATATAAGGAGTTTTGCGTTTTTTACCGATAACCAAAGGGGGACACTAGGGGGAAGTAACTGCTATTTTTTTTTTCTGGAGAGGGCTGAAATAAGGGGTTCACCGGTTCTTTCACAATCAGATGGTGTCCCAGGACTGCAAGTAACTGCGTACATCCACACAGCGCATTACACCAACCTGAGAAGAATCCTTGCGTGACCGGATTGTTTCTGGTATAAAATAGGGCCTAACGGTCCCATCTCTTTTCTTTTAAAAAACTGAGTCTGTGGAGGGGGCTTATTGGAAAGCATCAAAAGAGTGGCATCTGATTTTCTGATTTTACCGGAGATTGGACTGGAGGTCTTCTTTACTAAGAGTAACAGGCGTAGCCACAAAAGAGCCTGGTCTGGTCGCAAAGTAAAGGCAAAACTAGTGTGGGCCCTTAGCCTCGCCGGCCCCGGCCCTCGGAATGCAAAAGGCGAAAGCTCCCTCCTGGGCAGGGCCAGAGCGAGAGCGAGTGAGGAGCTCCTCCCGGACCTCGGGCCTAGCTTCGGAGGTATTTTTAGCTCCTCTCTCTGCTCCCCAGAGGCTCTTTTGTAAGCTTAACAGAGGCTCAGCAAGCTGCCCTCACCCCGAAGGGCTGTGGGAGGAGGCTGCCCTAGTATCTTGAAGAAAAAAGAAATTGCCTATCCTTAAGTTTAAAACAATATTCGCTCTCTCTAGGCTCCCCTTCTGTTCTCTCGTTTTTTTCGCCCGCAGGAACACTCCAAGTTCCACAGTTAAAGAGGACCGGGAGGGCAGGAATGGGTGGGGCCTGGAAATCAGCTCCGAAACTGGGTGCGGCACACCTTCCTCTGCCTTTCTGCCTCTCTCCCGGCCACTGCTGCTCCACGGGAGCCAGTCTTGGATACCTAGGGTGGGGGACAGGGGGACGGGAAGAGCCTCGGTTGTCTCCAGGTAGGCAGGGAACCCGGAGCATTTATTTAAAGTTACTTATTTTTTTAAAATAAAGGCTTAAAATAAGTCCAAATGTTTCTGCAACAGAGTTTCCAACACACTGTTCAGGAATGCGAAACTCGGGACCCAGACTAGCAATCCCCAAGTGGGTGAATTCTTATTATGTAGAAACCTGCTCTCTATGCTCCCCCTCTCACCTTGGAGAGGCCTCAGTACAGCCTTCGGGCTTGGGCCGCAGGCTTCCCTGGACTTCCGCAGTCCCCCTTCTCCCCATTCCAGAACCTGCCGAGCCCCTGCTGCATCTGGGACCCGCCTTCACCGTTTCCCAATCCCAGCGGTTAGCCCCTGCGCCCCCTTTTTGGTCTCCACTTTGCCGTTCGAAAATGCCTAGGTTGGTGGATCGACCCTCCGCGGAGCAAAGACGGATGGCTGGCAGGAGCAGGTTCAGGAGCTGGGCCAAGGTATTCTCTGCTTCCGCCTTTGTGTCCGCCCCCCCGCCCCCTGCTCCCCGCTTCCCGCCAGCATCTCTCCTTTTCTGCTCAGGAGTGTTTGGCCCGGCGGTCCACCCCGGCTTCCCGAGATACGCTAGAGTTGCCCCCACGTCCTGTCCGCCGCGCCCCTACCCACCGGGTTGCCTTCGGGGCCCTTCGGTGCTGTGTAGTCGGCGTGGCGCTGTGAGCTAGGCGAACAGGAACCCCCAGGCCCGCCACGTCTACGCTATTAGCAGCCAGGTAGCCCTGCGGGTCGAAGATGCTCAGAGGAGGAGTAAATGCAGAGAAAAAATAGAGGAAGGAATAAAAAAAAAAACAAAACAAAAACACGTAACATACACGCACTCAAAACCAACTTTGGGATTGGACTTTTTCAGTTTCACACGAAGAGACTTGGAGTATCTGGAGAAGGTTTTTGAAGACGTTTAGGAGGGAGGGTGAGTTTTCTGCTGAGAAACTCAATCTGCCATACAGTAGCGGCCCCATCTGGGATCTGTCACTGCTGACAGCACCAGAGGGCACAGCCGTGATCTTCTGCACAGCCTGCACTCCCCGAAATACCCTCCTTAATCAAAGGATGTCTGCGCGCCTGAGCTCAGCTGACCGCGCCGGGAGCACCAGGGCCGTTGGATTCCACCCCAGCCCGCCCCCTCCCCACGCACACAGCCACGGCCCCTCGCGTCTTCGCGGCACGTTAATTAAATGCGGAAAACAGACAGAGGCTGATGTCATTGCTCTCACAAGATCATAAACGTAAAAGAGTCATCCTGTGAGAATCCCTGAAAATGACTTTAATGAATAATTTCAGAGACAGTTATGACTTTGGGTGATTACTGAGCAAGAATATGAAAACCAGATTTGCAAAGCGAAGGCGATGGTCAAAAGGCCTGGCAGTTACTTTCTCTCATTAAAACCGCACCGGCTTTCCTTCTTCGCCAAGTACTAGTTACCAACTGAGGTTGCGTTTTCAGGTTTTCTTCTTCAAAATAACAGTCTTCTTTTCCTGCTTTTCTGCCTTATCCTAAAGACAAAATGTCAGCTCCAGGGAACGACATTAACAACCCACTTTAAATTGAAGGCAACTCTGCACTGGCGTCAGTGGCCATTGGCTTCCATCTTTTTACAAAGGTTGGATTTACTGCCATCTTAGGATCATATCTCTTTTGGCCTCTTCTCTAGGCAATGTATTTAATGAAGGTTGAACATTCTCACTGACCCTGAGTCAGTGCACTGTTTGTTGTAAAGGATCTCAGCTGGTGGGGCAAAAAACAAGTTCCAAACAACCTGCCTTTACAGAAGAGTCTCCCTGACTCTTTAGTTCTAGGTCACCAATGAACTGAAAAATGATTTGGTGCTACATTAAGGAATATTTTCAAACACTCCATCTGGCCATGGAGAAGCATCCAGTTGGTTATATCTGGTTGCTCATGCATTAAAAATACTATTTGAGAAAACAACTAGGGTGTTAGTTGTGGAAGTGGCCTGGTGAGTACCCTCTGATCTTTTGCACGAAGTTTAGCTGCCTGCAAGTCTGTCTTCTTTGCTTGAAAATATAAACTGGGACTCTCTGGGCCTGTGTCCCATGTGGATTTATTCCACTTAATTCAAGTAAAAGTTTGTTTATACTCTGAGCAAGAAAGTATTATAGGCACAAGTGATGTGGAGTTTTCAGTTTGCTTGTTTTTTGCTGTTGTTTGTTTGCTTTTGAGCGATCTGAGTGATTTAGAAAACTAATGTGTCTCAGTCGGCTCCACCATTCAGACAGATCATAGAGAACCCACTTACCAGCACTCTAGAAAACTGTACTTTGTGCAGACATTGCCTGATCCTCCCCTTTCTAGAAGCACAGATAGGCCAGAATCCTTCAGTCACTGAGGACACAATTGTCTAAAAGCCTCATTCCCTATCATTAGCCCCCAAACCGCAGAGCTGTTTCCTTCCCTCTTGGCTCCAGATAGGGGTGGGTGGGAGAGGGGACTAGGCTCTCCATGTGACATTTCCCTGACTTGAGAGGAAATGTTTCTTTCTGATTCTAGATTACATGAAGACACTTTGGAGTTGGTGTATAGGGTTTCCTCAAAGAACTGAGGTAACGTGGACTTTAGGGAATTTTCCTCAATTGGATTCCCTGTTTATTTGTGATACTATTTGTGTCCCCCAAATAGATCTTCTTGTTGCTCCACTCACATCATGAGCAGTTTTCCTTTTCCTCTAGTTACATTCACTCTAGCTTCTGACTGAAGACTCTGCTTGCCCTTTGTAGCCCGTGCAGGAATAAACAGCATCTTCTGGATTTGCTTTGAATCCTTGTGCTGCCCAATGAGTCAGAGGTGTAGGGTTGATCCAATAATATGGCTAATTCTCTCCCTGTAAAGACTTTAAATAATGTAGGCCTCTCTTCACCCATCCCCCATTCTCACCATCCTGGACTTCACGCGGGTCATGGAGAAGGTGTCCAGGGTGGGAGGCACGCTGGGTGGGTGTGGCCTCCTTTGGCACAGTGGTTCGGCATCCTCTGGGGGAGATTTTGAAAACTGCAGGCTCCGCGTCGAGCCCCTGACCTGCTGAATCAGAATTTCTGGTGAAGGTAGGGTGAAAACGGGGCTGAATTTGTCATTGTATCAAGTTGTCCGGGGAGTGGAAAGTCCAGGTGTTGGATTAATCCCAGCACCCCTTACTTCAGAAGAGACCAGGCTATCCCGCAGAACGCTAGGGTCAGAGGTCTGGGGCATCAGTCAGCCCGTCCAGGAATTATGCAAATATATGCAGCCTCTACTCTGAACACTGGGACGTAGTAGGGGACAAAGCTGCCGCCAGCCGTCCTCGTCCTTGCGAGGTGTCAGTGTTTGCGCCAGGGACAACTCCCTGGAGGGCTGGGGGAAGGGAGGGGCAAAAGAGGGTCCAGGGCCTCAGCTCGCTATGTACTTTAGGGTTTAATAACAGGTGCAAAGGCAGCTGCTAAAAGACATCGCATTCTGTAATCAGCTTCTGCCAGGCTGTCCGGCTAAACAGAAACTCCCACAATTTTGGCCCGAGGGCTGTAGGGCGGAGCGGGTGCCAGTGAGATGAGGGCAACCCTAAGAGGTGGCATAAGAGCCTTACCCCTAAGAGCCACCCCAACCCCATCCGGGGCTTGCACCGGCACCGCCTGGGCCGCAGTTGTTGCCTCAGGGAAGCTTCGCCCTGGCGCAGGGATAGAGCAAAGAAGCGACCGCATGTGGAAGGCTTTCCAGGCGGAATGCTCCAGCCGTAGCGAGTTGGAAAATTTAGAGTGGGGAGGGGGCAGTAGAGATGTTAACTGGCCCCTCCTCACCCCAAACAAGGAAAACACAGTCTTCTGGGCTAAAAATACATATTTATGAAGTCCCTATACGCAGGCAGGCGGCGCGTTCCAGCTGCCGGCCTGGCCCAGGGAGGACTTGGCCGCGCGGCCGCCGATTACACCCAACTCGGCTGGGATGGCTCCGAGCCGTCTGCCCTGACGTCAGCGAGGCTCCGGCCCCGCCGCGGCAAGATAGGCGAGCGCGGCCGGGCGCGGGTGCGGCACTAATCACTCCCAGATGTCCCTAATAGCGGAGATAAAGACGGACAGAGCGGCCGGGAATAAATTTGTAATCAGGGCTCTACCATCTGATCATCAAAGCGGCCCAAATGCCGGGAGAATTTGAAGGGAATGCGTGTGAGGGGGGTCGCTTGGGGGAAGAGGTGAGGGTGCACTTCGCGATGGGAACTGGCTTCGGTAGGGTAGAGCAGGGAGAACAGGGCGAGAGATCTGTAAGTTCGGTGCACGTAAGTCGGATACTCGGTGCTCTTTAACCTCCATTAGCCCTCAGACCGAAGCCGTTTAGCGGTTCCAGGCTGATTGGAGCTGCGCAGTTGCTGTGCGGGAAGCACGCGTTGCGCAGCGGCTGGGTGGTAAGGCGGCGCGATGAGAACTGTCCGGCCCCCGGAAACGTGGGATTGGTTTCCTCTCCCGGAGTTCTCCCCTCCCCCTTCTTTCTAAACATTTAAAAAACACGTAGTCCGTCTCCCCCAACCCCCATTCCCGGTAGACTTAATCCCAACAGCAATTCATTGCACCGCGGAGCTTCCTCAGGGAGGGGGCTGTTGGAGCCTCCAACCAGGGTCCTGGGCCCCAGTCTGAGAATGACTCCTGGGTTTTTCTCTCCAAGCGATCCGCAGGCTCTGACAGGCCAGGAGTCGCGCGCGTCCGGGAGACTCCTTAGCGCCCCCTCCTCACGTGGAGATCTGGACTCTCAGGAGCTGGGCCCAATGGAAGGAATGGGTACCCTTGGGTCACCAGGGTCCAGATTCGGCCCTCTACGGCGCCCATGCCACAAGCCTCCCTCAAGACCATCTCTGCTTGGCACCCACTAGCCAGCTCCTTTTCCAAATCTAGGAGCCTGGGTGGGACTCACAGGCAGGGAGAACTCAAGGCGGCTGTGGAAAACAAAATCGCGTGCCGCCCGCGCAATATTTGATTAAAGCTTCAGGGCTAACTGAGCGGTTTCTTGCGCTTTGCAGGCCCGCAGTGTATGTTCAGTCCCAGTTTTCCTGGCACCCTTTGCCCTGCTTATGTCCCCTGCACACACCTCAGGCCCTTGCAACTGGCCCGGGTTCTCTCTGCAAATCTGTAGTCTGGGAAGGAACTCCCGGGTCTCGTACTCCCTGCCGCTTTGCATTTGAGCTCTCACCTTCCTCACCCCTTCCTGCGAATTCCAGGTGCGCTTACCTCTCTTGTTCTCCTGCTACTTCACCAATCCGAGCGGGAGACTAGCTCTGCAATTCACGCCAAGCTGGGGCAGCGGCTAGCAGAGTCTGGTCGAAGGAATTGAACCACCTTCCACTCCCGACACACGCACAAGTGCTAAGAGGCCCCCAGGCTGCGCTCCCTGGCACGGCTGCTACGCTCACCTCATCACGACCAAGCAGCCTGGTGCTCCTACACCTAAGGAGGCAACCCAGACCCAGAGGTCCACCCTTCCTAGATGCCTGGGCCTGCTGGCTAACCCATCCCGAAAGCTGGAGCTTGCTGTCTCGGCCTGGAAAAGCCCTTTAAGTTGCTGTCAGTGCCCAGGCAATTGGGAGCGGGGCCCCCACTCTGCAGTTTTTCAAATTGCTTCCCAAGCTGAGAAGGGGTTTGCGCGCGCGCACACACACACACACACACACACACACACACCGTCTACAACTGGCCAAGCCTTTGCCCCTCCGGTGCTCCAGGGTTATCAGACGCTGGGCCTGCACAGCGGTCTGGGGCAGAGCCCTGACAGCCAGATCTACCATCAATTTACCTTCCGCCGCCGCAGCTTCCCATTTAGCTTTTAACGTCAAATCCTACATTTTTGTCGGCTCCGGCCTGTCTAGAACGCTTGTGATTTCCCTGCAGGAGTGATTGCTCTTAACAAAATGGCAGCAACCACATTATCCGAGCAATTAAAACAGAGGCCTTTTAGCCGGTCCCGCAAGTAGAGGCTTGGAAAATTTTTTTAAACAAAGAAGAAAAAGTTAAAAGAGAAATAAGTGTTGGAAGAGAAAAGCATGGAAGCTCAGAAGAAACGTCTGCCCAGTACGCCTTTCACTTCCTGGGACTTGACAACCTGGGGCGGGGATGTTGGGTGGCTGAGAGCGGCTGGGGTGACAGATAATCTGGGGTGTCCTGCAGGTTGAAGCATCTGGTCAGTTGGGGTGTGCGTCTGGTTAGGGGGTTCAGCCGCCTGCAGTGTCAGGCAGCTGGGCATTCTGCCGTCTGGGGTGTCCGGTCTGCTGGGTGTCTGGCTGGTTAGGGTTTCTGGCGAGTTGAAATGGCAGGGCGGGTGGGGTGACCAGGCCTAGTGTTGCTGGCCCTGAGGAAGAGGAGGCAGGCTGTGCTTGGCCGGGGCCAAAGAGGAGCGCAGGTTTAAAAAGCAAGTGTATTAGCAAGTTTCTCCGTAGCAATGGTGCGCCAGGGTCTTTTGGTTTCCCTCTGTTGTTGTTTAATAAGCCAGAGAAAGTGTTAAATCTGCAGAAGTGCCTTAAGGCCCAGATGGCGGAGACCAGCTACACAAGGTGCAGAGAAGCGTAGGTGCATGGTGAAGATAACTCCTCTCCGTTTCCTGTTTTTAAAACCTCACCTCCTCCGCCACTGTTTACTCCAACACTTTGGTAGGCTCCTTTCTTCCACGTCTAGGACCTGATGGCTTTCTCCTGAGCAGATTAAAATAAAGACGCGGAAGACAACTGGAATCAGGAGAGGGAGGGAACCACTGGATCAAACGCAGGAGGATTGGGAGAGCAACAGAAAATCAGGGCGCGCCTCCCCCACACCTCCTCCCCATGCTATAAACAAAGGCAAGTGTCTGTAAACACAGCCCCGCGCCCACCAGGTCGGCCCAGCGCCGGCTGACCCAAGGGGAGAAAGTTCAGATCGCTTTGGCCGAGTTGTTCTAACCCCTCGCCCTCGCGTTGTCAGCCGCCCGCAGAAGTCCGCAGAGCCTCTAGCTTGTCTCTCCCTGGGCACTTCTGAATTCGCCCACGCCGGGTCTGATTCGGCCTGCTGCAGGCAGAGGGGTCATAGTGGACACCAGCTAGGCGTGGGAACCCTTGGGACATCGCGGGAGGGTCTGTGCCCGAGGCCAAGTTGCGAACATCACCCTGAGGATGGGTTCCAGGATGGAAACCCTCTGGCAAGCCTCTCCAACACCAGATTTATATACGCGGCGTTCCATGAAACAAACCACTTTTTAATACGGTTCACCTTTCTCCTCCTCCCACCCCCTTCCAAAATCCCTCCCAGCCTCCTCCCCCCTTCCCGCAGCCTGCACAGGCACTTTAGTTTCTCCGGTTTCTAGAGCTGAGATTCAAGCTTCCGCCAAGGCTGCAGGCAAAGGAGGCCGCTGGGACTTTCTTCTGGGACGAGCTGGGACTCAGGGAGCCCAAAGACCCAACAGGGAGAGATCCCGGGTCCCGTGCTGCCGGTAGTCCCGGAAGGGTGTCGCTTGTTTCGCTGGGCTGCGGCCGGGAAGACTTCAGACACCGCACAGTTAATATTGAGTTCCCTGTAACTCCTTGTAAATCTAACCCGCCCCTCGCCCCTCTTTAAATCCGTGGTCTTGTTCACGATTTCTTACTTGACGTAAAATTCCTTGTTACCTAATCATGGACTTTTTCGAAACTCCCTCCACCCCCCTTTCCCGCCTGCTCAGATGAGAAGCCCCCGTATAGAATACAAGCAAAATCCTCTCCTCTCTTTTCTTTTTCCTTTTTTTTTTCTTGGATGAAAGCCCCATAGTTTGAATTAAACACCCCAGACTAGTTCCCGTTGCAGCAATAATGCCGGGGTTCTCCTCACAACTCCTCCACCAGAAACACTCTCCAAACAAAAACTGACGGCCTCAAGAAATGGCTTCTGATTGACTTCAGGAAAGCAAGAGCACCTTTACACCTTCTGAGCGAACTGCCGGACTGGGTTCTCCAGCCCAGATCTTCCTTCTAGAGACTACTCAGCGTTCTCCAGCTGGGGGAAGAGGGAAGGAGACACCACACCGACAAACCCCAGACCATTTGCAGGATTTGTAACAAGGACACTTCTCTTTAAGAGCACCTCCTCCTCCTGCGTAGGCCGCAGGTCAGGGTGACTGGTTGGAACCACTGAGTCTTTAAAATAAAGTTAGAGGCAATCATGATAATTTAGTTTACTTCTGAATATTTTAAATATTACGAAAACAAGTATAACAGCTTTGTTTTCAAAACTCTTTTGAGGTATCAGCCATTAAAAGATTAAGGTTTTTGTAAAAAAAAAACACAGTGGTTTATTGAATACTTACAACGTTTACACCTTCAATATTAATTAAATTCCATTTAGTTTTAGAGGACGGAAGTGCACAAAACAAGTGGCTGTTGGAAACATCTTCAAAGAGGGAACGACCACAGATGAATGGATAGCACTAGATACCGACCCCAACGGAAATGTTAGCGGCCCTGTTTTCTGCTTTGAAATAAAACTTTATAATACCCAGGAATATTTATATCCAAAGGCCAAGTATTAAAGATACACTTCACAAACGCACTAGTGCCCACTGTCTTTATCTGGAAGGGGTTGAGTAGGTTGGCGGGGGGCAACGCTGGTGTCTACACAGCCAAGAGGGAACATTCACGCACACAGAATCTATGAGACGACGGGATCCCTTACCACACGGGAGTGTCCTCTTCGTATTAAAATATGGAATGCTTTTCTTCAAATATCCACTTTTTTTTTGGAGGGGGAGACGGGGAGCAGATGCCTCAAAGGGGGTCAAAGAGAGGGGAAGGAAATTGCACATAAATAAACCGGATGATTCCAAATGCAAGGAGTCCTCAGAGCGGAGCGCGGACGGCTTTTCCGGAGTCCTGGGTCTGCATCTGGCGCCTTGGCCCCTGCTCACTCGCGCTCTCCTCCTCCTCCTTCTCCTCCTCCTCACTGCTTGAGCTCCAGGGCCCAGACGTGCTGCGGCCAGCCCGTCCGGCCTTTGGTTTTCTTGTCGTTGCTGCTCACTGTGCTTTTCAAGATTTCGTTCTGGACAGAGGAAAGGCGAGGGCGAGAAAAGTGGAAAGAGAAATTCAGAGAGGATACCTGGTTCCACACCAACCCGGAGCTTCCTGCGCCGGAGGAGACAGTGAACCAGAGAGGAAAGGATACGATGGGGGAGTCCCAGCCCCTGCAGAGAAGCTACCAAGGTTAGCGCTACCCTAGCCGGCGGGGAGGCCTCGGCGCTGCAGCGCTCAACAACCGGATCCACAAGTTTATAAACAACCGCCCGTTTTCGAGTCGTTTATGGAGGAGCGGGGGGCCTTTTCTCTTACTCCAGATGTAGGGGCGGGAGCTGGAGTCGGCGCTAAGTCTGGTTTCTCTGTTTTCATTAGCAATCCTAGATCCACATCTAGGAAAAATAGGGCGAAGGAGCCTCTGTTTCGGCCTGGGCCTCTCGGCCAGAGGCTCTCGGCCTCCAGCTCAGCAGTGCCTCTCCTCCAAGGCTTCTGAAATCTCTGGTTATTCGGGAGGTCACTCGATTATGCAGCCACCAAAGGGCTGCAGGGGCCAAAGAAGAAAAATTCGACAAATGCAATTATTTTCCGGGCCCTTCGTGGACATAGCTCTATCCTGCACCACTGCCCTGTGGGCACTTGGTAGGAATCTGAGAAAATTTTAAGCGGCTCAATTTACTTTCGTGTTATTTTTAATAACAATGACCATAGTAATGCCTTTTCCCCCTTAAAATGTACAGGCTTATTCAAATAAAATTAGAAATGCCAATGGAATATACTCATCTGGGAAATTACATTTTAACGTCATAGCCAAGGAAAAATTGGAGCTGTATTTTGAAGTCAAAAGTACTTATTTTATGTTTACCATTACGTTTTCCGGGCATAGTATGAGAACAACCACAAAACTCAGGGCTCAGTCTCTGGCAGCCTCCTTCTGGGAGTGGGGTAGGGGGTGCGATCAATAGTGAAATAATTGGAATCAAGGGCTTCTTCGAGACTTATTCTGGAAACATCTGAAAGCAAGATTGGATTGGAGGCCAAAAGAAGGGTCTAACAGAGACGGGGTGAGGCATCCAGACCAGTGCGATCGCGATCGATCGCGACCCAGAGTTTTCAAGGTCCGTCCTAAGTACTAGGGGAGCAGCGATAACCCGGAGGTAAGATCACCAGCGCAAAGCATCCCTAACCTTCTCCTCCTCCTGCTGACACCCTCCCCTCAACTCTCTGCTTATGCCGGAAGCCATCCTTACACAACCTGGTGCAAACAACCTTGAAGCGGGACGCAGCCAAAGAACACGAGATGCCATTTCTCAGCCCAATTGGAAAGAGGCCGGGAGCACCAGTTCCCTGACCCCCTCAGCCCCACCGCCTGCCGCCCCCTGGTACTGACCAGCTCCTTCTTCCTCTTCTCCTCTTTCACGTCGGTCTTCTTGATCTCTGCCTTGAAGGCCTCCGCCTCGCCATTCTGGTCGTCCTTGGCCAGCAGGTCCATGAGGTAGGCGATGTAGCTGGTGGCCAGGCGCAGGGTCTTGATTTTGGAGAGTTTGGTGTCGGCGGGTACGTTGGGGATGCACTCGCGCAGTTCGGCGAAGGCGCTGTTGATGCTCTGAGTCCTGCGCCGCTCCTTGCGGTTGGCGGTGCCTCGGCGCTTCACCGGGCGCGGCCCCCCCAGGCCCGGGGGCCCGGCGCCCGGCGGCACCCCCCCGTAATGGGAGTGGTCCAGGCCGGCGGCGCCGCTGGCATACTCGGGGCTGTAGGACAGGGCCATGCTGTAGTCGGGGGGCGACATCTCGGGGTGGCCGATGAGCCAGCCATGGAAGTAGGGGTTCTCCTCATGGCTGCAGCGGCTGGCGGCGGCGGCGGCAGCTGCGGCGGCGGCGGCGGCAAACGGGTAGCCCTCGTGGTGCACCACCGGGTGGTGGGGAAAACCACCTACCAGACTCATTTCGCCCTCCGCGCCCCTCCACGCGCCCCAGCGTGCGCGCAGCCCCGCCGCGCCCTCGGCCCGGGCCCCTGCCTCAGCGCTCGGCGTCCTCCCCCACCCCCCACCCCCCAGCCCCCGGGCGCCCGGGCCCGCCCGGCAGCCGCAGAGGGGGCTGCTGCAGCCCGGGCCCCGTCCCCCCGCCTGGCCAGCCGGGCCCGCCTCAGCAGCGCTGCGGCCGCCGGCTCCCCATGGGGCGCGGCGAGCTGGTCCTGGCACCGTGCGCCCCTGGCCGCCGCCGCCGCCGCCTCCGGTTCCCGCCTTGCTCCACGGCCCGCGCTTCGGCTCCTGCTTCCCGGGCTGCTGCGCGGAGGCAGAATCCTCTCGTGCTCATACAAAGGTGCCGGGGCTCCCGCGAGGCTGGTACGCGGAGTCTCGGGAATCCAAGCCCGGGCCGCGGTCCTGGCACCGAAGCTAACCCGGAATCCAGGGGCGAGTCTGAGCCGCGGCTGGAGGAGCCGGTCCAGCTGTGCCGGGGGGCGGCGGGGTCGACTGCTCACTGCAAAGCTACCTCCGTGCGACCCTCCCCTTCCCGCCTCTTCCCCTCCCCCCACCAGCCCGATCTGGGTTCTTGGGCGCTTATTGTTTTAATGAAATTTTTGGTTGTTGTTGTTTTGGTCCTTAAATGTGATTTTAGCTGCGAGTAACGTGTCCTCGCTCCTCTCGCGCTCTCTCGGAGGGTTTTCAGAGAGGTCTCAGTGCATCCATTTTCTCAGATCCTCTCCTTTCGGGGCAAGGATCTGGGGCCCTGAATGAGCCTTGGAGCTCGAAGACCGCGGCTCGGGCTCTCGGAGGGCTCTGCGCGGTGGCCGAGGAAGCTCCGGGGTGACGGCGGTGGTTCTCCTGGGCTGGACGACGTGAGGGGAGCAAGCGGATTTTCCCAGCAAGATCTCCATGTACAGCTACATCTTTAGGGCCGCTCGGGTTAATATATGTCGTCAGAGGCTCCTCACGCCAATCCCGGGGCGGCAGGGGCGGCGCCTCGAGCTCTCGGCAATAAAACTTTTTGATGTTCACGTTGCTAATTGCCGAGGTCCTCTTCCAGGATTGGCTACCTCCTCATAACCATAAGATAATTAAAACTTGGCGGGGGGGGGGGGCAGGGTTAAAAAAACTTTTTTTATCAGTCAGAGGATAATGCAAGTGTTTAACAGATGCTTCACTATTAAAATATTTTCCCCCCAAGTCTCAAATATTGAAGAATCTCTAACCAGGTACAGTATCACTCTGCTCTCTTTTCTGGTTGAAAAGAAAGAAAGAAAGAAAACGCAGGTATTGCTTTTCGAAGTGCTTTGTAGGTAATCGAGGTAAGAAAATATACGCAGGCAGCCTCTTACAATTTTATGCAGGGGCGCCGGGAGCCTCGTGACGGGCGGTGGGGGCCCCCACAAAGGCGCGGCTGGGAGCTGGCGCTCTTTGCCCCAGCAGGGACGAGGAGCGGCTGGAGAAGGGTGTTTCTTTGACCCGTTTACAGGCTCGAAACGCCGGTCTCAGTGGCTATTGAGTTACCCACCAAGTTACCCCGGTTAGAGCTGTTTGGGGTGGCTCACGTTATTGCGGCAAACTTTGGAGATGACGGCTGAGTCCTCCGGGCGAACATGTCAAGCCGATTGTAAATGCTGTTATTTCCACATCCTTCAGGGACACCAGTCCCTACGAAGACCTTGGGCGATTTTGAAGTGCGGGCACCTCGATTCCCCGAATCTGTAGTGTGGCTGGTATCGGTGTTCCCCTGGTTTAACTAGCCTGTTTGGTAAGTAACTGAATATTTTTTACGGCGTGTTCAGAGCTTATTTTCCAGTTTTTATGAACAAACATATAAATATATCTCTGCATTCCTGCCTCCCTCATAAAAGCGGGCATCTGTGGAAAGCAGGTTTAGTTATCGGAGGGGAACCATTAAACGCCAGTTTAAGAGGCAGGCCGGGAGGACGGCTCGTGGATGTTGAGACTGCTGGCCTTGGTGATCTTGAACGCATTATAACGGAAAATGGATCTCCACTTGTAAGTCACCGGGCCGCGGGGCACCCGGGCCGCAGCGCCCGTGTGGCATGAGCTTCTTGAGAAGGCTCACGTGCGGCGAGGGCGGGTGGTAAATGGCAGGAGCTGAAATCACCCCAGGCTTGGCCCCAAGCCGAGAGGGGAGGCTGATGTGTATATGCAGATTCCACCCGAAGGAGTTCGGTGTGGAAAACGGTGTCAACAGGAGCCCGCGGGCTGTAAATTAGAGGGAGGCGAGGGCCTGCGGCGCCAGCGCGGGACAGGGCGGCCTGGGGCTCGCCGCTGGTCAGGCCAGGTTAGCCCAAGGGAGACCAAAGACTCCACCTTGAGCATCGCCCTTTGGAGGCGGGCAGAGTCCGGCCGCAGGCCACAAAGCGATCCCCACCCGAAGGACTCCACAAGGACAGTCCTTTCCTTGCTCACCGCCGACAAAGTGGTTGGGGCAGGAAGGCGAGGTCAGTGCGAATGGAGGGCGCCCAACTTCGGTGTTGCAGTTGACTCTGTGCTCGGGCTCTGCCCTCCACTAGCCCTAGAGTCTTGGGCAGCAGGATTGAGAAATATATATATTTCAGGTTTGCCGCGGCTGGGCGGTAGGAGACAGGGACTTAAAAGCCCAGGATTAGAGTCGGTGCAGGGCCCATTCTTTTTCTAGGAAAGGGGTTAACATCCTTGAACGTCCCCAGACAAGCGTCTTAAAGCATTGAACCTAGAATAGGGATTAACTGAAACTAGGCTCGTTGGTAAGCGCCAGGGGCTTGCAGTTGAGCTCGGAACAAAATAGTGACCTACTGCTCTAAACCCCCAACTTGCGTGGGTCTGCAATTTTTTAGCACAAGGAGAGCCTTTTAAAGACCTGGTTCTTCAAGGAAAGAATGCAGGTAGTGTGGTTGGGGGTTCTGTTTACATTTTCACCCGGAGGCAAACCCCGAATGTGTAAATACTGGTAGTTCAATTCTCTGACATTTGATACGTTTTTGAAAAGTCTGTTTATAAAAACACATTTAGGCCTTGGGAGCAGGTAGACAAAGTAAGATTGCACTGGGGCTGGGAACATATAAAAATTCAGGGAAATTAGTTGGTTGGCTGCTTTAAGACCCAAAGGGAGTTTTGGGAATTGAAGGGAGGAAGAAGAGTCCAGAGGAGGGCTGAGTTAGGGATTGAGATGCTCTGTCCACCAGAGACCAGCGGTGAGTGGCCTCACTTTTGAAAGCTTCAGAACTTGCCACATTTAGCTTTTCTCATGCTTTTAATTGAAACAAACAAACAAACAAAAATGAATGAATTACCTCGTGGCTCCAGATAGCATTGCAAGTGGTAAAGGAAATGGACAACATGGTACAGAAAAAAGAAATCATAAAAGATGCTAATCTGAACATCAGTTCTCACTCACAGTGTCATTATCAGTTAACTGCTGTGGTCCAAGGGCCTAAGACTTGATGTGGCTCAGAAACCCAAATCCAGAGGTCACTGCCTTAGAAAGCTGGCTTGATGAGAGGGGACAAATGGATGAACCCTAGTGGTGTCCCCAACTGTAGTAACTGACTCAGGGAGGCCAGGCTGGCCCTGACTGGTTGAGCTCTACCCTAAATGCACAAACGCATCCACTTTTCTCTTGCAGTGTCCTTTGGCCTGTTTTGTTCCAGGTTTTCCAGGATACTGGGTTAGCCTGCTCCTTTGGGAAGTTGTGAAGCAAGGATGCCATCTCAAGTTTGCCCTCAATTTAGGTGTCCTGGGCATCCTGGTGGTAGTGATGGAGGTGTTGGCAGTGGTGGCAATGAAGGAGAGGGTGGTGTTGGTGATGAGAGGGAAAGTGGGAGAAGAAAGGGAGAAAGGCACAGTCCCTGACATCGATGTCAGCATGGGGACCCCACTCCTGGGCTGCACTAGTGTAGCTGCTGATGCACATGTTGTAAGTACTCAAAGGCCCAGGGAACTGGCTTGCTGGGGGCTCCTCTGGGTGCCTGTGGAGGAATCTTAGCTAGGAGTGCTTCTCTGCCTCTCCTCAGAGGCTGAGGGCTGAGCCAAAACCGGCCTTACTCGTGTCCAGAAACTGCTTCACAAGGAGGCAGCCCAGGTTTGGGTGAGTGTTTGGGATTCTGTACCTTTGTTGTAGCTGATGGTGTACCTACTGTACTGCACATGTCAACTGCCTTCAGCCAAATAGACAGAATCTGGTTCAAGCATTTATTTTGCTCCTCATGTCTCTTGTCTCTTTGCCGTCACTGCTACTTCTTTCTCTGGAAAAAGACGGAAAGAGCAGCAGAGAGGCTGAACATGGCCATGCAAACATTTTGGTCTTGTGAGATATTATTATACTTGAAAAAATCAATCTGGTTTAAACTAATTTTAAAAAAATCTTTAGTTAGGTTTTAGGGAAAATACAGATTGTCTCAGGGTGTTTATTATTTCAAAGGCAAGGGCAGTTTATATCCTCTGTTTTGCTCATAAGAACCCAAAATAAACTGGACCCAAAAAGAATCAGGCCAGAGGGTCATAAATGCACATTTTATGTTCATGGGAATTATGGCTCAATTCTCATCATCGTCTTTCAAATCTTGTTTCACCTTGTTTTTCTAACCAACATAGTGGAAGTGACTCTGACCGTTCCCTTAAGAATCTTTAATGCTCTTACATGAGATGAGCCTCAGAACAAGCTAAGAACCATCGAAAGAACATCAAGCCTGGAAGGTGACAGAAGGAGCAATGTGTTCTTGAAGATGTCACCTCAGCCCACCTGCTCCAAGGACAGTGCTTCTTGCGACACTCTGATAGCTCTGCATTCTTTTCTGTACCAGGGTAGGGTGGAGTCATTTTACATGCTATCCACTTAGTCCCAGGATGTTTAGGATGCTCAGAACAAGGCATATTGTCTGAGTGGTGGCAAGGGTCTCCCTCTAACTGGGGTTGTGTAGTCCTTCCTGTTTGTGTAGTTCTTCTTGTATAGTCTTTTCTTGTTGGCCTTTGAGAAGTAGTTGTCTACAGACATACCAAGTGAAAGTGGCTCCAGAAGTGTCGTGCTGCTCAAAGTACACATCTGCAAAGCAGAATCAAATTTTGTTGGATTTGAGTGTCTATTTCAAAAAAGGAAGAATAAGAAAAGCTGCCCTTGTGTCTTGTGAGGTTTTTTTTTTTCTTCTTCTTCTTTTAAGCAAGTTTTTTCCTCTTCTTTTAAGCAAGTTTTTGGTTAAGGGGGTGGCATATTTAGGGGTTGGATCCTCTTCCTTTCTCTTCCCTACATGGAGAGATGGAGGGGGAGGGGCTAGTTCAGCTGAATGATGACAGTGGAGGGGCTGATTGCTTATGAATCCTTCAGTCCAGCTCTAATTAGAAAACAGTTAAGTTGGTGGAGAAAATCAGGGCTTGCTTAGTGCCTGCACATTCCCTCCTCCTCTTTCTCCTCTCCCTCTTTCCCTTCTTTCTTCCTTCCACCCCCCTCCCTCCCTCTCTCTCTTCTTCTCTCCAGTTCTCCCTTGTAATTTGCCGTCTAGCAGCATTTGGGATTACAAGGTTTTTTTTCTTTTCTTTTCTTTTTTTCCCTATCACTGAATCTGCAACTGGCATGGAAGAATGAGATACTGATTCATGCTGAAGTCTTTTAAGAAAAATCTTAATATCCACAGTCAGTAGAATTTTCCTTTCTTTCTAAATAATCAATGACTAGATCCTCATGTTAACTGGTAGATATGTTGCTGCACTGGAGGGTTTTCATTGATAAGGAAGAACTAAATATTTTTCCAGGTGTCTAAGTGTGTCTGTAAATCTAAAATCCTCATTCAGACTAAAGGGACCATAAGATAACCCCGTGAAGGCCTCAAAGAAGCAGCATGATGTAGATACATGGGACGTATTATTAACGTTATTATACTAGTCCTAAGAGGTACAGTAAATCTGATCTTTGTTAATCTTTGCTACTTTGTAGTAAAATATAGAGTTTAGAGCAAAACCGGTCTGAGAACCTACATCCCATAGGATTTATGTTAAATACTCATTCAAATTATTGCTTCAAGCAAATTACATACACACTAGCGACATTTTCTTTCAAGCCGGGAGGAAATCACTCAACATTCAGATGAGGAAGTGTGATTTTTCATACGTGTTCTACGGAAATAGTAAATAATGGACTTCACCTAGTCTGCAGTGTATTATGGGGTTCAGAATAAAATATGAGTTCAACTGGCAATTTCAAATGCGGCTTTGGAGAGAAAACATTTATTTGACTGAAAGATTTGCTTCTGACTTGAGGCCCAGGAACATTCCCAGTTTTAACTGTAGTGTTGCATTCCTGGGAAGTTCTGTTCCATAGCTTCCTTTGCAAATTCATGTAGATGGATTTCTTTAGCTCTGACAGTTTCCTCCAAACCTTTCCTACATTCTTCCAGGGCCTTTGCTTATAGACAGGGGAGTTACACCAGGATGGTTAGGTTTCAGGTTAACAAAAAGAAACACTTTTATTGTCAATATTAATGGCAAACCTCGATTTTTACAAGGCTTGGGTTTAGCAGTGTGAGCAGATCAAAAGCAGCTTGGTTTGATTTCTCAATATTCTCTGGAGCTTAGACAATTAACTGCAATTTTGCTCCTAACAAAACAACACAAAAAAGTTAGTTACAGAAATGTTATAGGTAATCTTTTGGCAGAGATTTTTACCTGAGTACAACATATCAGAATCTAGAAAATTTATCTACTGAACTTGAGTTGAGTTTTGCAGGAAAACCCCTTAAGAAAATCTTGTGTGAACTACGTCCTCGGTTGCAATGCCATGAGCCTGTTTCAGTGTGTGCATTCCAGGCTTGCCTTTCTAGCTGGGTAAGGATCCGGCAGACTGAGGTCTCCTTGGTAATTTGGGTACACCAAGTCTCCAGTTAATGATAGATAATCAGCCTTTGGGTCATTCGGTCATTCTCTTATTACAAACCCCTCCTGCTCTCTCTGATCTCCTTTCAAACTAAATTTCACACAAACAAATAAAGCAAGACAGGGACAAGTTCTTAAAAAAAGAGAGAGAAATATTAGAAACGCCTGATACAGAACTCTAAACAAGGAAAGGCAAGCTAAAAGAGGATAGGAAAGAACATCTTATCAAAATGAACATGTTGTGTACAAAACATTAAAAGAAAAGGCTCTGGTTTTTGTTAAAGTGACAGAAAATTAAAATAAAAATAATTGCAGGCACCAAAGTTATAAACAGGGAAGGCAGGATGCTAGCTGGAAATGCGCAGCACTAGGGAGCTAATTTGTTGTTACAGATTATATATCTGCACCCTGCTTGGAGAAGTGCTACTTTGTTCCATTTTCCAGAAGAGAATGGTTTTTCTTCTTAATACTTGTGTGAATGCCCACTTAAGTTAACACAGGCCACAACTTTGAGGAATGAGAAATGGAATTGCATTCTGCTTGCGAAGCATCCAACTTCAAACGAAGAAATTGGTTGTGTACAAAAAAAAAAGTAGAATTTCATTCAGAATACGTTTGGAGACTTCACTAAATTGGTGTGACTGATGCTTTTTTGTTTTGCTGACAGAAGGCACAGATCATTCATGGGGATGTATAACCGAAACCAGTCCTCTCCACCGCCTGGGGATCTTCACTTTCGCAGTCTACGACTGCCTGTGACTCCAGAAAGACAAACTGCAGATTGGCCAAGGTACATCTCAGATCAGATCCCTCTGGGAAAAGCGCGGGAATGCTTGGCTCTAGTAGTTAGGAGCTCTGGTGAGAGCGCCCCTAGTGCCATTTTCCCATCCCTGCCCTTGACAGTCCCCTTTGGTCTAAATTCACGGTTCTAGACAGTCAAAGTCTACCTGCTGGGTGTCCACTCTCAAGCCATAGGTTTTCAATCCTAAAAGGGATTAGGACCTTGGCTCAAAATGTGGTCAACGCAGTGTTCAAATTAGGAGGGCAGCTGGGAGATGGCAGCAGGGGATGAAAGTATGACTCCTACTTCGTCCGCAACTGTGGGTCTGGCACCTCTTGACTTGCCAGTATGCTGGCAAACAACCCATCTCTCTTGGAGAATCCACACTTCGTTTCTTCTAGGTCCAGCCTAAATGTTACCTCCTCCAGGGAGCCTTTCCAGATACTGCTTCTCCTCTCTCCCCCAACTCCCTCCCACAAATGAAGTTTTCTCTTCTGAATTCCTTGCTGGTACTGTCACTTATATTCTTTTGGGTAGATCTCTGGGCATGCATATGTCACCTCCTGTGACTGTGGGTTTCTTGACAACCTAATCAATGCATTGAACAAAGGAGATGTTTAGACAACCCATATAAAATGAATAAGAGAAATAGGGTGAATACCGTCTACCCCAATTGCAATCAGATTAGTTTCCTTTATTTTGAAAACGATTAGAACTAGTAGAGGAGTTAGATGTGGCCCACTAGGGAACAAATTTTCATCTCCAAGCCGTCCTCTGGCTCGATCGGGTCTGCACTGGGTCTGCATCAACTTGCGCTGGCTCAGAGGGAGGCTCAGCCCCAGCCTGGCCTTCCTGGTGCCCACTCCCAACATCCTGAGCAGGGCCGACTCTAGGCACCCCACGATTAGCTGAGTGATCTAGGGCAAGGACCTAGGCGTCTCTAAGTCTTAGTTTCCCCATCTGAACAATGTGGATAATGACACGTACCTGGGGTGGGCAGGCTAGAGTAAATGGGAAAATCAAAGCGCCAGCCAGAGCGGGTCGCACTGTTAGTTCCTGTATTTTCTCCTCCTGCCTCTGGTTTCTTCCGTTCCGTTCTAGCTGCCTGAAGACCCAGCCCGACAGCGATGCCTGTCAGCCCGCGTCGCCCACCAGGGCAGCTGCTCTCCCAACTCGCATGGGGGGCACCACCCCGCCTCGGTGCCCTAGAGCTGAGCGCAGCCGCGGCTCCACGGGGATCGCCAGGGCCTCAGCCCTCGCGGCCGGCGGCGCGGGAGTGTTGCGGGGCAGGGACCAGAGCGCGATCAGAGCGGCCACCCCCGATTTAGGTCGCCAGCTTTCCAGTCACTGCGATGGCCACTGGGGCGCCCCTTCCATCCTGGTTAAATTCTCATTGTGATCCCCAGCCCTCTTCTCGGTTCCCCACACCCAGGAGGCCGGTTCTCCGCCGCTCAGGCTGGGAGAGGTCACCGCTCCGGGCAGGGTGGACCCCCAGCTCCGTCTCGGAGGACCTTTCGCCGGAGGCGAGCAGGAAGGGGTTAACCATGAGCCTCCCACCCTCACCTCCCAGACCCTGGTGCCGGGCTAAGGCCTCCGCTTCCCTCCTGAGGTCTCATTAGGAAACCCTCACCGCTATTTTCAACATTTCCTCAATCAAGTGCCTTTAAATAGAGCTGCACAAACAGATTGGCGGCAAAAGCGTAGATCTTGTCACGATTGAGACCAATCCAGTATTTCAGCCTTGTTTGCTTTGCAATTACGGGTTGGCTTGTGGCTACGGTGCCACCGGGGCAAATCTGCAGCCGCTCGCTTTCTCCTCTGCGCTCCGGGCGGGTGGAGGAAGCGACCCGCGGAGTCACTGCAGGGAGGAGAGGGGGACGCGCGCGGGGGGAGGCGGCGGAGGGCGGAGGAGACTCGCTTGCACCCCAGGGCCGCGGGCACGCAGAGCTGTGTTGAAGGACATACTTTTCAGGTTCCTGACAGTCACTGAGCTATACGCAATAATAAAGTGCGTGATTCGCGTGTGGAAACCAGTGTCGTGTCCTTACCAGCTTCCTTTTCTGTCCACCTTCCCTCTCTCTTCTACCTCCGTTTCGCTTTTCTTCAGTGCATGTTAGCGGTTTGCTGGATTTCCCTTCTCCCTCGCTGTTCAACTGCTAGCATGATTTGTTACATTTTCCACAGCTGTTTATTCTTGTTTGACTTTTTGTACAAAGTCACTTTAAATCTGCTGCAGAAAGAATAAAGCACCTAGCCCTTTGGATGGACTCCTGCAGGCGTGTGGCTGTCCCTGGCCCACTTTTAATTCTTTGGAGATGGCTCTTCTGTGTAAATCAGCTGCTGGGTGCGTTCGGTCACCTCGTAGGCCAGCCTAGTTTGTATCAGCAGAACAGTAGTGGACTCGACTCAGGTCGTAAGCCTTATATTTCACAGACAATTAAATCTTGGCTGCTGTTGAACAAAACTGTAATATTTACTTTGTTCTATACCGAGAAGCACTTTTAAAGTAAAAAAGAAAAAAAAACCAAATACTACACTTCAAAAAGAAAATATGACAATGAATCTCTTTTTATGGATTCTCTCTGCATAAGTGGAAACAATATGATTTAAATCCCCAACACCCCATCCCCCTTTTCAGACACAGCTGAAGTGATACAGATACTGTCTTCTAACACATAATCTCCCTCTCTCGGGAGAGGCACCTGCCTGTGCTACATTCGATTTAGTTTGTAAGGTTTCAGGCCCCTCCCCGACCCATGTAATATGTAACAAGGATTATCAAATAATAAGGTCTTGGATGTGAAGTCTGCTTTACACAAGAATTCAAGAAAGATAGGCAGGACTTGAGTAATTATGTTACAACTTCATATTACTTTCCAAATGAATACCCATTTTCTTCTCATGTCAACTTCTAGAGATGGGATGCTGAGGCAGAGAAATATTTTTATGAGACTCTGGAGTACATACTAAAATGTGCTTCCTTATTATTTAAGAATGTGTAAGGTATGGACCTACATTTGTTTGCTGGTGGTCATAAAATAAATTCATAGCCATTGTGGCCAATAAGCAATCTCCTTCACGCTTTAAAAGTTTTTGGTTTATAATCCCACCTGGATTGTATTTTCACTATTCTGTATCACCCTCCTATTGCAATATTTTGGTTCTCAATCTTATGTAAAGCAAACCTCAGAAATGATCGTTTCCATAAAATTGTGCAATGGCAAAGCCACAGAATAATATTTTGAGTCCATATAGCCGTGCATGCTCATCTATATAGCTCTTATACAGTTTTCTAGCTGATTGCTTTGGTATTTCAAGAAATAGGAAGCAGTAGCTACCTATTTTAATGAAAGGGTACCATTTCATAAGAATTCTATTTTCACTGAAAAAATTGGTCTGGCACATTATTCAATGCAAAAGATTATAATATTACTTTCACGTGTGTTAATCTGTTTAGTATAAAACTGCTAGGGTGTCTTAACCATTAACGCGTTTTGCCACACTACTTTCAAATGGTGATCTGAGATAATTACGAAGATTTTGATGTTAATCCCACGTTAAATGAACAACTATGAAAATAATCTTAAAGCATTATTACTCCCATATACATGCCAGCAAACCCAATTGTGGAGAGAACATGATTACTTTTTATCTGACATTATCCTATAAGGATATGGCTACATTTATTTCTTTTAAAATTGGAGCAGTTTTCAATTACTTTTTAACAGAATTGTTTTCAACACAGCATTTTGCAGTGCCCATAAACCATAGCAACTTTGTCCTGATCGATACATATTTTTCTGCATTATTATTCATTAGCCTCTTTGCAAACTCACTAAAATAGAATAGTATTAAAGTATGAATATATAGAGAACAATTATTAGGTTCTACATATTTATTTAGGTAAACCAATGTTATTAAAATTAAAAACATGTGCCTGGCATATAAGTGCTTCTTCAGGAATTCTTTTTTGGATGCATAGTTATTATTTTTTAAACAAACTCAGATTTTCAAACACTGATTTTCTTCTCTGAACGGGCATTGCATTGTTTTAAACAGTAGCTCCTGGAATAATGCCACCTTTAGTATTTTAGACTTTCAAACAACAATTGGAATTGGATAAATGCTTTCAGCTGGGAGCACTTTCCTAATACCTTTGTAGGTAATGGGATTCTCTATTTGTGCTGGGTGACAAACGGACAGTGCCCTGGACAGACTGCCTACCCTCTGCAGAATCTACCAAAAAGTAGAGTTTTCCCATGAGACTGCTTGTGGTCCATCTAAAAATGAAAAAATAATCAGAGAAAATGCGCAAAGCCTTTTCTAACTACAGTTATGAAATGATGGCTTAAAGAGGTATTTAGAAAATAAGAGTGGAGTAATACAGAAACAAAATCTGAAGAAGAAAGTTTGCTTAGGAGCTGATGCTCTTTGTCTACAAACAAGAGGGTAAGGAGCTGGATCCAATTGAATTGAATTGTTTTTGTTTGCTTGTTTGTTTTCTTCCATTCAGTGCCTTTCAAACTGTTTTTTACTGGATGAAGAAACTCAACCAAGAAAATATATGTCGATTCTTGTATATGGGACAATATTAGCTGCTGTGATTTTTAATACTAGCATAAAATATAAGAATCTTTTTATTACTGTGATATTGTTTTTTCCTAAATGAATGCATAGTGTAACAATTGGTGTCAAAAAGCATTGAATTTTTTTCAGATGGATTAAGCTGGAATAATAAAGTATATCTATGAGATGATTTCTGTAAACTCTGACTTGCTGAGAAAAAAGTGAAAAAGCTTTTTCTGGAAGAAACATGGCAACTTAACCGTTATTAATCTGGACTAAATAAAACAGGAAACTGCTTCTTTACATTTCTAGTAATTTTTTCTGCTTTTCCAAACATTGTTAAGTTCTATGCAACTTGTGCTATTCAAGTAAAGATGATGTCAGTAATAAAATTACAGAATCTAATCAAGTGACTATTTTTGCTTTATTACAAAATTTATGTATTTAATTGGGATGTTTAATTGCTTAGTTTTTAGAACACTGAATTTTTCTTTTTCCAGACAACAGAGTGATATTTAATGAAGTGCTTATAAAGATAAATACGATGGTTCATCAAAGATAAAATAGTCATAATAACAAGATGGCATTTGAGTCAATGTGGAGTGGACTCTGCTTTGTAAATTATACTGCTTTTTAAAAGCATGACCTAGGTATTTACAATGGGGACATCTGAGAAGAGAAACTCAAGAGTCCTCAACTTACACAGCCAAGAATACACAATCATGTAGGAGAACTTGCCCTCAGAAGCATTTCTCTATTGACATTGCCATTTCTTTTCCTCCATCTAGTACTTCCATTTGCTCTATTTCACTAAAAAGTCACAGAATTAAGAGTGGCTGCTGCAACTCACTGGGCTTTCTCTGCTTAAAAAACCTTAATATCACATGGTATTAATACAGCTACATTAATAATTGAAAGATTCACTCAGCTGACCCTATGATTTTTCTAATTATTGTTAACTATCTGAATATTTGGAAATAATTGTATTTTTCCACTGACTTTTTCTCATTGCCTTGGGTACTAGAAGGTTTTTTTTTTTTTTTTTTTTTTTTTTTTAGATGGAGTTTCACTCTTGCTGCCCAGGCTGGAGTGCAATGGCGCGATCTTGGCTCGCTGTAACCTCTGCCTCCCAGTTCAAGTGATTCTCCTGCTTCAGCCTCCCGAGTAGCTGGGATTACAGGTGCATGCCACCATGCCCGGCTAATTTTGTATTTTTAGTAGAGACAGGGTTTCTCCACGTTGGTCAGGCTGGTCTTGAACTCCTGACCTCAGGTGATCCGCCTGCCTCGGCCTCCCAAAGTGCTGGGATTACAGGCATAAGCCACTGTGCCCAGCCGGGTGCTAGAAGTTTTAACATATAACTTCAGACACAACTGAGTAAATAGTTAGCTGTATATATTTTATTGTATTGTTATTTATATTATGTCGGCTTTGTGTCAGAAAGGATTTAAAGCACTTGTTTCAAGAATTGGTATGCTATATTTTTCAAAATCTGTGTATAAAAATAATTCCCATAAGTACCACTGTAATTTACTTTTCATGTGTATTACAAAATCAGTTATGTGTTCTGGTAAACATTTTGATCCCAAGAGGAAGCAGGATTACATTTAGAATGTGACAAATTTTAAAAATTAATTTTGTTGTAAAGAAATCTTTATAATGATATGCCATAAAGTTATTACTATGCATGTAAGGCCGCATACCATAGTGATTAAGAGCAGGTCCTTGGAGTTAGAGGCACAGTCTGAACTTGACTACAAAAGTTATCAGCTGTGTGATCTTGGGAAAGTAACCATTCTCAGCTTTAGTTACCACAGCTGTAAAAGGTGGATAATAATTATAGACTCTGTCCTGTTGTTGTGGTGAACATTTAGTGAGACGACTCACATGAGGGGCTGGCATAGGGTAAGTACTTACTCAATATCAGCTGTTCTCTTTGGCATAGCTCTGTTAGAGTGGCATGCCACAGTTACCTTCTTGAGAGCCACTAAGCGTGGGAACGGTAACAGTCCACAGAATTTTTGGAGATTGGTATGAGGAGGCTGCATTGGCTCCCAGCCCTCAGGGTTGACAGGGTGAAGGTAATGGCTTCTGGCTGTCTTTAGAGCTCCCAAAAGATATGAGAAGATGGTTCTAGTGATGACAACCCACTGTTCTGTCAGTGGAAATCTAGTTTTATGCCATCTTCATCATTCGTGGTGTAGTCTATCGGTGCCTGACACAAACGTCTAGAGTGGGGAAAATAACACCTTAAAGAAATAGAATATCTTAGGTCCATGATTTGCCTGCTGTGTTTATTATGTACCCCAGCAGTAAAATATTTTAAGTATATTTATTTGCAAATCATACATCTGTACATCTTTACTGATATGTACATGATAAACCTGTGCAAAAAATAACCTAAAAAGGGGTAAGATTAAAATGAAGAATTAGACAAAAGGTTTAAATGTTTTAAGGTAAGATTCAGCATCATCAACAGTGGGTATAAATCCATACTTCAAATAGCCTTGGTGGTTTAAAAATCCTCTGGTTGATTTACCTTTGGATTCATATCATCAGTGTTTCCGTCTTGTTTTGTGGCTGAGAAGAGGAGGAGCAGTGTCAGTTCTGCCATTTTCCTGTCAATGGTTTATGTCTGCCTTCTTGGAATCATATTTAATGAAAGGTTCTTTGCAGGAATATTTTTAAACCCCTTGTTCATTTGGTGAAGATTAGTTTAGTTAAAACTGGATTATATAATATATTTCAATCTAACTGAGCCAGACAAATTGTAACACATTTCAGGCCATGTGTGCTTCTAAGAGGGCCACTGTTAACCCCTCTGTGGTCAAGAGCTCCCCCTTCCCTGAGGTTACCTTGTGTGCTCAAGGCAGCTGAGTAACATAAGAAGAAGCAAGGGTGTTGATGCCAATGGTTACCCTATTAGTGAACTCATTTCTGATTGTTTGTATGAAAACAAATATGATTTCTGTTATAATCTTCTGACACCCCATTCCTTGGGGCACCACTGTCCTAGACTCTGAAATCACTGTGGTTCCTGCCATTTCTTGACCTTGACATTCTGTGACAGAATGAAGGAGACCTTAGGTTCAGTGGACTTCATTTTCTATAACTAGCTTTACTCTATTGATCACATAGTGGTATAGCTCTTCAGTGTTTGCAAATCAATGTTCACATATTTCTGTCATTTGAACTCAGCATCTTTATAGGGCAGGTAGAGAAGGTCTGATTCTGTCCATTGTAAAGATGGAAGAGATGAAACCACCAGTGTTGCTGACTGCAGATGGAAGATAATTGCGTAAGTTCACACAGCGGTAGACCTGGGTTTGAATTTGTTTTTGAAAGCAATATCATCCTGATTCTTTTCTATCATGTTAACACAATTTTTAAATGATATTCATATTCATCTGAATGGAGTAGAGACAGACAGTTATATAGTAGTTGCAAGTTTAGCTTTTAAAGAAACTGCCAAACTGTCTTCCAGAGGCTGTACTATTTTACATTCCCATTAGCAGTATAGGAGTGATCCTTTTTCTCCACATACTTGCCAACATTTCTTGTTGTTCTTATTAAAACCAAACAAGTGGTGCTGGGAATGCATTAAGAGAAAACATATATATTATTAATAGAATAAATAATAATCAATAGATAATGTGCAGGAAGGGGATTTGCATTTACGAAACATCTATTGTATCCTATGTTCTTTACACATATTATCCCTTTAATATAGTTCTATACTTGCAGGGACAGGTTTTGCATGTAAAGAAATTGAGGTTCAGAGATGTTAAATAATTTGTCTAAAGTACACAGCATTTAAATTGTAGAGTTTAAACCAAAGGGATCTGGTATTAAAAAATTCCAGGTAATGTTAAAATAAAACAATGCATTAAATTTGAAAGTCTTTCTGTTACTTTTTGTTCCAAATTGGATCTCTGTCTTTGGCTAAAAATCAACCATGACAACAAGAAATGTTGGCAAGTATGTGGAGAAACAGGATCACTCCTATACTGCTAATGGGAATGTAAAATAGTACAGCCTCTGGAAGACAGTTTGGCAGTTTCTTTAAAAGCTAAACTTGCAACTACTATATAACTCAGTTATTGTACTCGTCAGCATTTATCTCAGATAAATGAAGACTTAAGTTCACACAGAAATATGTGCATGAATGCTTACAGCAGCTTTAATAACAGTGAAAAACTGGAAACATCTCAAATATCCTTCAATGGAAAGACAAACTTAACCATTCTGTTAACAGTTAAGCATGTATGGTTAATCGTGGCACATGGAATACTACTTGGCAATAAAAAGGAACACATTGTTGATAAGTGCAACAGCCTGAATGGATCTCCAGGGAATTATGCTGGGTGAAAAAATCCAAACCCAAAAGGTAACACACTGTATGGCTCCATTTATATAGAATTCTTGAAATGACAAAATTATAGAAATGGAGAAAAGAAAAGTGCTTATCAGGGGTTAAGGAGCAGTGGGGTGGAAGAGAGGTGAGTGTGGCCATAAAAAGGCAACAAAATGGATGCTTATGATAATGGAAATTTTCTGTATCAATGTCAGTATCCTTGTTGTGATATTGTACTGTGTTTTTGTAAGATGTTACTATTGGGAGAGACTGGGTAAAGCGTGCATGGGATCTCTATTATTTCTTACAACTGCATGAGGATCTACAATTTTCTCAAAATAAAAAGCTTAATAAAAATGCCTACTGATCTTCAGGAAGTTCAGTTCCCTGTTTTCCATAACTGATCTGAAAATAGGGGAAGGACAATTGAGAATTTAGGAGTTGTAAACTCTGAGGCTGATTTTCAGCGAACTACTCAAATTATTCTGATTTTTCCCCTTGATTCTTATTATGGATTGTAGGACATTCTTCCTACTATTTTGGAGAAGAAAAAATGCCACCTCTCTATCATAGGACTTCTGTTTTACATATGATTTAAAAATCTATTAGCTGACTAATTTACACACTAGAAGATGAAACTTGGTTACATTAGATTCCATTGCCACAATTTATTTTAAAAATCAGAGTTCTCATCTTTCTTGTTTCTTCTTCCTGCCTTACTTTATTTTCTTTTTTCCTTATTCTATTTGAACCCATATTTTCCTATATTGTACTGTTTAGTCTAAAAACTAGTAAGCATGCATATTGTTGATTAAATTAGCAATTGACGCTCTTAAAATGAGAACTATAAAGACTCTTGAGCTTCCACACATTATGCTATGCTTGCCATATGCTTGGGTGTTCTTATTTTCGGAGAGAAGTAATGGAGATTATAAATGTTATTTTTAAAATTTACTGGTGATTTGTTGAGAAGATAAAGTAACAACACTATTACAGAGGGTTGCTCTTGATCTCCCAGGCCACCAGTGCAGTCACCGAGCCCTCTGCAAACACCTGATAATGCTGAAGAGTGTGTTAGTCATTGTAGAGGAGCTGCTGTCATGACAAATAGGGGTTAAATTGTGAGAATTTCAGGATATATTTTGGGGAAGGATTAAATAAATCAGGGGACTTGCTGACAGCAAATAGTATCTTTGATTTGAAACACAGAATCAGAGAATTGAGATGAATCCCAGGTGGTGGTTGGGAGTTTGAAAAAGTCCCAGTGAGTTGGCTGACTAAGTGTAGACTTCATTTCAACATCATTAAATAGTCTTTAAGTGGTGACTTAATAATTGTTGCCCCAAGAAAAGATTTTGCTAAATACAGAGGTGGAATTAAGTATATTAATCCAAGAAACATTTTATTTAAATGATTTTCCTAACAGTAAGGTTGGAAGGCCCTAGAACTGCTTCTAGGAGCTTGAAGTGCATTTAATAGTTAACTGTCAGAATGAAAAATGAAATTTTAAATTTCAACAATGCAATTAAGTTCTTATTTTCTTATGATAGTGAATAATAAATTTCATTCAAGGACGCCATTGGCAGATGTTGAAAAGAACCATTTTCACTCCACTAGCTTGCAGTGGACTAAGAGGTAGCAGGAAGGGAGATTGGTACTACAGATCCTGAAAAAACAAAACAACACAAAACAAAATCCACACCACAAATGGACACTTCCAGATGCTTACCAACAGGAAGTGCCTTGGAGGACAAGGGCTGTGAGACAGGTGAACTCTAGGGAACAAGAATTCCTAGTTCCATGTCTGTTTACAAGAATTTGTCATGACTGGTTCACCTCACTTTATAGTTTCCTCAGACCAAAGAGACAAAGAAAAAGCAAAAAACAAAAACAACAAAAATTCTGAAACGAATGGACAATACAACCAAAACTTTAATATGAACCAAAACAAAAATTGGGCTGATTTTATGAGGTTGACTTAAAGTCAGGAAAAGAATGATAAACTTTTGAGAGGAAGAAAGAAATCATCAAAGCCACGAGGAGCTCAAAGTGGTGTTTAATAGCAGCTATCACATTGCGCCCGAGCCTTGACCACTTCTGACGCAGCTGTTTCGTTTTAAGATGTTCCCATTCCTGTTCCACTCACACAGTCCTCCACAGTGACCTGAGTGCACGCACCCAAGCCGGCAGGCCACTCTAGAAAACCGTAAACCCCTCAGAGAGTCACTGCAGGAATAGGGGAAATGGAAGTGATGAAATTCAATATAGCATTTAGCTGAATCATCATCTGAGGTTAAGCCCAGTGAACAATTAGCAGTATCGGGAGTCTCCTCGTACCTGTCAAAATCGCACCGACGGGATTTTGTGCAAAGTATGTATGTGTGTGGAAGTTGTTTTTTATGTTTAATAGCAATGGACCTGGGGTAGTAATTTAGATACAACTTTTTAAAAAAAATACTAAAGGGCAAGTGTGGTGAGAAGCTTCTTACTCAGGAGGATCTTTTCAAACATTGCAAAACATCAGGCCTTGAAATAATTCATTTTATTAAGTAGCGCACTCTTGTCTTTTCATTCACAAAAGGAGGATGATTTATTATACAGATAAATGCTTGCATAGGATGATGAACACCTGTAGGAATGCATGATATTCTGGAAGTTGATCAAGGTCCACTGTACACCAGTAATTAGAGGTCATGATGATGATAATAATAATAATAATAATTAATAATGGCACATACTATGTGTCAGCTCCTGTTCTAACTTCGTTTCTCATATTAACTTATTTATTTTTCATGATTAGCCACTAAGATACAATTATTATCCCTGTTTTGTAGACAAGGAACTGAGTGAAGCTCAAAGAAGTAACTAGGATCACACTGTCACACAGGCAGGAATGAAACCCATGCAGATTGGCTCCTTAGTGTGCTCTCTGATCTATTATCATTCATCACATATTTACTGAGCATCTAGTATATGAAAGGTATTAGGCTTTATGCAGGCAATACTTTAGCGAAGCCAGGGAGATGTCTCTGCCTTCTTTGAGCTTATAGCTTGGTGGGCAAAAAGCTAATGGTTTAACTGTATAAAAAACTTGATGTTGTGAAATGATATATGCCAATGTTTGCATGGTATGATGATTTTGATTAAGCACCATAATAAAAATAGGGAGCCTGGGTCTCACACAGCCTTGATTGTCTTCTTCCTTCTGCTCCCCAGTGGAGTGCGTAGGAAGGTCACACCCTCAATGTCAGGCTCCTTCACTGTTCTCAGTGAGTGTCTCAGGTTGTAGGCTACATGAGCAGGTTTGCACCTGGATATGATTGTGGCAGTAACAATAGATGTGACTATACACAGTGGCAGTGGCAGTAGGGGTGGGAGTTGGGTGATGGGATGATCTTAGAATGCAGTGTTGGTATTAACTCAGTTTTGTTTTGTTTTGATGTACAGCCAGCCATACGACTCTGGAATATGACTCTGGGTTTACCAACTTGGGGATGGCCCGGGGATTTAGGAGATGGCCCCAATGGCTCTCCTCTTTTTTAGAAAGGACTGTTCAAGTTCCTTTTTTTTTTCTTTTTAAACAGGATCTCGTTTTGTCACCCAGATCGGGGGCAGTGGTGTAATCTCAGCTCACTTGAACCTTTGCCTCCCTGGCTCAAGTGATCCTCCTGCCTCAGGTGTGAGCCACCATGCCAGGCTAATTTTTGTATTTTTTGCAGAGACGGGGTTTCACCATGTTGCCCAGGCTGGTCTTAAGCTCCTGAGCTCAAGTGATCCATGTTTCTGCCTCCCAAAGTGCTGAGATTACGGTTTGAGCCACCACATCTGGTTTAAGCTATTTCTTCTAAAGATATAGTCACATCTATTATCTTTGACCCCTGCCTAAGCAATTCTGTTCAGATCTTAAGACTATTTCTTCCCGGGATTCAAACTCAGAGTTAAGTAGAGTCAACTATATGAGGTATATGTGAGGTTAATTTTTGAAACTTTTATTTTTAATTTCATCTGGGATCTCCTCTAGGGAAGACCACTTTATGATTATGGGTTGCATTCCCAAGTTCAGTTGATTGAATTTATTCATACATTATTTAATAAATGTTTATTGAGACTGAAAATAAACTTGAAATCCTAGAATTCATTGGTTGTCTTAAAAATTCTAAATATGAAATGCTAACTTTAGCTTCATGAGTATTTAGAATAGAAAATAAATAATTCAAAAATTGTTCAGGAAAAAAATCCATGATTTATTCTACTCTGGAGGAGCATATTCAATTTAAAACATACCGATTCGTATAAACTTATTGGTAATGAGGCGATATACTTTTTATGAGAACATATCAAACCATAGACATTGAGATCCAGCATCTCCTGAGTGAGTAAAATGTCAGGGTTTTATTGATACTAATGATAATGGGAGTGACATATGTGCATAGAGTAAGTCCATGGTTGAAAGCCTGGCTGATTAGGCGCTGCGTTCTGTGGTTTTTGCCACTTGTGTGTGATTAAACCCTGCAGAATAGAGTCTGTTGCCATGTATTTGGTTCGTGAAGAAAACTAGTAAAGTGATATTGAATGAATGATTCAGTTTCTCAAAAGGGTAGACTATTGGCCTAACACCTTCCTAACTTGGAGCTGTCAACGTGTTTAGTTTGGTTCTAATGGGAGCTAGGCTGGAGAAGAGAAAAGTTTTGTGAGAAAGGTTATGTGATATTAATAAGAACCACATTCCGTTTGATGTTTTCTCAAATGATTTTTTTTATCTTCCTAAGAAATTGAATGATTCAAAAATAATAAATCTTCCTTTTCTATGGCCCACAAATGATCAACATTTTGGATGATCAAAACAATTTTGTCTTTAAGATATCACAACTTCTAGTGCCTCTTTATTTGCCAGTGCTGATTTACAGCAGAAAGTATCACTTCATATTTTTTCCAAGCATCAAAGTCATGTGTTTTACAAATATTCACAAGTGCTTAAAATCCATGAACCTCTCTCTGTATTCCTATTTTTTTATTCTTCTATAAGTATGTATTTAAATTGGTTAAACAGATGGCTTTCTACTTTTGAAAAAAAAAAACCCACTAAGAATATTCACCTCAAGATGGAGAACTCATAGGTTAAATTTCATTCTGGAATGCACGTTTACAACCAGGTAATTAACCTTTGAAAATGAGGGTACTCGAAGGAAACAAGGAAAATCTTAACAAGATGATCTCACTAACGCTGGTGTGTTAGACTTCTCAGAAGTAGAGATGCCCCAGAAGTTTAACAATGAAAAACTTTAAAATATTTTTAAAAACATAGTTAATCTTTGTAGCTTTCCAGTTTTCGTCCTTTATTACGATAACCTTAGGAGGTAAACGCTTCAAGGGGTGTATCCTTATAATCATAGGAATTGGTACACAGATTTTGGTGGAAAGATGGAGGTGTCAACATTAACCAGTCAACATATATTTGTTGACTGCCTACCACATGCACAAGTCTCTTCCATGCTTGCGAAGAGATACAGTGATGTGCAATGTGTAGAATCTGCCCTTCATGAGCTTTTGATTTAGTTAGTCTGAGAAGGAATAGATCAGTGAAAAGTTAAAAGGAATAATAGATGGAGTGTTGAGGCAGTCCATGATTGTTATCTGAGACATTGAGTTTACAATGCTAAGTTAAAAGAATGAGAGATCACTATGGGATAGAATGGACAGGAAGAGTTCCTCTCCTTGAAGCTTGCATTAAGCCATAAAAGACAAAGCAATTTTGGAAATGCAGAATTTGGAGATATGAAGAAAGAATAATTCCCAGAAAGGGAGAAGAGTTTTGGAGCCAGACAGATCTGGGTTCAAATCTTGGTTCTCTTGTTCTCTAGCTGTGTAATCTTGGGAAGTTACTTAGCTTTTATGGACATCTTCTATAAAAAGGATATGATAGCGACTATTTTGTTAATTTTTTAGGATTAATTGAGATAATATATATAAAGTGTTTTAAGCACTTGATAAAAGGTAATCCTCTCAGTTGGAGAGAACATCCTAAACAAGTCTGGAGGAAGGAGACAGCCAGCCATGTTCATGGGACAAAAAGAAGACTATTATGAGTGGAGGGAAAGATTAAGAGAAGTAGAGTGAGATCACATGGAAAGATAAATTAGGATTAGCTTCAGCCATTCACTTGTTTCTTCATTTAATACTTTATTGCACTCTTTATGTGGGAAGCTCTCTCATGTGGGAAACCCTCTGCTCGGCATGGATATGCAGAGACAAAGAAAACTTAGCCTTGGATTTCTCTTGAATGTCAGGTTAAGGAGTTGGAACTTCATGCTGAGGAGAATTATATCTTTCAAAAGTGGAGGAGCTTGAAAGTAGCATTTTTGGATAGTTAACATGGAATGTGATTCTTGTGACCCAAGATATGCATTAAGTTACCATCTCCTAGTGGTTGATGGTTAATGTTGTGCCTGGAGATGTGACCCAGATTCTCTTGTAGGTCATTCCTGACAGAGGGTCCATTCCAATGAGTGAGGAGGAGGAGCTTCTGGGCTGAACTTAATCTCATCTCCTGAAATAAAGCAATGACATTGAAATTTTTCATATTGCACTTGTGTTTACATTTCTCATCTAATCTGAGATATTCCACGTTTGGTGAGTCTTGCTTTGGGCCTGCAGTCTTGGTGACCCTTATTAGTTGCACTGGAATAGCTGTCTATTCAGGGAGAAGTAGAATCCTGGGAATCTGGTCTTCAGTGACTTTCTCCATGATCATGAATTTCATGAGAGGAGGTCCCCTTCCTGTTAGTAGATCTCTATAGCAAGAGGTTCTGAGGCACACAAGCACACTGGATACTCACCTACAGTTCTAGTTTAACTGATGGAACATAGGTATTTCTTTCATGAAACTTTGCCTGGATAAACAGCTTCTGTATCTTCTAGTGACAAAATTTTGCCTCCTGTTTTCCCCTCTAGCTCTAGTCTTAATCTCTACTTCCTTGTTCAGTCCAAGGCTCAGGAGAACCCAGATCATATAAGATATGGAACCTATTGCTTCCTAGGATGTCCTTGTACACAGTGACTAACTGCTAATTTCAAGGATCAATTTCTTTCTGGAGTTAGAATCATATTATATTATGTTTCAGAACTGAAATAAAATTCTTTTAAGGTGATTATATTTTGGCTCTCAGCTTGGAAGATGCCACTGGGGCATGGCATACAAGACACATAACTTATAGGAGGACCTCCTTTAATGCCCAAGTGCCAGCTTCATGCTTGTTGTTATATATCATTTTATTCCTGGCTTTGATGCCCACACACAGACATATATCCACACAAAGTTCAATCTATATATTTTTTGTAGCTGTTTAGCTCAGGTGATTAGGGCATTGAGCTAATGAGAACAAGGTCACAGTTTCAGTCTTTGTGTGGGCCAGCAAGGTTTGCTTTGTTCAGAGGCCACAGACCTGGTCCAGCCAGCTGTCCAGCACATGTCTGCCCCAAGTCATGAGAGGACGGGGCAGGAGTGTGTGGATGGACAAGAGCAAATCCATCACCACCCTTAGAAAAAGTCAAGTCAAGCACGTGTCCTACTAATGGGGGTCAATAATGTCTCATTTAAATGGGGCTGACATTTTATTACCTCTTGCTGAGAGGGTCTTTTGAGCACCAAATTTAAACATTGTCGCTTTTTTGTGTGAATTTATTTCTAATAAATGGAAGGTTGTACAAGACCTTAGATGATTACAGGTTTCCAAATACAGATTAATGACTTCAATATTTAAGAAGTTGATGTGATATTAAAAAAGAAAGTTCAGTATGGCTATTCAGTTATCTTCCCTTATTAAAATCTGTTTTGGCTAATGAAATAAAAAGTTCATAAGTTCTTCCGAGAGTAAGTGAGAATCATTGCCTTCATTCAAGAATGAAAACATTATTATTAAACTCATTGATAATGAGACCATTAAAAGTTAGCATGAAGCAGGTACAATACAATTCTTTATTATTGAAGTCTTCAGATATTACCCAGCCTACACATCCCACCTTTCATTTTTAGGCAAACAAATTCCCCAAACTATATTTTTTTTAAATTTAGCATTAGGTCTTGTTAGGCTTCAAATGGGATCAAAACCAATCCTTTCCAAAGTGTTCTACCCCAGCTGTTTCCCTCACCTGGGTGGTAGTGAGTATAAAGGCATTTGATACAGAAGGGGGTGGTGGGGCAGAGAACAGAAAGGAAACTTGGTGAGAGAATGATGAAGAATGATATATTAGAGATTCTTTTAAAATTCATTCATTAAACAAATGTAGCATAATGGAAATGTCTATTAAATTTTTTGGCATAGGTAATGCACTTGCAAGGGTAAAAACAGAAATATGAGATGGTATTTTATGAAAAGTTTTGCTCACCCCGCATCCATCATGAACCCAATTCTACTGCCCTTGTATAGCCATTTTTATTAGTTTCTTGTGTACTCTTTCAGAATTTCTTTATGCCAATATATCTTAAACTCTTTCCTTTTTTTCATACAAAAATTAACACCCTATCAATTTTGTTCCTGGCAGGGTGAGGTGGCTCACACCTGTAATCCTAGCACTTTGGGAGGCCCATGCGGGAGAATTACTTGAGCCCAGGAGTTTGAGACCAGCCTGGGCAGCTTAGGGAAACCCTGTCTTTATAAAAAAATAAAAAATTAGCCAAGCATGGTTGGTGTGTGCCTGTAGTCTCAGATAACTCAGGAGGCTGAGGCAGGAGGATCACTTGCACCAGAAGGTTGAGGCTGCAGTGAGCCATGATTGCACCATTGCACTGCAGTCTGGGTGACAGAGAAAAACTCTGTCTCAAAAAAAAGGTCTTGAGCTTGCTTTTTCTACTTAACAATATGTTTTGTAAATCTTTCTGTATACGCAAAGTAGCCTCATTTTTCATAGTTGTATATCATTCTATTGATGTGCCACACTTTATTTATCTACCCCCCTATTGATGGACCTTCATATAGTTTCTAATATTTTCTATTACAGACAACAATGTATTGAATTACTTTGGAATGCATTAGGTAGAAAGCATTCTTCTTTCTTTAAACATTTGCGTAGCATTCCACTGAATGGCTATATCATAACTTATTTCTCTAGCCCCCTATTGATCGTCATTGAGTTTCCAATCTTTTATTTTTAAAGACAATGTCATAATGAATAACTTTATACATGTATTATCTTATATATGTGGAATTAAATTTACCATGTCTAGATAATTTTATTTGAATGCAATTAAGTATGATATCAAAAATTATAAAATCAAAACTGCAGTGAGAATTCATCTTACCCCATGTAAAATGACTCTTATCCAAAAGAGAGGTGATCATGAATGCTGATGAGAATGTGGAGAAAGGGGAACCTTCATACACTGTTGGTGGGAATGTAAATTAGTACAGCACTATGGAGAACAGTAGAGATTCCTCAAAAAACTAAAAATAGAACTACCATACAATCTATCAATCCCACTGCTGGGTATATATCCAAAAGAAAAGAAATCAGTATATTGAAGAGATATCTGCACTCTCATGTTTATTACAACACTATTCACAGTAGCCAAGACATGGAAGCAACCTAACTGTCCATCAACAGATGAGTGGGTAAGGAAAATATGGTACATATACACAGTAGAATATTATTCAGTCATAAAAAAGAATAAAATATTAGTTGGGCATGGTAGCATGCACCTGTAGTCCCAGCAACCAGGGAGGCCTAGGTGGGAGGATTGCTTCAGTCCAGGGAAGTCGAGGCTGCAGTGAGCCCTGATCACACCACTGCACTCCAGCCTGGGCAATATAGCGAGACCCTGTCTCCAAAAGAAAAAAAAAAAGAATACAGAATGAAATTCTGTCATTTGCAACAACATGGATAAAACTGGAGGACATTATGTTAGGTGAAATAAGCCAGGTACCGAACGACATATTTCACATGTTCCCACTCATATGTGGGAGCTAAAAATTAAAACAATTGAACTCATGGGGAGAGTAGCATGATCATTACCAGAGGCTGGGAAGGGTAGTGGGAGGAAGGAATAAAGTAGGGATGGTCAGTGGATACAAAAACACAGTTAGAAGGAATAAGATCTAGTGTTCTGTAGCACAACAGGGTGACTATAGTTAACAATAACTTATTGTATATTTTAAAATAACGAAAAGAGTGGAATTGGAATGTCCCTGGCACAAAGAAATGATAAATGCTTGAGGCAGTGAACACCCTAATTATCCTAATTTGATCGTTACACATTGTATGCCTTCATGAAAACATCACATGTGCCCCATAAATGTATACTGTTATCATGTACCCATCATAATTTTAAAAAATAGAAAAGAATTATCACAATTATTTTAAATGAAGAAGCACTAAGTAGGAAATAAGGTACAATTTAATTCAGAATAGCTTTCCTTAGTAGTGTTCAACCTACTGTACACATCAACAACACGCCCTTGCAGTTAACATTGTTGCTGGATGTTTACTGTTATGTGTGACCAGCTGACATGTCCCTCTAAAGAAAGAGGATTTAAATAAGTCATGTATGAAAGACTGGGTAAAGGTGAGACACTGTAAGACCTAGATTATTTTGGGGCTGTAGCAATCAGATTAGCTATTGAGTATTCATTCATAAATTCATTCACTTCACTGAGTCATCCACTTCTTGTCAGATTCTGTATTTATTCATCTCCTAGTAAGCTACTCATTGTGCTAAAATGCTGGTAAACAGAAGTACAAAGCACCAGTTATAACTCACAGTCTTGTAGAGGAATTAAGAAATGGACAGGAAACAGTAAGGGTGCATTGTAGGTATCTCAAGAATGATATAAAGTGTTATGGCAGATCTAAGGAGGAAGACATGACTTTCCATAGATAATGGATGGTGGCATCTGTTCTGGAGTACCAGAAAATTAGAGTAACAAAAACACAGCAGGATAGATTTTCTTACAATGCAGTGATTCATACAAAGGCTACCTTGACTGTTAGTTTGTGACTGGAAACTCTCAGTCAGGGCTGACGGAGGGAGTCCTGCCCCTGCCAGCTGTTCACCTTTCCCTGGTGCTGGGGTTGACACTTCACATGCTCACATAGTCTGGTTCTGTGCTGTCTACTAGGGTTGAGTGTGCTGCTGGGCAGAGAATTTTGGCATTTCTCCAGATGCACATGAGGGGCAGACCGCCTCAGCAGTTGCTAATGACCCAAAGAAGCCTTCTTTCATGACTTATTTTGTCCCCTCATTTTATTTTTTGATGTATTTTGGTGAGCTGAGCTACTACCTTCTCAGGCAGTCCCAACCTCAGAAAATTAACCATGTAGCTTTCTCATATCTGACATTGCAAATTGAGGCAAGGTCGCATGCTTTCTGACTACCTGACTGCCTGGGCATTTCTTTCATGCAACTTGTTTAAGCCGCCCATCCTGATCCCTGTTGCTAAGCCACCATGGCTGCATTTGGACGCAGTTCTTCCCAGCTTTGCCGCAGCATAACTGTGGAAAGGATCTTGATGAATTTGGACCTGGGGAGGGACGTGGGAGGAAAGAGAAATGGTCTAATGGAAGAAAGTGAACAAACAAAGACATGCTCACAGAAAACTGCCAAGTGTGAGGGGTGGGAAAACAGAGTTCAGCCTGGCTGAACGTAGGAATCTGGATGGGAATGGTAGATCTTAGGCTCCTGTTTTTCAGCTTGCCGCTCTAGTGATGATTCTTGTAGATATATTTTTCCAAGTAAAAGGAGCATTTCCAAGTGACTGTTGTTTAAAATAAAGTACATGTTGCATTTGTAATGTATGAATTATGAGTATTAAAACTGACAATGAAATGAGAGTAATATACTTAATTAAAATTAATTAGATCTGTTGGCACACCACTAGAAGGACAAATATGATATTTAATATATCACTCTACTCCAGACCTGTCCAATTAAACTTTTGGCCATGATAGAAACGTTCCATATCTGTTGTCCAAAAACAGTAACCCCTAGTCACATGTGGCTATTGAGAACTTGAAATGAGGCTAGTGCAACTGAAAACTGAATTTTAACTTTGTTTAATTTCAGTGAAATTTAATTTGAATTTAAATGGCCCCCTGTGAGCTAGTAGCTACCGTATTGGACAGGGAAGCTCTAAACAGGGTTCTAAACATGTGGAATTAACAGCACTTAAGAGCTGGAGTAGACCTTAACCTTTACCAGGTCTCAAACTTTGATTTACAAATGGGGAAATGGCAGCCAAGAAGGTGAAACACCTTGTCCAGAGGCACACTAGTAGGAATTAGCAGAACTGGAACCTGGTGTTTGGATGTCCTGGCTCCCGGCCTGGGGGACTCTTGATTCCAACACGCTCTCTCCCAGTTATGACAGAGGGCTGTGGCTGGACCCAGGTAAGGATGCTGGGTTGGTAGATTGAGAAAATAAGGCCACGCGTAGTCTTTCAAATCAACCAAGCAAGAGATATTTGCTGTACATGGTGGCAGACACTGAGATCAACAGAGAGGTTGTTGTGGTGTGGGGGAGGGCCTGTAAAATGGCATAAGGAGTCTACTGGGAAAAACAGGATAGTGATAGATTATATATCTCTATATTTATCTTTCTATATAATCTACCCTGTTTTCCCAAATGGATTTCCCAAATGTGTGTCACTTGTATATCTGGCTGTCACTGGTACAAGGTAGTCCAAATGGACAGGGTACGCAAACCCCAGACAGGGCTATGGAAATTTAGGGAGATCTGTGTGGGTGAGTGGTCGGGGAGAGCTTCAGGGATAGGACAGGCTTGACTTATATTAGATAGTGTAACACAGAAGGTAAAATACAACTTTAGGATCATTCAAATTTAACAGTGGTTGATATGAAACAAACTTCTTATCCAGAGTTGGTTTTGTATTCTTGCTTTCTGTATTAATTATATGTGTTTACTGATTCACCACAATCAGCTATACTGTCCCTAGAATTTTAAAATGTGAAAAGAATGTGGTTTGTTTCAGGACTATTTTTCTGTAGAATGGTGATTGTATAGAATTAATTAATATTACAGTTGCATTATTAGACCACAGTAAGGTAAATGGTCACAAAAGACCATACATTTAAATCAGGAGAAAAGTAATGGCTATTGTTATCCTGTAGGCATAGCTGGGAAATCATATCCTTACTTGGCTTGCTAAAGTCTTAACCTAGTACTACATGACAGTATCTCCAGAGATTTTTTTTTCCCATTCGTAGGCACAACAAATGAGACCCAAGTGCTCATAGAACATTCCAAAGAGTCAACAGAGAGAAGTGGAAAGTATTAGAAACATGATTGTGTTTGCAAAGGGAGACATAAACGTAAGTTAAAGGGGGAATGAAAAGTCATCTATTACCTACACTTGAAGTGCTTATTGCGGATAGTTCTTAAAACTTTTTGTTTTTCTGATTTTATAAACGTAATATGTGCTTATTGTATTCATCTGGGAAAATAAAGAAAAGATAGGCCGGGCGCGGTGGCTCGCCTGTAATCCCAGCACTTTGGGAGGCCAAGGCAGGCGGATCACGAGGTCAGGAGATTGAGACCATCCTGGCTAACATGGTGAAACTCCGTTTCTACTAAAAATACAGAAACAATTAGCCAGGCGTGGTGTCAGGTGCCTGCAGTCCCAGCTCCTCAGGAGGCTGGGGGAGGAGAATTGCTTGAACCTGGGAGGCAGATGTTGCAGTGAGCCGAGATCACGCTACTGCACTCCAGCCTGGACGACAGAGCGAGACTTCGTCTCAGAAAACAAAAACAACAAAAAAAAAACAGCTAAAAATCATTCTTAATCTCACTCAGATATAACTATTATTAATTTTTCCCTTCTTTGCAAATACCCACTTTTAAATGTTTAGATAGTTAATATTTTATAGAGTGTTGAAAGAAAAATTTACACTTAATCTCAATTGAGTTTTGTATGGAGAAGTTTTTGAGGGAAGAACTTTTGCTAGGGAAGCCTATGCAAGATGGGGAAGCCATGTGGTGTCTTCTGTCTCTGTAGGTCTTTAAGGATGATAGTAAATTATGTCTTGTAATCAGTTGTTAATGAATTCTTAAAGTTTTCTTTGTTGGCGTGCTTTGGTAAGGGAGTAAAATAATCTAGTTCGGTACCTTATTCAATGACTAGCTGTTGGTTTGAACCACCCATCAATCTTCTTCAAATGCTTCATGTACCCACCCTTGAGTCACCAGGGGCTGCCAATTCAGAAAACACGGGTGTCATCAGTTGGCAGGGACCAGAAATCTCCTATTGTCTCCTCCTTTTCTTAGAGAGATTCAATTTGGTCTAAGGGGCTTCTGGAGCAGACTTTGAGGGCCTTCTCTTTTCAATGGAACCAAGTCACATAATCATGTTGTCTGTATTATATGGACTTTTCTCATGCCATGTAAATGGCTAAAAATAACTTCACATATTGTTTTGTTCCATCCCCACAAGGACTCTCTGGTTTGGCAGTTTGGTAATTTTTTAGTGTTTATTTCTGCTGCACATAGGCTATTCAAAATATTGCTAAAAATGTTTGATCCGACTTGAGTAATCTAAAATGATAATCTTGAACTTTATAAATCAGTTTTTCATCCTCAGAGGAATTTTTTTTAGATGTTGTTTCCTGCACTATTATTACTTCCTTTGATCTCATATTACATTTGGTCTTTCAGATAAGGGAGACCAATAATTCCTTAGCTATAACTTCAGCAGCCCAGATAACTATCATACATTGTGTGACATGCAATTCATTATTCAGTTGCGAATAACCACTGCGGTCCAGTCCTATATTAAATGTTTTACAACTCGTGTCTTCCTAGCTCATGGAGTTAATATAATGCTTGTGACTATTTTTCTTTCCAGGCAGGATAAAACTCTTTATATTGCTTAATGACAAGTAATATTAAATTTAAAACATGTTAAGACACCTTAGTAGAAGAAACTAACTACAGTGAAGTAAATTTCCGTATGTAGCTTAATTATTTTATTTTATTCTCTCCTTTAAAGGGGCCTCCTCTCTTTGATGTATCCAGTAATTCTTATTATTGCCTTTTGGGTAAACTGGATGAATTTCCAGAAGCAAGATTCAGTTTCAGAGATCTCATGATCCGCATTTACTGATGTTCCATCATTCCTCCTTTATCCCTTTTATAATGTACCATTGTCTTATTTGCCTGGCATAAAGACTTCTTTGGAATGTAGTAGAAGACAAAAGATTGGTTCAAGATCTAATCACATACTTAAGGACAATCTTCCTACAGTTTTCAGTTCACCAAATAAAGGGTTAGCAGTCTGGAGATGGCTGGAAGAGCAGTTTCCTAATTTTGAGTCTTTGGCAAGCTGAAATTCCACCTGCTAAAATTTAACAGTGTAGAGATTGTTATCCAGTGGGTATTTTTGCAACTTTCTGTTTGGTGCTCAATAAAGCAGACTGTATTACTGTGCTGGAAAAATGTAACTTGCTACTCATTGGAGTATTAATCTATCAAAATATTTCCTGGACTTATTTTACAAATTAACAAAAGAGCTATTATACATTTACGGTCAGAAAGTTCTTAGTTCATATTGATATTTTTAATTCCTTAATTGAATGGTTTTACTTTCTAGCTTAATGTAGACATTATTTTCAGATTATTAGTGAACTAAGAAAAGGTTAATTTGTAAGTTGAATTGGATTTTTGTTACAAACTGAAAAGCCTTTTTTTTTGTAGCCCAAGAACATTTGTTTCCCTGGACTCTGTTTCTCCTACCAACACTTCCCTGGGACCTCATTGCCCTCAAAGGAGACTGCCCTGTTCCTTTACTTCTACTTCTGATCAGTCAAGCAGCTACTCTGTCCCATCAGCTCCCATTTTAGGACCAACTGATTCTCAAACATTTTAGTAAGGATGCAAATGTTTAATATGATTGCAAAAGAGAAAAAAATGACTACAGTGTAACATTTTCTGGTATAGACATCAGAATAAAAGTCTGGTCACTTACGACATACATTTAAACTCCAGTTTAAAAAGATTTTTCTTTTTTTTCTGAAAAATCAGTTGAGATGATAATACACAGTAGGTTATTTTCTAATGTCCATATCTAACATAAAAATCCAGATTAGGCCGGGCGTGGTGGCTCACGCCTGTAATCCCAGCACTTTGGGAGGCTGAGGCAGGCGGGTCATGAGGTCAGGAGTTCGAGACCAGCCCGGCCAACATGGTGAAACCCCGTCTCTACTAAAAATACAAAAAATTAGCTGGGCGTGGTGATGGGCACCTGTAATCCCAGCTACTTGGGAGGCTGAGGCAGGAGAATCATGTGAACCCTGGAGGGGGATGTTGCAGTGAGCCGATAATGCGCCACTGCATTCCAGCCTGGGTGACAGAGTGAGACTTTGTCTCGAAAAAAAAAAAAAAAAAGACCCAGATCAAATGATTTTTTTAAAAATTTGTTTTTTGCCCAATCATTTCTGGGAGGTGTATGTAGTTGTTGTTGTTTTCACTTTTTTTGTGGAAAATTTTTAGTAGTGGGGGTTCAAAGTTTGTTTAAATATGGAAGATAATTTTCCAAAAATAAAGTATGGACTAATTAACCTTAAAGACACAAAAGAAGAGTTGCTTTGAATTCTGCTATCGCTCCTTATTCTTGCTTAAATCCAATTTGTTGGTGTGCGTGTGTGTGTGTGTATGTTTGTGTAGGATTTGTGTGTATGGATGAATATGGAAAACAAGAGACTTTAATGGCAGAAATGACCACAGTGAATAAGATCAAATTATCAGGTAAGTTGAGGCTGTACAGAATTACATGATGGTTGATCTTGATACCAATTCAACAATAATTTAAAAAATGATGATAAATCTTTACTTGGTCTATGTAGCTTCAACTTAAGTGTGTAGGCCCTGGACACTACTGACGTAAGCAACCTAAACTCACCTAGGCAACGTTTTGTAAGAATAAAATCTATAGTTAATAATGACCTTTTCATTAGCCTCTTCTTTGTAACTGCCCATGTGGACTGTTTGCTTTGCTGAACTGTCAAAATGCTGACATGAAAAAAACAGGAGTTATAGAATCAAAGACCTCAGTTCAGAGTTTTATTTCTAGGGGACTTTGGAAAAGTCATGCAGCTTTTCTGAGACACAATCATTTCTTCTATAAAAGGAGTGAATAATATCACCTACCTCACAAGGCTGTTGTGAAGGAAAAAAATTCATTATGTGAAGTGCCCACTAATGCCTGGCACCTAGTAGGCATTAAGGGCATTTTTTTTGTTTGCAGAATATGAAAGATAGTGATTATTGGTTAAACATTTTTTTGTAGTGTGGCTTTTATTTTATTTTATTTATTTTGAGACAGAGTAGCTTATCTCTGTTGCCCAGGCTGGAGTGCAGTGGTGTGATCTCAGCTCACTGCAACCTCCACCTCCTGGGCTCAACCAATTCTCGAGTCTCAGCCTCCTGAGTAGCTGGGATTACAGGAGCCCACCACCACACCCTACTAATGTTTGTATTTTTAGTACAGACAGGGTTTTGCCATGTTGACCAGGCTGGTCTCGAACTCTTGGCCTCAAGTGATCCACCTGCCTTGGCTTCCCAAAGTGCTGGGATTACAGGCATGAGCCACCGCACCCAGCCGGCATCAATCTTACCATATTTTTGCATTAATCTCATTAATTGTCAATATGGCCCCACAACATGTATTTATGTGATTGTTTATTAGTGTCATCTGATCAAACTGAAATGAGGAAAAGAAGAATAGAGAGCACACTTAAAAAAAGGCTTACTGAAAGCCAGGTGTGGTGGCTCACACCTGTAATCCCAGAACTTTGGGAGGCTGAGGTGGGTGGATCATGAGGTCAGGAGTTTGAGACCAGCCTGACCAACATGGTGAAACCCTGTCTGTACTAAAAATACAAAAATTAGCCCGGTATGGCACCTGTAATCCCAGCTATTCAGGAGGCTGAGGCAGGAGAATCGCTTGAACCCAGGAGGCAGAGACTGCAGTGAGCTGAGATCGTGCCATTGCACAACAGCCTGGGCGACAGAGCAAGACAGCCTCAAAAAAAAAAAAAAAAAAAAGCCTTCCTGGAGAGGGGCCTGGCTATCCTGAGTGTTTTCTTTCTGGAGATCTAAATGCATTTCTGATTCCTTACTATGCAGGGGCTATTTTCTCAAATATTTTTATTGTGGACTCTCTGGGAGCCTCCTCACACCACCCACACACTCACACCCCCCAGCACATCATACAGTTCATTTCCTTTCTAACGTTACAGTAAATCTCAAAGGCCTGGACGGTGGAGAAGGCTGGAGGGGAGAAGCAGCTGCTTCTCTTTGCTCCCGTGGGCTGCCATTCCCCTCAGAGCTCAAGACGCTCACAGTAAGGTCTCCATGACCTGCTGTGACATCCCTTGTGCCCTCTTTGTGGTTGGAAAGGCTCTACCTTCTATTCGGAAATCACTTATATGATATGCCCAAAACTCCAAAGAGGAAAGGGCTATGTCAACGATAGACACAGTTCTCATTTGGAGGTTGTTCAACATCTCAAAAGGCACTCCCCTGCCATTTGGGGTGTCCTAATGAAGGCTGAGACCTCAAATGCTGCAGCCCCTTGAACTACATCACCCTATTTCTGTCCATGGTGGGCAGTACTTTAAGGGATGAAGCTCTGGGGCCTTTAGATCTTTTTGCCTCTTCCTTCTCTGCAAGTCACTCCATTTACATAATTATGAAGAGGCTGGTGCTTGAAATCTGGGAATCCTTGCCAAGTGGTGTGACCTTTAGTCTTATCTTTATTATTTATTTTATTTTTTCAGAGATAGGTCTTGCTACATCACCCAGGCTGGAAGTGGCACGATCATGGCTCACTGCAGCCTCCATGTCTTGGGCTCATGAGATTTTCCCACCTCAGCCTGCTGAGACTACAGGCACACACCATCATGCCTGGATAATTTGTTTCTACTTTTATTTTTTGTCAATACAGGAGTCTCGCTATGTAGCCCAGAGTGGTTTCAAACTCCTGGACACAAGCAATCCTCCTGCCTTGACCTCCCAAAGTGCTGGGATTACAGATACAAGCCACCACACCTGGCCATCTTTATTGTTTAAAGTAGGCATAATAATACCTACCTCACATAGCTCTGTGAGCCTTAGTGCAATAAGAGGCTGTGTGTATTGCACTTGGCACATTGTATGTGCTCACATTTTTATTGCTAATAATAACAAAATAACCAATAAAAACAAAAAATAATAAGATTGACCTCAGAAACATGTACCTTTTCCTAGTTGAGCAAAGACAAATGATGATGATGGAGACATGAGATGTCTTTCCCCTCCCTGGTTCTGCTGGCGTCTGCCATTGGCACATTGGTGGAAGAATTGGGTTGCCTGGTCCTATACCTGTTCCATGGCTTAAGCCACTGCTGGTTCTGACAATTGCAGGGAGCCCTGGCTGGGGGAAGGTGGCTGAGAGTGGCAGCAATTTCTTCGTTGGTTCTCAATGAGCCATAACTCTTTCAGATTCACTGCTCACACATGGCCTGCATGCAGATCTGGCAGTTTCCATTCATGATGCAGGCTGGGAAGGTAGAGTCTGGAAAACTCATAAAAGCAGACTGAGTGGTAAAGGAAAATCAATCTTCTTCTGCTTTGGACCAAGTTGACGAGAATCATTCTCCCTGATTCTCCATAAATTGGAGCAAGGCTTAGGACACTAATCCTACTGTAATACCATTTGAAGATGAACACTGACATTTGTGACATTTAAATAACAGTTCAGGTCTGCTATTAAACCAAGGCCTCCAACTGTTTAACCTTTGCCCTTGTGTACTATTACCCTTGGCCCAGTGCATGCAAATGTACTTATTAATGCATTTGAGCTTTCTGATGCCACATGTTTATTTAGTTTTGCTGAATACCTTGCTTCATGGGAACTGCACTGCACCAAACACGAAATTTGTTTTAAAACTTTTAAATGTGACACATTCCAAGCCTCTCTCAGAGATTATTTTTACACAGCTTAAGTTAAATAAAAAGTTGAGGCAATTATCCAAAATCTTCCCGTGGGTGGAGGAGTGTGTATTTCTTGAACTAAAATTATTTAGAGAAATCCAAAGCCATTCATTCATTCAACAAAAGTTTGTAAGGGCTTTTTATGTATCACATACTATGCTAGATCAGAAATACGGAAAACGTACTCCCTGCCCTTAAAATACTGTAGCTGTGTGATTCTATGGCCCTACTAACGTAGGCATGTACCTTAATTTATACATGTCTTACTTTAGTCTTTGCCTAATGGCACATACAAAATCTTTACTGGTTTCAAAAAAGCAGATGCTCGTTTTAGTTAAAGTTATATTAACTAATGAATTAGAGACTGGGGGAGATCTTTTCCACTCAGACATAATTAAAAATATTTTAGTGTTGCTATTAAAGTCAGGAATAACCTTTTTCATCTCTTGGATATTTTTCTAAACAGAAGAAAACACTTTATTATATTCATCATCATATACCATTTCACGAGCATTGATGAATCTGCTCCATGTCTGACAGATAATTAAGTTGTGTCATTTTACTATGAAGGTCACTTCAAGATCTGAGATTCTAGTTGGGCTTATATTAAGTTAAGTGCAGGTTGAGTTGGCACTGATAGATCTAAGTTTGATGACTGCTTCTGCCAGTTTCTAGACGTGTAAAATTCAGCGAGTTGCTTAACTTCTGTAAACCTCAGTTCCCTCATCCATAAGATGGGTTAATAGTAGGTACCTTGCTGAGTTGCTAGGAAGATGAGAGAAAATACTTCTGGGAAGATAGTTAACGTAGAGCCTGGTGCACAGTTATTGCTGTTCTGGTCCCCATGCTTTAGAGAGCTCCCTTCTCCACCCCTTCCCCCCAACCCCAGCCCTCCCGCAGCTCTGCCCCTTCTCACAGCACAAGCTTTTCTTTTATAGGTCAGTGGTTCTAAGTTTGCAGTGATCCTTCCACCACCTAGGAGACATTTGGCAATGTCAGGAGACTGTTTTGATTTATATATATATATATATATATATATATTTTTTTTTTTTTTTTTTTTTTCTGAGATGGAGTCACACTGTGTTGCCCAGGCTGGAATGCAGTGGCATGATCTTGGCTCACTGCAACCTCTGCCTCCTGGGTTCAAACGATTCTCCTGCATCAGCCTCCTGAGTAGCTGGGACTACAGGCATGCACCACCACACCTGGCTAATGTTTTTTTGTATTTTTAGTAGAGATGGGGTTTCACCATGTTGGCCAGGCTAGTCTCAAACTCCTGGCCTCAAGTGATCCGCCCACCTCAGCCTCCCAAAATCCTTGGATTACAGGCATGAGCCACCATGCCCAGCATTGATTTTTATAATTTTGGATGGTGCTATAGCATCTAGTATGTAGAGGCCAGCGATGCTGCTAAACATTCTACAATGCACAGGAAAAGCTCTTTCTTTCCTCTCAACAGGAAAGACTTATTCAGTGTAAAATGCAAATAGTCCAGAGATTGAAAAACCCTGCTCTAGACCATGCTTTGGGTCCCAGCAACTCTGAAATTCTCCCCCATTTAGTCCATTTCCAGGGTCTCTGCCTCTCATCACCTGGGCCCACCGGATGGCTATTTGAGAGGGCCGTGGACAAAGCTTGGAGGTGTTGGACAGGTGCCCACATACTTGTGGGAGGCCCCTTTCAAATGCCAGGGGTGGTGGTGAAGGGGAATGGCTCTTGGTCCAGCCCTCTCATGCCACCATGTTCCAACGTGGAGCTCCGAGGAGTCTGATAATTCTAAATTGGAACCTGGCCTTCCAGGTTGTTATGAAGGTATGCTTGTCAAGGTCAGAGGCTAAAACATTTTATTTAACATGTTAGTAAGCTAGATTTAAAATGTAATTTTTAATTTTAATTTAATTAATTAATTTTTTTTTTGAAACAGAGTCTCGCTCTGTCACCCAGGCTGGAGTGCGGTGGTGCGATCTTGCCTCACTGCAAGCTCCGCCTCCCAGGTTCAAGTGATTTTCCTGCCTCAGCCTTCTGAGTGGCTGGGACTACAGGCGGCCGCCACCATGCCTGGCTAATTTTTGTATTTTTAGTAGAGATGTGGTTTCACTATGTTGGCCAGGCTGGTCTTGAACTCCTGACCTCAGGTGATCTACCTGCCTCGGCCTCCCAAAATGCTGAGATTACAGGCGTGAGCCATGGCGCCCAGCCTAGAATTTTAAATATTTAAATATTGAGCATGTAGGCCTTTGTTTGCATTCTTGCTCTGGATCCCCCAAGAGCTAGGCATGGGCCTGCCAGTTAGAATTTTAAAACTCTGCATCCTTCCCTCTCCATGGCTGGGGTTACCTCATTTCCATCTCTCAGGCTCAGTCCTAAGAGCTCACCTTTACTCGAGGCAGATGATGCGCGGGTAGCTCTGTTGTCACATGTCCACATGCTGAGGCTCAGCACTGTTTTGTTTTGGCTGCTGATTTGTTCCAGTTTCTGATCTTTTTTGTAGTTGAAACATTTAGATTGAGGATCTTCACAATGATTACTTTTTCTGAAGACTTTATCTTCAGCTCAGGCTTGGGACTCTGGCAGACATGTTAGTATCATCTGATCCAAGCAGGGGCCTTCAGAATCTCTTCCAGGCAATTTTGAACTGACGTGCAGAATCAGTGTCTGCGAGTGGCTATAGCTCAGTGCTGTAAACATGAGAATTGCTGTTGGACACCCATCTTTCACCACAGGAAAAGGTGGTGTGGAGAGAAAGGGAGAGAGAGTCAGGTGCAGTGGCTCACGCCTCTAATCTCAGCACTCTAGGAGGCTGAGATGGGAGGATTGCTTGAGCCCATGAATTTGAGATCAGCCTGGGCAACATGGTGAGACCCTGTCTCTGCAAAAACAACGTAAAAATTAGCTGGGCATGGTGGCACATGCCTGTAGTACCAGCTACTTGTGAAGCTGAGGTGGGAGGATCGCTTAAGCCCAGGAGGTCAAGGCTGCAGTGAGCCACGATCATGCTACTACACTCAAGCCTGGGCAACAGAGCAAGACCCTGTTCTCAAAAAAAAAAAAAAAAAAAAGCAGGGTGTGGTGGGGCGGGTAGGTGGAGGAGAATAGGGAGAGAGAGATTGAGAGAACCCGCCTGGGTTCTTTTATTTTTATTTTTGGAGGTGGAGTCTTGCTGTGTTGCCCAGGCTGGAGTGCAGTGGTGTGATCTCGGCTCACTACAATCTTCGCCTCCCGGGTTCAAGCGATTCTCCTGCCTCAGCCTTCTGAGTAGCTGGGATTACAGGTGTGCACCACCACACCTGGCTAATTTTTATATTTTCAGTAGAGACGGGATTTCAGTATGTTGATCAGGCCAGTCTCAAACTCCTGACTTCGTGATCTGCCTGCCTCGACCTCCCAAAGTGCTGAGATTACAGGCGTGACCCACGGCGCCCAGCCACTGCCTGGGTTCTTGATGGCTTTTCAGGTTTGGGAAAGATCTCTGGGTTCTACTAGACACCTCAGTTCCTTCCAAAAAGATCTCTTGTTTGCTTAAACTGAATTGAGTTGGTTTCTGTTGCATGTAACCATAAAGACCTTGACAAAGAGCCCATTTTCCAAGCCCCTCTTTTGGTAAGTTGCCTTGATCTCGGTGCCCTCCTTGAGTGGAGGCCTGGGATTGCTCTTGCCAGGGCACTGGTGGGCAAGGCAGTGCATAGAGCCTACTGCTGGATGCCATACTCTGTCTGCCAGCAGGACCCCCTTCCCATCAGTTTAGTAGAGGCTTGACTCCTAGGAGCTAATGTCAGTGGGTAGGTTTGGTTCTAGACCTCATCCCCTCCTACTTGCAAGAAACAGGACTATTCAGGCCACGTCCTTCAATATGATGTATTCTATTCTGTATAGATTTGCAATTTAAAGATATGTCTATGTATTTCCTAATAACCAGTTAAAACGCCCCCAATAAATGGATAATTGCATTTGTAAAATTTATGAATAATAAAAAGCAATTTAACCTGGATATGTGCAGTTTATTAGAGCAATCTTGAATACATATCATTGCAGAAAATCCAGTAGGAGAATTAAGATGCTGGTACAAGGCCAAGCTTAGAGGATATAAATGGAGTTGTATTATTTCCAATTTTACTGATAGGAAAACTGAAGCTTCTGGTAATAATAAAGGTGGAGCTTGAATTGAGGTCTCTTTGTTTCCAAAGGTATGAAGGTAATAGTAAGGAACCCAAAATTGGGAAATATAGAAACAAGTGATTTCCTGTGGAAAAAGGAATGTTGGGAATGACTTTTCTTTAAAAAAAAATCTGTTTGTGTAGTGAAAAAATAGGTTCTAGAAAATCACTTAGAAAGTTTATGTCACGAGAACAGAAAATCAAACATCGCATGTTCTCCCTCATAAGTGGGAGGTGAACAATGAGAACACATGGACACAGGGAGGGGAACATCACACACTGGGGCCTGTCGGGGGGTGGGGGGCTAGGGGAGGGAGAGCACTAGGACAAATACCTAATGTCCAGGTTGATAGGTGCAGCAAACCATCATGGCACGTGTATATCTATGTAACAAACCTGCATGTTCTGCACACGAACCCCAGAACTTAAAGTATAATAAAAAAAAAAGAAATTTTGTTATGTTACTTAACAACTGTGGCCTGCAGGCTCATCTGAGAGACTTCTTTCTTTTTTTCTCTCTCTTTGCTTACTTGAGGATTTAAGCCAGCATCCACAAGAGTCTGTGGATTCACTAATACAGCCACATTGTTGTTAAGGACAAAAATTCTGGCCTTTAAGTCTAGTGTAGTTAAGACAATGAACTGACTGGGTTGCTCGTTCTCCCTCTGCCCTTGCTGATAATGTTTTAGTTCCCTTCCTCTGGTTTGTCCATCTTTTCCCTCTCATCTGTCTCCAGTCTATTCACTCAGTGTCTACCAGCTTATTTGGATGGGTTTGTCTGAAGTTTTCTCCAGCTAATACAATCATCTATGCTAATGTTACTGTTAAGATGCCTTAAAAAAGTAAACAAATTCCAAAAATCAATTCCTTAACCTCCTAAATATTCTATTTTAGTGTTTCCAGGCTTAGCATGGCCAAAATCTTAAATTCAAACACTGAATCTAATTACAGATCTACATACAAGAAAGATGTTTAGAGTCAGTTTGTCATGATGAGGAGAATTCTATGCCAACAGTTTTATGATTTAATTTTGTTTATTCCTAAAATTCCCAGTCTAATGGGCCTATCCAGGATCATGTCAAACATGGAAATCTTACCATGGTGTGGAGTAATTAGATTTTTTCCCCCAAATTACTTTACCATACGTTTTAATCAATAACTAGCAACATTTAAACTCTTACAATCCTATCAGCTGTAAGAGAAAAGTAAAGGACTAATTAAAAGACCTGTGTCCACAGTAGAAAAAAAATGATGAATCTTTTCATCACTCAGCAGCTTAGGGATGGTCCAAATATATTGTTTTCTTTTTCCCCCTTGGAGTTATTTATTGGTCAGGGGGAGGGTGGACAGAACTGCTTTTGAAGTTAAACATCTTGCTTGGATGAGCAGATATGTTGCATCAAATCAAAGTAATAAAAAGACAAAATGCTTTATTAAATCTTCTTTATCACTATATTGTGCTCCAATAGGATGATCTAATTAAAGACACAGTTGAGCCTCTTTTCATCTGAAGAGGAGTTCACAGGCTTTCATTATTAAAAGGTTTGCACAGAAACAAATACGTGGCTGTATTGCTTCCAAGTTTCTCAGCGGTGCCTCCTTTCTGTTTTGCTGTAATTGTTATGGAAGTCTTGGCTGCCACTTCATGGCTTGATACTAACTAGTCCTTTTCATCTTCAAAGTACCTGTGAGGCATTAACATGACTAATATTTATAATGCCACTCTGAGGTAGGCACTAGACGTCTGGAAGTGTTGTATTCTTTTTGAAGATATGAAAACAAAAGAATTGAAAGTGGTGTCTACTTGAATGCTGATGATGAACATTTGGCTTTCTAGTTCTGAGTTTGCAGATGTCTAAGCTGGCACTTTGTCTTCCTAAGATATTGCTAATTCATTCTGCATAACAGGGGACTCCTTCAAACTCATCACCATAATCCCCATCATCAAAAAAATGTAGAAAAATTAGAGAGAAACGGACTAGTGATTGCCCCTGGGTTGTGATATTCCTAGGTCCTCTCAATTTAATAAGCATTCACTAGGTGTTAAATTGTGTTTTACTTTTTTTTTTTTTTTGAGACTAAGTCTTGCTCTGTCACCCAGGCTGGAGGGCAGTGGCGTGATCTTGGCTCACTGCAACCTCTGCTTCCTGGTTCAAATGATTCTTGTGCCTCAGCCTCCCGAATAGCTAGGACCACAGGTGTGCAACACCATGCCCAGCTAATTTTTGTACTTTTAGTAGAGATGGGGTTTTGCCATGTTGGCCAGGCTAGTCTCAAACTCCTGACCTCAGATGATCCATCCACCTTAGCCTCCCAAAGTGCTGGGATTACAGGCATGAGCCACTGCACACAGCCTTTGTTTTATTTTAATTCCTGAATAATATTAGTCTTGCATAAAATGTCACTCAGATTCTGCTACCTTAGGGGTCAAAAGTAGCTGCTGCATATAGGTCTTAATTGACCAGCCAAAGTGTTTTATAATTTTTTTAAAAATTTGCAATTCTTGTGATGAAGTTTGTGCTCCTTAGTTTACCATAGGCCTTCTATTGTTTTACACAGAATTGATTCTGTGTAATAGATGTTACCTGTATCACTACTGGAAGCATTTGAGTGTACTTACTTAAATAGAGAAGGGAAGGATTATCTTATTTTCTCCAAACCAGGACAAATTCGGTAAGTCAGCAAAATTGATGAATTGTTGAATTTCCTTGACATCATCTCACTCCTGCCCAAAATGATCTCTTCCCTTTTCCCTTTGTCTGTCAAATTTTTATTCTTTCTTTTCCCTTTCTCCATCAAATTCTTATTCTTTTTATTGCAGTTAGCATTCTCAGAGGAGAGTAATCTAATAAGGGAATCCACACTGAGTTGTAAATGACTGCACCAGCTTGACGTTTTACCCCTCCAGAGCTACTGGAAGGAGGATGGTAACCATGGCTTCACCTCTTACATCTGCCAAGCCAGTGGAAATATTTATAGGGACATAACTTTTTTTTTGCATGATTGTAATCTCGCAAATCCAATTATATATTTGTGATTATTGGCTTTTACACTGTGTATATGTAAGGCAAGCCTTACCCTAAAGCCTATTTCTATAAGGTACATTCAGATTTCTACATCAGAATCTAGAAAATTGGAAGAAATCAACAGGAAAATGTTTAAAAAGGTAAGTCTAAAACATTGTTTATTTATTTAGGCTTCTCTCCTTGTGTATGAAAACATATAAGAAGACACCACAAGGGAAGGGAATGTTTTGGGACAGAAAGCAAAGAAAAGCTAGACAGACCCTCTTCCATTCTTACTTCCATTCTGAATTGGATGCTGACCAGCTTGGCCCTGGGAGTTTCAGATGCAGATAGGGTGGAGATTTCCAGCTATGATGAATGATGAATGATCTCAGATGGAGGAGCTGGTCAGGGAACAGCAACTATGCATAAGAAACGTGAAACCTTCCAGTCGTGACCTATTTCAGAACAGAACTGCAGGCTTGAGAGCGGACAGTGCAGCGCAGAGCTGCAGCCTCCCTGTATCTTCTCAGCCATGATCTTGGCAGCTTCTTTGTCTCCTGCCTTTAACTTCCCCTCAGTGGAGTTAAGTCAACCTAAGTCCTCAAGGACTCAGGCAGTCTAAAAGCAAGTCACTTCCTGGGACATGAGCATCTCAGTTAATTCCTTTAGACTTCCATTTAAAATTTTTACAGGTTTTTAGCTTTCATTTAACAATAATTTGTGATCAAGATTAAATTAGAGTTTATTTTACTTTTAGTGACATTTTCACAACTAGTTTGAACTTAGGTCTCTTGCTGGAGAAATATTTACAAAGAATTAACATCAGATTGCATGGTATAAATGCCATGCCATTCAACTATGTAAATAGCAGCTGAGATGTTTAATTGAAAATAAAACACTGGTAAAATGTAAACATCATTTTTGTTCCAGTTGCAATGATGTAGGCTTCATGGTACAAATGAAAGCAGTAACTGATGGCAGAAGTTAGAGTTTGTAACAGGGTCCAATAACTCTCGTGTGTCTGGAAACCCTTTTAGTAACTGCTGTACTCTTGAATGCTGTTCAGTCCACTTCTCAAAACACACTCATTTCTTGTCACAAAGATTGGCTGTTTGAAACCTCCTACACTGGCACTTTAATATACAATCCAATGCACCATCAGGCATTGGGTTCCTGCGCTCATTAAGCTATTTCCTGGGTGTAAATTAGATGTCTCTCTAAATTACTTTATTCTTTCAGGCCACTAAAAGTACACGTGACACCCTATGGCATCAAATTATGCTTATTTATTTATGTATCTGTAACATTGTGTTGTATGGCGCAACCTCTGCAAAACCCTCAGGTCATATCTTGACAAGTATAATATGGGAGTATTAACTGCAACTAGGTTGTGGTATAAGGAATGTATAATTACTTTGGGGACAGTTTTCTAAATATATCTTTTCTTGGAAAGGGGTCCTTTATTCCAGATTTATGGGCTGTAATATGTGGGATGAAATTGTAATACCTTTAGATCCAAACTTTGGTGCAGGTGGAAGATTGTTTCAATGATCCCAATGATTACATAATTTGTCTTTAAATTACATTAATAAAGAGCTTCCATTACCTTTCTTGAAAAACTCTTAGCCACAAAACAATAACTTGCTATGAATAACATAGATCTAAAACCAGACTTCTTACATCAGCTATGAAATCTTTGACAAGTTACTTAACTATTCTACTGTTTGGCTTTCTCATCAATGAAATGGATATGGAAACAATGTCTAGTTCATTGGGCTGTTGTAAATTAAATGAAGTAACATATGTAAAGTGATGAGAACAGTGCTTGGCATGGTTAATGTTATGTATATGTGAATATTATTCATTTAATTAGTTAATATTTATTAAGGATTTAATGTTTTATCATCTACTAAGATGCATCATCTTTCTATATTATTATTATTATCTTTTATGGGAAACAATTCTGTAAGGAAGTAAACCTGATTACAAGCTCTCACTGTTTATTTCCCCTAAGTGAAGAATTAGAATCTCATGAAAATGTGCTCAGATGTAGCAATATTTTTAGTATAAACCCTTTAAAAAAATGTAAAGGGAAGTATCTGGACTTTAGTAAGCACATATGCAATGAAATATTAGTTTGACCTTTTTGAGGTGGAAATGAATATTTATTGGAATAATAATATTTCAAAATATATTATTGTGTTTAAAAATAGATTATAACACAGCAGGCACAGAATAGTTCCACTTTTTAATAAAAACGTAATGCCTATGGATGCATAAATAATCAGCATTTTGACCTTTAAAAAGTTGATTTTATTTTATTCAGATGGTAAAGATATCACCAAGAGTATAATTCTATGTCAAATTGCATTTTTGTCCTCATTTAGTGAAATGTTTATATGCAAATAATACTTTTACATTTTATGTGTTATACAAAGAAAATGAAACTATAAGTTTACGGGGATCACCTAAGGTAAAAAATGAAAAAGATCAAACGTTGGAATTCAATTTAAAATACTATATTCTTTTTTGTTGAGAAATGGTCAAATCTTGTTTTCTGGCATGAGGGTCAAAGATCCCAGGATAGATTATTCTGGTCCCTGTTATAGCCACATCTCTCTCTATGATTGGAGTTAAGTAAAACCCAGGAATTATTTTATGACCTTCCTTATTGCAGCAAAGACATTGGTGTGAGGCAGATCTACTTTGTTTTCCATCCAAGGCATTTCATTTCTGAAGCTCAAAGTGGACTTTGTCAGAAATAGAAAATTATTTCCCCAATTCAAAGGCTTTTTTAAAACAACAAATAAAACTAGCACATTTATAGGCCAGATCCTCCCTCTCCCTTCCCTGGGATGTCCATGTTATTTAGATTTGGAGCACCAGCCACTGTCTTTCGGACTTTGAATCTTGAGGAAGGAATAAGAGCGTAGTGGATGGATGGAGGGCTCGCTGTTGCAGTGGAATTGGGCCGGCCAGCATAGCCTGCCTGGCTCCCAGCTCTGTGGGAACCCTGGGTTCCTAGATATTTTCCCAGCCTGGGCCTCCAGCCTCCCATCATTTCTGCAAGACTCCATATACCCCCATTCAATACTTCTTCCACCTTTTTTTTCCTTATGATAATCAGAGTAGTTTTCTATTTCTTGCAAACAAGAATTTTCATTGATGCAACAAATTTCAAAGCCTGGGTATAAATAAAAGTCAACATTTTACCCTGAATTATCAAGGCGACCAACAGGAACCAGTTGTAGGGTGATGCAACCTTTAAATAATGTTTTATTTGAAGCTATTCTAATAGCTATTGGGAAGCCATATCAACTATACACTTCTGTAGGATCTAACAAATACAATTTGCCCAAATGTATTTGCTTTTGGCAGTCATCTCTAAATCAGCCAGTGATGGCACATACTGTAACTCGATTCTGTATTTTCAGAATTTGTGCTGCCATTTGGGAATCTGAACTTTGACATTATTGGAATGAGCAATTCTAATGTTTTGGGAAGGTGGGGAGAAGTAAATCAACAGGCATGTAATTGGTTTCGATACTGTGCTTTTCAAAACTGAAATGTTTGCAATGCTGTTATTAGCTGAGATACTGTAGATAGTTTTACATGTTGGGAACAATTAACACGTGTCCTGTGGGTCTGATTATTAGCGTTAAGGAAGTTCTGCTCTGTGTAAACCCCAAAGCAAAGCCTCCAGGAAAGTTAAAGGTCCCTGTTCTACCATTAAAATGGGAAAGTAATGTGCCCTTTTTTGATTGACTATAAACTTTGACTTGTGGGACTTTGTTCTCCAAGGTGAAAACAAACATGAGTACAAGACAAGTTGTTTTCCTTAAAAATTCAATCTTTAGCAGAAACCATGTATCAGAAAATTTCTTAAAATAAAACTAAATCAGTATTGCCTTTATGGCTAACACAGGAAAAAAACAAGTTAAAAAGCTAAGGTGGCAATTTTCCTTAAAATACAGCACAGAAAAAATTTTGCATGTTTAGGACATTGCCCAGAAGACTGATAAATTTGATATTTGATATGTGAAACCGTTGGAGGCATTGCATGAAAAGTTGTAATTATAAAAGATTTTAGGAGTAATTAAATGATTGAACGTAAATTTATGAGACATCCTGGTTTTTATGTGTCATAGATCCTTGAAATACAAAAGTAATTAGGTGAGATTCACACAAACACAGTAAATTAAATGTATTACTAGTAATGTAGAGTAATATTCAGATTCTCCATTATATGTGAGTAGAAAGAGAGTCGTAAACCTGGCCTTCTGCTCCCAGCTTCTTTCCTAACACCAAATAACTAACCTGAGGCCCAGTTTCCTCACATGTAAAGTGAAAAACATGGACTACAAGAGTTCAGTCTTCTATAAGTGCTGGAAACCTCGACGATCCTGAAGTTAATCTTTTAATAAGTTTAATCTTATGTGTTTATTTATTTTTATTTTTTTCTCACTCATGGACTCAGGTCACAAATATGTTTAATCTTTTGTGTAGTTGTTTGATTATGTTTTTTTTTTTTTTCTCAAGATGAAGGAGAAAAGGAACAGAAAGAAGTGTGATGTCAAAGTAGACAGTATACTCCAAAGTGCCTCGCCTCTGAGTGGATTTAGGAAGGCAGAACCCCCCTCCTCTATATCCTTCCAGTCCTCAAAAGACAGGTGGGGGGCATTGTTCCTCTAGCAACTATCACCCAAGGCAAAGAGTTAGTCTCTTCAAAACACAGGGAAATCCTGGTGTCAAAATGGAAAGTGCTGGGCTAAAGAAGTGGTTTCTGCCTCTGTCACAAACAGCCTCGTGGCTCTGAACAAATTCCACAGCCTCGGTAGGCCTGTTATCTTCCATAGTGGAAGGACGGCTTTCCAGCTCTTTCTTTTTTTCATCCAAAGAACCTGTGTTTTGGGTATAATGACCTAACTTACCTAGTATTTTGAGGTTAAGTTTCCTTTAATTTGCCAAAAATATTATCATTCCAAGTGAAAATAGAGAGCTCCAAAGTCAAGACCAAGTTTGTCATTTTTAAACCCCCACAGGCCAGAGCTGGACCTTCCCTCCAAGAAAGGAAATAAAAGAGCTAGGCACATGGTCAGGCAAACTGTTAAAGCTGTGGGAAGACAGAGAGATTAGACATTTTTCTACCAAAGGCAAGAAACTTGTAAGAGGAAAGTGAAGAAAATAAAATTAGAGGCAAAGGGAAGAAGTGGGGGAGGAAGAAGGAAATAGAATAAGTGCAGCCCCTCCGGCCCGGCCGTCTTTGAAGTGAGGCCAGAACTACCGCAAAGGATTGTGGGAGACGAGGTCAAGAGAAAAAGTAGATGGAGACCCTTTGCTCAGAGGTTAATAGTTACGTGTCAGAAGTGTTTTATCAGAGTAAAATGCCCTGTGCATTTTTAGATACTTTTTAGAGGAGTAAACCAATTCTGTGGAAGTTTCCCAAGGTCCTTAGGAAAGAGGAGTTCTATGGTTTATAACCTAAAAAAAACAAAAATAACGGTATTTTGGAATTACAGAGTCTGTTTTAATTAGCAATAACAACAAACTATGGAAGAGACCTGGTATTTCATATTTAAAATGGGTTCGAAACAAACTAGTTTTGTTTTTACTTTGGGGTGCAAGGGGTGGGCGAGTGAAGCCTCTGATCGTGATCTGGAGAGCCCATTAATTGCTCACCAGCATCTGCTCTGTTTCTACAAGTTCTGTGCCATGTAGCACTGTAAATTATGAATGAGAAAGATGATCTTTGCTCTTCTTAGGACTTCTGACTCCTAAGCCATGCTAGACAAAGGTCATAGCTGAGGTGAATTTCAGTTAGCTTTGGCAAAACCCATTTTCTTGTTCAGATAGCTGAATAGATGGTTGTGCAAAATTAGCAAAGGTTACTATGGGAGCATTAAGAAAGTTTACCAAAAGGGTAGCAGACAGTAGTTCAAGCAATATTTCCTTGAATGAGTTATCCAAAGGGCTTCAAATCATAAGTTCCAGGGAGATAGTTTTTTGTTTTGTTTTGTTTTTAAAATAAGAATACTAAACATTTTCCTTTATGTTTGGCTTATTTCTTTGTGTGAAAGTGATGCGGTCGAGTTTTTATTTGTGTAGCTCTCCTGGAACATGCTGTCACGCAGCCACTCACATGATTAAGAGGGCTCGCAGGAAACCTCCACCTCTGACTGTTTAATTTACCAGGACTTTTAAAAGCAAGACTGATAAAATTCATAAATTTATCACATCTCTAGCGGCTGATGACACTCATCAAGTCTGTTCCTGAAACTCTTTGGTTCTGTGCTTTTGTAAAGCGGGGTCACTGATGACAAACCTAATGCAGAACGATCAAGTCATAACTAACTTTTAAATGTTTCCTTGAAGGTTAAGACCAGAGGATCTGAATAAAAAAGTAGCAGGATCCTTGCTCTGATCTTTCCTGACATTTCCCAAATCCACAAGGCAGAGGGCATGGTGCAGGGTTGGAGAGTAAACTGTTCCATACTCAGCTCTCAATGAGGAGCACCGGCAAGCTAGTTTTTGCAGGCAGGTAAAGAAATAAACATACACACATTATGGGACTAATATTTGATTTGCCTGTGGGTGTATTTTTAATAAGCTTATCAAAAACACATATCTGCAAAGAATATTTAAGAGCACAGGTGTAATAAATAATCATATAATTGCAAAATGCTGAGATGCAAATTTCTATTGTTTGATGCATTTTTTAAAAAAAATGCTCTCATTCTTCTAGCTTTTCCCAGTACAGCTGTTATACAAAAGGAACTGATTTAATTCCTTTTAGGATTATGAAGATGGTTGGAAGCCTGTTTAAGATTATGTTGCCTCGTCTTTTAATTGTTGGTCAACATTTCAAATAGAATGCAATATATTTTGTGCCCGATGACAAGCAAACTACATGTTTCTTATAGGATGGATGGTTACTTGTCTTTGTAAAACCAAATATCATTCTCTGAAAAGCAGGTCAGGTAATGCTAGCCTTAGTTAATAGCTGGGGGTACCTTGAGTACCTCTCAAATCAATAATGACAGAGGTAGCCTGATAGCAATTTATGAACCACAGTCCTCTTGGGAAACATATTTCAAACCATAACTTCATCTAAACTGTTTATCGGCTAAGCTTGCTCAAATGTATGAAGTGTCAAAAAGTTTCTTTGACATTAGGCTTGTTATTGTCCTTTGATTTATGCACTTAAGCAAAATGCAGTAAATAAAAAGATTGGTGGTTTAGTATTTTAAGGAAATGATTAGAAACATTTGCCAATGCTATTCATTTTATACAGTTTTTCTTTCCAAATTACAAAAATAGTGTTTCAATTCAGTGAATGGCTTCACCATAACAAAATCTTAAATGATCATTATAGTAAGTGGAAATGCTGATGAAGTTACTATGAAATAGTTTAAAAACTGTGAAGTAAATATGTAATGCTCATATATAAAGCATTTGTCTCTCTCCTTTAATTTCATATGCCTGGCAGTTTACAAAATGTCCCATAATAATCTAAGGCACATTTATGGTTGTGAATTTACCTTATTAAAAACATAGTTGGTTTTTGCAGAAACTTTCATATGAAAAATACAGAGGACAATTCTCTTGGAAAGCATCCTTCAAGAAAATTATTGGGCTTAGACGAAACATTTTGATTTGCTAGGAAATGAAAATACTGACTTTTCAGATTTCTTGATGATGGAATATTCTAGAGGTACAAAATGCATCCAAAGTCAAACTCTAAGACAAATCTTTTAAACAAGATTTCATTTCAATATTGTAGTTTATGATTTTACATTTCATTTCAGTTTGAAGCTTTTCATTCTTACAATTGCTTAACCACATTTTCATATTAGGCAACTCTAGGCAGTTATATATATATATATATATATATTATAGTTGGCCAAGGATTCCAAATGATTGCATGAGTTTTTAAAAGCTTATTTAAAAAAACAGATATAAATGCAATTCACTTGCACATTGTAGGCAAACAAGAAACCTAATGGAGACAGACACATTTTAATGCACAGGTTGCTTATATGAGGCTTTATGTGTCCAATATATGTTTTTCTGAGTACTTAACTACTAAGCTGATGGGTACCAGAAAAAAAGTCACAGATATAAAAGAACAAATGAGTTCACAGATATCTATACCAGAATTGTTAACTTAGCGAATGTTTCCTTGAAAACAGGATATAGTGAATCTGCATATATTTAATGGAAAGTGGTTGTATTTACTGGAGAATTAGGAGAAATGACTTCTTAATGGAGCCAGAAGTTCTGATCTGCTATCCTTCAAAGAAAGACTGTTTCCCAGGCTGGCCAAAATTCCTATGGAGCAACCTATGCCTATTGATAAGTTATCGGATTCCTCTCCGGAATCAGCTGGTCAGGAAGGATACAGAGGGGAGGAAGGGGAAGGGAGAGGAGATTCCGATAGTGGCGCTGTCTGATTGCCAAGGTAGGAGTGGGTGGAGAGTTGAGAAAGGAATAGTAAGAGAGGTAAAAGGAAAGAGAACAGGAAAGAAGAGAAAAATCAAAAAGAAACAAAGCAGAGGCCAAGCAGGGTGATAATAGCCATATAGAAAGGGCATCCTTGTAAATGGAACAGCATTCCAGATCTCCAGGCTCATTAGAATGGGGGATTGCTCACCTGGATTGCATGAACTTCTCAAGTCTCTGAACCCACTGAAATTGTATACATATTTTGGGAGTATGTATATGTGCATTTTTTTCTGCCTGGGGAAAGTGTTCTTTTCTTTGATCTGATTCACCAAGGGGTCCAAGACTCAATAAAATTTAAGAACTACTAATTTAGTGGGATTATACACAAATTTTAAAGACAAGTGTCTTTAAAGGAGTCATCGAATGCTTAAGATTGACTGTACATAATCCAAGAATGTTACCATCTAGTATTAAGTTGTATATTCTGGGAAGAGTATCCCAGAATATCCCATGTCTTTCAGACATGTAGAATGATAGCTGTTCATTGAAATGCTATTAAAATAAGTTTTTTTGAGACAAGGTCTCACTCTGTCGCCCAGGCTGGAATGCAGTGGTGTGATCAGGCTTACTGCAGCCTCTACCTCCTGAGCTCAAGTGATCCTCCCACCTCAGCCTCCTGAGTAGCTGGGACTATAGGCACGTGCCACTATGCCTGGCTAATTTTTTTTGTAATTTTGTAGACACAGGGTTTCGCCATGTTGCCTAGGCTGGTCTTGAACTTCTGGGTTCAAGGGATCCACTAACCCAAGTGCTGGGATTACAGGAGTGAACCACTGCCCTGGCCTTCAGCCAAATACTATTGATTGACCATTTGCACTAAGTTAAGTCAGCATTTTTCTCATTGAGTGCCCTGGGAGTGTGGAGAAACAGTGTGGTATGGGGGAAAGGGCATTAATTTGGAGCCAGATATTTCTGGGACTCAGGTACTATATGGAATTCAAACTAGTTTAGTGAAACTAGGAGGCTGATATGGCCTCCTTAACTCTGTATCCTCTTCTGTAAATGAAGAGGATGATCATTACTTCATAGGGCTGTTGTAGAAATGAAAAGAAATGCAATACTAGCCTACATTTATTGGATACTTACTATCTCTCATTCACTATGATATGTTTTCTGTGCTTTATGCAATTTAATCTTCTCAACAATTTGATGAGATTGATGTTATATTTATTTCTATTTTACAGATGGGGAAATTGAGGCAGAGAAGCCAAGACATGTGCTAAAGGTCATGCAGGCTATGAATGGAGCTGGAATGTGAACGCAGGCCATATGACCCCAGAGCCCATGTTCTTGAACCCTTAGAAAGACAGCAGCAACACACCTGGTGCAGCAGCTGCTTAGTTGGAGTGGCTGACAAGGTTGGCAGAGGATCCCGTTCCTCCCGTGGAGTGGCTGCCATGATACTGCCTGCACTGAAGCTGCTCCTATTTCTGAAATATGTATTGTTATTTTTTTCCCTGCATGTTGAACATTATACTCTTCTGTTCTTTCGCATTCTCTTCTTCCCTTCCGGATGACTTCTAGGGTTTTTGTGATTCTGTAATTCTAAAGGAGAAAGGATAATAAGAATTGTGAGGCCGGGCGCGGTGGCTCATGCCTGTAATCACAGCACTTTGGGAGGCCAAGGTGGGCGGATCACTAGGTGAGGAGATGGAGACCATCCTGGCTAACACGGTGAAACCCCGTCTCTACTAAAAATACAAAAAATTAGCGGGGTGTGGTGGCGGGCGCCTGTAGTCCCAGCAACTCGGGAGGCTGAGGCAGGAGAATGGCGTGAACCCGGGAAGCGGAGCTTGCAGTGAGCCGAGATTGCGCCACTGCACTCCAGCCTGGGCGAAGAGGGAGACTCCATCTTAAAAAATTAAAAAAAAAAATTACAGAAAATTAGCTGGGCGCGGTGGCGGGCGCCTATAGTCCCAGCTACTCGGGAGGCTGAGGCAGGAGAATGACGTGAACCCGAGAAGCGGAGCTTGCAGTGAGCCAAAATCGCGCCACTGCACTCCAGCCTGGGCGGCAGAGCGAGACTCCGTCTCAAAAAAAAAAAAAAAAGAATTGTGATGTGAGTGTCCAAAAAAACCCTGATTTCCAATCACCTACACATGGCTGTTTCCTAGATACACCAGAAAAAATTGTGACTTTCCGGATACCTAGTTTCCCTCCCTCCCTCCCTCCCTCCCTTCTTCCCTCCCTCCCTCCCTCCCTCCCTCCCTCCCTTCCTTCCTTCCTTCCTTCCTTCCTTCCTTCCTTCCTTCCTTCCTTCCTTCCTCCCTTCCTCTCTCTTTCCCTTTCCTTTTCCTTTTCCCTTTCCCTTCCATTCCCTTCCCCGCTTTTTATTTCTGGATACCTGGTGTTCTATCAGAATGAGATCTGCACAAGTATTATCCTAGCAACACAGGATCCCACCTACTCAACACACCTTTAAAAAACTCCTCGAATTGGCTGGGCGCGGTTGCTCACACCTGTAATCCCAGCACTTTGGGAGGCCGAGGCGGGCAGATCACGAAGTCAGGAGATCGAGACCATCCTGGCCAACATGGTGAAACCCCGTCTCTGCTAAAATACAAAAAATTAGCGGGGCGTAGTAGTACGCGCCTATAGTCCCAGCTACTCCGGAGGCTGAGGCAGGGGAATTGCTTGAACTTGGGAGGCGGAGGTTGCAGTGAGCCGAGATTGCGCCACTGGACTCCAGCCTGGAAACAGAGCGAGACACCGTCACAAACAAACAAACAAACAAACAAACAAACAAACTAGAACTGTACATTTTTTTTTAAGTTAGCCAACTTTCTGTGGGCAATTACATAATGTGAGCAGGCATTATATGACTTTGTGCTTTACATTCAAAGAAAGTTCAAAGCTTTTCTTCTTTTGGAGTGGTTTCCTTTTCCCCCAAGGGATCTGGGTAATATTGATGTGTTTAGTGTATTCAAATCCTAGAAAAGCACATATATAAAAATGTAAGTTTCTTTTAATTAAACCTCCTTTCTTTTTTTGTTTTTTCTTAGTACTGTTCATCAAAAAAATGGCCAGGTCTGGACTTAAGGGAATCTTATTCAAAGTTTTGGGAGATTTGAAAAGATATGTCCCCGTTGAAATAGAGTCTTGTTTTTTCTTCTAGGAGAGAATGATTTCCAGGAAGAGCGGAACACATATGGAAGGCCTTAGCTTATCTTTAGCGCCTCATACACCCGTTCTGGACTTCAGAAAGGCCAGTGAGTGGGATTAGGCCTCAGAGATAGGATGTCAGTCCCAGTGAGGGATGGCCTAGAGCATTCTTTAATTCTTTCCTTTGGGTCACACATAAGAAACAATTTTCCAGCACTGATGAGTGTTATTAACAATGAGATGGGATAGAATTTAGTTTTCCCTATGGCTGTGCTTCAAAAATAGAAAAGCTGTCTTTTCTCTGGAATGATTGAATGAAGCTCTGGGGAGGAAAAGGTGGATTGGCAGATCTCTTAAAGGAAGCTTCTCCTTCTAGGCACTATTCTAAGGCTTAATATTTTAACTCCCTATATTAACCTAGTTCAACTAAACAGTGATCTGAGTAATTTTATTTTTATTAAAGCTCAGATCAAAATGCCATTAACATTGATTGAGAAAATCAAAGGAATCTTTGATGTGAGTGGTTAAATTGCTGAATTATTTCAGTCCCATACCCTCACAGCATGAGTACCTGATCTGATAGACTTCTTTGGAATTCCTTTTTTGTTTGAGACAGAGTCTTGCTCTGTCGCCCAGGCTGGAGTGCAGCGGTGTGATCTCAACCATTGCAACCTCCACCTCCCAGGTTCAAGTGATTCTCATGCCTCAGCCTCCTGAGTAGCTGGGATTACAGATGTGCACCACCATGCCCGGCTAATTATTTTGTATCTTTAGTAGAGATGAAGTTTTGCCATGTGGGCCAGGCTGTTCTCAAACTACTGGCCTCAAGTGATCTGCCCGCCTCGGCCTCCCAGACTGCTGGGATTACAGGCGTGAGGCACCGTGCCTGGCTGGGATTCCATAATAAATCCCTCTGTGTCTATTTCTTTTTTCAAATATAATTTTCTTCATTTCCAAACATCATCTTTAAGACTCCAAGGATTTTTCCAGGCACAGTGGCTCATACCTGTAATCCCATTGCTTGGAGAGGCCAAGGTGGAAGTTCATTTGAGGCCAGGAGTTCGAGACCAGGTGGGCAACATAGTGAAACCTTGTCTCTACAACATAAAAAAAAAAATAAAACCCTAAGGAAATAATGGTGCCTCACTACCTTTCAAAGCTTTTGACCTTCAAGTCAGAAAATAAATTATTTTTAGGAAAGGCATCTCAACCTTATTTACAAATGAACTATTTGTCAAGAGCAACCTCTATAAGGATAATAGGACTTCCTGGTTTGAAATGCAGCATGAACAATTCTCAGAGGCTCCTGGAAGACTAAGAATGAGGTTTCTTGATCCGCCTTCCCTCGGCATCTTCTCACTCTCTTCCCTCCTTCTCAGAAGCTGTGTGCAGCAATGGGCTATGCAACTGGTTTCACTGGTGCCTGGTAGAACTTTTAATTCCTCCCTGTCAGCACATCCCTAGTCCACTTTCATAGTTTGGATAAGGACTGGATAAGCAGCTGAACTTCTGGGGACTTTTCCAAATGAAATTCAACCTTTAGACCTTTGGAGGTTTACCCAGTCTTCCTCACTACCCGAAGATGAGTTTGGAACAAATTTTCTCTTAATGGATTCTATTTGTGGGTAGGAGAGGTAATGACTGCCTTGCTCAGAGTCATGAGCATAACTTCAAATAAGGAAAAAGAGCCTCGCAGGAATGTGAGAATAGATGCGATCCTGAGGAAGGTGTGTCTGAGGAGGTGCTGGGAGGTTCTGATCGGCTGTTGAAGGCAGATACTGTATCTCACGTGACAGAAGTCACCTCCTGACATCAGAGTTGTGTTTGAGTGGTAATTTAAAAAATAATATAGCTGACAAGGAAATGTGGAAGGCATTACGTTGCAATACAGTGAAATGAACATACAACATTCAAGATCAATTACCGGGTACTGATTAGCTGGGAGAAAGGCAATAAAACTTTAAAAATAGAATTGGTAGAAATAGCACCCTGTCAAGGTGGGACTGACTATGCCTCCTGCTGGTTTGTTGCGAGGAATTCTTTTTTTGGGAAAATCCTGTTGAATTGTGTGGCTTGTGAATCTGGCTCTAGAACTGTTAATGTTATAAGAATTGAAAGAGGACTATTTAAAAATACCAAGACATCTTTTAAAATTCCTATTTTTAGAACAGCTACTTGTCATTAAAATAAATCATTCCATTTCTATTTGTCCAGGTTACTGCTTTCACAGCAGGGCCAGGGCTATGGTGAAGTGTGGGAGGTGCCCAGTCCCCTTCACTGCAGTCATGGCTCTGTTTCATGCCACATGTGTTATTTTATAAGTGGTTAAGCCCCACATAGGCATGCAAACATGGTACATCTCTATGTATTGGTTTTGGTAATGTTGTAAATAATTGGGAGAATACATTAAAATTTGGTAATAGTGCTCCTTTGGACTCAGTCTCTTTTTTTTTTTTTAAGACAGAGTTTCGCTCTTGTTGCCCAGGCTGGAGTGCAATGGCATGATCTTGGCTCATTGCAACCTCTGCCTCCTGGGTTCAAGCAAGTCTCCTGCCTCAGCCTTCCTGAGTAGCTAGGATTACAGGCATGTGCCACTATGCCCGGCTAATTTTGTATTTTTAGTAGAAAAGGGGTTTCTCCATGTTGGTCAGGCTGGTCTTGAATTCCCGACCTCAGGTGATTCCAGTTCTAATTCCCCAACAGAGTTGTCTTGGTTGCAGTGAGATATATATATATATATATATATATATATATATATATATATATATATATATATATTTTGAGATGGGGTCTCGCTCTGTCGCCCAGTCTGGAGAGCAGTGGCGCGATCTTGGCTTGCAGTGAGACATTTTTATCCATCCTGATCACAGCACTTGCCTCCGGGCTCATGAAGCCCAGCATGTTACTGCTGTTCTGAACGTCTCTGCTTTTTGAGAGACATGTTTAATGAATTGGGAGTATCTGTGCACATTGCATTCACTTAAAAAGGGAAAAATACCTTTTAACAGTTATAGCTACAGAAATTCAATTTAGTTTATTTAGGAGGAAATGAGAGACTTGAATTGTAGGTGTGAAATCTTACAATCTTTCAGAATGATTTGGTTTGGGGGATGGTTGGAACTGCATGGAATTCCTTCAGCCAAAATAATTTTTGTGAGCACATTCCCAAGCTCACGATCATGTTTTGATAAGAAAAATCCCTTTCTCCACAAGTTCTCAGGTCCCACTCATTGGCCCCTGCCCTCATTTCTGGAACCTATGTTAGGCAGTTATGTGGCTCAGTTCTTGGTGATATGTTTTCAATTTGAGTCAACTTGATGAGAGAAAAATTACTAAAAAGTGGGAATGAGCTGTGAGGTGAACAGGGTTTTCCTATCAAAGTGGAGGTATTTTTAAAAGCATTTATTATTTCAAACTCAAACATTTATAGAAAGCCATGAGTGTGAAGTGTATGATTACCAGTTGTGGCTTGCTGCATTGAAAAATTCAAGTTCATAGGAAATATTTACTGAGGCTCTGGTTTGCAAGCAGTTTGTTCAAGAGAACAATTTGGTCCAGAAGGCATGTCAGCCAAAAAAGAGTTTACTAATATAGTAGTAACAGGCAATTAGGATTCATAAGCATCGCCATGGCTGAGACATGATTTAAGGTCTTAGATGGAAAGAGTTCTGTTATTAAGATAACAGAATTTAAATGCTGTATCTGTCTAGGTCTTATGCATGTCAGAAGTGAGAAAACTACTTCTTCATTTTCCATTTTTATGAGCTCTGATGTAACACAGTTTTTTTTTTTTTCTGTGTTGAAAATGATGAATATAGTTCTTGGCACATTTGTTCCATAGTAAAGAAGAATTTAACTTGCAAGTGAAAAACCTCTGCCTTTGGCCATGGATTAAAAAGATGTTATATGATGAAGTTTACTTCCTAAGGAAAGGTTAGTTTTGTGTGGCACTTTCTGAAAATTTGTTTGGGACATATACAATTCTTTTGTATAAATTCTGGAGGTCTGAGGAAAATTACTTAATCACATTAGATGAGAACATTTCTTTTTGTGTGAATTGAGTTCTTATCAAGGTTCTGATGTTTTTTCTCATGTATTTGCCCTTGGGTTCATCTCAATACAATGCATTTGTGTACTATTGAATAAAAAGCAGGCTGCAACAGTATTTATGACATATGATCCTATATACACGTAAAATCTTGTGTGTGTGTTTGTGTGTGCACATGCATATAAAAAAAACTACATTGTTAAAGTTGTTAATAGTTAACTCCCGGTGGTGGGTTTTAAGTGATTATTATTTTCTTTGTATAAGAAAAATAGTGCACAGTTTTCTTTTGTTGTTACGAAAGGTGTCATACATTTGAAAGAGGACATATGCACAGTTTAAATAATAATAACATAGTGAATACCCACTGCTTGGCTGAAAAAAATAATTTATTACTCTGTTGCAGAAGGCAAGCCTTCCTTCTGCCCCTGCCTCTGTCATGGAGGTAGCTACTTGCTTGAATTTTGTGCTAATCATGTCTTTGCTTTCTTATATAGTTTAGCCAGCTGTGAATGTCTCCATAAAACATACACAGTTTTATTTTGATTGTTTTTGAACTTTAAATAAATGAAATCATACTGGATATATTCTTCTGTGACTTTTCCTTTTTTTTTGCTTCTTATTTTTTGGTCATTCATCCGTGTCAATGTGTGTATCTGATTTTTTTTCTTTGAATGTGAAAAATATTTCAATCACACAGATCAATCAAGTTACAGTCATTTTGAAAAAGGAAAACCTCATACGTACATTTAAAAATATGTGCTGAAACAGTGCTGAAATAACCAGGCTTTTGTGAGTGAAAATTTTTTTAATCCATTCATATATGTCCACATGTTGATGGTATAACAGCTGCCTTCAGAATATTATTTTTAGGGATCACTGGCTGCACCCATAACACAGAAATGCCTCCTTTTCCTGCCCCTGCCATTAAGCCACTGTGTCTGAAATTCAACCATTAGCTATTTTTCCCTGAGGATTTTAGGAACTGTCTTCCAAAAGAGAAATTGTGTCATGCGGCGATTCAACATGAGCTAGTTTAGCCAGTGATCAGCTTTATTACCTTGACAGAGAAAGAGCAGGTCTTAAGGAGCAGAGGAAGGGGGTGGGGGTAGCTTTAGACCTTGAAATGTTTAGAGGGCGAGCTTCAGTGTGGCACTGAAATGAGGACTCAGAATAAACAAGGTATGGAATCAGTCTTAGGGTTCATCCGCATACACAGTGGAATACTATGCAGCCATACCATGTTGCTGTCATTTGCAGCAACATGGATGAATATGGAGGCCCTTAAGTTAGGTGAAATAAACCAGGCACGGAAAGACACATACTGCGTGATCCCACTGATATGTGAAATCCAAAAAGTTGAAACCACAGAGGCAGAGAGTTGAAATGGTGGTTGCCAGGGGCCTGTGAGGGTGGGGAGAAACAGTGTTGTTGATCAAAAGAGACAATATTTCAGTTAGTCAGAAAGAATAAATTCAAGAGATCTATTTACCGGGCGGTGACCGCAGGTAATAATAATGTATGGTGTATTTGAAAATTGCTGAGAGTTTTTCAGTGTTTTCACCATAGATAAATATGTGAAATAACATGTATATTAATTAGCTTGATTGAGCCATTTCACAACATATACATATTTCAAAACATGGAATTGAACACCATAAATATATAGAACTTTTATTTGTGTATTCAAAAGAGTTTGGGAATCGTAAAGGAAAGCAAAGATGCAGTGAAGAGGCAACATCCAGGTGTATGCGATGCAGAGAAAGGAGTTGGGAATGCAACACTTTAGCCACTTGATGACCGTGCCCATATGCAGTGACAAGCACTTCTTGAGTACCTAGTGTATCAGGTTTTGTGCTAGGCATTCACAATTGAAAATATAAGAAGTAAGGCAGTCCTTTCTTTTAAAGAACTCATGGCCTAGCGGAGGAATAAGATACACCAGCAATCTTTGCTCCAGGTCCCAGATGATTACTGAGTGGGCACAAAAGAAGAATGGACTGGTAGTAGGGGAGACTTCAAAAAGGAGTGATGCTTGAAGGATGCGTCTGGTGGGCATAGAAGGGGAGGTCATTCCCATCAGAGAGAAGGCCATTTACAGAGGTACAGGGGTATGAGATTATGGAGTCCAGTGACTTGCTGACACATGTGACTGGAGTGGTGGGGCCATCCTGCACCGCCAAAGTGATGGCTCTGCAGCCTGACCTTGTCACTCGCCCATTTGAAATCATGCCATACCTCTCCTGCACAGCACATATTATTACACTTGGCCTCGGTCCCACCTCTCCTACTGTGCTTCTCAAATTAGTTTCCTTAAATGGTTCTCTGCATCACAACTTTCTTATTTATAAAAATAGAGAATGACATCAGAGCACCTAAACTCAGCTTTCTGTTTTTTTCCACAGAGATCCTGGCAAATGGGTGTTTCTTCCCAGAAAGGGATTTTTCTCCATGACTGCAGTTGAATTGCAGAGTTGTAGAGACATCCAGGTTCTTGTTAGTGTGGACGAACTATCCATGAAGATCTTAAATGCAGGAGTCTATGAGAACACCAATTAATCAATTGTCAAATATTTGAGTATCTATTGTGAGCAAGGCACTGTATAACCATTATGTCATGTATTAATCTATTGGAAAATAATTTGACCTTGGTTGTATAGTATTTTGTTTATTTTTACCTTAAATTTTGTAACTCTATTATAAGTGTTTACATACCAACTATTTGAGGGCTGTATGCAAGGTATAGTTTTATTGTACTTTGCTTCTTCTGTTACAATAAAGTACAAGTACAGTAAAATAATCATATCTGGCTGGTGGTGGTGGCTCATGCTTGTAATCTCAGCACTTTGGGAGGCCGAGGTGGGTGGATCACCTGAGGTTAGGAGTTCCAGACCAGCCTGGCCAACATGGTGAAACCCGGTCTCTACTAAAAATACAAAAAATTAGCTGGGCATGGTGGTGCGCCCCTGTAATCTCAGCTACTTGGGAGTCTGAGGTGGGAGACTTGCTTGAACCCAGGAGGTGGAGGCTGCAGTGAGCTGAGACCCTGCCACTGCACTCCAGCCTGGGCCACAGAACAATACCCCGTCTCAAAAAAAAAAAAATCACATCTTACCAATATAAGCTAACACATCATCATTTTAAAGAATATTAGAATCATAAATAAGAAAGCTTGAAAATGTTAAGAATCAAATAAGCCCATTATCTAGAAATAAATAGAACTTGCTGTGTAATTCAATTAAATTTGATAGAGCAAATAATTACTGGCACCTGTAGTAGGCACTGTGGAGTACGCCAAGCTTTCCATGAGACGCTCCCTCTACCCTCTGTACTTGTTAGTGTATTGCGAACCTATGTTCTCTGTACTGAAGAAACAGAGAATGGAGAATTTCCCATCCTTCTCTCTAGTCTCAATTTCCAAAGGCAACCTTCCTATAATTTCACTCTCTTGCATAGGAAATTCATACAAAGTCCATCAGCCCTGTAATTAGTCTAGAGCAAGCGGTGAAAAAGTAGGGATGAGAACAGGCAGATTTAGCAACTCATGTTGAAGTATCCACCTTACTCCAGAAACTGGTAGTGACTATAATGGATCTTTTCCTCTGCTACTCTTTTACTTTCATGCCCAGACTTAACGTTATCAGTCTAGAATTTCTGATACTCCAGAGGAAACCCGTATGAGATACTGCATGTGGCTCTCTGACCTCATTCTCCCTGCCCAAACTTCTGAGATCCCACCCCAAGGAAAGGCTGCTGAATTGCAGCAAGATTATACTCAAAACCATGTCCTGTTTCTTTCCAGGTCTTTTGTAGGATGTATTCATTCTGGGGAATAAATAGAAATAGGAAAATCTCCACTACTACCACCTTAGTCCAAGCCATTACACCATTACATGTCTCACCTGGTTATTGCAACACACACACACACACACACACACACACACACACACACACACACATATGTTTAGAGACAGAGTCTTGCTGTGTTGCCAAGGCTGGAGTGCAGTGGTGCAATCACAGCTTACTGTAACCTTGAACTCCCATGCTCAAACTATCCTTCTGCCTCAGCCTCCAAGTAGGTAGAACTACAGGTGTGCCTCACCATGCCTGGTTAATCATTTTTTAGCTTTTTAGATAGAGGTGGGGTCTTGCTATGTTGCCCAGGCTAGTCTTGAACTCCTGGCCTCAAATGATCCTTCCACCTCAGCCCTCCAAAATGCTAGGATTACAGATGTGAGCCCCTGCATCAGGAATGGCTATTGCAATATTCTTCTAACTGGTTAACCTGTTTCTGTTCTAGACATTCCAACACATCAGGCATGCTGTCACCTCAGGCCATTTGTACTTGCTCTTCCCTCTGTCTGGACCACATTTCACTCTATTTTGGGCTCTATCCTGCAGTGTCTCTGTACTGAAATGTCAACATCCTCAGTGAGGATTTATCTGGGCTACTTTATATGAAATTGTAACTCCCAGGCCTTATGTTTCCTAATCCCATTCCAAATTTTATTTTTCACTAAGTTATTTATTGTCATCGAATGTATTGCATATTTAAAATTTTTACTCTGTCTATTCTCTGTCTCTCACTACATGATGTAAGGTTTGTGAAATATTTTTGTCTGTTTTCTCACCATTGTGTTCCCGGTGCCTGAATGGTACTGCCACATAGTGTCACAAGGTATAGTTTTTATTGTACTTTGCTTCTTCTGCTTCAATAAAGTACAAATACAGTGCAAGAATTCTGTCTTACCATTACAAGCTAATGTATCATCATCATATATTTGATGACAAATATATGACAAACTATATATATATATAAATTCATATATTTACTGCTTCAACAAACATACATATACATATATTTGTCGAAAGAATAAATAAATAAATAAATGTATAAAAGAAGGGACTTACTCCTACCTTATACATATTTTTTAGAATACTCTAGTTCCAGTCCAAAACTTGGTTAGAACAACACTTAGTTTTCACTTGAGCAAAGAGAACCAATTCCACATTTGCACCTGGTGTTTTCTTTGTTACAGATCACAACATTCAGTGTTTGAATTTTGTCTTTTCTAGCTTAAGAGAAGAATGTTGAGGGCAAGTTTAGTAATTTCTGACTTTTCTCACATTTTTGAAAGAGGCACTTGCATTAGAAAGTAAAAAATCTTTACGCTTTCCAGAAATAATCCCTTTGAGGAAACATCTCAGAAATAACGTTTAAACGTATCTTTGTGTAATGTGCATATACTAAGAAAAAATACCTCTTTAAGTAGATTAGGGCTGCTTTTAATAATTGAAGTGTGTGATCACATTTCAAACTCAGTTCTTCATCTTGATCTTCAGATATTTAACAGAATATTTGGGTCAGATGGTCAACAACTGCACATATTTCTTTTTTCTTCTTTGACTTAAGTGAAGGGAGTAACAAGAGAGTTTTCTCTGCAGGAGAAAGAGTTGGGGGTGGGGTGGGGAGTCAACAAATATGTCCCACCACCTGTTTCTATAAAGTTTTATTGGAACATATCCATGCCCATTTCGTAACTTGTTGACTGTGCATACAGCCTATGCTCACTTTCATGCTAAAACAGCTGAATTGAGTAGTTGCAACAGAGATATGACTTTCAAAGCCTAACATAATTGCTGCCTGGTCCTGTATAAAAACAATTGTGGATCCCTGACATTTGACTATAACCAATACTAGTTGGGAAGGCCAGTGGAAAGGCATGTGGCCACATGGAGGAGGCTAAAATAAAAGTGTTTGATAAATAATCCAGAGGATGGCTACTTAGTTCTTAATTAATTTGTAGTTACATATTTTCTCGATTTGTACAATTGCTGAGATCTGTTACATTATTTGTAAATAAAACTATCCTCGTTGACATATTATAATTCAGAACTGTTTCATTTTAGTTTCGGATTCATTTCCAAGTAACAGTGACTTCTGCCACTAATTTGCAATTATTTTACAGCTTTTTAGATCAAGTGCTACTCCATAAGCAATACTGCATTTTATAACACAAATTACACACTGATTTACCTGTTTTAAATGTGTATCTTTTAATATATGATTAAAATTTTTTGCAAGTGAGCCCTGTTACAGTGATTAGTTTGGATAAAATCATGTATCTTTAAATACATTTAAAAAAATTTATTTATTTATTTTTTATTTTTATTTTTATTTTTTTTGAGACAGAGTCTCGCTCTGTCGCCCAGGCTGGAGTGCAGTGGCGCGACCTTGGCTCACTGCAAGCTCCGCCTCACGGGTTCACGCCATTCTCCTGCCTCATCCTCCTGTAGCTGGGACTACAGGCGCCCGCCACCATGCCCAGCTAATTTTTTGTATTTTTAGTAGAGACAGGGTTTCACCATGTTAGCCAGGACGGTCTCGATCTCCTGATCTCGTGATCTGCCCGCCTCGGCCTCCCAAAGTGCTGGGATTACAGGCGTGAGCCACCGGGCCCGGCCAAAAATATATATTTAAAAATATAAAAATGTATAAAACTATGTCACAATGAGAAAGTTGGGTAGCAATAATGCTACAGTTTGGCGGTCCCCAACATTTCGGGCACCACGGATGGTGGGGGGCAATGATTTCGGGATGAAACTGCTCCATCTAGTAAGAGTGAGCAACCTGATCCTTTGCATGTGCAGTTCACAATAGGGTTCGTGCTACTATGAAAATCTAAAGCCACTGCTGACCTGACAGGAGGTGGAGCTCAGGCAGTAATGCTCCCTTGACCAGCGCTCACCTCCTGCTGTGCAGCCCAGTTCCTAAAAGGCCATGGACCAGTACCAGATGGAGGCCTGGGGTTTGAGGACCTCTGCTATAGTTAATTTGGTTACTGCATCAGCTTCTATAGAAACAACTTGCTTCTTAGATTTTCTTAAAATACAGAGAGTATCTATAGATTTAATGTTATGTCATATTTTTGGAACATCAAGATAAACTATATTGAAATGCCTATTGAGATGTGTGATAAGTAATCAAAATTAAGTACTATTCAACATCTGAGAAGCTTTCAGAATGTGTTACCTGAATTTGATAATCTCTAGGAAGGCTATACTGAGAATATTTGTCATTTCAGTATAACACAAAGTGTCAAATGAAGGCTTTGGATATATTTATTGGAAGATACAGGGATATGTGACATTTTTTAATATTAAATGCAACTCTACTGATCTGAAAAATTTAGATGTCTCTGTAAACATACTGCAAACAGATCTACTTCAGCACTTTAGAAAACAGAGTAGACCTCTGCCCACAGAACAGGCTTGAATGGAAACCATCAAGTCACAAATAGAGAATGCATCTGGTACTTCATTGTTGCAGTAAAATCTATCATTAAATCAAAATGTAAAATTTGAATTTACAGAATCATATATGTGCCAGCTATTGTTCTATGTGCTATCCTGGTGTTATCTCATTTGTTCTTCATAACAACCTTTCTATCCTGATGAGGAAACTCAGGCTTAGAGAGGCCAAGTAATTTCCGAAGAACACGGAGAAAGGAAGTGATAGAGTCAAGTTTTGATTCATTAGACAATTCGTTTGCTCCTAAAGTCCAGCTCTTAACCTCTGCAGCGTACTGCTACTCTAGATAATAGTAATCTTAGCTTATGGAAAATGGGGTGCGGGGAATACTTAAATGAATCCTTTCTTTTCATCTGTTTTCATGTTTTGCACAATCTTAAAACAGTGCTAAAAACAATGTTGTCTCCTATTCTCATTATGTCTTGCACTTTTCAACCCTGCCTCCCTTACTTTTGCATCTCTCATGTACTTAGTTGCATTTTACAGAAGATCCCTACAAGTAAAAGTAAAAACTATTTTTTCAAGGCATTACAGTAATCCTTTTCTTATTTATCTTTTTCCTTGATTTCTTAAATATAATATAAATCTTACCTATTATTCACGATTTGAAATGTGTTTTCTTATTAAAGAAAAGCCAAACAGGCTGGGCGCGGCAGCGCACGCCTGTAATCCCAGAACTTCGGGAGGCTGAGGCAGGCGGATCACCTGAGGTCAGGAGTTCGAGACCAGCCTGGCCAACATGTGAAACGTCATCTCTACTAAAAATACAAAAATTAGCTGGGCGTGGTTGTGCACGCCTGTAATCCCAGCTATTTGGGAACTTGAGACAGGAGAATCGCTTGAACCCTGGACGCGGAGGTTACAGTGAGCTGAGATGGTGATTGCATTGCCACTGCACTCCAGCCTGGGGGACAGAGCGAGACTCGATTTCAAACAAAAAAAAAAAAAAAGAAAGAAAAACACAGAAATTCCAGTGTTGTTTCAGACAGCTGTATTATGTTGAGATGACTTAGATCTGGAAGGTGTTCATTCTACTGGAAATTTCTGGCAATAAATATTTTATCTTGATTTATGGTGTGGAAATAATTATTGTTATTTTACAGATTTCATATACTTCAATTGGAAGAACAACTTTTGGAAAGCATCTTTCGATTGTCTGATTGTCCAGGCACCGGTCACTGCCCTGAATGATTTCAATTTAATTGAACCATGTGGTACTTGTGTCAATAATTTTACATAATGCTTGTAAAGAGACTTGGGGGTGAAAAGTGCAATGTAGCAGAAACACACGTTGCTGATATAATGCCATCAGCCTAAATATGTCAAGGTGATATACAAGCACATTATTTGTACACTTTTATGTAGAGCCAATCAGTATAGTGTTTAGACACAATCTGGATAGCACCCTTCCCCTCCATGATCACGAGAATCCTTGTGACTCTTTGGAAAAAAACCTAAGTTGTTTTACTCTGACTTCCTTTCTCCATCTCCCAGCTCCTGGACTGTTGCCTGAGCAGAAAGTCATTACGCAGCATGTAGAGGTTGAAGAGTGTAGCCACATTGTCTGCTAAATGCACATCTGGCTGGAATTTTTAGTTCTACCCTTAGGATTGAGAAAACGAGGTGAGATTTTGGGTAAACAGTTGATAGATTCATCAAAACTTAATTATGTAAATGATCAATGATCTACTATTGACTAATTAATACTCTCTTCATTCCAGAAAAGGTATTTTACATATCCATATGTAAAATAAGTTAAAAGGTATGCATGAATAGAAAGTCAGGGCCAGCGCAAATGTAATGTGAGGGTCGAATCTAGGGAGAATTAGAACTATTCAGACCAATGGGAGTAAAGCTGAGTTCAGTTGGCTCTAAACTTCCTGGTGACTGAGGTGGAATGGGAAACATGATTGGTGAAGCCTAAATTTAATTCATTGAAAATAAACTACGCAAAGATTTCAGTGCATTATGTTGATCACTAAGACTCAAAATGGGTGTTACGGATTGAATGTTTGTGTTCTTCCAAATTCATATGTTGAAATCCTAACCCCTAATATGATGGTATTAGAAGGTGGAGACTGTGGCAGTAGTTAGGTCATGAGAGTGGAGCCTTCAGGAATGGGATTAGTGCCCTTAATCAAAGGGACCCCAGAGAGCTCTCGCTCTTTTCGGAAGCTGACTGTGCTGGCACCCTGATCTTCTAGTCTCCAGAACTGTGAGAAATACGTTTCTGTTATGTATTTATTTATTTATTTGAGACAGAGTCTCGCTCTGTCACTCAGGCTGGACTGCAGTGGCATGATCTCGGCTCACTGCAATCTCCTGGGTTCAAGTGAGTCTCATGCCTCAGCCTCCCGAGTGGCTGGGATTACAGACATGTGCCACCATGCCCGGCTAATATTTGTATTTTTGTAGAGACAGAGTTTCACCATGTTGGCCAGGCTGGTCTGGAACTCCTGGTCTCAAGAGATCCACCCACCTTGGCCTCCCAAAGTGCTGGGATTACAGGCTTGAGCCACCTCGCCTGGCCTCCATTGTTTATAAACCACCCAGTTTATGTCACTTTTTGTAGCAGCCTGAACCAGCTAGGACAATGGGTTAGGGCTTTTGTAAGTCCCACCTCGATGTGTCAGTAATTTTTAGGGAAGTGAATGGATTTATTCTGTCCTGCCACAGGTAACATAACTAAATGTATTATTTCTCTACCTTAAAAGGCACTGGAAAGAAAAAAAAATTCTTTTTACAATGTAGGTCATTTAAATATGGAGTATAATTAATTCACTTGGCAAATCTGGCCGGTCATATTCTTAGTTCAATTATAAGGACCAAATCCAGTGATGTTATTTAAAACTACCTGGAGATATAGTATCTTTCTTTGCATTTGCCCCAGTATATTCCTGTTTCTAGGCTTTTATTTAGTCTGTGACCTTTGTCTTAAATATGCCTGTTAGGAACTGTGAAGGGTCTGATATATTACCTTACTTGCTAGCTAACAAGTTAGCCTGCCATGGTTTCATGACCCCAAGCAATAGCAGTAGCTGGTGTATTAGCATTTATGTCACTGCCCCAAGCTCCAGTTCCAACAGTGTGACCACCCAACAGGGTGACATAAAGTGGGCCAGGTGACACCTGTACACCCCGTGGGTTGCATTGCCGGAGAGGAACTCTGAGCTTACGGAAACTAAGTGTTTTATAATGGGCAGTTAGCATGTCTGCTCCATTGCCCCAGAGAGAGATATTCTTTCTACCTTCCAAGGTGGTTAGCTATACAAACATCCCTGAAAAGATAGTTTGGAACAGTGACAGTTCACTCCTCTGCTTGCAAGAAATTTAGAAATGCCCAGTTTGATTGCTCATCAGAAATAAAAAAGAAAGGAAAAAGAAAAAAAAAGTAATGTAAAAATGTAAGACACCTATGGAGAACTGTCTCCTAACAATACCCTCACTACTTTTATCTACTGAAATGCTATTCATTCCGGAAAATCAACACTTTAAGAACCACCTCCTTTCAGCCTTCTTGGTGCCTATGTTTTAGAGAAACCTTCTCTCTCATTGACTTTTCATTGTATTATAGCCTATACCAATATTTTATATTAATCATCTAATTTACACCTCCCTGTGTCTTATGGTTTCACGTATTATATTTTCAAGGAGGATCTAAGATCTGTGAGGGCAGAAACCACTTTTAGAGCTATTTTGCATCCACTACAATACTCAATACTGTAGATGGTATGTAGAGAATATATATGAGGATGTGAGAAAAGGCAACATTTGGAAAAGTTGTCCATGGCAACAAAATGAAAAATTTGTATTTTGTATCCACAGTAATATTCAATACTGTAGATGCTATATAGAGAATATATATGAGGGTATGAGAAAAGGCAACAATTGGAAAGGTTATCCATGGTAACAAAATGAAAACTGGCCATAGTTTCCTATTTGTCATGCTATAGCGACCAAAAAATGGAATTCCCAGACTAAGAATCTGAAGGTCTATGACTTCATAGTTATAGCATGACAGGATTCCACAGCTAACTCCTGGCTTGACTTTACTGGAGTTTAATCTCAGTGTGTTGGTGACTTGTGTTGATTTATCTCTGATTAAATATAGGGGAGGGAAGGGACTCTCATGAGGCAAGGCTGACTCTTTTCTTATCCAGAAGCTTCTTGGACAAATGGGATCATGCAAATGTGTGGAAGAAAAGTCTCAACAAGGTGGAGGATGAAATTCTGGGACACTATCATACATGTAGATATGAATTCATCCAGCAACAAATCCATATTTACAGGAAAAGAACTATCTGCACTGTGCCAGCCATGCAAGTCTGACTCTGACATGAGAGAATGAGACCAGCATGTGGCTTTGAAGTATCTTGGCAATCCTCACAAATATTTTTTTCCTTCCATTTTTCTTAAAAAAGAAAGAGGCCGGGCGCGGTGGCTCACGCCTGTAATCCCAGCACGTTGGGAGGCCGAGGCGGGCGGATCACGAGGTCAGGAGATCGAGACCATCCTGGCTAACACGGTGAAACCCCGTCTGTACTAAAAATACAAAAAATTAGCCGGGCGCAGTGGCGGGCGCCTGTAGTCCCAGCTACTCGGGAGGCTGAGGCAGGAGAATGGCGTGAACCCAGGAGGCGGAGCTTGCAGTGAGCCGAGATCGCGCCACTGCACTCCAGCCTGGGCGACAGAGCGAGACTCCGGCTCAAAAAAAAAAAAAAAAAAAAAAAAAAAAGAATAAAATATGTTTAAAAATGGAAATGGAAGGCTCCTCTATAAAACATTAATTTATAGTTAGATGTGTGAGTGGCATTATGGCCAAGAGGAAAGTATAGGCTTTGGAATGTGTTAAAATCTGGACTGTACCACTTATCCAGTATGTGTGTCAGGTTAAATTGTGTGGGCTTGCTGAGTTATCAGTAAATGTGGAAAATGAAACCCACTTCTTGAGATATTTGAGAATTAAATGGGATAATGTATATCACATACCCATTGCAGGGTCTGGCACCAAAATGATAACATCTATTATTATTAAGCAATTGACTCATAAGGACGATTGATGGCTGGAAGACTGAAGAAGAATTAAAAAGATCTCTTACAGGCATCCCAAGTAGGAAATAGATGTTGATGTAGGTTTTAACTATAAGCAAGGGTACCCACCAGGCTTCAGAAATGGAGGAAAAAAAGATGACTGCTTTCTAGATGGTTGTCCTAGTTAGTGATGGATTAAATCAAACCTTTTAGCCTTCAGAACCAAGGAGAAAAAAAAAAAAGAAACAACTTTGTAAACATCAATCTTTGTATATTTTTCATGCTGAAAGTAGACAATTTACATAATTCCTTCTGATATAAGGCTTTGCCTGAGTTTCAGGTTGGCTTTTCATATTTTTTGCATGCTTTTTAGGTCTCCCCATTTTTAATATAAAATAAAATTATAATGTAGGGAGTGATGATTTCTTTGTCAAACTGAAATAAGTTAATTGGTAATTTTCCAAGATAGTCTAAAGGGGGTAAGTTATATTTATGTGATCTAAATCCATTGGTTAAATGCAGAGGGATTAACATCTGTTAAAAGAGTTGTGCTTGGCATGCAGGTGTTTCAATATTTGCATTTAGTATGTGTTTCAGAAACAGCCTCTGAGAAAAACATTTATATAACAATCTGGTGTTTTATTGTCTAAATCTGTCGGGACAGTCATTTTGTTACTCAGACTTTGTGACCCTCTTGCAAGCCGTAAACTATTTAACGAAGTGAGTATATTGAGAAAGATGACAGACTTCCAAACTTTGGGGAAAGAGTATTATATGAGAAGAATCAGCTTTTCCTCCTGAGACTGTGCCTAATATGTGAACAGCAAAAACAATTACACTGGTGATTTCAGGAAGTCCAATAAATTCCATAGCACAGTCTCACTTTTGAAATATTACATCACTCAGCAAAAGCTTATGTTCGTATATTAAGCTGAAATGGACTAATCATTAATTAATTACCATGAGTTCAGTTTTGTGAATGGAGTGCGGAGGTAGGGCTCTGGTTTCAGTCCACTCAGAGCTGCAGGGTTTAACTACGGCTGCAGTTTAAGTCTCACAGTGCCCATATGTGGAGGGCAAGTTGATCTCCTTATTTCAGCCGTCTTCACGATCACCTCTCATTGTGGTGATTGACTTAACCATTTTGTAATCCACACTGTTAAAATAACTTGTGCTCTGGTCCGTTTGTTTTGTAGGTACAGTGGGGAAAATAAATGTAGTGCATCTCCAGAGATTTGTGGCTTGAAATTAGAAAGAAAATAGACAAATCAAGTGGTTTCACACATTGCCAGATTATACCTCAAGAAAATTAAAACTGGATAAAAGCTGAATTATAAGTGAGCTCTGCTTTATAAATAAACCACACATGGCTATGATAGCGCATGATGGCTCACTTTGGCGTCATTACTTTTAAAATGTTTAAATGTACTCAGGGTGCATGAATTCCAGTCAGAAACACTGTCTTGTGTGTAAATAACAATTAACTTTTAATGTTAATGTCTGCTGTGTGGCTTGTTCTCACACAATTATGTTGTTTTTGACTCTAGATGGTTCCCAAATCAAGTTCAGGACACTTTGGGCATTCACCGAGGAAGTTTCAGTGGATGCAGATTTCAGATATTTTCTGGCTTTAGGGAATTGTCTCCCCAAAACCACTGGGTGGGGCAGGGATGTGTATGTGAGGTCATGTTTAGACTTTTGCCTGATAGCTTCTGGAGTGGTTTGCACTTCTCCAGGGCTAGAACAGCCATCTACAGTTATATTTACTGAATACAAACACTGTCCCAAATTTTGTGGCCAGTCTCATGAACTCTACCTTATCTCTATCTCTCCTTCAGGTGGTTTCCAGAATTTTGATAAAATAAGCAGAAATATCTCCAGGAATTTGTGGGGAGGAGAACCTAGTTGATGGTCAGCTTTCAATTTTGCCAATTATAGACATGAAAGAAACTACTTTTATCACTTAATAAATGGCAGTACCTTTTAATACCAGTATTAAGACAGTTATAATCAATGAACGAAAAACAGCGCTTTAAATGGAGTCAATTTAACTTTTCTTTTATTATTATACTTAAAGTTTTAGGGTACATGTGCACAATGTGCAGGTTAGTTACATATGTACACTTGTGCCATGCTGGTGTGCTGCACCCATTAACTCATCATTTAGCATTAGGTATATCTCCTAATGCTATCCCTCCCCCCTTCCCCCACCCCACAACAGTCTCCAGAGTGTGATGTTCCCCTTCCTGTGTCCATGTGTTCTCATTGTTCAATTCCCATCTATGAGTGAGAACATGCGGTGCTTGGTTTTTTGTCCTTGAGATAGTTTGCAGAGAATGATGATTTCCAATTTCATCCATGTCCCTACGAAGGACATGAACTCATCATTTTTTATGGCTGCATAGTATTCCATGGTGTATATGTGCCACATTTTCTTAATCCAGTCTATCGTTGTTGGACATTTGGGTTGGTTCCAAGTCTTTGCTATTGTGAATAGTGCCGCAATAAACATACATGTGCATGTGTCTTTATAGCAGCATGATTTATAATCCTTTGGGTATACACCCAGTAATGGGATGGCTGGGTCAAATGGTATTTCTAGTTCTAGATCCCTGAGGAATCGCCACACTGACTTCCACAATGGTTGAACTAGTTTACAGTCCCACCAACAGTGTAAAAGTGTTCCTATTTCTCCACATCCTCTCCAGCACTTGTTGTTTCCTGACTTTTTAATGATCGCCATTCTAACTGGTGTGAGATGGTATCTCACTGTGGTTTTGATTTGCATTTCTCTGATGGCCAGTGATGATGAGCATTTTTTCATGTGTCTTTGGCTGCATAAATGTCTTCTTTTGAGAAGTGTCTGTTCATATCCTTTGTCCACTTTTTGATGGGGTTGTTTTTTTCTTGTAAATTTGTTTGAGTTCATTGTAGATTCTGGATATTAGCCCTTTGTCAGATGAGTAGGTTGCGAAAATTATCTCCCATTTTGTAGGTTGCCTGTTCACTCTGATGGTAGTTTCTTTTGCTGTGCAGAAGCTCTTTAGTTTAATTAGATCCCATTTGTCAATTTTGGCTTTTGTTGCCATCGCTTTTGGTGTTTTAGACATGAAGTCCTTGCCCGTGCCTATGTCCTGAATGGTAATGCCTAGGTTTTCTGCTAGGGTGTTTATGGTTTTAGGTCTAACGTTTAAGTCTTTAATCCATCTTGAATTGATTTTTGTATAAGGTGTAAGGAAGGGATCAAGTTTCAGCTTTCTGCATATGGCTAGCCGGTTTTCCCAGCACCATTTATTAAATAGGGAATCCTTTCCCCATTTCTTGTTTTTCTCAGGTTTGTCAAAGATCAGATAGTTGTAGATATGCGGCGTTATTTCTGAGGGCTCTGTTCTGCTCCATTGATCTAGATCTCTGTTTTGGTACCAGTACCATGCTGTTTCGGTTACTGTAGCCTTGTAGTAGAGTTTGAAGTCAGGTATCATGATGCCTCCAGCTTTGTTCTTTTGGCTTAGGATTGACTTGGCGATGTGGGCTCTTTTTTGGTTCCATATGAACTTTAAAGTAGTTTTTTCTAATTCTGTGAAGAAAGTCATTGGTAGCTTGATGGGGATGGCATTGAATCTATAAATTACCTTGGGCAGTATGGCCATTTTCACGATATTGATTCTTCCTACCCATGAGCATGGAATGTTCTTCCATTTGTTTGTATCCTCTTTTATTTCATTGAGCAGTGGTTTGTAGTTCTCCTTGAAGAGTTCCTTCACATCCCTTGTAAGCTGGATTCCTAAGTATTTTATTCTCTTTGAAGCAATTGTGAATGGGAGTTCACTCATGATTTGGCTCTCTGTTTGTCTGTTATTGGTGTATAAGAATGCTTTTGATTTTTGTACATTGATTTTGTATCCTGATACTTTGCTGAAGTTGCTTATCAGCTTAAGGAGATTTTGGGCTGAGACAATGGGGGTTTTCTAGTTATACAATCATGTCGTCTGCAAACAGGGACAATTTGACTTCCTCTTTTCCTAATTGAATACCCTTTATTTCCTTCTCCTGCCTAATTGACCTGGCCAGAACTTCCAACACTATGTTGAATAGGAGTGGTGAGAGAGGGCATCCCTGTCTTGTGCCCGTTTTCAAAGGGAATGCTTCCAGTTTTTGCCCATTCAGTATGATATTGGCTGTGGGTTTGTCATAGATAGCTCTTATTATTTTGAGATACGTCCCATCAATATCTAATTTATTGAGAGTTTTTAGCATGAAGCATTGTTGAATTTTGTCAAAGGCCTTTTCTGCATGTATTGAGATAATCATGTGGTTTTTGTCTTTGGTTCTGTTTATATGCTGGATTACATTTATTGATTTGCGTATATTGAACCGGCCTTGCATCCCAGGGATGAAGCCCACTTGATGATGGTGGATAAGCTTTTTGATGTGCTGCTGGATTCGGTTTGCCAGTATTTTATTGAGGATTTTTGCATCAATGTTCATCAAGGATATTGGTCTAAAATTCTCTTTTTTGGTTGTGTCTCTGCCCGGCTTTGGTATCAGGATGATGCTGGCCTCATAAAATGAGTTAGGGAGGATTCTCTCTTTTTCTATTGATTGGAGTAATTTCAGAAGGAATGGTATCAGTTCCTCCTTGTACCTCTGGCAGAATTCGGCTGTGAATCCATCTGGTCCTGGACTCTTTTTGGTTGGTAAGCTATTGATTATTGCCACAATTTCAGAGCCTGTTATTGGTCTATTCAGAGATTCAACTTCTTCCTGGTTTAGTCTTGGGAGAGTGTATGTGTCGAGGAATTTATCCATTTCTTCTAGATTTTCTAGTTTATTTGCATAGAGGTGTTTGTAGTATTCTCTGATGGTAGTTTGTATTTCTGTGGGATCAGTGGTGATAACCCCTTTATCATCTTTTATTGCGTCTATTTGATTCTTCTTTTTTTCTTTATTAGTCTTGCTAGCGGTCTATCAATTTTGTTGATCCTTTTAAAAAATCAGCTCCTGGATTCATTAATTTTTTGAAGGGTTTTTTGTGTCTCTATTTCCTTCAGTTCTGCTCTGATTTTAGTTATTTCTTGCCTTCTGCTAGCTTTTGAATGTGTTTGCTCTTGCTTTTCTAGTTCTTTTAATTGTGATGTTAGGGTGTCAATTTTGGATCTTTCCTGCTTTCTCTTGTGGGCATTTAGTGCTATAAATTTCCCTCTACACACTGCTTTGAATGCGTCCCAGAGATTCTGGTATGTTGTGTCTCTGTTCTCATTGGTTTCAAAGAATATCTTTATTTCTGCCTTCATTTCGTTATGTACCCAGTAGTCACTCAGGAGCACGTTGTTCAGTTTCCATGTAGTTGAGCAGTTTTGAGTGAGTTTCTTAATCCTGAGTTCTAGTTTGATTGCACTGTGGTCTGAGAGACAGTTTGTTATAATTTCTGTTCTTTTACATTTGCTGAGGATAGCTTTACTTCCAGCTATGTGGTCAATTTTGGAATAGGTGTGGTGCGGTGCTGAAAAAAATGTATATTCTGTTGATTTGGGGTGGAGAGTTCTGTAGATGTCTATTAGGTCTGCTTGGTGCAGAGCTGAGTTCAATTCCTGGGTATCCTTGTTAACTTTCCGTCTCGTTGATCTGTCTAATGTTGACAGTGAGGTGTTAAAGTCTCCCATTATTATTGTGTGGGAGTCTAAGTCTCTTTATAGGTCCCTCAGGACTTGCTTTATGAATCTGGGTGCTCCTGTATTGGGTGCATATATATTTAGGATAGTTAGCTCTTCTTGTTGAATTGATCCCTTTACCATTATGTAATGGCCTTCTTTGTCTCTTTTGATCTTTGTTGGTTTAAAGTCTGTTTTATCAGAGACTAGGATTACAACCCCTGCCTTTTTTTGTTTTCCATTTGCTTGGTAGATCTTCCTCCATCTGTTTATTTTGAGCTTATGTGTGTCTCTGCACGTGAGATGGGTTTCCTGAATCCAGCACACTGATGGGTCTTGACTCTTCATCCAATTTGCCAGTCTGTGTCTTCTAATTGGAGCATTTAGTCCATTTACATTTGGAGTTAATATTGTTATGTGTGAATTTGATCCTGTCATTATGATGTTAGCTGGTTATTTTGCTTGTTAGTTGATGCAGTTTCTTCCTAGCCTCGATGGTCTTTACATTTTGGCATGATTTTGCAGCAGCTGGTACCGGTTGTGCCTTTCCATGTTTAGTGCTTCCTTCAGGAGCTCTTTTAGGGCAGGCCTGGTAGTGACAAAATCTCTCAGCATTTGCTTGTCAGTAAAGTATTTTATTTCTCCTTCACTTATGAAGCTTAGTTTGGCTGGATATGAAATTCTGGGTTGAAAATTCTTTTCTTTAAGAATGTTGAATATTGGCCCCCACTCTCTTCTGGCTTGTAGAGTTTCTGCAGAGAGATCAGTTGTTAGTCTGATGGGCTTCCCTTTGTGGGTAATCCGACCTTTCTCTCTGGCTGCCCTTAACATTTTTTCCCTCATTTCAACTTTGGTGAATCTGACAATTATGTGTCTTGGAGTTGCTCTTCTCGAGGAGTATCTTTGTGGCATTCTCTGTATTTCCTGAATCTGAATGTTGGCTTGCCTTGCTAGATTGGGGAAGTTCTCCTGGATAATATCCTGCAGAGTGTTTTCCAACTTGGTTCCATTCTCCCCGTCACTTTCAGGTACATCAATCAGACACAGATTTGGTCTTTTCACATAGTCCCATATTTCTTGGAGGCTTTGTTCGTTTCTTTTTATTCTTTTTTCTCTAAACTTCCCTTCTCACTTCATTTCATTCATTTGATCTTCCATCACTGATACCCTTTCTTCCAGTTGATTGCATCGGCTCCTGAGGCTTCTGCATTCTTCATGTAGTTCTCGAGCCTTGGCTTTCAGCTCCATCAGCTCCCTTAAGCACTTCTCTGTATTGGTTATTCTAGTTATACATTCGTCTAAATTTTTTTCAAAGTTTTCTACTTCTTTGCCTTTGGTTTGAATTTCCTCCTGTAGCTCGGAGTAGTTTGATCGTCTGAAGCCTTCTTCTCTCAACTCGTCAAAGTCATTCTCCGTCCAGCTTTGTTCCGTTGCTGGTGAGGAGCTCTGTTCCTTTGGAGGAGGAGAGGCGCTCTGCTTTTTAGAGTTTCCAGTTTTTCTGCTCTATTTTTTCCCCATCTTTGTGGTTTTATCTACTTTTGGTCTTTGATGATGGTGATGTACAGATGGGTTTTTGGTGTGGATGTCCTTTCTGTTTGTTAGTTTTCCTTCTAACAGACAGGACCCTCAGCTGCAGGTCTGTTGGAGTTTGCTAGAGGTCCACTCCAGACCCTGTTTTCCTGGGTATCAGCAGGGGTGTCTGTACAACCGCGGATTTTCATGATCCACGAATGCTGCTGTCTGATCTTTCCTCTAGAAGTTTTGTCTCAGAGGAGTACCCGGCCGTGTGAGGTGTCAGTCTGCCCCTACTGGGGGGTGCCTCCCAGTTAGGCTGCTCGGGGTCAGTGGTCAGGGACCCACTTGAGGAGGCAGTCTGCCCGTTCTCAGATCTCCAGCTGCGTGCTGGGAGAACCACTGCTTTCCTCAAAGCTGTCAGACAGGGACGTTTAAGTCTGCAGAGGTTACTGCTGTCTTTTTGTTTGTCTGTGCCCTGCCCCCAGAGGTGGAGCCTACAGAGGCAAGCAGGCTTCCTTGAGCTGTGGTGGGCTCCACCCAGTTCGAGCTTCCCCGCTGCTTTGTTTACCTAAGCGAGCCTGGGCAATGGCGGCCGCCCCTCCCCCAGCCTCATTACTGCCTTGCAGTTTGATCTCAGACTGCTGTGCTAGCAATCAGCGAGACTCCCTGGGCGTAGGACCCTCCGAGCCAGGTGTGGGAAATAATCTCCTGGTGCACCGTTTCCTAAGCCCGTCGGAAAAGCGCAGTATTTGGGTGGGAGTGGCCCGATTTTCCAGGTGCCCTCCTTTCCTTGACCAGGAAAGGGAACTCCCTGACCCCTTACGCTTCCCAAGTGAGGCAATGCCTCGCCCTGCTTCGGCTGGCGCACGGTGCCCTGCACCCACTGTCTGGCACTCCCTAGTGAGATGAACCCGGTACCTCAGATGGAAATGCAGAAATCACCCATCTTCTGCGTGGCTCATGCTGGGAGCTGTAGACCAGAGCTGTTCCTATTCAGCCATCTTGGCTCCCGGATCCAGTTTAACTTTTGCAGAGGTAATTTCGTGGTCTCTTTTTCTTATTTGAATGACAATTTTGCCATGGGTTGACATCTAGCAAGAGAATGTTGAGAATCATTGAAAAACTTCAAGTACCTTTGAATTGGAATCAGGAGACCTGGGTTGGGGGTCAGACACCATTCCATGTTAGCTATGGGATTCTTTCTGAGCTTTCTTTGTAAAATGGAGATGGTAACCCTTGCCTGGATTTTCTCACAAGGCTATTGTGAAATGCATATTGTGGAATGATGTATGCAAAAGTGTTTTTTAAACCAGAAAGCACAAGCAAAATTAGGTAGTTTTCTTGTAAATTTATAGAAGATTATCATGAGGTAATAGAATCCTATGGCTGGGCATAGCCTTAGAAATTCATCTGAAAAACCACCTCACCGTGTTTCTGCTGTTTGACCTTTCCATTTTTCTTTAAGAAAGATTTCTCTTCTATTACCCAGTACCTTCAGCCAAAGGAACTGGACCATTTTTATTCAAATGCCACCCTGAATATTCATGTGTATTTCTGTTGCTGAATTATCTACCTGCTCCTTTCCATCTGAAATGTAAACTCTTGGGATGTTGCTCCCCAGTAAATGTTATCTCAGTTTTGACAGGAGGCTGTATTCCTGGTTCCTGGGGATTGACTGTCATAGTATTCCTGGTCCCTGTCAGTTAGGGAAGGGACTGGTTGTGGAATTCATGAATGAAATTGTTTTCTAAAAAATATATAGTCTGTCATATTCCTGGGCTACATCAGGGAAAACAAAAACCAAAAACTTCCCTTCGGAGTCACTTGTGAGCTATTGGATACTTGCTTGCAAGGTATCATTTGTCCTATACACCCTTAAGTACCCAAGTTAGGAAGTCACTATCTGTGGGCTTTGGACCTCTCCACTTTCAGTGGCAGCATGTGCCACCTTTGGTCTCTGAGGGGTAAAAGATTTTTTAAAAAATCGAGCTAATTTTAAACATTAGACCTTTCCCTGTAAGATCTACCTATTAATACTGGTTCCTTGAAGAAAGAAATGCTATTTTTTTTCTTTGTGATGGCTTTGAGAAAGGCAAAAAATTTAATTCCTGAGATTTTATTTTATTTTGTTGAAGCCAAACATCTATAATCCCTTTAACCATTTCACATATGGAAAAATTCCGAGTCCCCCAAATTCCTAGTCATCCTGTCCTGCTTCTCCCAACTCTCAGTTGGGTGCCTTTGCTTGTGATATGAATTGAAAATATTTTAGCTCAATTTATCTTTTGCCTTTTCACTTTGTTTATAATAGTATGGTGGTTTGCTGCACCAACAACCATCATCTACATTAGGTATTTCTCTTAATGCTATCCCTCCTCTTGCCCCCCACCCCCTGACAGGCCCTGGTGTGTGATGTTCCCCTCCCTGTATCCATGTGTTCTCATTGTTCAACTCCCGCTTATGAGTGAGAACATGCGGTCTTTAGTTTTCTGTTTCTGTGTTAGTTTGCTGAGAATGATGGTTTCCAGCTTCATCCATGTCCCTGCAAAGGACTTGAACTCATCCTTTTTATGGCTGCATAGTATTCCATGGTGTATACGTGCCACATTTTCTTTATCCAGTCCATCATTGATGGACATTTGGGTTGGTTCCAAGTCTTTGCTATTGTGAACAGTGCTGCAATAAACATACATGTGCATGAGTCTTTATAGTAGCATGATTTATAATCCTTTGGGTATATACCCAATAATGTGATTTCTGGGTCAAATGGTATTTGTGGTTCTAGATCCTTGAGGAATCGCCACACTGTCTTCCACTATGGTGGAACTAATTTACAGTCCCACCAACAGTGTAAAAGTGTTCCTATTTCTCTGCATCCTCTCCAGCATCTGTTGTTTCCTGACTTTTTAATGATTGTATTCTAACTGGCATAAGATGGTATCTCATTGTGGTTTTGATTTGCATTTCTCTAATGACCAGTGATGATGAACTTTTTTTCATATATTTGTTGGCCGCATAAATGTCTTCTTTTGAGAAGTGTCTGTTCATATCCTTTGTCCACTTTTTGATGGGGTTGTTTTTTTCCTGTAAATTTGTTTAAGTTCTTTGTAGATTCTGGATATTAGCCCTTTGTCAGATAGAAAGATTGCAAAAATTTTCTCCCATTCTGTAGGTTGTCTGTTCTCTCTGATGATAGTTTCTTTTGCTCTGCAGAAGCTCTTTAGTTTAATGAGCTCTCATTTGTCTATTTTGGCTTTTGTTGTCGTTGCTTTTGGTGTTTTAATCATGAAGTCTTTGCCCATGCCTATGTCCTGAATGGTATAGCCTATGTTTTCTTCTAGGGTTTGTATGGTTTTAGGTCTTATGTTTAAATCTTTAATCCATCTTGAGTTAATTTTTGTATAAGGTGTAAGGAACGGGTCCAGTTTCAGTTTTCTGCATATGGCTAGCCAGTTTTCCCAGCACCATTTATTAAATAGGAAATCCTTTCCCCATTGCTTGTGTGTGTCAGGTTTGTCAAAGATCAGATGGTTGTAGATGTGTGGTATTATGTCTGAGGCCTCTGTTCTGTTCCATTGGTCTATATCTCTGTTTTGGTACCAGTACCATGCTGTTTTGGTTACTGTAGCCTTGTTGTATAGTTTGAAGTCAGTTAGTGTGATTCCTTCAGCTTTATTCTTTTTGCTTAGGATTGTCTTGTCTATATGGGCTCTTTTTTGGTTCCATATGAAATTTAAAGTAGTTTTTTTTTCTAATTCTGTGAAGAAAGTCAGTGGTAGCTTGGATGGAGATTAGCATTAAATCTATAAGTTACTTTGGTCAATATGGCCATTTTCACAATATTGATTCTTCCTATACATGAGCATGGAATGTTTTTCCATTTGTTCATGTCAGCTCTTATTTCCTTGAGAAGTGGTTTGTAATTCTCCTTGAAGAGGTCCTTCACATCCCTTGTAAGTTGTATTCCTAGGTATTTTATTCTCTTTGTAGCAATTGTGAATGGGCGTTCACTCATGATTTGGCTCTCTATTATTGCTGTATAGGAATGCTTGTGATTTTGCACATTGATTTTATATCCTGAGACTTTGCTGAAGTTGCTTATCAGCTTAAGGAGATTTGGGGTTGATACGATGGGGTTTTCTAAATATACAATCATGTCATCTGCAAACAATGACGATTTGACTTTCTCTCTTCCTATTTGAATACCCTTTATTTCTTTCTCTTGTCTGATTGCCCTGGCCAGAACTTCCAATGCTATGTTGAATAGGAGTGGTGAGAGAGGGCATGTTTGTCTTGTGCCAGTTTTCAGAGGGAATGCTTTCAGCTTTTGCCCATTCAGTATGATATTGGCTGTGGGTTTGTCATAAATGGCTCTTACTATTTTGATATATGTTCCATCAATACCTAGTTTACTGAGAGTTATTAGCATGAAGCGGTGTTGAATTTTATCAAAGGACTTTTCTGCATGTATTGAGATAATCATGTGGTTTTTGTCATTGGTTCTGTTTATGTGATGGATTATGTTTATTGATTTGCATATGTTGAACCAGCCTTGCATCCCAGAGATGAAGCAGACTTGATCCTGGTGGGTAAACTTTTTGATGTGCTGCTGGATTCCATTTGCCAGTATTTTATTGAGAATTTTTGCATCGATGTTAATCAGGGATATGAGACTGAAATTTTCTTTTTTTGTTTTGTGTCTGCCAGGTTTTGGTATCAGGATGATGCTGGCCTCATAAGATGAGTTAGAGAGCAGTCCCTCTTTTTCTATTATTTGGAATAGTTTCATAAGGAATGTTACCAGTTTCTCTTTGTATCTGTGGTGGAATATGGCTGTGAATCCATCCGGTCCTGGGCTTTTTTCGGTTGGTAGGCTATTAATTACTGCCTCAATTTGAGAACTTGTTATTGGTCAATTCAGGGATTTGACTTCTTCCTGGTTTAGTCTTGAGATGGTGTATATGTCCAGGATTTTATCCATTTCTTCTAGAATATCTAGTTTATTTGGGCAGAGGTGTTTATAGTATTCTCTGATGGTAGTTTGTATTTCTGTGGGATCAGTGGTGATATCCCCTTTGTCATTTTTTTAAATTATACTTTAAGTTCTAGGGTACATGTGCACAACATGCAGGTTTGATACATAGGTATACATGTGTCATGTTGGTTTGCTGCACCAATCAACTTATCATTTACATTAGGTATTTCTCCTAATGCCATCCCTCTTCCAGCCCCCTCCCCCCTGACAGGCCCTGGTGTGTGATGTTCCCCTCCCTGTTTCCAAGTGTTCTTATTGTTCAGTTCTCACCTATGAGTGAGAATATGTGGTCTTTGGTTTTCGGTCCTTCTGATAGTTTGCTGAGAATGACGGTTTCCAGCTTCATCCATGTCCCTGCAAAGGACATGAACTCATCCCTTTTTTATGGCTGCATAGTATTCCATGGTGTATATGTGCCACATTTTCTTAATCCAGTCTATCATTGATGGACATTTGGGTTGGTTCCAAGTCTTTGCTATTGTGAGTAGTGCCGCAATAAACATATATGTGCATGTGTCTTTATAGTAGCATGATTTATAATCCTTTGGGTATATACCCAGTAATGGGATTTCTGGGTCAAGTGGTATTTCTGGTTCTAGGTCCTTGAGGAATCGCAACACTGTCTTCCACAATGGTTGAACTAATTTACACTCCTATCAACAGTGTAAAAATGTTCCTATTTCTCCACATCCTCTCCAGCATGTGTTGTTTCCTGACTTTTTAATGATCGCCATTCTAACTGGCGTGAAATGCTATCTCATTGTGGTTTTGATTTGCATTTCTCTGGTGACCAGTCATGATGAGCATTTTTTCATGTGTCTGCTGGCTGCATAAATGTCTTCTTTTGAGAAGTGTCTGTTCATATCCTTTGTCCACTTTTTGATGGGGTTGTTTGTTTTTTTCTTGTAAATTTGTTTAAGTTCTTTGTGGATTCTGGATATTAGACCTTTGTCAGATGGGCAGATTGCAAAGTTTCCCAAATTCTGTAGGCTGCCTGTTCACTCTGATGGTAATTTCTTTTGCCATGCAGAAGCTCTTCAGTTTAATTAGATCCCATTTGTCTATTTTGGCTTTTGTTGCCATTGCTTTTGGTGTTTTAGTCACGAAGTCCTTGCCTATGCCTATATCCTGAGTGGTATTGCCTAGGCTTTCTTCTAGGGATTTTATGGTTTTAGGTCTAACATTTACATCTTTAATACATCTTGAATTAATTTTTGTATAAGGTGTAAGGAAGGGATCGAGTTTTAGCTTTCTACATATGGCTAGCCAGTTTTCCCAGCACCATTTATTAAATAGGGGATCATTTCCCCATTGCTTGTTTTTGTCAGGTTTGTCAAAGATCAGATTGTTGTAGATGTGTGGTGTTATTTCTGAGGCCTCTGTTCTGTTCCATTGGTCTCTATATATGTTTTGGTACAGGTACCATGCTGTTTTGGTTACTGTAGGCTTGTAGTATAGTTTGAAATCAGGTAACGTGATGACTCCAGCTTTATACTTTTTGCTTAGTATTGTCTTGGCAATGCAGGCTCTTTTTTGCTTCCATATAAACTTTAAAGTTGTTTTTTCCAGTTCTGTGAAGAAAGTCATTGGTAGCTTGATGGGGATGGCATTGAATCTACAAATTATCTTGGGCAGTATGGCCATTCTCATGATATTGATTATTCCTATCCATGAGCATGGAATGTTTTTCCAGTTTGTTGTGATTTCTGTTCTTTTACATTTGGTGAGGAGTGCATCACTTCCAATTATGTGGTCAATTTTAGAATAAGTGCGATGTGGTGCTGAGAAGAATGTATATTCTGTTGATTTGGGATGGAGAGTTCTGTAGATGTCTATTAGGTCTGCTTGGTGCAGAGCTGATTTCAAGTCCTGGATATCCTTGTTAACCTTCTGTCCCATTGATCTGTGTAATATTGACAGTGGGATGTTAAAGTCTCCCATTATTATTGTGTGGGAGTCTAAGTCTCTTTGTAGGTCTCTAAGGACTTGCTTTATGAATCTGGGTGCTCCTGTATTGGGTGCATATATATTTAGGATAGTTAGCTCTTCTTGTTTTTTTTTTTTTTGAAATTTAAGGAAAAAATTTAATGAAGATCTGAAAAACAATTCCTAAAAGATTGACTTTTCCAGAAAAGTAGCTACACAATGCATTGCATCTATCATGTTAAAACGTGCATTAGACACAAATACAAAAACTGTGAAACAAGCCATTCTTCAACAATTTGAGCCAAGATAAAATGCCTAAGTAACAACATGGATGACTTGCAAAGGATGGGCTCTTTACTTTAAGCACCATTAAAAAAAAAAAGGAGCACAAATGGATGAGTGTATTCAGTTATATACACTGAATTGAACCTTTGGCACTAGGAATCAGAGCATTTTGTCATGTAGCATTAACACGTATTATAAAAATGCATAGTGTTAAAGGAATAGAACCACCAGCATTCAAAAGCAGCTTTGTCAACTAGGCAATAAAACACTCTACAGCATATCCCTGTGTTGTCCATCATTGAAAACACTGGCAGCAACTTTGAAATGAAAAAAAAAAAAAAAAAAGAGAAAAGGAGCTATTACCCCTTTTATTTTCTCTGTTTAAAATCAAACAGAAAACAAACATCAATTGTTATACACTAACATCTTCAAAGCACATCGTTTGTACAAGAGATAGACTAAGAACAAAAATGTGTTTATGGAGATCCAGACATAAGTGAGTGAGAGTGCCTCTCACACAGCTTTCCGATGGTACTCAGGAAGAGCCACTTCATAATCGCTGGCACTAAACAAAGTTGCAGAATTCTTTGCCAGGTACTTTAGGAAATCGTGAAGATAATTGAGTAATAAAGCAAGGCTCTTCTCATTCAGAGGTGTATAGGCCAACATTGCTCCAATTTGTACAGATAATCTCAGGAGATGTGGCACTCCATACACCTGGGACATGGGTGCATCGGGACAATCTGCAAGAATTTCGGCATACTGTGGTCTCTCAAATTTGTTGAGTAGCTGGGTGCCCAACATTAGGTTGAAGTATTCTTTTATCCCTGCCACAACTTCATTAACTGCATACTCCTTATTATCTGTGTTTCCATGAGATTTCTTGTAATTTGCATAGTCCTCAAGAATGGAATCCACATTCTTCTCGGCAGGAAGATAGAAGAGCTGTTTTTGCCTGGTAATTAAGTCCCAGTCATCAACAAGCCATGGTTTTAGCTCTTCAGGAATCTTTACTTTAACTTCAACTCTGTTCATGAATGTTTCCTCATTTTCAACAGTAGGATCTACCTGGGCCCTTTTCTTTCGAGGAGGCTGGGGAGTCTCACTGGTACTGCCACCATCTCCATTTCCAGGTGTTTTCTGTTTGTTCTTTTTTGTTTTCACTTCAATATTTTTCTGTTGCAGACCAGATGTCTTCTTTCCTGGGGCAGCCCATCTCATCTTCCCCTCTGCATACTGCTCCTGATTGGCTTTTTGAAGTTCTCGCTGTTTCTGCAAATTGGTGTCCACATATTTGAGTACTCTGCTCTCCGGAACCCACTCATCCCAATTTTTATTCCAACCACTGTAATGTATAAAGTATTTCACTTTTTGTCCTTTATGGCAACCTTTACACACTTTGCATCATAAAGCAGAGGCCCATGAAACCACAGCACTCGCTCACCCTCCTGGAATTTAGGCTTCGGGTCCTGCTTCAGCACCATTTATAAGTGATTTGCCACCTCCTCCTTCAGCACTTCTTGTTGAATTGATCCCTTTACCATTATGTAATGGCCTTCTTTGTTTCTTTTGATCTTTGTTGGTTTAAAGTCTGTTTTATCAGAGACTAGGATTGCAACCTCTGCTTTTTTTTGTTTTCCATTTGCTTGGTAGATCTTCCTCCATCCCTTTATTTTGAGCCTATGTGTGTCTCTGCACGTGAGATGGGTCTCCTGAATACAGCACACTGATGGTCTTGACTCTTTAACCAATTTGCCAGTCTGTGTCTTTTAACTACGGCATTTAGCCCATTTGATTTAAGGTTAATATGATGTGTGAATTTGATCTTGTCATTAGGATTTTAGCTGGTTATTTTTCCCATTAATTGATGTAGTTTCTTGCTAGCATTGATGGTCTTTACAATTTGGCATGCTTTTTTGCAGTGGCTGGTACTGGTTGTTTCTTTCCAGGTTTAGTGCTTCCTGCAGGAGCTCTTTTAGGGCAGGCCTGGTGGTGACAAAATCTCTCAGCATTTGCTTGTCTGTTAAGGATTTTATTTCTCCTTCACTTATGAAGCTTAGTATGGCTGGATATAAAATTCAGGGTTGAAAATTCTTTTCTTTAAGAATGTTGAATATTGGTCCCCACTCTCTTCTGGCTTGTAGGGTTCCTGCCGAGAGATCCTCTGTTAGTCTAATGGGCTTCCCTTTGTAGGTAACCTGACCTTTCTCTCTGACTTCCCTTAACATTTTTTTCTTAATTTCAACCTTGGTGAATCTGACAATTATGTGTCTTGGGGTTGCTCTTCTTGAGGAGTATCTTTGTGGTGTTCTCTATATTTCCTGAATTTGAATGTTGGCCTGCCTTGCTAGGTTGGGGAAATTCTCCTGGATAATATCCTGAAGAGTTTTTCCAACTTGGTTCCATTCTCCCCATCACTTTTAGGTACACCAATCAAGTGTGGATTTGGTCTTTTCACATAGTCCCGTATTTCTTGGAGGCTTTGTTCATTTCTTTTTACTCTTTTTTCTCTAAACTTGTTTTCTAGCTTTATTTCATTAATTTGATCTTCAATCACTGATACCCTTTCTTCCACTTGATCAAACCAGCTATTGAAGCTTGTGCATGCATCACAAATTCTCGTGCCATGGTTTTCAGCTCCATCAGGTCATTTAAGGTCTTCTCTACACTGTTTATTCTAGTTTGCCATTTGGCTAACCTTTTTTCAAGGTTTTTATCTTCCTCGTGATGGGTTCAAACATGATCCTTTAGCCCGGAGAAGTTTGTTATTACTGACCTTCTGAAGCCTACTTCTGTGAACTTGTCAAAGTCATTCTCCAACCAGCTTTGTTCCTTTGCTGGCAAGGAGCTGTTTTCCTTTGAAGGAGAAGAGGCACTCTGGTTTTTAGAATTTTCAGCTTTTCTTCTCTGGTTTCGCACCATCTTTGTGGTTTTATCCAACTTTGATCTTTGATGTTGGTGACCTACAGATGGGGTTTTGGTGTAGATGTCCTTTTTGTTGATGTTGATGCTATTCCTTTCTGTTTGTTAGTTTTCCTTCTAACCGTCAGGTCCCTCAGCTGCAGGTCCATTGGAGTTTGCTGGAGGTTCACTCCAGACACTGTTTGCCTGGGTATCACCAGCAGAGGCTGCAGAACAGCTAATATTGCAGAACGGCAAATATTGCTGCCTAATCCTTCTGAAGCTTTGTCCCAGAGAGGCACCCTCCTATATTAGGCATTGGTCAGCCCCTACTGGGAGGTGTCTCCCAGTTAGGCTACACAGGAGTCAGGGACCCACTTGAGGAGGCAGTCTGTCTGTTCCAGAGCTCAAACACCATGCTGGGAGAACCACTTCTCTCTTCTGAGATGTCAGACATGGACGTTTAGGCCCGCACAAGTTGTCTGCTGCCTTTTGTTGGCTATGCCCTGCCCACAGAGGTGGAGTCTATAGAGACAGTAAGCCTTGCTGAGCTGTGGTGGGCTCCGCCCAGTTTGAGCTTCCTGGCAGCTTTGTTTACCTACTCAAGCCTCAGCAATGGCGGACACCCCTCCTGCAGCCAGGCTGCTGCTTCACAGTTCAATTTCAAACTGCTGTGCTAGCAGTGAGCAAGGCTCTGTGGGTGTGGGACCTGCCGAGCCAGGCATGGGAGAGAATCTCCTTGCCTGACGGTTGCTAAGACCTTGGGAAAAGTGCAGTATTTGGGTGAGAGTGTCCCGTTTTTCCAGGTACAGTCTGTCATGGCTTCACTTGGCTAGGAAAGTGAAATCCCTTGACCCCTTGCACTTCGTGGGTGAGGCAACACCCTGCCCTGCTTTGGCTCACCCTCCGTGGGCTGCACCCACTGTCCAATGAATCCCAATGAGATGAACCAGGTACCTCAGTTGGAAATGCAGAAATCACCCATCTTCTGCATCAATCACACTGGGAGCTGCAGACTGGAGCTGTTCCTATTCTGCCATCTTGGAATGAAGATCCCCTTGGTAATTTTTTTGTCTGTCTATTTGATTCTTCTCTCTTTTCTTCTTTATTAGTCTGGCTAGTGGTCTATCTATTTTATTTATCCTTTCAAAAAGCCAGCACCTGGATTCATTGACTTTTTGAAGGGTTTTTTGTGTCTCCGTCTCCTTCGGTTCTGCTCTGATCTTAGTTACTTCTTGTCTTCTGCTAGCTTTTGAATTTGTTTGCTCTTTCTTCTCTTTCTTTTGAATTTGTTTGTTCTTCTCTCTTTCTAGAGAAGGACATCACTTCTTTTAGTTGTGATGTTAGGGTGTCGATTTTAGATCTTTCCTGGTTTCTCCTGTGGGCATTTAGTGCTATGAATTTCCCTCTAATCACTGCTTTAGCTGTGTCCCAGAGATCCTGGTATGTTGTGTCTTTGTTCTCATTGGTCTCAAAGAACATCTTTATTTCTGCCTTCATTTCATTATTTACCCAGTAGTCATTCAAGAGAAGGTTGTTCAGTTTCCATGTAGTTGTGCAGTTTTGAGTGAGTTTCTTAATCCTGAGTTCTAGTTTGATTTCACTGTGGTCTAAGAAACTGTTTGTTATAATTTCCATTCTTTTGCACTTGCTGAGAATTGTTTTACTTCCAATTATGTGGCCAATTTTAGAATAAGTGCTACATGGTGCTGAGAAGAATGTATGCTCTGTTGATTTGGGGTGGAGCATTCTGTAGATGTCTGTTAGGTCTTCTTGTTGCAGAGCTGTGTTCAAGTCCTGAATATCCTTGTTAATTTTCTGTCTCGTTGATCTAATATTGACAGTGGGGTGTTAAAGTCTCCCACTATTATTGTGTGAGAGTCTAAGTCTCTTCGTAGGTCTCTAAGAACTTGCTTTATGAATCTGTGTGTTCCTATATTGGGTTCATATATATTTAGGATCATTAGCTTTTCTTGTTGCATTGATCTTTTTACCATTATGTAATGCCCTTCTTTGTCTTTTTTGATCTTGTTGGTTTAAAGTCTGTTTTATCAGAGACTAGGATTGCAACCCCTGCTTTTTTTTTGCTTTCCATTTGCTTGGTAGATCTTCCTCCATCCCCTTATTTTGAGTCTATGTGTCTTTGCACGTGGGATGCATCTCCTGAATACAGCACACCGATGGGTCTTAAATCTTTATCCAATTTCCAGTCTGTGTCTTTTAATTGGAGTCTTTATCCCTTTTACATTTAAAGTTAATACTGTTATGTTTAAATTTGATCCTGTCATTATGATGTTAGCTGGTTATTTTGCCCATTAGTTGATGCAGTTTCTTCATAGTGTTGACGGTCTTTACAATTTGGTATGTCTGCAGTGGCTGGTACCGGTTTTTCCTTTCCATATTTAGTGCTTACTTCAGGAGCTCTTGTAATGCAGGCTGGGTGGCCACAAAAATCTCTCAGCATTTGTTTGTCTCTTAAGGATTTTATTTCTCCTTTGCTTATGAAGCTTAGTTTGGCTGGATAGGAAATTCTGGGTTGAAAATTCTTTTCTTTAAGAATGTTGAATATTGGCCTTCACTCTCTTTGGCTTGTAGGGTTTCTGCAGAGAGATCCGCTGTTAGTCTGATGGGCTTCCCTTTGTGGGTAACCTGACCTTTCTCTCTGGCTTTCGTTAAGATTTTTTCCTTAATTTCAACCTTGGTGAATCTGACGATTATGTGTCTTGGGGTTGATCTTCTTGAGGAGTATCTTTGTGGTGTTCTCTGTATTTCCTGAATTTGAATGTTGGCCTGTCTTGCTAGGTTGGAGATGTTCGCCTGGATAATATCCTGAAGTGTTTTCCATCTTGGTTCCATTCTCCCCATCAGTTTCAGGTACAGGAATCAAATGTAGGTTTGGTCTTTTCACATAGTCCCATATTTCTTGGAGGATTTGTTCATTCCTTTTCATCCCTTTGTCTCTAATCTTGTGTTTGTACTTTGTTTTATTAAGTTGATCTTCAATCTCTGATATCCTTTCTTCTGCTTGATCAATTCAGGTGTTGATACTTGTGTATGCTTCACAAAATTCTTGTGCTGTGTTTTTCAGCTCCATCAGGTCATTTATGTTCTTCCTTAAACTGGTTATCCTAGTTAGCAATTCCTCTAATGTTTTCTCAAGGTTCTTAGCTTCCTTACATTGGGTTAGAACATGCTCCTTTAGCTCAGAGGAGTTTGTTATTTCTCACCTTCTGAAGTCTACTTTTGTGAATTCATCCTACTCATTCTCCATCCAGTTTTGTTCCCTTGCTGGCAAGGAGTTGTTAAACTTTGGAGAGGAGGCATTCTGATTTTTGGAATTTTCAGCCTTTTTGCACTGTTTTTTCCTTATCTTTGTGGATTTATCTACTTTTGTTCTTTGGTGTTGGTGACCTTTGGATGGGTTTCTGTGTGGACATCCTTTTTGTTGATATTGATGCTATTCCTTTCTGTTTGTTACTTTTCTTTCTAGCAGTCAGGCCCCTCTGCTGCAGGTCTGCTGGAGTTTGCTGGAGTTCCACTCCAGACCCTGTTTGCCTGGGTATCACCAGCAGAGGCTGCAGAACAGCAAAGATTGCTGCTTGTTGCTTCCTCTAGAAGCTTTGTCCCAGAGGAGCACCCACCAGATGCCAGCTGGAGCTCTCCTGTGTGAGGTGTCTGTCGACCCCTGCTGGGAGGTGTCTCCCCATCAGGAGGCACGGAGGTCAGGGACCCACTTGAGGGGGCAGCTGTCCCTTGGCAGAGCTCAAGCATTGTGCTGGGAGGTCCACTGCTCTCTTCAGAGCCAGCAGGCAGGAACATTTAAGTCTACTTAATCTGTGCCCATAGCCGCCCCTTCCCCCAGCTGCTCTGTCCCGGGGAGATGGGAGTTTTATTGGGGCTGCTGCCCTTCTTTCAGAGATGTCCTGCTGACAGAGGAGGAATCTAGAGAGGCAGTCTGCCTAAAGTGGCTTTGAGGTGCCGCGGTGGGCTCCACTCTGTCCCAACTTCCTGGTGGCTTTGTTTACACCATGATGGAAAAACTGCCTACTCCAGTCTCAGTAATGGCAAATGTCCCTCCCACCACCAAGCTCGAGCATCCCAGATTGACTTCAGACTGCTGTGCTGGCAGCAAGAATTTCAAGCCAGTGGATCTTAGCTTGCTTGGCTCCATTGGGGCAGGATCCACTGAGCTAGACCACTTGGCTCCCTAGCTTCAGCCCCCTTTCCAGGGGAGTGAACGGTTCTGCCTCCCTGGCATTCCAGGCACCACTGAGGTTTGAAAAAAAAAAAATCTCCTGCAGCTAGCTTGGCATCTGCCCAAATGGCTGCCCAGTTTTGTGCTTGAAATCTAGGTCCCTGGTGGTGTAGGCACCTGAGGGAATCTGCTGGTCTGTGGGTTGTGAAGACCATGGGAAAAGGGTAGTATCTGGGCTGGAATGCACTGTTCCTCATGGCAGAGTCCCTCAGGGCTTCTTTTGGCTAGGGGAGGGAGTTCCCTGACCCCTTGCCCTTCCCAGGGGACATGGCACTCCACCCTGCTTCCACTTGCCCTCTGTGGGCTGCACCCAGTGTCTAACCAGTCCCAATGAGATGAGCTGGTTACCTCAGTTGGAAATGCAGAAGTCATTCACCTTCTGCATTGATCTTGTTGGGAGCTGCAGAGTGGAGCTGTTCCTATTTGGCCATCTTGCTCACAACCTCTATAATATGTTTTAAGGTTGGGTTGTGCGATGCCTCCAGCTTTGTTCTTTTGCTTAGCATTGCTTTGGCTATTCATGCTCTTTTTTGGTTCCATGTGAATTTTAAGATTTTTTTTTCTATTTCAGTGAAAAATGACATTGGTATTTTGATAGGGATTGCATCAAATCTGTAGATCGCTTTGGGTAGTACAGTCATTTCAATGATGTTAATTCTTCCAATCCATGAGCATGAAAGGTTTTTCTATTTGTTTGTGTCATCTTCAATTTATTTCATCAGAGTTTTATAGTTTTCCTTGTAGAAGTGTTTTACCTCCTTGGTTAAATTTACTCCTAGATATTTTAATTAATTAATTAATTAATTAATTTGCAGTTAACATTAATAGGATTACATTATTGATTTTTTCCTTGGCTGGTTCATTATTGATTTATAGAAACACTACTGATTTTTCTATGTTGATTTTGTGTTCTTCAACTTTCGTGAATTCATTGAGCAGATCTAAGAGTTTATTTTTTTGGTGGAGTCTTTAAATTGATTTAGATATAAGATTATGTCATCTGCAAAAAGGAGCACCTTGCCTTGCTCTTTTGCAATTTAGATACCTTTTATTTCTTTCTCTTGCCTGATTTCTCTGGCTAGGACTTCTACTATTATGTTGAACAGGAGTGGTGGAAGTGGAAATCTTTGTCTTGTTCCAGTTCTTAAAGGAAAGGCTGTTAACTTTTCTCCATTCGATATGATGTTAGCTGTGGGCTTATCATATATGGCCTTTATTATGTTGAGGTATGTTCCTTCTAGGCCAGGTTTCTTGAGATTTTATCACTAAGGGATGTTGAATTTTATCAAATGCTTTTTCTTTATATATTGAGATGATCATAATGGTTTTTCTGTTAATGTGATGAGTCACATTTATTGATTTGCACAGGTTGAACCATCCCACTTGATCATGGTATATTATCTTTTTCATAGGCTGTTGGATATGGTTTACTAGCATTTTGTTGAGGATTTTTGTATTTATAGTTACCGAGGATATTGGCCTGTAGTTTTCTTTCTTTCTTTCTTTCTTTCTTTCTTTCTTTCTTTCTTTCTTTCTTTCTTTCTTTCTTTCTTTCTTTCTTTCTTTCTTTTCTGTGTCCTTTTTTTGCTATCAGGTTAATGCTGGCCTCATAGAATGAGTTAGGAAGAATTCCCTTCTCTAATTTTCTGGAATAGTTTAAGGAGAATTGGTGCTAATTCTTTGTATGTTTGGTGGAATTTGGCAGTGAAGACATCCAGTTCTGGACTTTTATTTGTTGGGAGACTTTTTATTATTAATTAAATCTCATTATTTGTTATTGGTCTGTTCAGGTTTTTAAAATTTCTTCCTGATTCAATCTTGGTAGGTTGTATGTGTCTAGGAATTTACCTATTTTCTCTAAGTTTTCCAATGTTGTAGTGTATAGTTGTTCTTAATAATCTCTGACGATCTTTTGTATTGCTGTGGTATCCATTGTAATGTCTCTTTTTTCATTTCTGATTTTACTTGTGTCTTTTTTTCCCTTGGTTAATCTACCTAGTAGTTTATCAATTTTGCTTATCTTTTCAGAAAACCAACTTTTTGTTTCATCGATCCTTCGTAATGTTAAACCTCAATTTTGTTTAGTTCTGCTCTGATCTTTATTATTTCTTTTCTGTTAATTTTGGGCTTGGTTTATTCTTGCCTTTTTAGTTTCTTGAGGTGCACTGGTAGATTATTTATTTGAAATCTTTCTACATTTTTGCTGTAGGCATTTATTGCTATAAACCTCTCTTAGCCCTGCTTTTGTTGTATCCCATAGGTTTTAGTATGTTGTATTTAGATTTTCACTGTTTCAAAAAATTTTTTTATTTTTCCCTTTAATTTCTTCCTTGACCCAGTGGTAGTTCAGGTGCATATTGTTTAATTTTTATGTATTTAAACACTTTCCAAAGTTCTGTTGTTATTGGTTTCTAGGTTTATTCTATTTTGTTCTGAGAAGATACTTGATATAATTTCAATTTTTAAGATTCTTTTGAGACTTGTTTTGTGTCCTAGCATATGGTCTGTTCTGGAGAATATTCCATGTACTTACGAAAAGAATGTATATTCTGTAGCTTTTGGATGAAATGTCTGTTAGGTCCATTTGGTCCAATGTGCAGTTTAAATATAATGTTTCTTTGTTTATTTTCTGTCTAGATAATTTATCTAATGTTGAGAGTGGGGCGTTTATGTCACCAACAATTATTGTATTGGAATCTATCTCTCCCTTATATTTAATATTTGCTTTATATATCTGGATGCTCTGGTGTTGGGTCCATGTTTAGAACTGTTATATCATTTTGCTGAACGGATCCCTGTATCATTATATAATGACCTCTCATCTCTTTTTACTATTTTTGACTTAAAGTATGTTTTATCTGATATAAATATAGCTTCTCTTGCTAATTTTTGGTTTCTACTTGTATGAAATATCTTTTTCTATCCCTCTATTTTCAGTGCATATGTGTCTTTATAGGTGAAGTAAGTTTTTTATAGACAGCATATAGTTGAGTCTTGCTTTTTAAAATCCATTGAACCAGTTTATATCTTTTAAGTGGAAAGTTTAAGGTTTACATTCAAGCTTATTAATATGTAAGTGCTGATTCTTGTAATGTTATTAATTGATTTCTGATTATTTTGAATATCCTTTATTTCTTTCTTCCTCTTTTATTGTTTATCATTGTGGTTTTTTGTAGGGATAGCACTTGAGTCTTCTATTCCTCATTTGTGTGCTTGCTCTACCAGTGGGTTATATAATTTTGGTATTTTCATGATGGTAGATACCATCCTTTCACTACTATGTGTATGATTCCCTTAAGCATTTCTTGTATGGCTGGTCTAGTGGTGATGAATTCCCTCTGCTTTTGCTTTTCTGGGAAAGACTTTATTTCTCCTTTATTTATGAATGAGAACTTCTGGGTGGTGTATCCTTGGCTGGCAGTCTTTTTTCCTTCAGCTCTTTGAATGTATTGTTGCATTCTCTCCTGACCTGTAAGGTTTCTGTTAAGAAATCTAGTGTTCATCTGATGGGGCTTCCTTTATAAGTGACTAGTCACTTTTCCTGTTTTTATAATTTCATTTTTTGTCTTTGACTTTTGACAGTTTGATGATAATGTGCTGTGAATAAGAAGACATTTTGAAATTGTATCTGTTTGGAAATATTTGAGCTTCTTGCATTTGGATGTCTGTATCTCTTGCTAGACTTAGGAAGTTTTCAGCTACTATTTTTTATATAGGTTTCTATTCCCTTCATTTTCTGTTCCCTTTCTGGGACACTGAGAATTTGAATATTTGGTCACTTTGTGGTGCTCCATATGTGATGTAGGCTTTGTTTCTTCTTTAGAATTCTCTTTTCTTTATTTTTTTGTCTGACTGGGTTATTTCAGAAAACCAGTTTTCAAGTTGTGAAGTTTTTTCTTCTGCTTAATCTAGTCTATTGTTGAAGCTTTCAAGTGTATTTTGTATTTCATTCAATGAATTCTTCAGTTCCAGAATTTCTGTTTGATACTTTTTAATGATATTGATCTATTTGCTAAGTTTCTCATTCATACCCTGAATTGTTTTTCTGACTTCGTTTATTGTTTTTCTTAGTTCTTTTGTATCTCACTGAGCTTCAATATTATTTTTAATTCTTTTTCCAGGAATTTCTGGAAGAAATTCATAAATTTCTTAATTGAAATCTGTTGCTGGAGAATTATTGTGTTCTTGTGGAAGTGTTTATATTTTCTTGCTTTTCCATATTTTTTGTGTCCTTATGTTGATATATGCACATCTGGTGTAATAGTCATCTCTTCCAAGTTTTTGACTTCGATTTTGTAGGGAAAGACTATTTTCTAAAGACGTATCTATGGTTCTGTTTATGTAGGGCACTTTCGCTTTGATTCCATGTGTGTATACACTAGTATAGTCCCCATATGGTTTCTTCAGCTATAAACACATCAGTAATGTCTCTGATTTTCTCAGTGGATTAGGTTGCAATTTTTAGTGGAGGCCATGTTTAAAGTTTTGCTGGGGATGGAGACATCACATGGTCCAGTTCTCAGGACCCATTGGTCACGGTGGCAGGCTAAGTGTGCCTATCACTGGGCCCCTCGGCAGTGTCATGGGCACTGATGTTAGCAGGTCCAGGTGCATGAGTTTTGGACCTCTGGGCAGCTTACTCAGGTGTGGAAGCAGTGGCAATGTTAATCAGGCAAGTGGGAAGGTCCTTGAGCCCTTGGGCAGTGGGCATGACATGGACAATGGCAGTAGCAGTGGTGGGAGTACCCTCTGGCTTCCATGTGGTCTGTGCTGGTGTTGGTGGTGGCTGTGACGGCCTGGGCAGGTTAGTTTCTGGGCCTGCAGGTGGCTTTGGTGGATGAATGCCAGCTGTGGTGGTAGTGGCAGGTTGGTTGGGCTCATCCTTAGGCCACTGGGCATGTGCTTGGGCACTGCGAAGGAGTATACAGTTGGGGCAGGTGGGTCTGTTCTCACACTCATTGGTGGTGTCTGTGGTAGCTGGCTGTGGTAGGCAAGGATGGGGTGATTCCCAGGCCCCTGGTGGAATCTTCAGGAGGGGGGTGGCAGTGGCTGTGTTGTGAAGATGGGGTTCAATACATCTTCAGATGAGTGTGGCAGTGGGTCTGTTGTGAAGGTGGCACCTGCTGCTGGTGAAGATGGGGTTGCTTTTAGTGGCAGCAGCCACAAACAGACGGCTGGGGAGCACATGCTTCAGCAATAAATGGTGGCTATATGCAGGGTAACTTTCCTCAGGGCACTTTTAAATGTATGATGGCTCTGCTATTGGCTGTGGTGTGGTCACTGCCAGTGGCTCTGTCTTTGGTCCTGGTGAGAGCAGCCAGCAATGGTACCTGGGTATGATCAGTGGATGTCAATGGGGCTTTGGAGATATGGAGGTGTAGGAGTTACTGGGCTCCTAGGTGGAATGCATTCTGGTAGGGGCTGGGCCTTCAGGATAGCACCTTGTGAGTACCAGATGCCTCTAGTCAGCTGTCTTAAATCCCTTTCAATATTATTATTATTATTATTATTATTATTATTATTTTCTTTTTTTTATTATTATACTTTAAGTTTTAGGGTACATGTGCACAATGTGCAGGTTAGTTACATATGTATACATGTGCCATGCTGGTGTGCTGCACCCACTAACTCGTCATTTAGCATTAGGTATATCTCCTAATGCTATCCCTCCCCCCTCCCCCCACCCCACAACAGTCCCCAGAGTGTGATGTTCCCCTTCCTGTGTCCATGTGTTCTCATTGTTCAATTCCACCTATGAGTGAGAACATGCGGTGTTTGGTTTTTTGTCCTTGTGATAGTTTGCTGAGAACGATGATTTCCAATTTCATCCATGTCCCTACAAAGGACATGAACTCATCATTTTTTATGGCTGCATAGTATTCCATGGTGTATATGTGCCACATTTTCTTAATCCAGTCTATCATTGTTGGATATTTGGGTTGGTTCCAAGTCTTTGCTATTGTGAATAGTGCCACAATAAACATACATGTGCATGTGTCTTTATAGCAGCATGATTTGTAGTCCTTTGGGTATATACCCAGTAATGGGATGGCTGGGTCAAATGGGGTTTCTAGTTCTAGATCCCTGAGGAATTGCCACACTGACTTCCACAATGGTTGAACTAGTTTACAGTCCCACCAACAGTGTAAAAGTGTTCCTATTTCTCCACATCCTCTCCAGCACCTGTTGTTTCCTGACTTTTTAATGATTGCCATTCTAACTGGTGTGAGATGGTATCTCATTGTGGTTTTGATTTTCATTTCTCTGATGGCCAGTGATGGTGAGCATTTTTTCATGTGTTTTTTGGCTGCATAAGTGTCTTCCTGACTTCAAGCTATACTACAAGGCTACAGTAACCAAAACAGCATGGTACTGGTACCAAAACAGAGATATAGATCAATGGAACAGAACAGAGCCCTCAGAATTAATGCCGCATATCTACAACTATCTGATCTTTGACAAACATGACAAAAACAAGCAATGGGGAAAGGATTCCCTATTTAATAAATGGTGCTGGGAAAACTGGCTAGCCATAAGTAGAAAGCTGAAACTGGACCCCTTCCTTACACCTTATACAAAAATTAATTCAAGATGGATTAAAGACTTAAACGTTAGACCTAAGACCATAAAAACCCTAGAAGAAAACCTAGGCGTTACCATTCAGGACATAAGCAAGGGCAAGGACTTCATGTCTAAAACACCAAAAGCAATGGCAACAAAAGCCAAAATTGACAAATGGGATCTAATTAAACTAAAGAGCTTCTGCACAGCAAAAGAAACTACCATCAGAGTGAACAGGCAACCTACAAAATGGGAGAAAATTTTCACAACCTACTCATCTGACAAAGGGCTAATATCCAGAATCTACAATGAACTCAAACAAATTTACAAGAAAAAAACAAACAACCCCATCAAAAAGTGGGCGAAGGATATGAACAGACACTTCTCAATATTATTTTTAAAACTAATTTTCTCCTAGTATTTTCATGGCTTCACTTTTCCTATTTAATTTTTTATGCACTTGAATTTACTTTTTAGTAAATAGTAAGATAGAGATCACTTCTTTTTTTAAAAAAGAAAATGCTACTAGCTTTACAACTTATTTTATAATCCAACTTCTTCCCATTGATATGGAATTTTACCTTTATTTTACCCTAAAACCTCAAATGTATGCAATTCCATTTAGAAAGTTTTAGTTCTAGTCCACAGATCTATCAATCCTGGAACATGTTATGTCAGATAAAAATATTTTTAGCTTTCTGTAATGTCTGGCAACATGTATCTGCTCATCAGTCTCTATCAGAATTTTGCTGATTATTCTTCTTTTTAAAAGCCGTATTGTGGTGTAATTGACATAAAATAGACTGCATATGTTTAACGTGAACAACTTGATTTGTTTTGGCATAGGTATATACCTGTGAAACCATTATTACAATCAAGATAATATATTCTTGACCCCCAAATTTTTGCTGTGACCCTTTGAGGTCACTATCTCTTGCTCCTTCCTGTCTCTCTCATTCCCAAGCAATCACTTACTGATCTTCTTTTTGTAACTATGAGATTAGTTTGCATTTCCTAAGATTCTATACATATGAAATCATATATGTAAAGTCTTTTTTCTGACTTCTTTCATTCAGTGTAATTTTTCTTTCAGATTCATCCTTCTTGTTTTATGTATCAGCAGTTCATACTTTTTACAGCTGACTAACATCCTTTTTTTTTTTTTTTTGAGACAGAGTCTTGCTCTCTCACCCAGGCTGGAGTGCAGTGGTGCAATCTCGGCTCACTGCAAGCTCCGCCTCCTGGGTTCATGCCATTCTCCTGCCTCAGCCTCCAGAGTAGCTGGGACTACAGGCGCCGCCACCATGCCCAGCTAATTTTTTTTTTGTATTTTTAGTAGAGAAGGGGTTTCACTGTGTTAGCCAGGATGATCTTGATCGCCTGACCTTGTGATCCACCCACCTCAGCCTCCCAAAGTGCTGGAAATACAGGCGTGAACCACCGCACCCGACCTCTAACATTCTATTGTATGAATGTATTAGTTGGCTTGGGCTGCCACAACAAAATGCCAATAGACTAGGTGGCTTAACCAACAGAAATTTATTTTTCACAGTTTGGAGGCTGGGAAGTCCAAGATCAAGGTATCAGATGATTCAATTTCTGATGAGGTCTCTCTTCCTGGCTTGCAGTTGCCTTCTCACTGTATCTTCATATGGCCTTTCCTCTGTGCATGCACACAGAGAGTTTCCTCTTTTTATAAGGCCACCCATCACATTATGAGGGCCCCACTCACATGACCTAATCTAACTCTAATTACCTCTCAAAGGTTCCATCTCCAAATACCATCACACTGGGGACTAGAGCTTTAATGTACGAATTTTAGGCAGACACAAACATTCAGTCCATAACAACTTAAAAAATCCATTGAGGTATTGGTGGACATATATGTTGTTTATAATTTCTGACTATTACAAATCAATCTGCTATTAATATTTATATATGAGGTATATACCTGTATTTCTCTTGGGTAAATATTTTTAAGTAGAATGGCTGGATCATGTGTTGAAATAAGTGGATCATATCATAAAAAAGTTTTGTCTTTTAAAAAAATTGCCAGTTTCCCAAAGTGGTTGTACCATTTTCTATACCCACTATAATTGTATGACAGTTCCATGTTATCTTTGATAACACGTGGCCAGTGGTAATAATTTTAGGCATTCTTACAGGTGTGTGGTAGCCTACATAGTGGTATCTCATTGTGCTTTTAATTTGCATTGCCCTAATGACTAATGATTTCGAGAACATTTTCCTATGTTTATTTACCTTCTGTATGTCTTCTTTGGAGAAGTTTCTGGTAAAATCTTTTGCCTCCTCCCTTTTTTTTGTTGGGTTGTTTGGTTTCTCATTATTGAATTTTGAGAGTTCTTTATATAGATATAAGTTCTTTATCATATATACAATTTGCACACATTTTCTTCCAACCTGTAGCTTGTCTTTTCTTTCTCTTAGAAATTTTTTTTGAAGAGTGGAAGCTCTTAATTTTCATGAAGTGTAATTATCAATTTCTTCTTTTATGTATTGTGTTTTTGCTGTCATAACTAAGACATCTTTCCCTAACCCAAGACTATAAAATTTTTTTTTCTAGAAGTTTTATGGTTTTCAGTTTTACAGTTAGGACTGTAATCCATTTTGAGTTAATTTTTGTGTTTTGTATGAGGTATGGATGAAAATTCTTTTTTTTGCATATTGTAAATTGTATTGTTTAAAAAATTTTAATTTCTAATCATTTCTAGAATACCTAAATAAAACTGATTAATCTTGCTAAAGTCACTTATTAGCAACAGTAGTTATTTCTTTGGTAATTTTCAAGCAATTTTTTACGTAGAGGATGATTTTGCCAGGAAACAAAGGCAGTTTCTTTCTTCTTTCTAGTTTAGATGCCTTTTATTTCTTTTTCTTGTCTTATTGAACTAGTCAGAACTTTCCAGTCCAATATTGTATGAACATGGTGAGAAAAGGCATCATTGCCTTTTTCCTGTTCGTAAGGAAAAAGCAATCAGTCATTCTCCATTAAATATGATATTAGCTTTAAGTTTTTTAAATAGATGCTATCTATCAGATTGAGGAAGTTCTCTTCTATCCTTGCTGTGCTAAGAGTTTTTAGCAGAAACGCTGAATTTTGTCAAACGCTCTTCCTGCATTTGTTGAGATGATCATATGATTTTTCTTTTTAGGCTGTTAATATGGTGAATTACATTGATTGATTTTTGAATGTTAAAACAATCTTGCTTTTTGTAAATGAATCCTATTCAGCCATGTTGTGTCATCTTCTTATATGTAATGTCTGTCTGTTTTTCATATTCCCAAGCTTCTGGCCTCATGAAAGAAGGTAGAAAATATTTCATCTTCTTCAATTTTCTGTAAGAGGTTTTGTAGAATTGGCATCATTTGTTCCTTAAATGTTTGGTAGAATTCTCCAGCAAAGTCATATGGGCCTGGAGGTGTTTTTTGTTTTGTTTTGTTTTGTTTTTTGTTTTTTTTTTGTTTGTTTGGGAGGGTGGTTAAATTACAAATTTAATTAATTTAATAGGCTATTTAGATTATCTATTTATACTTGGATGAAATTAGTAGTTTGTGTCTTTCAAGAAATTTACCTATTTCTTCTAAATTGTCAAATTTATTGGCATAATGTTCATTATAATATTTTCTTATTTTAAAAAATATATGTAAAATATGTAGTGTTGTTACCTTTATTATTTCTGACAATGGGTAATTTGTGTCTTCTCTCTTTTTTCCTCTGATTGGCTTGGCTGCAGCTTTACCAATTTTATTGATCTTTTTAAAGAAGTAGCATTGGGTTTCATTAATTTTTCATTGACTTTATATATTTTATTAATATCTACTCTGATTTTTTCATAAGTTATCTTCTTCTACTTTGGTTTTAATTTGTTCTTTGGCTTCTAGTTTCTTTTCTATTTTCTTATTCCCTTTTTTAAAGATATTTTAAATGTAACTTTATTTTGATAAAGGAATGGGAATGACAGTAACAAACAAGATTTCACCACTGAATATTGTGATGTGACTGTAGCAGTCTTTTTTTTTGGACGGGGGGATGGAGTCTCGCTCTGTTGCCAGGCTGGAGTGCTGTGGTGTGATCTCCACTCACTGCAACCTCCGACTCCCTGGTTCAAGCGATTCTCCTGCCTCAGCCTCTTGAGTAGCTGGGATTACAGGCCGGCACCACCACCCCTGGCTAATTTTTGTATTTTTAGTAGAGACAGAGTTTCACTATGTTGACCAGGATGGTCTCGATCTTCTGACCTCGTGATCAGCCTGCCTCAGCCTCCCAAAGTGCTGGGATTACAGGCGTGAGCCACTGCACCCGGCCGAATGTAGCAGTCTTATATTTGAAACTCTAGGAATCAACTGCATTCCAAAACAGCTAAATATGCAGGTCCAAACAATGAAGGTATTTTTTAAACTGCCACATTCACTCCGAAGCCCACTCATCTCCTTCAGCATCCCACAGATGAAGCACATGTTCCGCTTAGCTAGATAACAATGAGGTGGCACGCACGCTGCACCGCTGACATCACAGGACAACTGCCTATAAAACTAAGACTTCTGACACTGGGCTCCAGCTTCATTCTCACAGGTCATTATCCTAATCCGGGAGAGCAGTTGTCTGAGCAACCTCTAAGTCGTGCTCATACTGTGCTGCCAAAGCTGGGTCCATGACAACCTCCGGTGGGGAGAGAGCAGACATGGCAACAAATTCCAAGTCAGGGTCTCCAATGGGCTACCTAGCAAGCCAGTGGAAGGGCTTTTCAAAGTTGTAGTTACTTTTGGCAGAAATGTCATAGTACTGAAGATTGTTCTTTTGGTGGAAGACAATGGATTTTGCCTTCCCTTTCCTCTTCTTAATATCCACTTTGTTGCCACACAACACGATGGAGATGTTTTCACACGCTCTCACCTGATCTCTATGCCAGATAGGCACATGTAAGTAACTCTTGATGTTACATCAAACATTATAATGGCACACTGGGCTTGGATATAATAGCCATCTCTCAGTCTACCGAATTTCTCCCTGCTGGCTGTGTCCCATACATTGAACTTAATAGGTCCTCTGTTGGTGTGGAACACTAGGGGATGAACCTCAACACCTAAGGTGGCTATACACTTCTCAAATTCACCAGTCAAATGATGTTTCACGAAGGTCGTTTTCCCAGTACCACCATCACCAACCAATACAAGTTTGAACTGGACCTGGGGTTCTCCCTGTCTAGTCATCCCGGCGTTCTTTCCAGAAGCATCTCCGCACCCTTCCACCTGAGCTCTTATTCCTTTTTTTTTTTTTTTTTTTAATTGGGTCTCACTGTGTCACCCAGGCTGAAGTGCAGTGGTGTGATATGGCTCACTGCTGCCTTGAACTCCTGGGCTCAAGCAATCTTCCTGCCTTAGCCTCCCAAGTAGCTGATACAGTAGGCACGTGCCACCATGCCTGGCTAAGTTTTTTTTTTTCTTTGTAGAGACAAGATCTCTCTCCATTGCCAACACTGGTCTCAAACTCCTGGCCTCAAGCAATCATCCAACCTCAGCCTTCTGAGTACCGGGATTACAAGTGCGAGCCACTGTGCCCAGCTCCTGTTTCTACTTTCTTAAGGTACAAGTTGAGGTCATTGATTTGAGATCTTTCCACTGTTCTAATATGGATGTTCAGTGTTATGGATTTACCTCCAAATATTGTTTTAATTGCATCTCACAAAATTTAGAATGTGTGTTTTCTTTTTCATTCAGTCCCACATAATTAGAAATTTTCTATTTCGTTTCTTTTACTCATGGATCATTTAAAAGAACATTGTTTAGTTTCAATATACTTGAGGATTTTCTATATTTTTTTCTGTTTTTGATTTATAATATAATTTATTGTGCTCATAGTACATACTTTGCATGGTTTGGATCCTTTTAAATTTATGGAGGCGTATTTTGTGACCCAGAAAATGGTATGTTTTGGAAAATGTTTCATGTGCACTTGGGAAGAATATATATTACAGTTTAGTATTGTGGGATGGATTATTCTATAAATATCAATTAGGTCAAGTTGATTGATGGTGTTCAACTCATATTCTTACTGATTTTCTGTTTACTGGTTTTATTAACAACTGAACAGGGATTTTTGAAATATCTGACTATAATTCTGAATTTGCTTCTTTTTTTGTTGTACTTTGATCAGCTTTTGTTTCATGTGTTTTGATGCTCTGCCTCTTTATCATATGAAATGACCTTTTCATTCTCAATAATAATCTATGTTCTGAAATCTATTTTATCCTATTTTAATATAGCCATTTCATCTTTCTTTTTATAGGGTTAGCATGGTATATCTTTTTCCATTCATTTACTTTTAGTTAATTTGTGTTTTATATTAAAACTTTTTTTTCTTCTGTAGCAGCATATAGAATTGGGTCTTGCCTTTTATTTCTTAAATTCAATCTGAGAATCTCTGCCTTTCACTGTGGTGTTTAGACCATTTACATTTAATGTGATATTTGATATGATGAGTCTAAATTTACTCTCTTGCTATTTTTTTCTCTCTATTCTTTGTCTATTATCTTTTTCTCTTTTTTTCTATTTTCTATTTCTTATCTTTTCCCATTTTTAAATAATTACTTTATACTTCCAGTTTATATTCATTGTTGGCTTATTAGTTATAATGCTTTGCTGTGTAATTTTAGTGATAGCTTTGGTGTTTATAGAAAATATCTTTAACTTTTTACACTCTACCTTCTGGTAATATACTGCTTCATATTTTTATAAAAATATTACCACAGTATACTTCCATTTTCTCCTCCAAGCCTTTGCACCACTGTTGTCATACATTTTATTTCTACATATGTCATAAACCCCCCAAAATATTATTATTTTTGCTTCATATAGTCACGTATCTTTTAAAGATACTTAATTAGTAATAAAAATCATTTTAAAAACATGTAGTTACAATTTTTGGTGCTTTTAATTTGAGCACAGATTATTATTTCCATCTGTTATTTTTCTTCTGGCTGAAGGACTTTTTATGTCATTTCTTGTATTTAAGCTCTGTTAGTGATGAATTATTTCAATTTTTGTATGCTTCAAAGAGTAGTTTGTTTTTGAAAAATATTTTTGCTGTGTAAAAGATGGCACATGTATACATGTGTACCTAACCTGCACATTGTGCACATGTACCCTAAAACTTAAAGTATAATAATAATAAAATAAAATAAAATTATCATTTGATTTTTTTTCAGTACTTTATATTTCTCTACTGTCATCTGCATTACATTGTTTCTGATGAAAATCTAATGCCATCCTAATGTTTGTCCCTCCCTACCCCACTCAGGACAACTGATGTTCCTTTGTATGTAATGTTTTTTTCTTATGGCTACTTTTAAGATGTTTTTCTCTCTATCATCATAATTTTAAGCAGTTTGATCATGTTGTGACTTGGTTTCTTTTTATTTATTTATTTTTGTGTGTGTGTGCTTACAGTTCATTGAGCATCTCGGATCTGTGGACTTTTGTACTTCATTAAATTGAAAATATTTTGGCCATTATCTTTTCAAATATTACCTTGACCTTTTTTTTTCTTTAAGAACTCCAATTACATGCATATTAGACAAGTCGAATTTGTCACTTAGCTCACTGATGACTCTGTTAAATCTTTTTTAGACATTGTGTTTTATTTGGGATAATTTCCATTGTCTTTAAATTAACTAATATTTTCTTCTGCAGTGAATAATCTGGCATTAATCTCATGGCAAAAATCTCATATTTTTCTTCTTGAACATTCTAATTTTTTATTTCTAGATGTTTAGATTTGTGTTATGTTTTTATTTTTCATAATTCTGCTTAACATGTTCAATTTTACTTCTTATTGTTTGAACATATGAAATATAGTTATAATAATTGTATAAACATCCATTTTCATTAATTCTATAATCTATATAATTTCTGTGTCAATTTTGATTGCTTACTTTTTCTCATTATTGTTCATATTTTCCTGCTTTTTTGCATGTCTAATAATTTTTAATTAAATGCCAGTCATTGTGAATTTTGCCTTGTGTTCTGGGTATTCTTGTATTTCAACAAATCTTCTCAAATTTTGTTGTTTGAAGCACTTAAGTTACTTGGAAACAGTTTGATTTTAGCAGGTCTTTTTTTGAATTGGGATCAAAGTAGAATTGAGTCTAAGGGCTAATATTTCCCTAGTACTATATTGATACAAAACCCTTCTATGTACTTTATACAATGCTTTTGGAATGATGAGGTTTTAGACTTTGTTGATGAGAATAGGAGCTATTCTTCTGCGTGAACTCTCAGTGTTCTTCCCCATTATCCTTTTGGGTGGTTATTTTCCTGGTCTCAGTTATTTTTCACACACCCATAAGCTGGTTAGTACTTAGTTGAAGACTTGATGTGGACACTGCAGATCTCTGAAGCCCTCTCCTCTCTGTATCTCTGCTCTACAGAGTCTACTTGCTGTGGTATCCATAGGCTCCCAGCAACATCTTCTCTACTCACGGTGACTACTGGACTCTGCCTATGTTTTTCTTTCTTGTGTCATGGCCTGGAAACTCTTTTTAGATAATATGTAGGCAATCATAGGACTCACTTTGTTCATTATTCCCATTTCTCAGAGATCAATGTTTTTTGTAGCATGAATTTTAATGTTTTGAAAATTATTGTTTGATAAATTTTGTTGATTTAGTTGTTTCAGGAGTATAACCAGTATATATGGTCCTTGTTACTTTGTCTTGGCAAGAAGCATAAATTTCCGAGTATCTATTTTTTTATGCAAGGTTGTAGACCTAACCCTTGCTGCATGTATTAAAATCATGTGGAGAGCTTTTAAATAAGAACTTGTCTCTGAGATTCTGATTTAATTGGTCTGGAATGATGTTTGTGTGAAGTGTTTAAGTGTTATACCCCTTATACCACTATTGTGGTTGCTTTAGTTCTCTGTTGCTTTTTAATTGCCACAGATAACACTATTAAAAGTGTCGCTTACTTTAGCTAACTGATGACCATCAAAGTCCTTTAACAGTTTGCCTGTTTATTTATTCATTTATTTTTAGAGATGGGGTCTTGCTATGTTGCTCAGGCTGAAGTGCATTGGTATAATCATAGCTTAGCTTACTGCAGCCTGAACTTCTGGGCTCAAGTGATCCTTCTGCCTCAGCATCCCAAGTAGCTTGGACTACAGGTATGTGCCATGATGCCCAGTGGTTTGCCCATATTTTGACATGTAAAATTAAGTCATGTCATTTGGTACTCTTAAAAAATAAAGGTAGCTGAATGGATGTTTATCTTACTCCATCAGGAAGATTTTGGTGCTGGATACAATGCAGTTGATGAGTAGTCTCATTTTCTTCTTACTCTTAAATGACAGTTCACAACTTACACACATTTCATGGGTCATACAGGGTCACATAACAAAATTGGAATTAGTGTGCTTTAAATTGGAAAGAAAACAGATCACTTTGATTTAATATTTACATTTTAACTAGAAATTTTGCACCCCTAAAAAAACTACAGTGCCCTACATTTTCAAACTTTATTAATTGAATCTTAACTTCAGGTTCTTTCTAACAGATACAACAATCACTGTAACTTGGTGCTGAAAATCTATCTGCCTAATACCCAACTTCATTCCAAAAGGTATAATACATTTTCCTAGAATATTTCTACAATTACCCAATCTAGTTGGCTGTTTAGGTTGTTAACTTTGTTATGCTGGTGAATTATATATGAGCTTTAGAAATGACCATCTTTAAGAAATTCTTTTTTTTAAATTTTATTATTATTATACTTTAAGTTTTAGGGTACATGTGCACAACGTGCAGGTTTGTTACATATGTATACATGTGCCATGTTGGTGTGCTGCACCCATTAACTCGTCATTTAGCTTTAGGTATATCTCCTAATGCTATCCCTCCCCCCTCCCCCACCCCACAACAGGCCCCGGTGTGTGATGTTCCCCTTCCTGTGTCCATGTGTTCTCATTGTTCAATTCCTACCTATGAGTGAGAACATGCAGTGTTTGGTATTTTGTCCTGTGATAGTTTGCTGAGAACGATGATTTCCAATTTCATCCATGTCCCTACAAAGGACATGAACTCATCATTTTTTATGGTTGCATAGTATTCCATAGTGTATATGTGCCACATTTTCTTAATCCAGTCTATCGTTGTTGGACATTTGGGTTGGTTCAAAGTCTTTGCTATTGTGAATAGTGCCACAATAAACATACGTGTGCATGTGTCTTTATAGCAGCATGATTTATAATCCTTTGGGTATATACCCAGTAATGGGATGGCTGGGTCAAATGGTATTCCTAGTTCTAGATCCCTGAGGAATCGCCGCACTGACTTCCACAATGGTTGAACTAGTTTATAGTCCCACCAACAGTGTAAAACTGTTCCTATTTCTCCACATCCTCTCCAGCACTTGTTGTTTCCTGACTTTTTAATGATCGCCATTCTAACTGGTATGAGATGGTATCTCATTGTGGTTTTGATTTTCATTTCTCTGATGGCCAGTGATGATGAGCATTTTTTCGTGTGTTTTTTGGCTGCATAAATGACTTCTTTTGAGAAGTGTCTGTTCATATCCTTTGCCCACTTTTTGATGGGGTTGTTTGTTTTTTTCTTGTAAATTTGTTTGAGTTCATTGTAGATTCTGGATATTAGCCCTTTGTCAGATGAGTAGGTTGCAAAAATTTTCTCCCATTCTGTAGGTTGCCTGTTCACTCTGATGGTAGTTTCTTTTGCTGTGCAGAAGCTCTTTAGTTTAATTAGATCCCATTTGTCAATTTTGGCTTCTGTTGCCATTGCTTTTGGTGTTTTAGACATGAAGTCCTTGGCCATGCCTATGTCCTGAATGGTATTGCCTGGGTTTTCTTCTAGGCAATGATGAGGAAATGGAGTCATCACAAGTCCTAAATGTAGCAGGATATCAGAGAGAAAGTCTGTATCCTATAAGTTTGCTTTAGTGATGGCATGGGACTTACATATAAAATGTAAAATAAAAACTGCTAACATAGAGAAATCCCACTCCTAAAATCTGCTCATCCTCCCTGATTTTTATATTTCCATTTATAGCATTATTATTTTTATAGTCACCTGACTAGAGTCAAAGCTTTGGAGTAATCTTTTTCTTCTCTTTCTGTACACTTTTAATCAATCGCCTATTACAGCTACCTTTTATCAAGCATGTAGTATCTGCCAGAAATTTTATGTCATCTATGTCTCATAATGTACTGCCAGGTAAGTACTATTATTCCCATTTGCCAGATGAGAAAACAAAAGCTCAAATAAGTGAAATGGGTGATTCTGTGTCACTCAGTTTGTAAGCAAAAGAGTTGTAATTGAAGGCCAGGTTTATTTGTATCCCAAGCCCATTTCTTTCTGCTTTATAAAGTTATTTCCCTCAGGAGATGCTGACATTCTCTATGAAGTTTGTCTCTTGAAGAAACTGTATTATTATTTTTTAAGTCTCAGGAACATAAAACATATTAATCATAATTCTTGGCTCATGACACATTCATCTGTGGTTCATTCATGGTCATCTTTTATTTGTTTGGTTTTCTATTTTGATACTATTGTAACAATAATACTTCAGGAATAATAATAACAAATGGAATAAATAATAAAAGACTATAAATAGCCAAGCTAATCTTGAGAAAGAACAAAGCTGGTGGCATCCTGTTAACCTGCTTTCAAAATATGTTACAAAGTTACAGTAATCAAAACACTATGGCACTGCATAAAGAGAGGCATATCAACCAGAGGAACAGAATACAGAACCAAAAGTACACTTATGCATACACAGTCAACTGATCATTGACAACAGTACTAAAGATACACAAAGAAAAGAGGATAGCCTCTTCCACACACAAAAGGATGATATTGGATGCTTATCTTTTTTTTTTTTTTTTTTTTTTGTGAGATGGAGTCTCACTCTGTCACCCAGGCTGGAGTGCAGTGGCATAATCTCAGCTCACTGCAACCTCTGCCTCCTGGGTTCAAGCGATTCTCCTGCCTCAGCCTCCCGAGTAGCTGGGACTACAGGTGTGTGCCACCACGCCAGGCTAATTTTTTGTATTTTTAGTAGAGATGGGGTTTCACCATGTTAGCCAGGATGGTCTCAATCTCCTGACCTCATGATCTGCCCTCCTTGGCCTCACCATACATCCTAATCAACTCAAAATGGAAAAAAGAATTAAAATTAAGACCTGAAACTATAAAAATCCTAGAAGAAAATTTAAGGGATAGCTTCATAACATTGGTCTTGGCAGTGATTTCATGGATATGACACAGGCAACAAAACCAAAAAACAAGTGACACTACATCAAACCAAAAAGCTTCTGTACAGCAAAGGAAACCATAGAGAAAAAGACAACCAATGGAATGAGAGAAAATATTTCTTTGAGTCTCTTATATATTTTATTTCCCTTAATAGATGGCAAGCTTCTCGGAGATAGGGATTATTTTAAATTTATGTGTGTATTTCTCATCAACATAATCATTTACCCTGGTTTGCCCTTAATTGTGGGAAGGATGGATGTCCACTAACCCCGGGTGTTCTTCAGCACCAATCAATTACTTTTATTTTTCCTTCTCTAAGATTTCTTCTTTTGTTTTCATGACTCACTGTTTCTCCCTACCTGTGCATGGAATATACTGATGGTGGTGGTGGTAGTAGGGGTAGGAGGAGCAGAGATGAAAGAAGGAAGGACGGGAACTTTTCAATGCATAAGGCTATAGTTCCCGGTGGATATACAAGAAAGTGATATAAACACATTGATGGGGAGAAGATGTCAATATCTCTGCTTGTTATTTCAAGGGTAAGAAGTGACTGAGATGTAAATAAGATCAATGAAAAGAAGGTAGGTAGAGACTCCCATTTCATATCACTTCTTATGTGCTATTTATGGTGCATCCTAGATGAGCAGCCGTTCTTACTATATCACATAATATCTTGCCCTTGAATTGAGGATTGGAATGTAGTTCACATTATCTCCATTTTAAAGATGAGGAAAATTATATTGACAAATATGTCTGAAAACTGGAGAATCCATGAAGAGAGCTCTCCCGTTTGATGTGGCACTGTCCTAACCACATACTTTCACAAAGAAACACATTTCCCGAGGCTCTTTAATGTTTATTTTGTACGTTCTCTTCCTTCTTTCATGGCTTCAAAGGTTGCTGCTGCTCTTTTGGAGCTCTTTGATTTCTGAGATCCTGTTTGGGTCCAGGTTCTCCTCTTGCCAAACTCAGTATTTGGAGCATTAAAGCAGTGTCAGACAAATGACACCTTATTGAATCATGTGAATTCTAGTTTTTTAGATCCATTTCAATTAAGTTGCTCAGAAAAAGTAGCTCTTTCTGACATTTATTTCAGAGAAAATGCCACTAATGAAAACACTGTAGATTCATAGCTCAACCTGCTCTCCAATAATTTGTGTATAGTGTGACCTACCACATGCTGCTTTTGCAGATTTACACCTTGCATACTGAAGCCCTTAGGAAAGAGGGAGGGAACAAGGGTGGGGGAAAGAGTGGGAGCAGAGTGTGAGAGCAAGAGAGAGAGTGAGAGTGAGCCAGCGAGTGAGAGAGAGAGACTTTATTTTTAGCTCGACTTCTAAGTCAAGCTTAGGAGGGCAGAGAGAAAACAATCACAAATGTTCATGACATTGATGTCTAAGTGATGAGGTATGTCGTGTTACTTATTAAGTTGTTCAGAGTTTTAGTGACATTCTTCTTAAAATATAACATACAGGTTGAATGCACTTAAGAAAAATTCCAGAGAAAAGTTATTTCCAATGGTTTTTTTTTTTTTTTGGTAGTGGTGGTGAGGGATGTATGTTATTGATCTTATAATAGAAATAATGACTTCAACCAGGTTTTCTGAGAAAATTAATGACTGCCTAAGGTTAATGGTCTTCAATCTCCCAGTCAGCCATTAATCCCCAGGAAATGCCCTGGGCCTTGATCATTATTGTGTAAATAATACAAAAGTGGGTATAGTTCTCTTGTCAGATGGGAAACATAAACCACTCTTGTTCTCTCTCTTTATGACAATAAGAATAACGTATTAGGAGAAAAAACACAACAACTTTGCTCCAGTGCAAATAAATAGTCTTGTTTAAACAAAATTATTAAACAGAATATTGAACAAACTTAAACTCTGTATGTTTGAGTAGGAAATAATGGGTGACAGGAAGCTCAGAATTCTTAGGCAGCTGTAGTTAGAGCTATGAGTGAGGTAAAATGGAGAGCCAAATATTGATTGAAGACAGTGCAATTACTGTCATATTAGAGATTTCAAATTAGAATCAGAGTTAAATAAACACATAAGTGACTGCATTAATGGCCGCAAACAAAAGATAGCGCTGGAAGTTACTTTTAAAAATAGAACCTGATAGTTTAATAAAAATATCTTAAGTAACTACATTTTCTAAAATTTCAAATAAATATTGTGATGAATAGGAATATTTTTCTTACTTTAGAATATCAAAGGATTTTTATAGTCCTTTATGTGGGTTATTTTGCATTCCAGGATTTTCAAGGAGGCAAATAGCAAAATGAAAAGCACGTGCAGGAAATCAGTATAGCAGTAGCCCTTATCTGCCAAACGGGATGCTACTGAGGTGGAGAAGCCTTCAGTAGGATTTTCTTACTTTGAATGGAAATGTGCTTGTGTAGCATTATAACTGTCTCAGATTCAGCTGAAGGTCTTTACATTAAGTAGTTTCTCAGTAAACATTTGCAACGTAAGTACATGCCCTCTTGCCCTGAGAGTTCCTTGTATGTTTGGGAGATTAACTTTTTATCTCGGATACGTGTTGCAAGTGTTTTCTCCCAAATTGGCATTTACCTTTTACCTTATTATTATTATTTTTTACATGTAAAAGCTTATTTTTCTCCAAACTCTTTTTTTCCTCCCCTGGATTTTGAGTTTTATTTGGAAAGGCTTTACTCACACCCAGATTATAAAGGGATTCACTGATATTTTATTCTAGAACTTGTAGGACTTAATTTCTTTTATATTTTAAATTTTTATATTAAGAAATTCCCCCTTTTATCTTTAGTTGACACATAATGTATGCATTTCTGGGATACAGAGTGGTATTTCAATACGTGTACATAATTCATTTTTTCCTTTTTTGGGTTTCTGATTCACACAGGGTTTATCCTGGTGTTTGGTGTGAGGTGTGGGCTGCAATTGTGTCTTCTTCCAAATGAATCTCCAGTTATCACAATACTGTTTATTAAAAAGTCCATCCTGTTCTCACAGATGTGAGACACTATTTCAATTAATTATATTTTACATTTTTATATGTAGCTGGATTTACCTTTAAACTTTCTATTCTGTTTTAATTGTCTAGTTGTTTACTCATATTCAATGTTTTGATGTAGAGAAGACCAAATCACTTCCCTCTTGGCTCCTTTTTATAAGGAACTTATCAGTTAATTTTGTATATTTTTCTATATGAATTTTAGAGCCAACTTGTCTAGCTTTAGAAAAAATCTCATTTATATATATTTTTGGAGAATTACATTACATACATATGAACTAGAAGGATACTTGATATCTTTTTTTTGTTGTGTCATCCAAATGAACATCAAGCATGGTCTTTCCATTTGTTCAGCTCTGCTTTTGTCTTTCAGGAATGTTTGAAATATTCCTCATATAGATTTTTTACATTACTGTTTGATATGCTTTTATTTTTATTTTTGTTGATAGTTTAAACTTCTTTTTCTGTCATTATATCTTCTGAATGGCTATTACTTATATAGAAATAATATCATTGATTTGGTGTTCTAAGTAAAGTCTCATACAATATGCAAATAAAGATAGTTTAACTTTTTCGATTCTTTTCTTTCTAATTCATTTCTCTTGTTTCATTGCATTAGCTAATAAGTTTAACTCTGTGTTGAATAGGAAAGGCAGAATAGCAGACATCCTTGCATCATTCTCAATTTTTACTGGAAATGCCTGAAGTGTTTACCTAGTAAGTAATATGCCAGATTTAGAGTTGCAGAAAATATATTTTTATCAATTTAAAGAAAAATCCTTGGTTTTCTGTTTTACAAAGTATTTTATCAGAAATGGGTTTTTGGATTTTATTAAAGTGCTTTTTCAGTGTTTATGACAATAGTCAAATAATTTTTTCTTTAGATCTTTTAAAATTGTGCTTATACTAAAGGATTTTCTATTATCAAACCACTCTGGCATTCATGTAATAAACTCTACTTAATCATGATATACTAATTTTGTAATGTGCTGTTGGATTCTGTTTCCTACTCTTTGGTTTATGATTTTATTTATTAAAATTTTATTTATTTGCTTTTAAAATTTTATTTTTAAAATTGATAAATAATAATTGTACATGTTTCTGGGGTACATAATCGTGTTTCAATATATATAATATAGAGTGACTCAGATCAGGATAATTAGCACATCTGTCATCTCAAACATTTATCATTTCTATTGGGAACTTTCAATATCCTCCTTCTAGCTATTTGAAACTATATAGTATACTAGTGTTAATTATAGTCATTCTACACTGCCATAGAACACCAAAATTTATTCCTCCCATCTAGCTATAATTTTGTAACCTTTAATAAATCTCTTTTCACCCTTCCCTTTTCCCTAGCCTCCCAGCCTCTAGTCTCCTCTGTTCCATTTTACTTCTATGAAATCAACTTCTTTTAGCTTCCACATAGGAGTGAAAGCATGTGGTTAACTTTCTGTTTCTGGCTTATTTCACTTAACATAATGTCCTCCAGTTCCATCCATGTTGTCACAAATGCCAGGATTTCATTCTTTTTTATGCCTGAGTTGTATTCCACTGGGCATATGTACCATGTTTTCTTTATTCATTCATTTGTTGTTGGACACCTAGGTTGATTCTGTATCTTGGCTATTGTGAATAGTGCTGCAGTAAACTTTCCTCAATATTTTGAAGTGAGATTGTCTATTTTTTTTACTGCCATTTTATTAGGTTTATATATCAATGCTAAATTTTCTTTGTAGTAAAATTTTTTACAGAAGTTAAAAAAAATTTTGGAAATGTCTTCTTTTTCTATGCTTGGAAAAATTTAAGTGGCATTCCATTATCTAATCTTTGAAGCTTTGGCTAAATACCCCCTTAAAATCATCTGCACATAGTAAAATTTGAGGGTTAGTTCTCCTTTTCTCCTGTGAAAATTGATACAAGTTTTTTTTGCTTGGTTTTGCTTTAGGAAATTTGTGTTGGGGTGTGTGGTTGGAGAATAAAGGCCCCCCCAGATACCCATGCCCTAGTCCTCAGAACCTGTATGTTAAGTTACATGGCAAAGGGGACTTTGCAGATGTGACTAAGGGTAGGGACCTTGAGATGAGATTATTCTGAACTATCTAATCATATGAGTACTTAAAAGTAGGCAGCTTTTCCCTTCTGGGTGAGAGGGATGCAACGTGAGAGGGAATTGACCTGCACCCGTTGTTGTTGGCTTTGGAAGTGGAGGAAGGGCCACCAGCCAAGGAATAGGAATGGACTTCAGAGGCTGACATGACTCTCAGCTGACACTCAAGAAGAAAACAGGGACAGCCATAAGGAAATGATTTCTGCCAACAACACAGATGAGCAGGGAATATTCTCCTCCAGAACCTCCAGAAAGGAAAGCAGTTTGCAGACACCTTGATTTTAGTTTAGTCAGATGCATATTAAATGTCTAACCTATAGAACTGAAAAATAATGCATTTGTGGTGTTTTAAGACATTACATTTATGGTAACTTTGTATGGCAGCAATAGAAAACTAATTATTATCTGGAAAGATGGGGTCAATTTTGAAAAACGTACTTTCCTATGAAACTCTCTTTGTGGGATTTTCAATTTATTTTCATAGAATTATGCAATATAGATTCATAATTTTCTTTTCTTTTCCATTTTTTTTTTTTTGAGACAGGGTCTCGCTCTGTCACCCAGGCTGGAGTGCAGTGGCGATCTTGGCTCACTGCATCCTCTGCCTCCTAGGTTCAATTGATTCTTGTGCCTCAGCCTCCCCAGTAGCTGGAACTACAGGTGTGCAATGTGCCTGGCTAATTTTTGTATTTTTAGTAGGGACGAGTTTTTGCCATGTTGGCCAGGCTGGTCTCAAACTTCTGACCTCGAGCAAACCTCCTGCCTTGGCCTCCCAAAATACTGGGATTACAGGTGTGAGCCACTGCACCTGGCCTGGACTCATGATTTTCAAAGTTTCATCTCTTTAAGTGGTTATTTCTCCTTTGTCATTTATGATTTTGTCTATCTATACTTTCTTTTCCTCAATTAAGTTAGCTAATTTTTTGGTTATGGCTATCTTTAGGTCATCTGAAACAGCAGGCTGGGGTGAGAAGGCAAAAGGCCATATTTTTATCTGATCTTTGCCATTAGACCGGCCCCATTGTCTCAGTGATGTTCTTGAGAGGTTTGGGCCAGTCTTATATTCAGCTAAATCTTATAATTCTCTTGAATTAACCTGTCTTGTAGGACTGCTAAACTTGGCAAGGAAAAACCAGCTCTCACTGATATACTGATTTTTTTCCTAATCTGTCTCACCCATAGAATCTATCCACATGTGATTTGTATGGTAAGGTATTATCACCTACAGTTAATCAAATAATGTACCATGGCATAGGAATCACCAACTTTTCAGCCTGCAATATCTGTTTCCTTTCTGATCACCAGCTGCTCACTAAATTAATATCCCATATTTTAAATTTTGTTAAGGTAGCCCCATTTCTAGGTACCAAACTCTGTGTTTGTGGAGTATGTAATCTGCTAACAAAATAATAAAATGACAGTGACTTTAAAAAGGTAAAAGTATATTTGTCTCTCATAATAATCCAGGCATAAACAAACTAGGGGTATGATATGACAGCTCTGTTATCTTCTGTTGCTCTATCACAGTCCCTGGGGGTTGCTCTGGTTTGTGTGGTAGCAGATGGCCTGATACTGTCATACTCCAGGCCTTAAGGCTGCACACATCCCCTCTGCTTGCGGCCAGCATGGCAGAACTTAGGCATATCCTACATCTCTGCATTCCTACCTGTAATGGAAACTGGAAAACGTAGTATTTATTCTCAGTACCCATTTGTTCAGATAAAACTCAGAGATAATCTTATAATGGAGGAGGGGAAGAATGAACGGTGCGGCCAACTGTTGGTGTATGCCACATCCCTTTTCTCGTGATGCTGCCCATTTTTCCTTCTTTTAAAACTAGGATGTTTTCTTGGATTTAAATGCTTCAAAATTTCCACTACAGTGAGAATTTTTATTGAGAAAAATTTAAGCTAGTATAATATTTCCTTTAGGTTTAGGTTTTTTCCCCTTATGAAGGATAGTCCTTTCATTGTATATTTTATACATAATAATTATTGTTTTAAAAAATTAGCCAATAGGCCAGGCGCTGTGGCTCAGGCCTGTAATCCCAGCACTTTGGGAGGCCGAGGCAGGCGGATCACGAGGTCAGGGGATCGAGACCATCCTGGCTAACACGGTGAAACCCCGTCTCTACTAAAAATACAAAAAATTAGCTGGGCATGGTGGCGGGTGCCTGTAGTCCCAGCTACTCGGGAGGCTGAGGCAGGAGAATGGTGTGAACCCAGGAGGCAGAGCTTGCAGTAAGCCAAGGTCGCGCCACTGCACTCCAGCCTGGGCGAAAGAGCGAGACTCCGTCTCAAAACAAACAAACAAACAAACAAACACAAATTAGCTAATAAAAGAGAAAATATCTGAAATTTCTGCACATTCAGAAAAATATCATTGTTTCAATGACTGTATTTCACATACTTTTAAAGAAACATACACAAAAACATTTCCAAAGATTTTATCTAAAGATTACCATATAGTTATCCCGTTTTCATTGAGCAAACTTCGAAAAAATGCAATTTTCTCTTTTTATCTTTTCTCTTGCCAACTGAATAACAGTTTTAATGTTTAATTGAATAAATATACATTGGCCTAGGTGGTCGGATCATTTGAGGTCAATAGTTCAACACCAGCCTGGCCAACATGGTGAAACCCTGTCTCTACTAAAAATACATAAATTAGCTGGGCATGGTGGTGAATGCCTGTAATCCCAGCTACTTGGGAGGCTGAGAAAGGAGAATTGCTTGAATCCAGGATGTGGAGGTTGCAGTGAGGGATCCTGCCACTGCACTCTAGCCTGGGCAACAGAGTGAGACTCCATTTAAAAAAAATACACACACACACACACACACACACACACACACACACACACACACACATATGTATATATATATACATCATCTGTATATACATTTAAACATTTTGGTAGTAGTTGGTTTAGAGAAATGGGATCATATTATATATTTCTCTATCTCTTACCTTTGTTACTTTACAGTATATTGTGAACATTTTTTAAATCATTGATTATAGGTTAAAATTATGTAATTTCTGCATGTTATTGAATGGTATGGTTTTACCGCAACTTATTCAAATTTTTTACCCATTAATGGACATTCACTCTTTCACCCCATTTTTTTCCCTCTGCCCTAAATACTGCATGAACCATTCCTATATACCAGTGCTTTATTTCCCTGGAATCAGTTCCCAGTAATGGGGATGTGATTTGAAGGGTATATGCATTTTAAATCTTAATAGGTATTGCCAGATTGCTTCCCCAAAAGGCTGAAACAATTTCCACCCCCTCCAGCAACGCATGGGTATATACTTTCCCACATCTCCATCAGCAACAGGCGTAATCACTTTTAATTCCTACTAATACCATATGTTTAGTAATAATCTCAATACTACTTTAATTTTTCACTTTATAGTCACTGAGTTTGTATGTATATGTATTTAGTATTTTTAGGCTATTTAAAAGTAGCATAAACATCCATGATGTTGGCCTGGCGCGGTGGCTCACGCCTATAATCCCAGCACGTTGGGAGGCCGAGGCGGGCAAATCACAAGGTCAGGAGTTTGAGACCAGCCTGGCCAACATGGTGAAACCCCATCTCTACTAAAAATCCAAATTTAGCCAGGCTTAGTGGCGGGAGCCTGTAATCCCAGCTACTTGGAAGGCTGAGGCAGGAGAAGCGCTTGAATCCAGGAGGCGGACGTTGCAGTGAGCCGAGATCAAGCCACTGCACTCCAGCCCAGGGGACAGAGTGAGACTCCGTCTCAAAAATGAAAACAAACAACAAACAAAAAACAACAACACTAACAATAACAAAACATCCATGACATTTTTAGTATTTTACTGATACATATTACACTATAAATTTGCTTGTAACAGGACACATGAACTGTTTGAGAAATAAAAATTCTATGTACAACTTTTTTTTATGATATAAAATAACCATCTAACTTACCGTTTTAATTTCAGAAGCAACTTCAAAATTTAAGTAGCTGAATTAACTGGATGTTTTATTATTGTTTAAACCCAGCAGATGACTAAAAAGTTGGTAAACTTCTACCACCAGACAAGAGTTTACCAAGCATTCCATTGTTTCACAGTAAACATATATCTAGTTTTGTAGTGTTTAAAAATACTTGGGTTACTTTTAATCTTAAATTTCTTGGTAGTTAAGTTAGATAAGGGTTGATTGCAAACTCTTCCAGATCTATATGGGTCTATGCAGGGCAAATTGCCTGTTTCAGGAGGCTAAGGTTCTGGTACTGTAAGTTTGAAATGAGTGAATAGAGCTAAAGATTAAGAGAAATAATTTTATTATAAAATTTAGACTAATGGAATCAGTGTAAAGACATCACCTTTGATTAAGTCAAACATTAAAACAATTGATTATGTTAATATAATTGATTCTGTTAAACATTAAAACCAGTGTTCACGAGTGTAAAAGTCTTGGGTTAGGTGCTTGTCAGACCAGATAATTTTCCAGTAGAATTATTAATGTATGTATTACATATTTCTCCTATTTAAAATCTGAAATGTTACAAGACTTCCTTCTACGTCATCATGTTAATTTCAAAATATTACCACTTGGTATAGTTATGCCACTCTCAGCTTTAAAAATCTATTTAAATACCCCACTCATATTTTTATGTAGGTAGTATATGTTAATTTTGTGGTCACAATTGGAAACATTTTATTTAATATTTGAAAAGACACAAACTTGCTTTAAATGCTCTTAGAAATTTGAAGTGTGTGATTACTGTAGCTGTATATAATTGACATACACATTATAGATGCCGAATTCAGATGCATGTATTGGATTATAGTAGATAATTTCTCCCCTAGTGGCATGTTTCTGTTAAATCTTTAGGGGTCTATTGGCTGCTATATATAAAGTGTCTGAGGAGCACTAGGTGAATTTTTTTATGTAAAGATATACAAAATTGTAGCCACTTGTTTTTGTGTGATAGAGACAGAAACTGATATAAATGTGGTTGTCCTTGTGGCATTTTAAACAAGCAAAAAGTTAAACTGTCTATAAAGAAACTGCATTTTATACGTTTTATTATTAAATCCACCACTGCTTTGCTGACTAATAAAATGGAAAATGTGTGCTTTTATGGGTTTATAAAAAGGTAAGCTATAGTTTCATGAAAAATATCTTGCACGGATTGAATACAGGTGGCTACTTGTTTAGACTTTGAAGATGTAAACGCTTAGTATGGATGTCTGAAAAAGGTAATCTGGCACAATAAAAAAAATCTTCCGTTCTTTGCTCATCAATCCTTTGGGTATTCCATGTCAAATAAATGCTACAACAATTTATAGTAAAAGTACACAGTGGAAGTGCCAACGTTAACACTCCTTAGGACTGGATACCTGCCAGGGTTTTCACACCAATATTTAATGTGAACTAAAATGTCTTTTTCATTGGAAGTGTGAGAGGAGCTTGCTTTCCTATATTTGGCAACGTGCTTATGTGAAGTATAAAGTCAAATGCCCGTGATGTTCTCTTTATTTCAACCATGATAAATTGTGTTCATTTGTTTAAGTGCATGTGGCAGCTTTAGTGTTCAAACTATAAATTTTGGTTAACTTCTATTGACATGCTGTATTAAACTTAAGAAAAACAAATTACACTTCACCCGTTTTAATTGACTAAATGTGTCAAAAACACAGTAAGTATAACATGAAAGGTCAGAGCCTTCATCTACACTGTAATGGGTGTCATGGCAGGGATCCAGCTTTTCTTGTACATTTCATTTTTCATGAAGTTTTAGGACAAGGCATACGTTTAACATTCACTTCCACTTCTCATTTGGACTTCAAAGTTTATCACAGGCTGTGTTACTACCAAGAACACTTTTCTCTTGTGCTATTTAAAGTTCCCTTCCAACTGACGTGCATGCCCAGAGAATACTGATGTTCTCCTGTAAACAAGGCCTCGGGAATGGATTTTGGCATTCTGAGGAATGAAATGCTGATTTATAAGCACGCCCATAGATCACTGTAGCACTCCTTGGAAAAGACCTGGTTTACATATCTAGTCCCCCCTTCCATGACTGAACCAGCAACCACGTGGCTAGGAGTTGGATTAAACTTGGCACACTGGATTCCTTTGGGATCTGATTAAAGTTACCAGTTTTAATTCTTGAGCTCTGTGTCCAATGGTTTATATAAATCTTTATGACTTCAGTAATTTATCAGCTTGACACCTGATGATTAATATGATTAATTAAGCTCTCGCTCACCTGTTGCCACACACTTCTCTCTTTTTTCCCCAGTATTATCTTTTGGTATGTTATCTTTTGATCTCCTTTCTCAAAATTAGGTCCTTTTCAAGAGTTCAAACATTAGTTTCCAGTGTGAATTTATGTCTGGAAACACTCAAAAAAAAAAAGCAGGTGTTTGGAAAGTGCTATATTTTGTATTGGAGAAAACAGTGATTCTAACTCTAAAAGTTTATTCCATTTTCATTACTATATATAAGAATCTAATTTCTTAGTACACACTTTGCCAATAAGAAACCATAGTTTTACACCAGCATTGTTGGGGGATTATCAATATTTATTCTGCTCGATGAATTTAGGGGAGGGGAAGAATAACAGAGAGTCCTCCTTATCCAAGAAGTTCAGAGAGCTGCCTGATGGAGCCTAATCAGCAGTTTGGATTCTTCTTAAATAAAGGAAGAGACCATCCTGCCCTCCCCTGTACCACACACTAATATCATGAAGATTCTCTAAGAGTGAACCTGGTTTTAAATTACAGGTTGGCAAACTTTTTGTAAAGAGCCAGAAAATAAAACTTTTAGGTCTTGGAGGCCAGCTGGTCCCTGTCGTGACTACTCAACTCTGCCATTGACAGCACAGTCATCGACATTATGTAAACAGATGAGCATGGCTGAGTTCCAATAAATATTTAGGGACAATGAAATTTGAATATCATATAAATTTCATGTGTCATGAAATAGGCTTCTTTTGATTTTTCCCAGCCATTTAAAAATGTAGACACCAGTCTTAGCTTGGGGGCCGTATGGAAACACCAGGTTGGATTTGGCCAGAGGGCCCCACACTGCCAACTTCTTCTCTGGACTAATACAATATTAATTTCTAGGTTATTTCTTCGTTATTTCTAAATTCTAGTTATTTCTAAAGTCCAAGAAGTTTGGAGTAGGGATGCTTTCTTTCAGAGTAATGCCAGCATTCTCTTAAATACAAGCATAGTTTTTCTCCCTTCACTCATGGTTTGGTCAGATCATAAATGCATTGCCATTTGGAATCTAGTCGTAGGGGAATGAGGTGTAGCAAACACAGTTGCTGTCCTCCCCATACTGGCTTGGCACTCAGGTCCCCATGTGTATCCACTCTACTGCTTCCTGCAGCAGGCATGTGAGAATCTGCCTAAGGTTTCTCTGGCCATGGCATGCTTTTGGCTTGTGGGTAGGGCATGCTGGAAGTGCTGTGGCATTAAGGTCTCTTGGGAGTAGGTTTCAGTCAACAGCTGATAGAGTTGGAAGGTAAATATCCCTTGACTGGGGTATCTCTGAGGCATAGTCCGCATTGTCCCCCAAGTTCCTGAGTGAGAATGGAGCTCCACTTGCCCAAAGCTGTGACCTGCCTTGTTTTCTGCTTCACTTCCCTCCTTCCGCACAGGTGCTTCCCAGGATCACCTCCGAAAGAAACCATTTGCTTCCTAGATTCTCAAAAGATGATGAACTCTTATTCTTATTCTTAGTTCTTATTCTTAAATTCAAAAACAGTCTTTTGTAAATGATGAAGGTGGCTGGCGTGAGTTGTACATTTTTTTTTGTTTTTGTTTTTGTTTTTGAGATGGAGTTTTGCTCTGTTGCCCAGGCTGGAGTGCAGTGGTTAGATCTCGGCTCACTGCAACCTCCACCTCCTGGGTTCAAGTAATTCTCCTGCCTCAGTCTCCTGAGTAGCTGGGATTACAGGCGCATGCCACCACACCCAGCTAATTTTTGTATTTTTAGTAGAGATGGGGTTACGCCATGTTGGCCAGGCTGATCTTGAACTCCTGACCTCAGGTGATCCACCTGTCTTGGCCTCCCAAAGTGCTAGGATTACAGGTGTGAGCCACCACGCCCAGCCTTGACTTGTAAATTTTAAATTCTTGCTTTCTCTCGTATTTAGGCAGGGCTTGCCGACTCTCCTTTGTGGACAGTGGGGATTTTCTCTTTCCCTCTTCTTTTTTTCAACCCAAAGGCAGATTTCACAGATATTGTCAGCCATGGAGCATTCCAAGAGGTGGTGTGACATCTCCATCCTGGTCTCAGTGATTGTTGTGCCCTGCACAGCATGATGCATGGCATAAGAAAGTAGGTACAAGGGGATTTTCTGCATTTCCCACCTCTTTTCTTGTTCATCCTGTGAACAAGCCAAAGGATATCTTCATGACAGTTCACTCTTCCATTGCAAAGTGTAAAATTTGAATGAATTAAACTGATATGGCCTCTTTGAAAACCACATCCTTGATGAATTTTACTCTGCACCTAGTCCACTGTGGATTTCCTTACTGGCCCTTGAACTCTGGCCTATCCATTCACTTTTCTTCCAAAGCACCTGTGTTTTATGGTGCTGGGATGAGTTATGCCAAAAAATAATTCTTTTATTTTTTGATCACCTTTAGAAAGTAGTTAAAAGTTTTTCCTTGATAACACTCTCTCCTCCATCCTCCTTTCATTAGCAGAAAGCATGGATATGCTTTCCGAACATTACCTACTTCTAGGTAGTTTTTGAAAAAATACAGCCCCTTTGCTACTTATAGTGTAAGTGGAGAATAAATAGAAATAGCCAGAAGCTTTTTTAAGGTAAGATTTTCTTAAAGAAAGAGATACAAAGTAGATAGAAGCAAAGGAGTGACACTAGGATTCTTTTTATTGCAGCAAAGGGGTGGTGGTGGTGGTAAGGCATCTGAAAATGATAAACACAAAATTGATCAGATAGAAAAGCTATGACTACCTAAATTCAGACAAATTGAAAAAGAAGCAAATTTGCATATTACCCAAAAGTTTTTTTTTTTTTTTTCTTTTAAAGACCGGGTCTTTCTCTGTCACCCAGGCTGGAGTGCAGTGGTGCTATCATAGCTCACTGCAACCTCGAATTTCTGAGCTCAAGAGATCTTCCAGCCTTAGCCTCCTGAGTAGTTGGAACTACAGGCATGCAGCACCAGGCTTGGCTAATTTTTTATCTGTTGAAAAGAGGATTCTCCTTCTGTTGCCCAGGCTGGTCTTTAGCTCCTGGGCTCAAGTGACCCCCTGCCTCTGCCTCCAAAAGTGCTGGGTTTACAGGAGTGAGCCCCTGAGCCCTGCCAAAAGTTTGTATTTTTAATAGAAGGTCCTACTACTATTACAGTTTGAATTGTTTGATTTCAAGGAATGCATATTTGAATAGATAATTAATGCCACATTAACTCTCACTTCCCATGGATGTTAAATCAATGTTGACTTGGACCAAAGATACCTTAGATAGGCTGGCATGGAGAATGATGTGAAAGGCTAAGGTAAGAAGGAAGATCAAAGGTGGACTAGGAATTATCCCTTTACAGGCTATACTTACTTCAGAATGAAATAGATGTATTCATATAGGTGTAGGACTTGAATTTGAACCTACACTGAGTTAATATGACCAGTTTTGTCCAGCAGTTGATTAAGATATCAAGGAAAGAAAAAAAACAGTTAAAAATCATTGCATGTCAATGAAGAAATATGTATTAGATGAAATCCTCTGATTTAACATTATTACAAATATGAGTTTGGATAGATCACTGGATATTCTTAACTCATTTTATACGTAGGCCCTATCCTGGATGCTAACAGTACCACAGTGACTAGGATGAAGTCTCTGCATCTTAAGCAGCCTGTAGTCTAGTGAAATCATGAGCAGCGCCCAAAATGGAAAACCCATCAAGTGGCTTTTACTTTTCGATTGTTCTGGCCTTCAATTATAATGTGGAGAATTATGGTGTGGTCTTAGCTTTGCCTCTGGTCTTAGATTTTTGTTGACTTCATCTATTTATCCATTTATTCATCCACCCACTCAATATTTTTTGGTAGCCTACCATGTGCTAGATCCTGTACTGAGTGCTTCAGATATCCTCATGGAGCCTGCTATCTTGTCTTTCAAACAAACCAACACAGATTTAGGAACACATTAGTAATCCTTGCAGTCCAGGATTTGTTAAAGTTGAATTATGGGATTATTGAGTGTCAAAACCAACCATATATGGAAGTTAAATTATGGCAGATTACAGTGTTTGAGGACTGCTTGCTGACAACATATCACTACAGTTATATGAAAACAGGAGATAATATGAAGACAGAACATCTATACTATGTTTAAAGATTTAGTTGGCAAGTGTTGCTCTTAATAATACTCATGTATTCAAATTCAGCCCAATGAGTTTTTGTTTCCTCCTGGTCATTTGAATAATCCCTCAGATAAAGTCTTTTACATTATGGAAAGATGTCCGGTTCCACATGACCACTGCCTATCTCACTCTATCATTTCTTGGGATTCTCAGCTGCACTTCATCATATATCATCACCTTTTAGCCTGTTCTGGTCACTCTATCTCACACTTCATCGCTTCTTGCATTCTTTGTGAGCTCTCAACTCTGTCACGGAATCTATCTCTGTTGTACACGAACTCATTATTTCCAAACCAAATATACAGTAATTAGGCCTTATTGGTATCTAGCACAGTTCTTTTTAGTTGATTAAAACATGAACTATTCAGTTCACTATCAAAAAGGAATAATTTCTGTGATAAAATGTGGACAAGAAGGTATTGCTTGCTATTACATAGTTTCTAGGCTTTATTCCTCCTTATGTTGATCTGTAAACTTGAGTAGGCAACTTATTAGTAGGCACCTTTGTTACATTAAACTGAAAGGAATAAAGATAAATGCTGACTGCCCTGTTGAGGTGTCACCATTATGAGTTGGTCATGTAGCTTTTGGTGATGTTAACTTAGGAATGTTATTACATTCAGTACATTTCAAAGTAGTAAATATCATTTTTTTCATTGTCTTTACCCTAAACAGCGAAATCATTTCCTCTATTCTGATTGAAAAATCCAAGCTGAATGTTTGTGAACTAATCTGGATTATCTAAAAGAAAATCTCCATGTGAGATTAAAAGTACTATTTTTATATGATTGGTTATTTTAGTAGATTTTTCTGAGTGAATTATTCTTTCAGGTTTTCTAATGCAAAGTTGTCAAAGTGTATTTTATTAAATAATGGAAATGGTCATAGCAAGTGTAATGTTGTTATTCACAATAATTATACTTTATGCATTTAGATTCTCACATTTTGCTACATGTAATTTCCCACCCTTTGCTAATATAATGATCTCAAATTACCCAGATAGATTTTCCATCACTCCGTGTCCACTAGAATCAGAGGCCAAACATTTAAAAATTCACCATCCCCACAAGGTTACTGCAGTCCTTTTTGCATGCCTTTGAGTTAAAATGTGATTTGACAGAGTTTAGGGGAGTCTGGCCAGGAATGTCAAGATATAATGTTAAAGATATGGTGATTTCTGATTATTTCATTTTACTAATTCTAGAAGTCGTGTTCATAGACATATGGTATATCTCATTGACATGACTAGCTCATTATTTAATTAGTCTTGGTGCAAAATGAATTTATACTATTAAAGGGGGAGAACATGCCTATAGAGGCACTTTTATTATTATTTAGAATAGTATTTATTCCTTAGAACATTATTTTATCTTAAAAAATCTTAAAAAATAAAACTGCCACAAATTTAGGGTTACTAACCTCCTTGGATGCCTCATCACTCTCTAGGTACTAAATCATGATATTAATCACATATGTTACAGCTAAGCAGGCAGGTGTGTGTGGTCAATTTTTAATTTTGTTTTTATTTTACTCTGGTCTGTGGAATTCTAGACTTTGTTTACTCAGAAGATGATAAGAAAACCCTGCTTTTGGAGTACTCCATAAACATTTACAAAAACAATGCTTTTTTTTCTTTAGTCAAAACAATGCATTTTATTTACCTTAATGACTGCCTGAAGTTGTAACTGGTTTGTACTTTGAAACACTTTGGTATTTTTTTTAACTTAGGGTATGTACATCAAAATACAAATAGATTGATGGGTCTTGACTGACTTTAGAAACTGGCCTTTTCAATTTAATTTCAGGAATCCAAGAAAACAAATGTTAAAATTTGCGGAATAAGAGGAAATGGTGTTATAGACCAACGGAACAGAATGTGGAACTCATAAATAAGTCCACACACCTACAACGATCTGATCTTCGACAAACCTGACAAAAACAAGCAATAAGGAAAGGATTCCCTATTCAATAAATGGTGCTGGGAGAACTGGCTAGCCATATGCAGAAGATTGAAACTGGACCCCTTCCTTATGCCACATACAAAAATTAACTTATGGTGGACTAATGACTTAAATGTAAAACCAAAATCTATAAAAACTTTGTAAGTAAGGGGTGGAGGAAGCAAGCTAGAAGGACGTTCTATAATCTCTTACTGCATGCAGACATAAAGCTTACCTTATGATTGGGTTCAGATGGCAAAGGAGGGATTACTAGAATGATGAATTTTAGAAGCCCCACAGCTGGTTTACAAAAGCACCTACCTGCCAAATCATATAGACCATTTTAGGACATGTCAAGTAGTTTAGCTTTTATTCTGAATGCTATTGAAAGCCACTGATTTTAAGCAGCAAAAGGCAAGCCAGGATTTTAGAGAGAAATGTCTGATGATAGTAATGCAGAGTGAAATGGAGGGGGATGAAATTGGAGGCAGGAAGCCATTGCAGAAGTTAAGGTGGGAGAGGATGACTTCTTGGCTTTAGACATGGAAAAGAAGTGAGGGGTGGGCACGATAACAAGTCAAAGATGACATCTGAAGTTCTTGTTGAGGAACTAGTTGGAAGTACCATTTGATGTCATTTTGCAAATGGGAATATAGAAGGAAATGGTATTAGTTTTTAAAAATTGTCTTGAAAAATTATACAAGCTCATTATAAAAATTAGATCAATACAGTAAGGTCATAAATGAAAGTTAAATATTATCTCAAATCTCAGAACTAAGAAATATTCCTTGTTAATTTCTGGTACACTTAATACCAGACATGTTTCTATGAAAAAATATACACATAGAAAGATAGATAAATTGCAGGATTTCCTCAACTTCAGATGAATGGTTTTTTTTTGTGCTGTATGGAATAATAGTGCCTAAAAGCACCCTCTAAAGATAAGGGAAAAGATTATAGAATATTTCCAGAGGCATTTTGGTTTTGTAACTATATATTACATCTCTAATATTATCCTATGAATTTGAGTTGAGTTTTAACATTCAGAATTTGAGGTGCTTATGGGACGTTCATATGAAATTGTCCTTTAGTGAGGTGCATTTGTGGTCTTGGATTTAGAGTGAGATCAGAGCTGTAAATATTGATGCAGGCAATGTTATTGTACAGCTGGAAATTCAAACCCTGAAGAAGTAACACTGGATTCATATGCAGAATCATTGAGGCCTGAGATAGAAGAGCCTGTAGGGGAACTTAAGCATTTAGGGAGTCAGTGAAATAGATGACCCCCTCATCCCCCAAAGTGTCTATTTAGGTAGAAGAAAACAAAGAAAGATTTGATGCTTTAAAATCCAGCATTGAAAAAAAAATGGAGAAAGTTGTCTGTAGTGTCAAATGTCACAGAACAATCAAGTAAGTTAAGGTGGATAATTACCCATTAGCTGTAACAATTTGGGAACAGCCTGAACAGCCATTTGGTCTCATTATGAACAGTTTTGTAGAGCAGCAGAGACAGAAACAAATTATAGTGATTGAAGAATTAGGGGGTAAAGCCCACTCTTAAGAAACTGGGATGTGAGTGTCAGAGAAAGCTAGGGAGATTGTTCTAGAGAGGAATAGAGTAGAGAATGGCTTGTTTTCTCACATGAGATGTTAGTTTTAAAAGATTATCTTGAAAAATTGTACAAGCTCGTTGCACAAGGCTCAATTGTACAAGCTCATTGTACAAGGCTCAAATATATTATACGCAGATTGTAAAATCTGAAACAGTGGAAGAGGCTGAAGTGTAGGAGAAAGAAGAGCTGGTCGGTGAAGCAGAGACCCTATGTAAGTGAGAGATGTGGGTTGCAGGACCACTTTGAGCAGGAGGCTGGATATCCCATTATCTGAGATTAAATGTGTGTAGGCATGCAGATATACTTTCCTATTTACATAAGAAGACAGGCCTTTAAGAATATCCTTCCTAAATAATGTTTAGCTGTTTGTCTCTACCCAAATCTCATCTTGAATTGTAATCCCATCAAGGGAGGGACCTGGAGGGAGGGAGGTGATTGGATCATGGAGGCAGCTTTCCCCATGCTGTTCTAATGATAGTGAGGGAGTTTTCATGAGATTTAATGGTTTTAAAAGTGTTTGGCAGTTCCCTCCTCCAACCCCTTCTGCCACCTTGTGAAGAAGGTGCTAGCTTTCCCTGTGCCTTCTGATTTGAAGTTTCCACAGTTCCCCAGTAATGGGGAACTGTGAGTCAATTAAACCTCTTTTGTTTGTAAATTACACAGTTTCAGGTCATTCTTTATAGCAGTGTAAAAATGGACTAATACAGAGAATTAGTACCAGGAGTGGGGCACTGTCATAAAGATAACCTGAAAATGTGGAAGTGACTTTGGAAATGGGTAACAGGCAGAGGTTGAAATAGTTTGGAGGACTCAGAAGACAAGAAGATGTGGGAAAATTTGGAACTTCCTAGAGACTTGTTGAATGGTTTTACCAAAATGTTGATAGTGATATGGACAATGAAGTCCAGGTGGTCTCAGGTGGAGATAAGGAACATATTGGAAACTGGAGCAAAGGTCACTCTTGCTATGCTTTAGTGAAGAAACTGGTGGCATTTTGCCCATGCCCTAGAAACCTGCAGAACTCTGAACTCGAGAGAGGTAATTTAGGGTATCTGGCAGAAGAAATTTCTAAGCAGCAAAATATTCAAGATGTGACCTAGCTCATTCTGAAGGTTTTCAGTTATATGCATTCACAAAGAGATGATTTGAAATTGGAACTTATGTTTAAAAGGGAAGCAGAGCATAAAGGTTTGGAAAACTTGTAGCTTGATCATGTGGTGGAAAAGAGAAACCCATTTTCTGGGGAGAGATTCAAACCAGCTGCAGAAATTTTCATAAATAACCAAGAGCCAAACGTTAATAGCCAAAACAATGGGAAAAATGTCTCCAGGGCATGTCAGAGATCTTCATGGCAGCCCCTCCCATCAAGGGCCAGAGGCCTAGGAGGGAAACACGGTTTCATGGGCCGGGCCCAGAGCCCCACTGCTCTGTGCAGCCCTGGGACTTGGTGCCCTGCATCCCAGCCACTCTAGCTCCAGACGTGGCTGAAAGGTGCCAAGGTACAGCTCAGGCTGTTGCTTCAGAGGGTGTAAGCCCCAACTCTTGGTGGCTTCCATGTGGTGTTGGGTCTGCAGATGCACAGAAGACAAAACTTTAGCTTTGGGAGCCTCTGTTTAGATTTCAGAGGATGTATGAAAACACCTAGATTTCCAGGCAGAAGTCTGTTGCAGGGGCAGAGCTCTCATGGAGAACATCTACTAAGGCAATGCAGAGGGGAAATTTAGGGTTGGAGCCTCCACACAGAGTTCCCACTGGGGCACTGCCTATTGGAGCTGTGAGTAGAGGGCCACTTCCCTCCAGACCCCAGAAAGATAGATTTGCTGACAGCTTGCCGCATGCTCCTGGAAAATCCATGGGTACTCATGGCAGCCTGTGAAGGAAGCTGCAGAAGCTGGACCCTGCAGAATCACTGGGGCAAAGCTGTCTGAGGCCTCAGGAGCCCTCCCCTTACATCGGCATGTCCTGGATGTGAGACATGGAGTCAAAGGACATTTTGCATCTTTAAAATTTAATGACTCTTCAGCCAGGTTTCGGACTTGCATGGGACCTGTGGCCCCTTTGCTTTGGCCAATTTCTCCCATTTGGATTGGAAACATTTACCTAATGCCTGTACCTTCATTGTGTCTTGGAAGTAACTAACTTGCTTTTGATTTTACAGGCTCGCAGGCAGAAGGGATTTGCCTTGTCTCAGATGAGACTTTGGACTTTGATTTGTGAGTTAATGCTGGAATAAGTTAAAACTTAGAAGGACTGTTGGGAAGGCATGACTGGTTTTGAAATGTGAAAAGGACATGAGATTTGGGAGGCTCCAGGGTAGAATAATATGGTTTGGCTCTGTATCCCTCCCCAAAATCACATCTTGAATTGTAATCCCCACATGTTAAGGGAGGGAACTGTTGGGAGGTGATTGGATCATGGAGTCAGTTTCCCATATGCTGTACTTGTGATAGTGAGGGAGTTTCATGAGATCTGATAGTTTTAAAGGTGTTTAGCAGTTCCCCTTCTCTCTCTCTCTCTCTCTCCTGCTGCCTTGTGAAGAAGGTGTTGCTTCCCCTTTACTTTCCATCATGATTGTAAGTTTCCTGAGGCCTCCCCAGCCATGCAGAACTGTGAGTCAATTAAACTTCTTTTGTTTATAAATTATCCAGTCTCAGGTCGTTCTTTATAGCAGTGTGAAAATGAATGAATACACTAAAAAACCTGTGTTTTATATGTTAAGAAGAGGGTAAGATAATCTGGTGTGAATGAGTAAAATGGGATTTGAAAAAGGAGTCTGAGGAATTGTAAATGTAAATAGTAAATAGTAAAGCTTGTTGTGGTAAAGGCAAAAGTAGCAGCTTAAGGACACACAAAAGGACTGCTGATCAGCCCCAAAGGCTTGACCAAAGCCGAAAGCAATATTTCTTTTTGGTGCCAGATTCCATGGCTATATGATTCTCTTCACAGAATGTAGGTGCAAAAGTGGAGCACAGAAATGGTAAGATTGATCCAGTGTTTTTTTTTCCTTTATTGTCAAGGACAATAGTCCTTGACAAGAGAACATTTCAAGTGATAGACCATGAGACTTGGGCCAGACAGAAGAGAAATGGGAGGAAGAAAATGAGGGTTTCTTTGAGGGTGACTTTAGGTGGCAATGGCAGTAGGGAGTGGGGAATCCATAAAGAGAAAGAGTTGTGACTGGGAGAGTTGGATGTGATATTTTAGATTTAAGAGATGGAACACTTTCAGTTGAAAGGAGACATTTAAAACAGTCAAAAGCAACTTGCAAAACAAAATTGTTTTCATAAAGGGAAACACATATCTGGGCGTTCCATTGCTGAAAACTAGAGATTGGAAACACACCAGCTGTGGTAGGCACACACCCTTCTAGGGTTAGAGAGATTGAGCTCCACGTGGGTGATGGAGCTGGAATGAAGCTCTGTCACTCCAAAACTGCTGACGCTGGTCTTAAACTCGTTTTTACTTTCAAACTCAAGTGATTATATGACTTTTTTTTAACCTCTTATTTTTCATTATCATACTGCCATATAGCTTAGCATATTAAATGGTAAGCACTGTGGTCTCCCTCCCATTAGGCTGTGATCTCATCTGTGGCACAGACTACATCTTATTTATTTTGTACCCCCAGTGCTTAGCAGCGTCTGGTACTTATATCAGTAATGTTTATTACCTCACATGGGAATGGATAATCACAGAAGACTTCCAGAACAAAGTATATTTTGAGCAACTGATTATCCTTTTCTATCACTGTTTTCCATATCTAACTTTCTCCGCAAAGAGCAGCATGATGCATGGTAGGTGCATAATAAATATCTGCAGTTATTTGATTATAAAATAGCCTCCTTCTTTAATTGTATAATTTTGGGCTTTGCTTTGTTGCTATTTATGTGAACCTGCACCAGAGGAACTATATTTACACAGATTTGTCAGTTTTTCTAAGCTCTGACAAAAAGTGTGTTTTATTTCCTGAAAATAAGCCTTTGAAATATTACTATGCACCTTGTTGAAGGTACTTACTGCACAACTCAGATGATGATAGAATGATTTTAATGGAAATCAAGTAGCTCTATACATTGCATGGATCCTGGTAGAGATCTAAAATGCTTCCAGACATTTAGATGTTTACTGAGAATGCTTCTGAAAACATTGTACCTCAAAGGCCGTGTCTACCTAACAAAGGTGGAAGGTTAAACCCCTAGCTTATTTTTATCCTTTTTTCTTTTAAATCTTGACTGATTCTGTATCAATCAAAATCAGTGGATAACTACTCACACAGCTCAATTGTGGTTTGGGTAAATCAAGTCTGAGGGGGTCATTTGACTTACGCAAAATGGAAAAAAAAAGCTGCCATTTTTAAAAACGTGAAGAAGTCATTTTAATTACACAAACACTTTTGTGTACTGGAAATTGGAATGACTAGTTTCTTTCAGGTGCACAAGCAGATGTCAGAGCTTGCTAGAATATTTAGCTAGCACATGCGCCATAATTCTCAAGGTTCTCTGTTCTATTTTCAACAGTGCCCTTCTTGTGTTTGACCAAAGTGGCCCCCTTTACTTTTAATATCTACTGAGAGCTTATAATTTATCAATTTATCATGTCATATCAATCATATATTATATCAATCTATCTATCATCTATCTGTCATCTAAAGAAGTTAAAAGTATCTCATCCCTGAATGTGTCTTATAAATAGTCATAAAATTTCACTTAACACATAAAAAACCATGAAGATGTAAGCACAAACTAATTAAACTGTGAACCCCAGTGAAAGTATTTCTATATTCAATGGCCATCACAAATAGGCACATCCTAGGCAGCTGAAATCTCTATTTTGAACACAGCTTTAAAAATTTTAGTGAGGTCAGAGGCCCAATGTATTACTATTTTATAGTAATTTCAAGATTTCTCACTCAGGTGGTGAGGCGATGTCATGTGTGACAAACCAAGACAAATAGTTTCTTTGAAGTCTGGGTCAGAACGGCATGGTTGGTTTTTTGAAAATTTCATAAAATGCTATTTAGATGACTTTAAACTCATAAGCAGTACCAATAAGAAATATTCTCATGGAAAAAATATATAAATCTAGAACACTTTAATTGGTTTTTTTAACCATTGATTTAAGAATCAACATTTACACAGTTGGGTATATTTTTATAAAATGCCACAAAGTTAAATAATTATATATCAGTTAATGTTCTCAGTTTCTAAAGCAAGTGAATTGTTCCTTTTTTGAAATTGAAGTCTTTTCAAGAAAGATTAAAATAAGTATGCAATCCTAACCGGATGTTACTTTAATCCTCCTGAAATATTAGTCAATAAACATTTTTCATGCCTGATTGCTTGTTTTGGTGATAAGACTTTTTCAAAATCTCCTTGGATCCAAAGGAACAACAAAGGGAACTGGAGGGCGTAAAACCTGTTACTTCTCACTTTAACCTAGACATTTGCTTTTACTTTTTTCAGATTTGGTTTGCAAACATTTTCTTAACATGTCAGGAAAGCTGAAGTCATCTTATAGCCCTGATTTCTTCCTGAGTGAATTATTTTTGGGTCAATTTTCCCCATATCTGCCTCTGGACTCTTATTGAACCGAGCCAAGCTTGGAATTCACTTTGGATGTGGATGACCAGAAGTTTCTAATAATCTGCCTCTTCTTTGAGTCTTCTTTTTTTCCCTACACCCAAAGTATCTATTGATGGGACTCATGAGACAGTATTTTCTGTCCTCTCTTTTGTTAGATGATTGTACCATTTTAAAAGATCTCACTCCCAAAAATAGGCTTTTTTTTTTCTACTTTTCTTCCAATTATAACTCTAATTTTTCTTAATGGATATAGGCTACTGAGACATAAACCAAATATAGTGTCTAGGTGCACAGTTCCTAAAGGAAGCTGCAGAATCGAAAAGGCTTATCATCTTTGACTGCCCCGCTGTCAGGTGACGAACTGCAGAAAGATGGAGGAGACTAGTTGTTCAATTTGTTGGAGAAGTAAGTTAATTAAGTCAAGGTATTTTACCCTCATCACTTCCCTCTGATTAAGTGTATCCTTTTCCTTATACAACAAATGAGAAAATTGAGGTTTGGAGAGAGGAGAGGTTAAACAACCTTACCTGTATTACAAAAGAACTAGCGAAGCAGGGATTTGAACTCAGGTCCATGTCATTTTAAGGCCTGTTTGTACTCTTGACTGTTGTGCTACATCAACCTGACCAGCTATTTAGAAACACTTGCAATAAGTCATAAGAAGTACTTTGTTATGGGAACAAGTCAAAGCTCAAAGGTTGTGTGAATCATGGGTCAGTAGTCCTGGTTGGCACATTACTGTACAATAATGCCCAAAATGACTTCATTGGTCCTAAGAGAAAAGTATTATCTCCATACCCGACCAGGTGAGTTAAGCTCTGGGAAACAAATTCGTTTAATCAAGGCCCACAGAAGTTGACTTATAAAATGGGATTTCAAATTACTTCTGTAAAGAGGATTACAAATATAGATTATTTGTGGAAGGTTTTCCCTTCCACTTGATGGATACACTTTGGAGGTCCATTAATCAATTAGAAAGTTTCTATAATCAGAACAAAGAAACAATGTTCTTAATGGATTTCCTTTTAAACTGCTGCAACTGAATTATGGTTATGGGCTGAATTGTGTCTCCCCCAAAATTCAAAGGTTGAAGTCCTACCCCCTGTATCTCAGAATGTGACTCTATTTGCAGATAGGGCCTTTAAAGAGGTAATTAAGGTAAAATGAGGTCATAAGAGTGAGAACCTAATTCAGTAATACTGGTGTCTTAATAAGACCAGATTAGGAAACAAACATTTGCGCACACAGCGGAAAGACCATGTGAGGACACAGTAAGAAGGAGGCTATCTGCAAACCAAGGAAAGAGGCCTCAAAGAGACAACCCTGCCAACACCTTGATCTTGGGCTTCAAGCCTCCAGAACTGGGAGACAGTAAATTTCTGTTGTTTAAGCTACTTAGTCTGTGGTGTTTTGTTATTGCAGCCCTAGCAAACTAACACAGTGATTAATTTTTCTTTACTGTATAATTATTTCTATTTCAGTAAACAATGTTGGCCATTGAAAGTCAGAGTTTACGCTCTCTAAACAGTACTGAATATGTACTGAATAATTTTTAATCTCCTTCCTAAACTCCATTACTTACTTGCCTCTTACATTTTCTTCACTAAATAATTAGTTTATTTTTTAGTTACCTTGATTAGATTTGGTAAAAACTCTAATGTGAGTCATCATTAAAGCTTCTAGCTAGCCACATTAAAAAATAAAAAGGGACAGGTGGAGTTAATATTAATAATATGTGAATATACATTAATATATGTTATGTAGTGTATCCAAAATATAATTATTTTAACCTGTAGTCAATACAAAATTATTAATGAGAATTTCATATCTTTTTTTATACTAAGTCTTCAAAATCCAGTGTTTATTTTACTCTTAGAGCATATCTCAGTTTGGACTGGCTACACTTCAAATACTCAGTAGTCAATGCAGCTAGTGGCTACTGTGCTGGATGTCACAGCTTTAGACTTACTGTTGAGGATTTAAGAGACACTTTCTCCATCATGCAGGAGACATATTTCTCCTGCAGTGTATTTGCAAATCTTTTTTAAGGTGAGTAGTTCTGCAGATGGTTGTTGTATGTTGGTTATTTTAAGTTTTAATTTCAGAGTGTAATAGGCTCTGACCTAAGAGGATAATCTTCATCTGATTTAGTGCCATCGTAGGTACACATTCCTATTGACAAAGTGCAATAAAAGAAAGTTCTTACTAAAGTTTCAATCAGGTAATATTTTACTATTGAGGCTTACTGATAATGTTCCATTTTCTTTTTCTTTTTTTAATTATTATTATACTTTAAGTTTTAGGGTACATGTGCACAACATGCAGGTTTGTTACATATGTATACCTGTGCCATGTTGGTGTGCTGCACCCATTAACTCGTCATTTAGCTTTAGGTATGTCTCCTAATGCTATCACTCCTCACTCCCCCCACCCCACAACAGTCCCCGGTGTGTGATGTTCCCCTTCCTGTGTCCATGTGTTCTCATTGTTCAATTCCCACCTATGAGTTAGAACATGCGGTGTTTGGTTTTTTGTCCTTGCAATAGTTTTCTGAGAATGATGGTTTCCAGTTTCATTCATGTCCCTACAAAGGACATGAACTCATCATTTTTTATGGCTGCATAGTATTCCATGGTGTATATGTGCCACATTTTCTTAATCCAGTCAATCGTTGTTGGACATTTAGGTTGGTTCCAAGTCTTTGCTATTGTGAATAGTGCCACTATAAACATATGTGTGCATGTGCCTTTATAGCAGCATGATTTATAATCCTTTGGGTATATACCCAGTAATGGGATGGCTGGGTCAAACGGTATTTCTAGTTCTAGATCCCTGAGGAATTGCCACACCAACTTCCACAATGGTTGAACTAGTTTACATTCTCGCCCACAGTGTAAAAGTGTTCCTATTTCTCCACATCCTCTCCAGCACCTGTTGTTTCCTGACTTTTTAATGATTGCCATTCTAACTGGTGTGAGATGGTATCTCATTGTGGTTTTCTTTAATAGATACTTATGAAATTACCTGCCATATGCAAGCTAGTAAGAGGGAGAATATGTGCAAGGCAGTTTCTTTGAAGTTGATTATCTGAAATATTGAAAAGTTTTAAATGATTTAAAGGGAAAAGCACTACCATTTGTTGGGTTCTTATTATATACCTGACATACGTGCTGTCACTTGTCCTTTAATAATCCTGCGAGCCTTACACAAATGAGAAGACTGCAGCTCAACGGGTTTGAGTAAATTTCCCAAGATCACACTGTTCGTAATTGTTGAAGTCTCTCATCCTAATTTGTCTAATTTTAAAGGATTTTGTGATACAGTTAAATGTTATTCCAGTGCATGCTTGATATTTGAAATGTTTCAAATACATACAAGCAACACGAAGTACATAGGAATTTAGCAAAAACTTAAGTGTAACTCTTAAGAGTGTGGGTTTTGGAGGAGGATGGACTCAAGTTCAAGTTCCAGCTTTTCCACTTACTAGTTTTTTGACCTTGGGAAAAATTTGCAAACTCCAGAAGCCTGTTTCCTCATTTAGAAAATGGGCATCATAATAGTCTCTATCTCTTAGGGTTGCATAAGGACTAAGTGAGCTAATTCAGGAAAAGCACCCTGTGCGAGGCAGACACTCTAATGACTTGCCAAACGTTAGCTACTTGTTCTTTTTTTTATCACAGGCAGTGACAGGCCTGGTACATATTAACTATTTCAATTTACAGGAATTTTCTTGACTACCCAATATAGCAGAATAATTTTTTATACATTAAATATGATTAACCAGAGAAGCCAGAAGTACTTTTCTGTAATTAACTATACAAACTGTATTAGAGAATCAGAACGGTTTTCAGAAGTAGATCTGATATTCACCAACAGCTAGAGGAGAGGACAGCACTGATGTCTTTTCTACCTACAAACTAATAGCTTTATCCTTTAAAGGTGGTGACCTTGATTTCTTTCTGAAAGATATCTGACTTCTAGGCAACACTGCTTTAGGATCTGACCTACCACCTGACCCATTTAAAATGAGATAGAAGAATAAGTTGTTCAGAAGTCACACCTAAGCCATTCAAAGTTCTTTTCGTGCTTTTGCTATGGCTAAAGATTGTATTAAGATACTGGCAACAAAAACAACGAAATGAAAATGAAACAATGAACAGAATAAAAATCGAGAAAGAAAGTTCTAAAAAAGAGCTTCCGCCCAGGGATCAAGTGCTTCCATTGGTCAGTTAGTCTTAACCTTTCTGATAATTATATTACGTGCAACAACAAAGACACAAAAGGGGATAAATGTCTTAAGAGTTATATTGATAAACTATGTGTGGTGCCCAAAAATGGCATGGAATATCTTGTTTAAGCTGTAAAAATATATTAGCATGTCATGTTATCTTCATAAATTCTTCTCACACATAGGGTGGGTGGAGTTCCCAAATCCCAAGACACATTACCAATTCGGCTGGTCACGGCAATTCATCAATTTTTTTGTCACATATTCGCAGACTCACAGTTGGGACTGAGGTATTATGATTCTGGAGGGTTTGATAATAGGTGAATTATTAGCTGTTGGGGACAGATTTGTTTCTGAGCCTTTCTGTGGCAGTCTCTTATATAGGAAGGTAATCATTCTCATGGAATTTGCTTCCTCAGACTTAAAGAGATTTCGAATATAACTTGTAATGTTTTTCCCAGTAAAATTTCATTAGTGGTTAATTATGACTGGTAGAGCTTTCCGGAAGTTCACCAAGAGTGTTGAGTTTAAACATGTCAAATTTTAAATGGGAGAGCCCTCTGTATTCTTTGTCACCATGCTTACATACATTCTGCTATTTCTTTTTAGAAAGCAAAAATACCTGTAAAATTTATTTTTTCTTAGGCTGGACACAATTTTACCTTTTGTTTTCTGAGCATTTATTTGGCACTCTCTGATTTTGGGTAAGAAAAAATTTATTCCAAGGGATATATATAAAAAATATATAAATTTATACAAATATAAATATTTGTATATATTATACATTTATATATTAAATATTATACATTTATATATTAAATATTATACATTTATATATTAAAATTTTCTTTGTGATTTCTTATTTGACTTGGGTTTCTTAGAAGTATGTTGCTTAACTTGCACGCATTTGAAGATTTTATACCTATCTTAAATTTTTTTTTAAATTATTTATTTATTTTAGAGAAGTCTTGGTGTGTTGCCTGGGCTGAACTCAAACTTGTGGGCTGAAGCGATCCTCCCACCCCAGGCTCTCAAGTAGCTGGGGCTACTGGCAAGAGCTACCACACCTGGCCAGCCAAGGAATATTTAAACAGCATCTAACTTTGATAAATATGCAAGAAGTTAAATGCTTTTTATGGCTGTTACAAATCAGGCCAGGCAAAACCAAAGGTGTGCTCAAGTCTGGTCATCTTATCTAGAAGCTTCTGAAAGAAGCCAGGTCATATCAAAGGCAGATAAAACAATAAATTTCTCTTCCAAAAGTGCACATTTATGGGAAACAGAAAGAAGAGGAAACACAAAAGAACGCAATAAACTCAATATATTTTTTCTCAGTATGTTTCAAGTGTCTATTTTAGAAAGTTATCTTCCTATTTAGATACCAACTTTATTTCACACATTGTCATCAACTTCAAAATTATCTTGATAATTAACATTTTATAAATTGCTTGTATATTTTTCAGTGAGGTGGGGGAGGATATGCAAATAAAAGAGGTTTTCCAAAAAGTCAATACAATATATAGTTACGTTGGAATAATTGAACCTACCTGGGAATATAATGTTGTCAGACTTCTGTGCTGCTTTACTGCAGACTAGGTTTATCTGAAAACTGCAGCTAAAATTTCCTGACTGGAGGATAAAAAAGGAGAAAGGACAAAATTTAAAGTTGGAGAAATGGTCACCTTGGCCATGGAACTCTGGCAGTTACATCTACTGCAAACGGTCCAAAATACTAGAGTCAACTTCAAACCTTGTTAAAGAGTTTTACATGGGTGAGAGGTATCTCTGTTTCGATAAAGAATTACATGGCTGAATGATCTGGAATAAGGTAATGGCCTAAATGGTATTTGGTTATATGCAGTCAAGGATTTGTAATTGAAATGAGGTATGAGTAAGAGATGATTTCTGTTAAGTTATTTCAAGCTCTTCTGTCAGCCCTATCCCATGCCATCTTAGAGAACCCTTGGTTTAGGACAGACTCAGTCCTGGATTTTCTTATTTAAAGTGCACTGCGGAGGATACAAAGGAAATCTAAGTCATAGGCTCTATATTCTAGAAATGTATACGCTATTTTGGGAAAGCAGCACTCACTCATAGGAGAAGATGGAGGGGAACAGCAATGAGGGCTTGAGCTGCTATGAAATAATAGAACTTGGATAGGCACTGAACAGGGAGGATGACAATCTAGGCATATGCTGGGGTGACCAAGCTGAACAGGAGCTAGCTGAGGAATTAGACATTCTCCCTCTTACCTATTTGTTTAACTCAGCCATTCACTCAACACATGTTTATTGGGTATCCACCATGGATCAGGTGCCTTGCTACGGATGGTAGTGCAGAAGGCAATGAACATTGTTGCCCTCATGAAGTTTAAGATCTAGCAGGCAGCAGGCACCAAATGTGAAAACAAACGTATGTATTTAACAAGAAGCTGCAATAAGTAGTAGAAAAGAAAAACAAGACGCCATGAGAAACACTACAGGTCGAGGAAAACAGGTCTGAAGAAAAGACATTTAAGCAGAGACTCAAAGGATACACAGATTGAGCATCTCTTATCTGAAATGCTTGGGACCAGAGTGTTTCAGACTTTGGATTTTTTTTTTTGAATTTTGGAATATTTGCATATACATAATAAAATATCTTGGGAATGGGAACCAAGTCTAAACATGAAATTCACTTATGTTTCATTTTATACACATAACCTGAAAGTAATTTTATATAATGTTTGTATTCTTTTGTACATGAAACAAAGTTTTGATTGTATTTTGATTGCAACCCATCATACGAGGTCAGGTGTGAAATTTTCTTTTTTTTTCGTTTTATTTTTATTATGATACTTTAAGTTTTAGGATACATGTGCACAATGGGCAGGTTTGTTACATATGTATACATGTGCCATGTTGGTGTGCTGCACCCATTAACTCGTCATTTAGCATTAGGTATATCTCCTAATGCTATCCCTCCCCCCTCCCTCCACCCCACAACAGTCCCCGGTGTGTGATGTTCCCCTTCCTGTGTCCATGTGTTCTCATTGTTCAATTCCCACCTATGAGTGAGAACATGCGGTGTTTGGTTTTTTGTCCTTGTGATAGTTTGCTGAGAATGATGGTTTCCAGCTTCATCCATGTCCCTACAAAGGACATGAACTCATCATTTTTTATGGCTGCATAGTATTCCATGGTGTATATGTGCCACATTTTCTTAATCCAGTCTATCATTGTTGGACATTTGGGTTGGTTCCAAGTCTTTGCTATTGTGAATAGTGCCGCAATACACATATGTGTGCATGTGTCTTTATAGCAGCATGATTTATAATCCTTTGGGTATAGTCAGGTGTGAAATTTTCTACTTGAGGTGGACCTCATGGATCTCACTTTGCTTCCTTCTGCTCTCCTGCTGGGCTTCTACTGGCTGAAGCCAACTAGAAGTCAAAAGGTGATGTATTCCACGCATGTTGGCCTCTCAGTGTGGAGATTAGGGTCTGCAAGGTGGAGCGGTGATCTTGGGGAAAAGGGAAGATGTCCCCCACAAAAAGTCTACACAAAACACCTATTATGGGTGAAGCTTAGTTGTAGGGTATGCAAGAGAATTGTTAGCCTTGTGAAAAGATTTATGAAGCTTTCTTCAGTTTTAAATCCCTCTGTGGTGTGGTGTGAGCTATTAGAATAAAAATTACTGCTGCCTGGATACTATTAAATAGACTTTTCTCCTGAGATTTCTCCGGCTTAGGAATTCAGACTTTTCTTCATGGGCTTCATTTTCTCCTCTCTGTCTACTATGATGCTATTGAAATCATGCATGTATGGCAGTGTCCTGGAGAGTGCAACTGGCCAGAAACTTCTCATACCTGAGCAAAGTGCTGTCAGAGTCACTCAGGCACCTATGCACATTCTTATAGTGACACGTTTCCTCCTGACAATTGCTCTGCTCTTTCTTAGGGTGGCTTTGTAATTTTTTTTCTCAGCAAGGCCATGGGTGTTGAAATAAAGGAAGGCAGAAATTGAAATGTGTCGATAATACAGTCATCCCTTGGTACCCAGGGGAGATTGATTCCAAGAATCCCTCAGATACCAAACTCTGTGGATGCTCAAGTCCCTTCCCTTTTATAAGATGGCACAGTATTTGCATAGAACCTGTGCAATAAATAGGATTTGCATAGAACCTGTGCAAATACTAGGCCATCTTATTTATGAGTTTGGTATCTGAGGGGTTCCTGGAATCAATCAGATTGATTGATTATTCATTCTCCCATGTACTTTAGATCATCTCTAGATTACTTGCAATACCTAATACAACGGAAATGGTATGTAAATAGTTGTTATATTGTATTGTTTAGGGAATAAAGACAAGAAAAAAAATCTGTGCACGTTCAGTACAAACACAATAATCAGTATCTCCCCGCCCCCAACCCCCCAGAATCTTTGAACTGTGGTTGGTTGAATCTGTAGTTGGCTGAATCCACAGATGCAGAACCCATGCACATGGAGGGCCAATTGTACTAGCTGACATTTGAGCAGTGGGATTCCTGTGTCAGACAAAGGAATAACGGTATTTAACAAATAGCCCCAATTCCCCTTTCCATCTTAGTTTCAGATTCTGCAGGAAAAAGACAGCTCTGAAAATTTATGAGCCATAACTTGCTCTCCATTACTTTGTCACCCGGTAAGCAATGAGCACCCAAGCCTAGGGGTCACCTGCAGGACTAGAAACCTTTGTAATTTCACAGGGGGAAGTTCATTGGCTGTGGGAGGAGTGATGAGGTGCTGAGAGGCCACTCAGTCAACAGCAAGCCTGCTGAATAGTTTTATTAATAATAAGAGTATACATGTGTACAGAGCTCTGTAGTTATAAAATTTTCCCCAAATGTGAGAATCTCAGTTAATTCTTATGGTAGCGCTGTGAGTCAGGCAGGGCAAGAAGGACTAACTCCCATCTCAGATGAGAAATTGAGCCTCAGAGGCAAACTGACCTGCCAGCCTCCTATGGCTGGGAAATGACAGAGCTATAGGAAACCAATTCCTTTTTTTTTCTTCCTTCCTTCCTTCCTTCCTTCCTTCCTCCCTCCTTTTCTTTTCTTTTCCTTTTTTTCTTTCTTTTCTTTTCAATCATAAAAATTTCCAATGAAAGATTTCAAAGCAGAGAACATCTAGGCCTCTTATTGTTCTCAGATAATTTGAGGATGTAGGGGTAACACTTTCTTTCACTGAGTTTTGTTTATAAGATTGTCGAATGAGAGAAGAACTGTAGCATTGGAAATAAGGTAATGCTCTGTTTGAATTGTTGTTTAGATGCCCCTTCTCTTGTTTTCCCCTTTTCAGAATACTGGTAGCAGAACTGGAAGCTATTCAAGGACAGCACAAATGCTTACTCATCTTTTTATTTGTATAGATTTAGGGGTACACGTGCAGTTTTGTTACATGGATATATTGCATAGTGATAATATTTGTACTTTTATTGAGAGAGGAGTTATATAATCTGACTTGCAGTCTTCAAAAGGCTCCTTTAGGCTGGGCACAGTGGCTCACGCCTGTAATCCCAACATTTTGGGAGGCTGAGACAAAAGTATCTCTTGAGACCAGGGTTTTGAGACCAGTGTGGGCAACAAAGCAAGATGCTGTCTCTAAAAAAAATTAAAAAATTAGCCAGGCATGGGGCAGCATGCCTGTGCCCAGCTACTTGGAAAGCTGAGGTAGGAGGATGACGTGAGCCCAGGAATTCAAGGTTACAGTGAGCTACAACTGCATCCCTGCACTTGTAGGACTGAGCGAGGCCCTGTCTGTAAAAAATTTTTTAAAAAGGATCCTTTGGTCATTATGTTAAGCACAGATACTGAACTCGGATGGAAGCAGAAAAGTGCAACTAAAAGGCTCTTGCAACAATCTAAGTGAGAGATGATGATGTTGGCTGGATGGCTTGGACAGAAATGGTAGCAGAGGAGGGGATAAGGAGTATTAAGACTTGGATATAGTTTGAAAGCACAGCCAATGGAATTTCCTGACAGTTTCAATGTGAGTTGTAAGAACAAGAGAGGAGGCAAGGATGAATATAAGTGTTTTGGCCCAAGCCACTGCAAGGGAGGAGGCTTGATCAATGATTATGGGGGGAGGATGGAGGTGAAACAAATTTAAAGGAAAGACAGAGTTCAATTTTGGAAATGTTGAGCTTAAGGTGCTGCACATTTGTATCAGTTGATTTTTTCTTCTGTACAACAAATTAACAGAAATGTAGTGGCTTAAAACAACATTCACTTATGAACTCAGTTTTTTAGGTCAGAAGCCAGGCAGTGCACAGCTGGATTCTCTGCTCAGGGTTTCATAAAGCTGAAATCAAGATGCTGCAGGCTGAGTTCTTGTCTGGAGGCCTTAGGGAATGATCCATTTCTGGGCTCATCCAAGTTGTTGGGAGAATAGAGTTTCTTTTGGTTGTAGGACTGAGGTCTCTGTTTTCTTGCTGGCTGTCAGGGTGGGAGCTGCTCTCAGCAATGGAGGTCACTTTGGGTTCTTGCTCCATGACGCCCTCCATCTTCACCAGTGGAAAATTTCCCTCCTGTTGAATTCCTCTCCTGCTTTAACTCTCTGATTTTCTTTTCCGAGGTCAGTGGAAGAAAACTCAATTTTTAAAGGGCTCATGTGATTAGACTAGGCCCACATGAATATCTTCATTTCTTAAATACAATGAAACATAACAACTACGGGAGTGAGACCCATCATATTTACAATCTTAGGGATTTCCCAGAGCCAGAAACCTTGCGGGACCATCTTGGAATGCTGACTACCACAGCATCCAAGTAAGGATGTCGAATAGACAATTGGATATTCACATTTAGAGTTCAGGAGAGAGAGAAAGCTTGAGAGTATTGGGGTATAGATGGATTTAAAACAGTAAGACTGAGCTCACTAAGAATCAATGTAGATGGAAAAAAGAAGTTCAGGGACTGAACTTCAGGGAGTGTCAGCATTAAGAGATCAGGGAAAAGAGGAAGCCAAGTTTCACACACAGACACACACACACATGCACACACACACACACGAATATCAAATGTTATCAGTTTGATCAATTGTGTCAAACTGATTAATTCAACCCATTAATTCTGCTGATGGATCAAGTAACATAAGGACAAAAATTTGATTTTTAGATTTAGCAACATGGAGGACTTTGATGACCTTTATGAGAATGGTTTTTTATGGAGAGGAGAGAGTTAGTTGTCAGAGTGCCATGAGGGAGAATGCAAGGAAGCTAATTGGAACCAGTGACTTTAGCCTATTGCTTTAGAGGGTTTGCCGTGAAGGGCACAGGGTGATGATAATAGCTTGGGGAAGGGGAAGTGGGGTCAAAGATGGGATGAAAGGTGGGGTTAAAGATGGGATAACTAACATGTTTGTATGTTGAAGGGCGTGGTTAGTTAGAGAGGAAAAAATGGTGATGAAGCAGAGAGAGGTGAGAATTGCCACTGTGGCATATAGAAGGTGAATGAGCAAGGATCAAGTGAACAAATGGATGGATCAGCTCTGGATAGAAAGAAGGATGTAGTGCCCATTTACAGCAATGGGTGGGAAGACATAGTATTTGGGTACAGATTGGGTCACGGCCTACAGATATGTAGTTTGTGTTCTGCTCAGGGTTTTCTGCCTGAGGGAAGAGTGGAAGCTGAAATTCAGTAAAGCTGTGTGTTCTTCGTGTGGGGCTGAATCTACCCAGTGGAAGGGACATAGATGTATCCTTTGGGGTTACAGATGCTCCTAGGCGGTGTTGTGGGCTGAATCGTGTTCCCCTCCTTCAAATTCCTATTTTAAAGTCTTCACTCCTAATATCTCAGAACTGTATTTGGAGGACTTTAAAGAAGCAATTAAGGTAAAATGAGGTCATAAGTGTGAGGCCCTTATTCAATGTGACGGATATCCTTATAAGACGAGGAGAAAACAGACACCAGAGATGCAGGCATACAGTGACAAGATGTCCATCTGTATGCCAGGGAGACAGGCCTCAGAAGAAACAGCCCTTCCAACACCTTGATCTCGGACTTGTAACCTGTAGAACTGTGAAAGAATAAATTTCTGTTGTTTAAGCCACCCAGTCTGTGGTGCTTTGCTATGGCAGCCCGAGCAAACTAATATAGGAGGGTAGATGTGATAATGGAAGTCCATGAGAGTTCTTTCGGATTATTTCCACTTTCTCAGATATAATCTTTAAAATGCAACCATGGAGATGTTGTTGCTACAACATCTCTGCTCAGAACTTGACTCACTCCCTTGGCAAAAGTGCTGTGATCTGCCAATATTGTGTTGATTCTTACTTGGTAAATAATGTCAAATAGCATCAAAAGCTCAATATGAAGATATGGCATATAAGGTATGAATGCTTTGTAATTGTATTCTGTCCTGAATCCCACTAAAGCATAGCCTATTGAACTGTGAGTACTATATTAATTCTTCAGCTTTACTATGTTGAAGTCTAAGTAAATGAGAATACCATTTAAACCACTTAATATTCAAGTACACATTAAATCTGAGACAGTGAGTGTGTCTAAAAGTATCTTCAATGACTTATCTTAGTCATAAAAATCATGTGTTTTATTGATATGGTTACACTATTAAGATATTCTAGCACCTTTCCTGTATCTGTAATACATTAAAGGCTTTTCTTCTGAAAGTCTTTAAGTTTTCTAAATAGGTATAATTTACAAATATTTATACTCACTTTTGATTAAATTACTTTAAGCAAAAATAAAGCATGTTAACACATGAGTAGAGGTGAGAGTTATAACAATTAACTTCTAATTTTTATTTAATAATTCTAAATTTCTGATTATAAGAACCTCAACATTGCCAGGAATATTATATATTTAAATTGGAAAAACATCACTAGAACAAATACATTTTTAAGAAAATTCAATGCCGTCACAGGCTGGCTCCTTCCTTCCCACTTGTGATGTTCTCCTCTGTAACTTCTCCCCTTTAACTGTATTAGACAGGATTCTCCGGAGAAACAGAAGCAATAGGATATATGCAGACATATAGAAAAATATTTATTATGACACGTTGGCTCACACAATTATAGATGCCAAGAAGTCTCAGAGTAGCTGTCAGCAAGCCCAACAAAGCCAGTGGTGTAGTTCTAGCCCAAGCCTGAAGACCTGAAAACCAGCAGTTCCAATGTCTGAGGGTAGGAGAAGACAGTTGTTCCAGCTCAAGCAGACACAGTGAATTCATCCTTCCTCTGCCTTTCTGTTCTATCTGGGCCCTCAATGGATTGGACGTTGCCGCCCGTATTGATGAGGGCAGATCTTCTTTACTCAGTCAACAGATTCAAACACGACATTTTTCAAGAAACACTCTCACAAACACACCCAGAAATAATGTTTCACCAGGTATCTGTATCATCTTAAGTGTGCTTAAGTTGATACAGAATTAGCTATCATATCACCTATCCCAAACTCCCAAGTTCTTTAAGATCCTTCTCAAATCCCACTGCTCAATAAAGCTGACCCGAGAACTCCAGCCTGCATCAAACTCTGCTTCCTAAGCAGACACACACCTATTAGCTGTATCATTAATTTACACACAATTGTTTAGAACTGATTACATGCAGCTTCACACAGTACTACATATAGTTATTTAATTTTTAGCGCATGCAATTATCTCTCCCATTAGTTTCTGAGATGTCTAAAGGCAGGCAGGTCACACTTTCTGTTCTGAGGGCACATTAGCTATATATTTTGTTGAACAAATTATTATTTTTTCATTTATTCAACCACCACTTACTTGGTACTCACTATAAGCCAGGGACTGTGCTAAGTTCTTGGCATGCAAGGATTCTTCTGTTATTTATTAATTCAATCCATTTGTATGTACCAGGTGCCTGAGATACAGGCATAAAGTAAATCAAATCTCTGGTTTCATGGGCCTTACATTTTAGTAGGGGGACAGATAATAAAGAAATGCAGACATATATTTTATCAAGTAATGATAAGGGCTGTGAAGAAAATGAAACAAAGTGATAGAGGGTGGAAAAATGGGAGGGTGAGGATGTTTTAAAGAAGATGGTCAGGAAAGGTCTCTGAGGAGATGGCATTGGAGTGGAGACCCAAGTGAAGTGAGAGAGAGAGAGACAAGCAAATCCCTGAGGGGACAAAGTTTCTGGCAGAGGGAACGGCAAGTGCCTGAGACGAGAGTGCCCTCGGCATGTCCCAGGCGTAGCAGGTTGGCGAACTGCAGCTAGAAGGCCTTGAGTGACAGGGAGAGCTCCCTGGAATCAAGGTCAGAGAGAGAGGCAGAACCAGTCCACAGCAGACTTTAAAGGGTTTAACTTTATGCGTGATGGGAAGACATTGGGGGGTTCAGAGTAGGGGACTGATGTGGTATAATGTGTGATACGTGAGACCAGTGAAAAAGACCCTGTAGCTGCACAAAAGAGACTTCAAATTTATTATCGAAAGTTCTACTACACAAACATTCATAGACATTTATATAAAACTATGAAATTGTAAAAAAGGAATCTACCAGAAATAAAAATAATCTGCTCTGTGTATGGTCTGTACAGAGTGCATATATAGGTGGGTAATTGTAGGAAATGGAAAATAGCAAATTAAAATGGAAGATTATAGCCTCAAAAGTTACAAAGATAAGAAATATAGCATTTAGGAACTGAACACTCAAATCAAAGAAATGCAATTTATTTATCTGAGAAATAAAAGGTGTGGCTAAATTGAGATTTTGCTTTTATATTTTAATGTCTCAAGGTATAAAGATATGATTTAAACACTCTCTTTAGGAATATAAATTACTGTTAATTGAATTGTAGGTCCCGAACAATGTTTAGTGAATATTTACAGTGAACATTTTCCTCACACTGGGGCATAGTGACTATCTGGTAAGTTGGCTTGAAGAGCTGTGAGGTAGACACAATATGGTCTTAAGGTATTAACTAATCCAAGCTCCTTTTTCTGTTCACAGATGACCTCTTAATGCTGTACATAAGAGATTTGGGTTGTAATATTAATTTTGTTGTTAGTGTGATAGGTGACTTGTAGCAAGACAAAATAAGGAAGGTCATCGCTAATGTCTATTGAGTGCTTACCCTGTGCCAGCGACTATGTGAGCTCTGTGCCTTACATTGCTGTTTTAAGGGCTTCACTAATGGCTTTCTTTACCAGAATTCTTTTTGTTATTTATTTTTATTGTCAAATTATAATTATACATATTCTTATGAGGTACAAAGTGATGTAATGATATATGTATACAGTGTGGAATGACGGAATCAAACAATTAACATACCCAGCACCTGAAATACTTATCATTTGTTTCTCCTGTCTAAATGCAATTTTGTACCCTTTGACCCACATCTCCCCATTCTTCCCAGGCTCCCAGGCTCTAGTAACTTCCATTCTACTCTTTGCTTCTATAAATTTGATTGTCTCATGTAAGTGAAAACATGGGCTATTTGTCTTTCTGTGCCTGGCTTATGTCACTTAGCATAACGTCCTCCAGGTTCGTCCATGTTGTTGCAAATGACAGGATTTCCTTCTTTCTTAAGGCTGAATAGCATCCTATTGTGTAGATATACCACATTTTCTTTATCCATTCTTCCATTGATGGGCACTTAGATGGATAGCATAACTTGTTGTTGCCAGAGTTCTGAACCAAATGAGAGGGATTCTCGGTCAGATGGGGAATCAACATGTCACTTTTATGATGAATGAAGCTAATATCAGACAATGTGGCAACAACAGGCTTCCAAATGCTGAATCCTGGTATTACACAGATTTCTGCATGTAGTCTCAGGCCATGCTGGTCAAAAGTGGGATTTTCCATATGAAGGATGATCTAAGAGGAGCAGGAAAGGGCAGATTCTGTGGGCAGCCGCTCTTAGGAGAGAGGGAGAGAATGGAGCTGGGCTATAGGACCCTGCTTCATCTTTCAGAGTCACTAGTCAGGGATATTTAAGGCCACTGAATGGGGAAAAACCCTTTTCCATGGTAATGGTTATATATGCTCATTTATTAGTAATTCTCACAGCAACTCTATAAAGTTGGTCTTATACAATTTTACAGACACAGAAACAGAGGCACAGAGAAGTGCCACAGACAACTTGCCCAAGTCCCCCAGTGAGGATGTGGTGGAAACAGCCTTTGCATCCAGTCAGTCTGGTCTGGCCCCTAAGTTCACATTCGCACCCACTGTACCCTCCTGCTTCTCCAGTCTTTTAAAGCTGAGATTTGTTATCTGAGAAAATGAAGGGGTTAGATTAGAAAAATCTCTAAAGTTCCTTTCAACTTTAAAATACTTTAATATGCTATTAGGTTTCTTGTAAAAATATTTGGGTGTGTGAAGTATTTTAAAGTCCTCAGGGAAAGGATAATGTGGAACAATATTATATACAACTTAAAATGCTATTTTGATGAGAAGTCATAGTAGGTAATTGTAACCCAATTCTGTTTTCAATGTGGAAAACTTAACAGCTTAAAAAGGAACAGACAGATGGAATTTTGCTAATGTGTCCAAGAAGGAAATATGATTTCACATGCATATTATATGCAAGTTTATGAATGCAGTTATAGTGTCTGGAACCTGGCTAGGAAACTATGATGAAAATCAGTGAAGTAAAATATCAAAATAAAACATTGCATGACAACTTCTAACGGGGAGCAATGGTGGGACTTTTAATAAAACCACTTGGGGATATTAATGTGATACGTAAGTGGCTGAAGGGTTCTGAGTTTCCCTGGTGATATTCATATATCACAGAGTGAATGTTAACGGGCAATAACTCAAGAAATGGCATGTTTAGCATACCAGTGGAGAGATGCTGGAGTTGTGATCACCAATGGTACATTATAACATTTTACTTTGAGTCAGAAGTGAGTAGACCCTAGCTTATAATTTCCTAACAACTTGTTTGGAGCAAAGTTTTGGGATTATAATCTCAATTAAGGATGGAATGTATGTCTTAGGTAACAAATTCACCTTTGTCTATGTGAAAGGGTAGGGACATTACCAACATATTTCCAATGAAACAGCTTTTGGTGCATTCATGGTAGCAGAGAATTTACTCCACATTTAAATACACTCTGGGTAATTAGGAATTGTACTTTTAGCAGGAGATTAAAAAAAACTCTTAACATTTTAAAAATGGCTTTAATAGTAGTTCTGATTATGCAATTAATTGTTCAAATAACTTCAATTTTTATGTTAAAATCATTTGGTAGTTGGTAAGTGTAAAAGACCTTTATTCCATGCAATACATTTAAATTCTAGAAAATGAGCTTTCCTCTCATCTTCCACCAAAACGACTCAAAAGAATGGCACTGCCTTTACTAATTAAAACATATATTTGATAAGTATGACTTTTTTCTTTCTAATATTTCCTTTATTCAGGGGTTAAATATAAATTCTTGGCTTGTATCCGCCATCCTCTTGAGTAGCACTATTTTCCAGAATTATTCTGCTGGCATCTGAGGGGTTCATTCTGAAGTAGTTTTTTTTTTTTTTTACCTGTAGTTAAACAAAGATTTTATTTGCCTACTGGAACATTATGTATACTTGCTCATCCCAAAAGGAGTGTGTGAATGTGTTTAAAACTATAAGCTGAAATTATTTCTTAAAAAATTATGGTATGAAGGGGATACTATGATTCTTGATTTCTATAAAAAGAATTATTTCTTAGATATACAATTAATCTCTATATACTATAATTTGCTTCTAATGATAGGTTTATTTTATTGATTACTATCTCAGGATAGAGGAGATGAAGTCTTAAGGAGCAGAGTTGGTGTATTCAAAAGGTAAATGACACTTGCCAACTTGCCAACCTGGAGCAAAGTGACTTAATAAAATAAACAGAAAAGCACCAGGATTCTTTCTTTATTGCAGTATTACAAGTGTAATAATGTCTCTAAACATGTAGAATAAAGTAAACTGATGCTACCTTATTTGACTCCTAATAAATTATGTTGATAACTTGTTAAAAACAAATGATTAGCAAGTAGTATGAATGTATAAATGAGCTGAGATGTATTAAAAAACTACTAACATCCAGGGTGTAATGACTACAGAGAAGACAAGAAAGGGGATGGCTGAGCAGTGAAACTTCATTTGCTACTTATTTTGAGAACAGTGACCTGGACCTCTTGTGAAATATTCTCTTGTGATTTCTCCACCTATAAATAACTTGCTTTGGGTCTGATGGCTTCTAATCAGTGAATAATGATTGTCAACCGGGCCTCAGTTATCAACAGCAACCACGGAAGCATTTATGGGGCATTTAATCCTCATAACAACCCAGTGAAGTCAGGAATATAATTATCTTCATTTTACCCACGAACAAACTAATACACAATTTAGGCCATTTGCAAAAAGATCATCAAATAATGCAAATGTAACAAAATATTTATTTTACCCCTGCTATGTTTTAGGCATTGTGCTGGTCCTGAGGATGAAACAGAAGACAGTCTGTACTCTCAATTCCTGTATAGTCAGCCTTCTGAGAGAAACAGATGACTTCCCGGTCATTACAATATAGAGGCAAAGAGCTAATGCTTGCAGTTCTGCCTTGGTTTGCTGCAAGATATAGAACACATTTATAGGGTCTGAGGGAAGAATTCAGCTGACAGTAGCAGAGGAGGCTAAAAGTGTTCTCTTTCTTGTGTGTGCTTGCTAGTGAAAATAGTCCAAGTTTATCTTTTTTGTGTTGTTGTTTTTTGAGACAGAGTCTCGCTGTGTCACCTAGGCTGGAGTGCAGTGGTGCGATCTCATGCTCACTGCAACCTCCGCCTCCCAGGTTCAATCAATTCCCCTGCCTCAACCTCCTGATTAGCTGGGATTACAAGTGCACGCCACCACACCCAGCTAATTTCTGTATTTTTAGTAGAGATGAGGTTTCACCGTGTTGGTCAGGCTGGTCTCGAACTCCTGACCTCAAGTGATCCACCCACTTCAGCCTCCGAAAGTGCTGGGATTACAGGCTTGAGCCACCGCACCCGGGCTGTTCATCTTTATTCTGCTAGATCCACAAGGCTTTAGTTCTTTGTAACCATATCATAGCTTACCACTGTACCACATGAGAAGCTACTCCTCTCTTTTGCACATGTAATGCCAGAACCTAGATCTTACGTTTATTTCCAGGGCTGTGTTTAGGAGGGTACTTATCTATTGGGCCAAAGAAAATATACACTTGAGAAAAACACTGAATAATTTTCGAGATACATGGAATTTAAAGCTGGCTGTTTATAAGATCAAGTTACTATTTATAAACTCTCAATTTTAATATCAGATGTTTTAGCTGCTGAAGAATGTTTTATTTGTCATTTTGAATGTTTTAACATTTAGAAGCTCACCATTACATGTATTTTCCAGACACAGGGAACAATTACATAGATTTATAGCATCAGCAGAGCCAGTTGTAGATCTGACTAGATTTAGAAATGAAATGTATAACACACTCGGTCCGTCATTGAAACTCTAAATAGTGGGAGTAGAGCACCAGGATATCGTCTGCTCTGCTTCTGTTTTCTAGGAACTGCCTCTCCCCTCTAAATTCACACAGTTGTCATAGGTGCCACCATGTTTCTAAATGTGACAGTTGATTGGTTCAGGGTGGGAGGAAGATCCAAGCTAGGCTAATTGCATTATCTCACTATTTTTTTCTCATTGAGTAGGCTTGGTTAGTCAGAGTTTATTCTATTTCAGTCCCAGTTGGGTGAAGTGCAATTCAATTCTGGCATTAATTACCTGAAATTAGCAAGCATCAGACTCCCCATCCTTTGCAAAATAGCTGTCACTTCAGGCAACAGTTGCAAGTGGGATTCCCAGGCCACTCACATTTCTGACTCACCAGCTACATACTTGGAGGCTTTTATAAGTTCAATAATTTGCTAGAACAACTCATAGAACTCAAAGTGTGATGCTTACAATCACAGTCTTCTTATAAAGGATACCACCCAGGAATAGCCAAATGAAAGGTCACACAGGGCAAGGTCTGGAGGGTTCCAGGAGTGGATCTTCCATGCTCTCTCCTTACAGAGTCAGGGTGCCCCACCTTCCCAGCACATCAATATGTCCATCCACCAGGACATTCCTCTGAGCCTCAGTGTCCAGTCTTTGTTGGGATCTTATTACATAGGCATGATTGATGAACTCATTGGCCATGTCATTGCAGTCAATCTGTAGCACCCATCCCTTCCCTACAGGTTCAGCGATGGAAAATTCCACCCCTCTTGTCATATCCTTGGTCCTTCTGGTGAGCAGCCTCCATCCTGAAGCTAGCTAGGGACCTATAATGACTCACTTCATGAGCATAATGAAGACTCATATTATTCAGGAAATTCCAAGGGTTTTTGAAGCTCTGTACCAGGACCTGGGGGCAAAGATCCAATATATTCCTTGAAAGTAGAGTCTATCGTCGGAAATTCTGGTATTAGAACTGAGTGAAAAAAAATCAGTTTCTTTAGCTTCCAACTTTAGACTCCTATATGGTGAAAGGTAAGACTTAGGGCTGTTGGCTGCTATTTTTCACCAGAAAAATAGAATCCAATGTGTAAGGAGAAAAAGAGAAATGAAGCAGATGAAGACAGGAGAAGTTATGAATGAAGGAGAGAGTAAGCGCTTAGAGATTTGAGTCCCTTTTCCAACTTCTTCCTGTCCTCGGCTTCTTTGAGATTCCACATTATCCTTACTAAATATCCTTTGCTTCTCATTTCGTCCAACTCCAGCTGAATTTCTTAAAACTCCTAACTGGGCTTTCTACTTGATAGAGTGAGCAAGTTAATGCTTGTATGGGAATTGAAGTGTTATGTATACTTAAATAACTTTAAACTCCAGGCAGGACTTATTCCCATTTATTACAAATAAGATCGAAGGTCATTGGCTGCTTTGTACACATGATAATCTTGTTAACTCTTCAAAGTGAGCTTCTTTGGGAATCATTCTCCACCTATTGTCATGTTTTTACTTCTGCACTCTGACTATGGTCTCTGGCAGTAAAAATATCTTTTTGTTTATAATGTTCTACCGTAGCAGCTGCAACAGAGAACCAGCAATGCAACTCAAGATTTTGCTCTTGCTGACCCAAGATCTGTTTTGTGTGCAGCTGCAAAATTTGTGTTGATGGCTAGAGATCTGCTTCCTTCTGTCAGCCCTTAGTTGCTTTGAATGTTATATGTTCCTTTGGGGACCGACTATGTTTTGAATGTTTTTGTCCCTTCCAAAATTCATATAGAAACTTAATTCTCAGTACAACAGTATTGGGAAATGTGACTTTGGGGAGGTGATTGAGTCCTGAGGGCTCTATCCTCATGAATGGAATTAGGTGTCCTAATCAAAGGGCTTGAGGGAATTCATCCCTTTTTCTCTTTTTCCTTATGTCATCAGACAGAAGCATTCTGTCATTAACACAGCATTCCAACGGGTGCCATCATGGAAGCAGGGACTGACCTCATCAGACGGTCAACCTACCAGCACCTTCATCTGGAACTTCCCAGTCTCCAGAACTGTGAAAAATACATTTCTGTTCTTTGTAAACTTCCCAGTCTATGACGGTTGTTATAGCAGCAAACATGGACTAAGACAGAGACTCATAATTGTGGTTTGGGAACCTCAATTTTGGAAAAAGATTCAAGGTCTTGGTAATGCTAGGTAATAGCTGACTCTGAGCTTTGCATATTTTTGTAAAAGGTCATTGAGTGTATTTATTATCAGTGTATGGAACATATTTGCCCTACATCGTAACTTTCCGTGAGCTGGTCTTTCTGCCTGCAATGCTATTCCCTGAGATAGCGGCATGGCTTGTTTCCTTACTATTAATACTTTCAGGCTTCTTCTCAAGTGTAATCATCTTAGTAATCCTCGCTGACTACCCTGTCTAATCAGCCCCCTCCACTTATTCTCTGTCCCTTTATCCTGATTTATTTTTTAGCATTTAACATCTGACATATTGAACATTTATTTGTTCACTTTTTAATTGTTTCTCTGCTCTATTAGAATGTAAATTGTATGAAAGAGGGACACTGTCGATTTTGTAAATTGTTTCATCCCAGCGTCTAGAAAAGTAACGGATACTTTGTAGGAACTAGCAAAAATTTCTTGAATAAAAAGAGAAATGGAGAAACGCCTCTGCTGCTCAGCACTTTCTTAATACTCCTGCATGTGGGGGAACTTCTTGCCTTGTGAAACTTATTTCTCCAAGAAGGCAAGTCAGATATTTGATTTCCAATCTGCCCTTACAGCCTGGGCACCGATCAGATGCACCCACACGATACTCTGATTCAGAAGCTGCAATCTCTACAAAGCATAGGTCAGGAGGAATCCGTGTGTGTGTGTGTGTGTGTGTGTGTGTGTGTGTGACAGTAATAGTGGTAGATGTTCTAGTAGCCACTGCCTAGTGTCAGTGGTGTGAGCTGCAGTGTCTGTGTCTGGTGGTATAAGCAGTGGCTTTTCTATGGCATCATTCTACATGGCTTTGAGAGTTGTGCTTAGCTGTATAGCCTCCAGATTTTACTCTCTTCCCTTCTCAGTGAGTTTATGAGTTATGTAAGTCACTTAAAAAAAATAAATTCTGGCTGGGGGTGGTGGCTCATGCCTGTAATCCTAGCACTTTGAGAGACCAAGATTGGAGGATTGCTTGAGGCCAGGGGTTTGAGACCAGTCTGGGCAACAAAGCGAGACCCCCATCTTTACCAAAAAATAAAAATAAAAATAAACATTAGCTGGGTGTGGTAGCGTGTCTCTGTAGTTCCAACTGCTCAGGAGGCTGAGGAGGGAGGACATCTTGAGCCCAGGAGGTTGAGGCTGCAGTGAGCTATGATTGCACCACTGCACTCCAGCCTAGGTGACAGAATGAGACTCTGTCTCTAAAAAATAAAAATAAAAATGAATGAAAATAAGCTCCTTTTCTACTTAAACTAGCTTAAATGAGTTCTGCTGTCAGCAACTGAGAATCTTACTGACTCATAGCTGATTTGAATCTGGACAGCATATCCAGAAGTCTATACTTTTACAAATCAACTTAGTAGTTTATAAGCTAGAACATTGTTTTGGGGGATTTTAGTGTTCATCTAGTCAAGTAACTTTCTATCATTATTTTTATATTAGTTATTTCTTCCAATAACATTTTACAAGAAAGAGGGCACCCAATATTTAAAATTGAAGTTGGTCTGATTGAAGGGTGGTAGGTGTCAGAATCCTCAAACTCTCTTCCCTCACAGTACCTCAGGCCCCTCATTAGAGTCCTTAAAGAATATAGAACATGTGAATTCATTGACAATTTAACCACCTAATTTTCCAGCAGAGAAAATGGATACATAGAAAAGTATAAAAGGCACATAATTAGCGAGAGATCAGTAGCTAGAATGCAGGTATCTCTACATTAGTCCAGAGTTTTTGCAGTACTCTTCACTCTAGCCTGAAAATAAAAAAAAAGTAATAATCTTTTAAAGTTTTCTTCTGGGCATAGTTTGAGTAGCAAAAGCAAGAGCGTATTCAAATTTAGGCTTTAAAAGTTTTAACAAATTCAATTAGAAACGTATTTCCCTACTGTACTTGGGAGTACTTAAAAATTGACTTTATGTGACTTTTAATTTAAAAAGACATAATCCAAGAAACATTTTTCTTGGGATAAAATCTTATTTAAATATTTCTCACCAGCACATGGTAATCTAAGTACTATAAATTATACTTTTAAAATTCAAATACATTTAAAAAACAAATCAAATTAAATTATGAGATAGCACTACACACCTATCGGAATGGCTAAAATCCAGAACACTGGCAACACCAAGTGCTTACGAAGATGACGATCCACAGGAACTCTCGTTCATGGCTGTTAGGAATGCAAAATGGTACAGCCTCTTTGGAAGACAGGTAGGCAGTTTCTTATAAAACTAAACACGCTTACTAAACTAAGAGTCATGAATGTGCTCATTGCTATTTACCCAAATTAATTAAAAATGTATGTCCACACAGAAACCTGTACATGGATGTGTGTAGTAGCTTTATTTATAATTGCCCAAACTTGGAAGCAATCAAGATGCCTTCAGTAGGTGAATGGTGAGGGACATTGCTAATAGGGAAGTCTGTGCATGTGTTGGGTTAGGGGTTATATGGGAAATCTCTGTACCTTCCTCTCAGTTTTGCTCTGAATCAAAAACTACTTTAAAAAAGTCTTAAAACTAATAACAGTGAAAAACACCCAAACTCTGCCAAAATAATATTAACCCTTATGTTAAGTTCATGTGATATATTTATCCTTTTGAAAGTCTCATCAAATCAAATCAATGAAACAGATATTTTCTATGGCAATGAGGACGTAATAAAATAATCTATTCAATTAGTGAAATGAGTCCCTTCATTTATAAGGCAAATTCAATTACGTAATATGTAGAGGATCCATTTGAATTTGACCTAAATTTTCTAAACCTAAAAGAATAAACTATGGCATGGGAAATATGATTAACTTCCAAATTGTCTCAATCACAATTTGAGACAATTTGCAATTTTTGTGCTGTGATTGATGACCTGTCTCAGGGTGAACTATTGAGAAACCAAGAGTCACCAAGAGGCAACATCTTTGATTCTCTCTTTTGTTTCTCTTTGGCAAATGATGATAATTTGTTCCTGGTGATTTGGAAGCCTCTTTTTAAATGCCTTAGCACCCAAAAAGCTGTAATTTCCTATTACATTGCTGTCTAGGCTAGTACCACAAAGCAACTCTTTTCTAATATTTTTTTCTTATGATTCTTCTCATAAGCATTTAATTTTTTTAAAGCCATGTCTTATTTGAGATTCCTTTTTTTTTAACTTTTATTTTAAGTTCAGGGGTACTTGTGGAGATTTGTTATATAGGTAAACTCGTGTCATGGGGGTTTGTTGTACAGATTATTTCATCGTCTAGATTACTTGAGAATCTTTAAACTATTTTTTGTTATTGCTAAGTGAGTAGAAGAATTTACCTTCAAATGAATTTATATTTTTATATTTTTCTTAGTTCCAAAAAAGAAGTGAGGAATTCCTCAGTGATATAGGACAATTTTATAACTGATGCATCATCGACTTTCTTGTTAGTGATAAGAGAGTCATGTAAGTGAAAAAATAGTCTCAGTGCATGTCGTTCAAACTGTGTCTGGTGCTCATGGTTCAATACACCACCCATGACACCTCTACTATCCTCACAGCCCCCTCCATAGGCACTAGCGCTGCTACCATTGGCACCACTGTGGCGGTCGGCACTGGATATGTAGAATCCTCAATGCATCAAAGCTTGGATATGCTCCACAACTTCAAGCTGTATTCAGGATTCTCCTTCTCCTCTGAAGACGGGGGTTTTTTATTAGACCTGAAACGGAATTACTGACAGGAAGAAATCTTTCCTGGAAGTTTTTAAATCCCTCATATAAAAAGACTAATAATTCTTGGATTAATAATTTTGACATCTAAGACCAAATGACCAAATACCATGTAAACCAAAAAGTGTCTTAGGCAGATCTCAATGGATTTAGAGTTTTATTTCCAAGGTCGAAGGCATGCCCAGGAAAAAGAAACACAAGTTAAAGTAGGATCTTTCCCAACAGTGCTGAATGTCTGTCTTTTAGATTTTCCTCATTGCTATGAACTGAATTATGTCCCTCCAAATTCATATGTTGAACCCCTGATCCTCAAGTGACTGTACTTGGAGATAGGGACAGTAAGAATGCAATTAAGCTTAAATGAGGTCATTAGGTGTATTAGTCTGTTTTCACACTGCTATAAAAAAAAACCTGAGATTCAGTAATTTATAAAGGAAAGAGGTTTAATTAACTCACAGTTCTGCATGGCTGGGGAGGCCTCAGGAAAGCTAAAATCATGGCGAAAGGTGAAAGAGAAGCAAGTACCTACTTCACAAGGCAGCAGAAAAGAGAGAGCGCGAAGGGGACAGAACCCCTTATAAAACCATCAGATCTCATGAGAACTCACTCACTATCATGAGAATAGCGTGAAGGTAACCACCCCCCATTATCAAATCACCTCCCGCCAGATCCCTCCCTCAACACCTGGGGATTACAATTTGAGATGAGATTTGGGTGGGGACACAAAGCGAAACCATATCATAAGGATGGGACCCTGATCCAATAGGAATTGTGTCTCTATAAAAAGAGACACCTGAACACGCTCTTTCTTGCCCCTCTCTCTCACCCTCTTTCTCTGACACTCAGAGTAAAGGCCGCATGAGAAGATGGCAGTCTGCAGGGTGGAAGAAAACCCTCACCAGAAACCAAACTCTCAGAGACCTTGACTTCAGACTTCCATCCTCTAGAACTGTGAGAAATAGATTTCTGTTATTTAAGCCACCCAGCTGTGGTATTTTGTTATGGCAGCCTAAGCGGACTAATACATTTGCGTTCCAATTCTTGGACCTGGAGGCAGTCATAAATTAGTGAGGAATGACCAAGAATTGTACACAATATCTGAATAACATTTTGCAATGTTACATTATTCATATTACTTTAAAATTTATGTATATGCATGTCTAGACAAAACGTGAAACATGACATTGATTCTTTACATTGGCAGCTAGATGGAAATGTAACATTTGATTGTGAATGGTTTTATTTTCATAAAAATATTTCATATGATGTAGTTATATTTTCAAACATAAAATTAAACTTTATATATTTGGATTTTAATTTTGATATTGATTATAATTTTTATCTTTTAACTTTAATATATATTTTTGAATATTTTAGAGGAAAATTAACAAATGAAAAATATTTTCAAGTTGGTTACAGTTAGAATTTTTTTACACTTGACAAACAATTGTTTTTAATGCATTAGATCAGAGATCAGCAAACTGTTGCCTGTGGGTCAAATCAGGTCTATTGTTCATTTTTATAAAGTTTTATCAGAATGCCTCCACGCTCAAATTTTTATATGTTGTCTATGGCTATTTTCACTCCACAACATCAGAGTTGAGTAATTGCTATCGACACTATATAACCCACAAATCTAAAGATAATTACTGGCCTTTTACAGATAAAGTTTGTGGACCCCTGATTTATATAACAGAGAACGTGTTCACTTGGAAATCATGATATAAATATAAAATACCAAAGTGGATCTTAAAAGCAAAAAAGCAAAAACATTTAAAACTAATGCTTCAAATTTAAATACCTGGAAGCTGAAAAGTGAGCAGACTTTTGTAGAGCGTGACCTATATAAAATTTGCAAGCAGGACATTACAAACTCTTTATTTAAAGAAGATTTAATGAAAATGAGCAAAAATATTATTCTTATGAAATTCACAACTAGAACTGGCTTAGATGCAACCCTGCAATGTCAAATTCTTCATTAAATGAAGGTGTAACCACTGGCCAAAACAATGAGAATGCAAGAGATAGTTAATCCTAACAAAGTCATACTTCAGAGATGGTAAATATACCTTTGGCCAGCTCATTAGAAATTGAAGAAAACTACATTCATAAAATCTGAAAACTGGATAAGAAAGTCAGAACCCCTGGAACTTTACTCTGTTTATTGGATGATGATTCTGGAAAAACGGCTGTCATATCCTGACATGAGTGAGACTGTTTCTAGCAAAGCAAAATCTGATTCAAATCAATGAATAAATTTTTCCATTAGATAAACATGGCAGCACATTTATATTTCATTTTCAACCCAAATTCTTTCAAATTGGGAAAGAAGTTATTCTATTCTAAGTTCAAAGGCAAAGTATCTTGTCACTACTGTTATGCATTTCTCAACCAATGTTCATGATTGGTTTTGGCGAATGAAGATACTTGTCACTGGAAACACATTGTTAATTAAAAGAATGTGAAATGTTACATGCATATAACATTAGCAAATATTAGAACTGAAAATTAAAAGACTGAGTAAATGACAAACAATTGATTTTTTTGGCAAAGAAGTAAATATAGAACAAAATACAAAATACTGTTATAATGTTCTTAAAATAATATTGAAAGATAATATGTGTATAATATTTGGAAAAACACACAATGAGGCTTATTGTAGCATTAATATTTATTTTAAAAAATAAAAGCTTTTTAGATTCAGTAGAGATAATTTCCAATTTGTTAATAGAATGGCTGAAAATGTAGTTATGAATTAAAAATAATGAAAAATACGACTTCTATCTGGGATGGAGAATTCAAATTAGATCATTAACTTATTGGATAAGAAAGTGGGGGAAAAACATATAAAAAGTAAATATTTCAAAAGTCACACTGAGACATTCTTCAAATAAAAAGCAAATTGTGGTTTTTATTAGAAAATGAATTATGAATTTAATTATGAATATGTACTATCCATGTTGCTTGCTCATAATAATATTAACAAAAGATAATGACCATCTCCACTCCAAATGTGTGTGGCTACTTCATTTTCAAAAGGATTAAAATAAATAACTAAATAACTAAATAAATACCTTTAGAAAAAATGCTTTTTCTAAATTGCAAGAAACTGCACGTGATATATGCAACATTCCATTGAAATACATGGAAATTACAAGGAGAAATGAAAATGTTTCATTGGCTCTACAGGAAAAGATTCATGTACAAATAGTCTCCAAACTAAATTTAATAGACTATTTTTTTTGGCCATTAGAACGCAGGTTATCATTTCAACTGAAGAGAGATTAGGACAAATTGAACAATACTGCTGTTTTCAGTTCTCTTTATAAACACCCAGATATACACAATAAAAGTTAAATTCAGTTTTCTTTGCTATTTTGTCAACTTTCAGTTATCTATAAACTGTAGCTTTACATATATTTTTCAATTTTGAAAAAAAGTTAATTATTTTGAGGACATAATAAGTGTTTATATTCATTAGGTACATGTGATGTTCTGATACAGGCATGCAATTATAATAATCACATCAGGTTAATTAGGTCTCCATCACCTCAAGGATTTATCATTTCTTTGTCTTAGAAACATTTCAATTAGAACATATTAAATATCTTTTATTATTATTATTATTATTACTATTTTGAGAAAAAGTCTCACTTTCACTCAGGCTGGAGTGCAGTGGCTCAATCTCAGCTCATGCAACCTCTGCCTCCTGAGTTCAAGTGATTCTTTTGCCTCAGCCTCATGAGTAGCTGGGATTGCAGGCATGCGCCACCGCCACGCCCGGCTAATTTTTGTATTTTTAGTAGAGATGGGGTTTCACTATGTTGGCCAGGCTGCTCTCAAACTCCTGACCTCAGGTGAGCCTCACATCTCAGCCTCCCAAAGTGCTGGGATTACAGGCGTGAGCCACTGAGCCCAGCCAAATATTTTTAAAAACAGGTTGTTAGCTTGTGTAAAATATAAATATCTAGACACCTGTGCTTCCATTTGGAGTCTTGCTCCCAGCCTCTCGGTGTCGGGGCTGGCCTCACCTTCCTCATGGGTTATCATGAGGGACATCAGATGGGAGAAAATGTGAAAGCACATTGACTATAGATGAGGTGACTTTCTGTTAGCCTTCTCTCTACTACTGCTACATTTTAAAGAGGTCTTTGGTTGCTGTTTTTAGGAAGTGGGGCTATTGCTTCACACTCCAACTGTTTAGTATTTTCTTTTTAATTTGATGCCTTCAGTTTTCCAATCTGAAAAAGATGCTTTGGTTTGAATAAACCAATGTAAGTAGGCTTCTCCTGTTGAAAATTCAAAGAAATTTGCTTTTGGGTTTTTTTATTCTGCATTCTTCCCGGGAGAAATGTCTTCCCATCTAGAAGAATCAGCAGTCTTTTACTATCCAGACCTATTAAATTGAACGATTGATTGTAACAAAGCCTACGCTGTTATATTCAAGCAGTTGTTACATATCTCATATGCCAAAATTGTTAAAAATAACAAAGGCCTATTATCTCGAATGTGGGAAACCAAATCATTTTTTTAAAGGCGTGATTAATTGTGTGAGTTTGAACCCCTTAAGTAGGTGTGGTAAGCTGTATTCCGTGGGAACTTGCTCAGTATGTGTGCAACTATGTAAACAAAAAGTTAAAATGCAGCTAACACTTTCCCTGGCATTTATTAGCATAGCAAAGAAAGCAGAAACCAACCAATTTTTACATAAAAAGACAGTAGAAAGCTGTGTCTGCCTGCATTACTGTTCAATCTGTGGGTGCCAACTATACTCATAGAAACAATTTTTATTTATAGGCCTATCACCAAAATGTGTTCTTCATTAATTCATATTTTTCTCAGCCTCACATTACTTCTTGAACCCATCCAGGTGGTTTTTAAATGATAAGGGTAATTTAAAACTGAGCAAATTCATGTGTACCCCATTTTCCGTGTTTAAGAATAATTGAACGGAAACATCTTTACCATTCATTCAATATTTTGTTAATTTGTTTACCTTTAGTGAACCTGAGGAATACCACAAATGTGAGCATGGCTGGATCTTTTGAATTAAAATCCACACTGGGAAAGAAATAGACCTTGAACATCTTGCCAAAGGTATTTAGAAATCTATTTCTCACAAGATTAAAGCTGAAAGTCCAAAGTAACTGCAGTTTATACCAACAATACAGTTCAGTGAAATGCTGTTATATCAAACATTTCCTCATATATGACACTCATTAAAATAGAAAAGGCCTCATCTGAAGGCTTGTAAAGTGACATTTCTTCCATATAATATTTTCCTGCATGTAATGTTCAAAAATTGTGGTGCCTTGGAAAACATTACAAAGGCTTTTCCTTGTAGATCTGTACTTGTTGTTAAATTTCTTTTGGGTTGTCCTTCTGGTGGGTGTTTCATAGCCTTTTATAGATTCAGTCTATATATAATAGGAAAAAAGCCCCCTTCATTTGATTTTAAATAGTATCCATAGGAAGCAGCAGGAGAAAGTTTGCATTCCTGGGTGAAGGTCCTTGAACACATTTTTTTTTTTTTTTTTTTGAGATGGAGTTTCACTCCTGTTGCCCAGGCTGGAGTGAAGTGGCACGATCTTGGCTCACCGCAACCTCCGCCTCCCGAGTTCAAGCGTTTCTCCTGCCTCAGCCTCCGGAGTAGCTGGATTACAGGCATGTGCCAACATGCCCAGCTAATTTTGTATTTTTAGTAGAGATGGGGCTTTGTCATGTTGGTCAGGCTGGTCTCAAACTCTTGACCTCAGGTGATCCACCTGACTGGGCCTCCCAAACTGTTGGGATTACAGGCATGAGCCACCGCAGCTGGCTGAGCCCATATTTTGTTCCAATAAAGGTTCAGTCATGCCCTTCCATTTTTTGTCCAGTGAAGTGTGTCACCCATGCTGTTCTCTGCAACTAATGGAAGGAGAAATTGTTGTTTGTAGATTAAAGTGACCCGCTCAATCTAGAGAGTAACTTTACCTATTTTTTTTAATACTGCATTATACAGGCAAAGCCTCCATTTAAAGAAAGGTAACTGATTTGTATTGCAATAGTGTAACTTACCAATACCCATTATTCAACAGCCTAGCAAATGATGATTAGATGATTAAGGCAGTTTTCTACTTCACCACAAGGCTGTTAAGTTCCTAGTAACAGTTTTCTAGCGTGCAGTGTATAGGTTATATACAATGAAGTTCATGCAGACATAATCTACCTTCTACTTCTGCATATTATGTATGTTTTAAGCAAATGTTAATCCAAAAGTGCCTTCTTATTCACTCAATCATTTATTGAAAAAATTTTTGGAGCACCTACTATGTGCCACCAGGTGTAAGAGTTGACACCATCCTCATCTTTCCAAATTTGCAGACATGGTACAAGGGCTTACGATAGATTGTGTTGAAAGTTGACATCAGTGAAGGCACAAGATGTTACGGGGAAAAAGAGCAAAGTGATCTGACCTACTTTATGGAGCCAGGAAAGGCATTAGAGGGTAGACGTGGTGGGTGGCGTTTAATCTGAAACCTGAAGGATGAGAGGGACAAGTTAAGGGAATGTGTATGTTGCAAATTGAGAAGATTCTCAGACAGAGGGAAGAGCACTTGCAAAGTCTCAGAGGTCAGAGAGAATGTGGTGTGTTCAAGGAACCAGCAATTTGAGGCCAAATTTGAGGTGGAGAAAAAGAGAGAGCATGATGACAGGCTGCATGTTTCAGGCTAAGCAAATTATTTTTATTGTTAGCTAAGGTAAACCATAATAAAAAGTTCTGCTAAGTAAATTATGGAATAAATTTCAAATTTTCTCTCACACTACACATTCAGGGTTCATTGCACAGGCAACCTTGCCAGGCCTGAAATTCAAATCTGCCCCTGGCAAGGAGAGATTTCTTTTCACGGTTTTTAATTGATCATCTGGGTGCCAAGAGGATTTTGCCCCAGCTGAAGGGTTGTACAATTGAGTCTAAGTTGGGGTTTGGGGCATGGACACGCATTTGGAAATGGAAAACTTTCCCATAGGATAACAGCTCTAAGTCTGCGGCCGTGTGCTTGTGCTCCCCTCCAGGCAGGGAGGACATGCACTGCTCAGGGTTCCGAGCTGACCCAAGCCTCTTACCTCAACCCCCTCCTCCTGGTGAGAGAGCCCCACTGGGTTCCGCAGAGAAGAGGAAGAGGATGTGACTCAAAGATTCTGGGCTTCCTTGGTTCCCTGGGCTGGAAGTCAGAGAGATAATGGAATCCAGGTGTGTGATCTGCATGCATGCAGGTTTATTTTTTTTCTCTTTTTCTTTCCAAAGCAGAGAAGGTGAGGGGTCATTTCTACTCTGGGAGAGAGCCCCCGAGGTGTCAGCTGTGGCGGAGTGCTGGCGGCATCTACAGTGGGGGTGTCACTCAGGGTGGTGGTATTAGAGATAGTGGCAGAAAAATCTGGCAAGGCTCCCTGGGGATGGCTGCTGTGGACGCCAGCCCAGTGCGGAGAGGCCAGTGTGATCTCACCCATCATGACCTCAAGGTCCTTCTTTGAGGGATCTTGCCAGGAAGTTCAGTTGGCAGGATGGCAGCAGCAGACACACAGGGTGGTTAAGAACAACAAACACAGGTAACATCTGCTGAAGGCTTCTACAAGCTGAGCACTAACAGGTACTAACTTAATCCTTGCACTCACTCTAGGAGGTAGGTACTGTTATCATCATCACGTCACAGATTTGGAAACTGAGGCACAGAGCTGCTAAGAAACTCATTCAAATAAGCAACCGAGCTGGGACTTGAACACATAAGCACCCAGCAGGGTTTACCTAGAAAGTCATTTTGGGCACAGGATCTTCCTCCATATGCTTCCTAAAGAGATGCAAGGTTGCGTTTTGATTGCATTGTCTAGTCTAGCCATTGGAAATACATTTACCTCATGAGGTTCAGACTTTTATAGTTTAAAGAAAGGAAAGGAAAGGAAAGGAATGGAATGTTCTCCCTTTGCAAAACCTCATGCTGTCCTTTAATCATGTCCATTGTGCTGTGTGGTCTCGATGTCTTCCAAGCAGTTTGGGACTTAGGTTTCATTTTATCAGTAGGAATCATTTACATAGACTGCTGTGAAGGTCCTCTTGCCTGCGAAGTTCTCTACCACTGCCTGACAGTGCCTGAAATTCCAGTATTAAATAATCATTCCTTTGAATATTCAAGTTTGATTTTACAGAATTCTCTCTTAAAATATAAAGATCCCTTTAAAGGATAAATTTAAATCCCTCAAAAGGATGGCAAATATGTAACACCATATTATGGAAAAGTTTCCATAGTATGTAGAAGGTTAAAGGGAGCAGGAAATGGATGATAAATAGGGAGATGGGTTTCCCAGAGAAGGCGCCAGTGAAAAATTGCTTCTTGAAATCCCTGAATTTATGTGTTGCAGCCTAATGACATATTTTCACAAAATTGTGAGCAGCAGTAAAGTTTTACTGGATGGATTCTTTTATTTCAATGATTTTCCTCAGTGTTGACTGCTTAGTTATTTCAAGAAAAGCTAATTATTTAGAAACATTGCTACCCATTACTGATGTGTTCATACATTAAAAAACTATTGTGTCTCAGATAATAATGAAAAGAGAGCCTGTTTTGAAATTTGCCGGAATAGCTCTATTAGATAACCACAAAGGAAATAGTATAACATCACACAATAAACTATCTGTCTTTGAAGCAATCAAATGTCCCTTTTGGCTATGGTGGTGGTTGTGACTGTATGCCTATAGTGGAGGCTGGTAGATGTCTGAGGTTGATGTTGCATTTTCAACAACATTAAGTGGCCCTACTGAATTTATTATTCCTTCTTTTGTTGCATCTACTACTCTGATTGTCAAGTTATTGTTAGGAAAAAAATCACAACGAAGATTCTAAAGCATAGGTTAAGTACAAGCAAATCAGATCCACTGTGCGAGGAGCTATATTCTAGGAGAACTGACTAAAATGTGCAAACAAAACAATAATGAAAGGATCATAGCCTTGTTGAAAATAATGTATAATAAAAAAGTAAGACCCAGAGTAATTCTGCTCTAATGCAAAAAATGTCTGTTTTTGTATTGGCTTTACGGGTTTTACAAGAAGTGATGAAAAAGCAGGGTAATGTTAGCAGTGACCTTGAGTTTCTTCTCCTATAAAAAAATGTAGGCTGATGAAACCTTTTGTACACCCCTCAGGGCTGTGTGAGAATCAAGAGAGTCTGTGTATGTGAAAGTCCTTCTGGCCTATCATGTGTGAGATATCATAATTACAAACTTTGTTCAGAAACATTTGGTGTGGGAGACAAAGGTTTGGGCCCTATCATCTCTACTCATGTTATCAGGAGATAGCGTTGCTAAGTGGACAGACGTGACTATCTGTGAAGTCCACAAGGTCCTTGAAATTTCATTAGAATACTCTTCTTTCCAATCTTTATTCAGATTCTCGGTCCACCCTAACCTCGAAGTGTTAAGAACCACTGTTTGGGAAGAGGTGTTTTCTGTATATTTTTCTAAATGATCTGATAGTAAAAGAAACAGCTTCACAGACCATTTTGCCTTATCAAAATTTCATCGATTCTTAGAATTTATGAAGCCCAGATTAAAGATACAAGAGGATTTAACTCTACTGGGGACACAGTCCCTTTGACAGAGTCTCACCCATCAGGGCTGCATACCGTCAGGCAATTGATGCACCTTAGGTTTGAGTCAATACTTCAAAGAATGTGCTGATTCCATGGCATGGCATGAAGTGTCACAAAAATAATATTTGCATCATATTCTGGGGACATGCTGCATGGACTTTGGGTGCAACTATATGGATTTTGGTGAAAAATTTATTTCATTAACTTTGCATAATTATAAGAAAAATAAAACACAAAGAAAGGGCAGATATTAAAGACTGAATTTGTAAAGCTCTCCCAAATAAAATATTTGCAGATGCTTTAATGAGAAATTTGTGCTTGCTTTAGTTTATCGGGTTTAACACTTGAAATGACTGCATGAAAGATTTGCTCAAGACTTGTAGATGAAAAAATTTTTTTAATGTTTCTTGTTGATGAGAAACTTAATTCAAAATAATTTGTCATCTAATCAAAAAATATATGAACTGAAATAATATTTTAATGTCTCTAATAAACTTCGTTTCCTTTCTTTGAACATTTCTTATGAATTCCAAATCAAATGGAACCTTTTTATATGAAGTATTTCAAACTCATGAAACTCTAACTTTGGGAATGTGTATGTGTTGTTGAAGGAGTCCTCATGAAACTAGCGTGGACAACACTAGATTGACCACTGGCTACCAACCGGCGTAGGAATTCAACCTACATGAAGACTCAGAGTCAGGACCCACCCTGCACCCCCAAACTGTTGCGCTTTCCCAGAGCCCCTGCCGTGCCGTCCTTCCCTGACTTTCTAGTTCCCACCCCTGACCAGCTCTTGGGCTCTCTGCACTGAGCTCTCTGCCCTGCAACTTTAGTACATGGGATACAAGCTTCATCAGCTCCCTGGCCCTTGTTCAGAACAGCTGCTCGCCGTGAAGTGGACATGCATGTGCTAGAACATCTTTCCTTGTACTGAGGAATGATAAAGCGCTGGATGATGCCCATCCTGCTTACTGTCTCTGGGGACAAATTGGGAACATACAAGGTGCCAATCCCAGATGAAATGGCATGATGCTAGCGTCTGTGTCTTGGGGGCTCTGAATACTCCAGGTCTGGTTCTGCCCCTGAGGACTGAGGAGATCAATATCTCCACTCAGAATGTCCTAGTAGTAAAACTAGTAGTAAAGCTCTGGGCCAGGGTTTCTCAAACTTCAGTGTGTGTCAGGATCCCTGTTAAGGCTTGTTGAAATAGATTGCTGGGCCCCATCCCCACTTTCTAATGGGTAGGCCTGGGGTGCTGCTTAAGAATCTGCATTTGTGAGAAGTGTCCAGGAGATGTTGATGCCACTGGTGGGGAAGAATACTTTGACAGCGACTGCTACAGAATATAGCATTTCTAATAGGATTCAATGAAAATTTCCACTTTCCTTTGATACATTTCTAAAATCAATCTTTTCGAACCTGTATCCCAAGAAAATGTGGTGCATATACACCATGGGATACTACATAGTCATAAAAAAAAAAAAAACAAAATGATGTCCTCTGCGGCAGCATGGATGCAGCTGGAGGCCATTATTCTAAGTGAATCAATATAGAAACAAGAAACCAAATACCACATGTTTTCACTTATAAGTGGAAGCCAAATACTGGGTATATATGGGCCTACAGATAGGAACAATAAACACTGAGGACTCCAAAAAAGAAGAGGGAGATGGGCAAGGGTGGAAAAACCACCTATTGGGTACGATGTTCACTATTTGGGTGAGGGGCTCAACTGAAGCCCAAACCTCAGCATCATGCAATATGTCCATGTAACAAACTTGCACATGTACCCCTTGAATCTAAAATAAAATGAAAAAATCCCTACATCCATCTGTCTTCCTGAAATTTTTATAGCACACAGAAGATTCTTGCCATTCACAGATTTAAGACGTGCAGTTTAGAAATATGAAAGCAACCCAAATAAAATAACGTTGAATTTCACTAAAACACGAATTTGAATTGTGTGTTATGCAGCCACCATGTGGATATGGATTTGCAGTCAGAAGCTGGTGAGTGAATCTACTTAAATGCCAGTGTCAACAACTCAAACCAGCTTTGTTTGCTACTCATGATGACTGTACATTTTAAGTGAATAACTATATATTCTCATGCCAGGGTTACAAACTCAAATGTCTAACGGGTCCAGGAAGCAACTGCAAATGAGTGGAGTGGTGTAGGTAGAGAATGGGTTGAACTGGTGGGCCTGTAACCATTTAGGAGCAGAAGCCTTACAGAGCTCCAGCTCATGGACGCCAGGTAGGAATGTGGGCTACTTTGCCATGTCTTCCAATTTTGAAAGAATCCAGAAATCCAGATTTTTACACGAAACCCCCTTCCCCTTTTAAGGTCAGTCTTCTGAACACCCAACAAAACACATTTACAAGCCAATTCTAAATTTGCTTTTATCATCAAATAACACCCCACAATTTGAGCATTAGTGAGGATTTTGGAAACGGAGCTTTTGAGAATGTCAAGTGTGCACTGTTCGATATTTTAATAGTTTAGTTTGGTTTAAATATGTGACTGCCCTTTCGCAGAAACTTTACTTTAATGAAGGAAAAGAAGCGTACTACGGAATTTCATTCTTGGGGCAGGCGATGGAGTAGGAGATTCTTCACAGAATAACTAAAACAAACTTTAAAAATTATGTATTCAATGCCACGAGTACAGAGCCCTGGGCCAAGCAGAGACTGTGTACTCTCTGCTGTGCCTTATCATTATTCACATTCCTTTACCACCCTGAAAATCATTTTGAGAAACTAACCTCCAGTTGTTGAAAGCAGATATAATTTTCCTAAAATGAAACAATTTGCCAATAAAATATTTTTATCCAAGGACCAAAGTTGCTGTGTGACAGCCGAGGTGTTTATGGTCAACTCCCAATTATCCAGAACCAGGCTGTTGGATTTTCGTATTAATCCTTCTTTTCTTTGCATACCCTCTCATGATTTTATTGCTTGTACTGCTGCCATCATAAGCCTGGCAAATCGAATGATAGGATGTGGTTTTGCTAGCAATTCTTTTAAGAGTCAGGTTGAGAGGCTCTTGGAACCTACAACTTAATTTGAAGTTAGCGTTTTGGCATTTTTCATTTATACATTTTCCTGCCAATCCTGCTTTCATTTAAGTAGCTGAGGATGACTGGGAGTTACGTTTCTTCTCTTTCCAAAACACCCAGGATTTCTGGTGTTTTGCCTTGAATGGGAAAAAAGCCCAGTCTTTTTATAGGAGAAGTGAGAGGATAAACGCTGGATATCAGGGAGGGCTGAGCGTCGGGCCAGCGTGTGGTAGGGCCAGGAATATCTTGAGAAGTCACTTCGCAGCACTGTGCCTTAGTTTCCTCATGTGGAATATGCACTCGGTGGGCAAAATTATAGATTGTCCCAAATGGGTCTGCAGAGCCCCAGCATTTCTGTCCAGGTGCGTCAGAGGACTTGGGGAGCTGGGGCAATTATCTTCGCCTCATCTACATTGTTTTTGTCTGCTTAAAAGTGTATACTATTAAATAGTTTGAAAACTCCAATTCTTAATGATCTTAGAAAAATTTAAGAAATCTGCATTTTGAGGGGAATGTTTGTGCTCCACTGCAATTCATATGTATTTTTCAATTCAACTTCTATTATAGATTGAAGGGTACACATGCAGATTTGTTACATGGTTAGATTGCATGATGCTGAGGCTTGGGGTCCCAGTGATCTCACCACCCAGACCATAAGCATAGAACCCACCAGGTGATTCTTCAGCCCATGCTCCCCTCCCTCCCTCCCGTCTAGTGATCCCCAGTGTCTGTTGTTCCCATCTGTACAATTATGTGTATTCAATGTTTAGCTCCCACTTATAAGTGACAATATGAAGTATTTGGTTTTCCTTTCTTACTTTAGTTTGCTTAGGATAACAGCCTCCAGGTGCACTCATGTTGCTGTATAGGGCAGGATTTCATTCTTTTTATGGTTGCATAGTATTCCGTGGTGGATATGTACCACCTTTTCTTTATCAAATCCCCAGTTGATGTGCACCTAGATTGATTCCACATCTTTGCTATTGTTAATAGTGCTGCAATGAACATATGAGTCTTTATGACAGAATAGAAATTCATATGTCGAAATCTAATCCCCAATGAGATGGACTTAAGAGGAGAGGTGATGGGGAGGTGATGAGTCATGAGAGTGGAGCCCTCATGAATGGGATTAGTGCCCTTATGAAAGGGGCCTGAGGGAGCTTGTTTCCTGCTCCCTTCACACGAGGATGCAGCAAGAAGGCACTGTCTAGGAGGAGCAGATACCGAATCTGCTGGTGTCTTGATCGTGAACTTCCCAGCCTCCAGAATGGTAAGAAATAATTTTCTGTTATTTGTAAATGATCCAGTCTAAGGCATTTGGTTATTATAGTAGCCTGAACAGACTAAGACAAAGTCTTATTCACTCACTGTGGAACTGCCATGCTCACATCTTCTGTGCACTGTTCTTACGCCACATGTCTGATAGGAATGCCCCACACCCCCTGTTGATTAGCTAATTTCTATCCATTTTTAAACTCTTGGTATATATGCCAGGTGTCTTCAATATGTGATGAGGGCTGGGTGTGGTGGCTCATGCCTGTAATCCCAGAACTTTGAGAGGCCAAGGTGGGTGGATCACCTGAGGTCAGGAGTTTGAGACGTCTGACCAATATGGTGAAACCTCGTCTCTACTACAAATACAAAAATTAGCCAAGTGGGGTGGCATGTGCCTATAGTCCTAGGTACTCGGGAGGCTGAGACAGGAGAATTGCTTGAACCCAGAGGCGGAGCTTGCAGTGAGCTGAGATCGTGCCACTGCACTCCAGCCTGGGCAACAGAGTGAGACTCCATCTTAAAAAAAGAAAAAAAATATGCTATGAGTTATTTGAGAGCAGGAATTCTGTTCACATTGTCCCTGGCTGTATACCACCTGGTCCTAAGCATATAGTAGAAAAAACTTCTTTAATGTCGTAAGGTATATTTTTATAGTTTAATCAGTGAACATATCGGTAGTAATAACAGTCTTCACATCGAGGTAGTCAAAGACTATAACTTTATTTTCCTCTAATTTTGATCACTACTTGCTACCTTCTCCCCCTTTTCCCATCAGGGTGAGGGAAATTTAATCCGATTAAATGTAGGTGCCTCTGTTCTCTATGGCTGCATATGAGTTCTGGGAGCTTAGGGCAGAGGCATGAGGAGGTAGGGACATTCTAGCCCCTAACACAGGTTCCAGGTTGCTGCTGAGACAATCGGTTCTCGTCCCATGACCACCTCTCTGCTGTCTCAGAGACTATATCTCTTTTTCCATTAGGCTAGACTGTAAAAAACAAACAAACAGCAAAAAAAAAAAACCTTATTTCAGGAAGAAATACTACTCCCTTAAACTGAAATTTCTGCCATGGAAATTCTCTCCCAATATTCATCTATGCCCTGAGTTCCTTTTGTTCTCCCAGGACTTCAACTCTTACACACCAAATCCATTGAGAAGCCTGTGCTTCTGATTTCAGCCCTGTGATACCTCACACCTCTGGTGCTGAGCATAGAGTGCCCTAGATACTTGAGTAGAAGCTGGAGATGGTGTGGGAGGAGGAGAGAAAAAGAAAAATCCACCCAGAGAAAAAATTAATTAGACTGTAGGTCTTGAGCTTGAAACAATTGTAATGTTCTTGGAGGCTGGTGTTTTATTTTAAATATTCAAATGAATTCTGTACTCTGTTCATTAAACATTCATTTTGTTGCAATGTAAAATCATGTCAAGTTATTTTCCATAGAAAATTACATATTTTATTGCAATGATATGAAAAACAAATCTTGAGAAGAAAATTGCACCTTCTCCTTAATTTTAGTATAAATTTAGAATTTGATAATATCAGAGAAAAAACGTAAAAGTATTTCTGATTTCAGAACTCCCAGAGACCAATATTCTCTTGTTCGTAACAATCTCAGTGAAAGGGAAAAACAAAGTAGAAGAATAAAAAACTTAAAAAATAACTATTACTTACTTTTACTTAATTGCCTTTATCTTAGAAGTAAGTTATTTTCTAACAGGAAAGTCAGACCAGCAGCTAAAAATAATGTGAAGAGTCCACATTCCAGTGAGTTTGCCTAAGATGAGGAAGCTCAATAGCTTCTTAGACTTGTAGGCAGATGTAAACCCAAGAAAGGGGGATTTTCATAATAAATAGGAACCAGCCAGTGGTTGTGTGTGGATGAGAAAACCGTAGTTCATTAGTTAGGCTGGTGGGTAGCCTCTGTATTCAGAGGGTGCACAAAGAAAACAATGACAGCACCCACTGCCTTCACCACTGAACTGGCGAGGAACTACCAGATATAGTGATTGATTGCTTAAGTGTGTCACCACTCATTAGCGAGTAGGTGGCTTTCTGAAAAAACCAAGTTTGCTTCATAAGACTTCAGTGCTCAGATAGAATAGGAACATGGCCTCCTAGGGTGGGTGCTTGCAGAGAGAAGGTGAATGTCTGCCATCTTTGGAGGGCTGCGATGCTCAGCAGGAGCCAGGCAAGTATGCAGGACAAACTTTCCCACTCACATATCCAGGAAGAATATGAACATTAAGGAACCAAAGAATAGAGTGAGGTCTCTAAGTTTCAAAATAAAAATGCTGAGTCTTCAAAAGACTAGAATTTTCTTTTCTGTGTGAAGACAGACATTTATGTCACAGCCAGGACTAAATCCTACTTACGGTTTCTTTTAAAAAATTTATTTATTTTTTTAAATGGGCAAAATTATATATATTTATGGTGTATAACATGATGTTTCAAAATATGTTTACATTATGGAATGGCTAAATTGAGCTGATGAACATATGCATAACCTCATATACTTTTTTGTGTTGAGAACACTTAAAACCTACTCTCAGTATTTTTCAAGTATATAATACATTGTTTCTAACTGTAGTCACCATGTTGTGCAATAAATCTCTTGAATTACTCCTGTCTAACTGAAACTTTGTGTCCTTTCACCAACATCTCCCAATCCCCATTTTTTCCTCACAACCCCTGGTAACCTCCATTCTACTCTCTGCTTCTATGAGTTTGCCTTTGTTAGATTCCACTATAAGTGAGATAACACAGTATTTATCTTTCTGTGCCTGGTTTATTTCACTTACCATAATATCCTCCACATTCATCCATGTTGTTGCAAATGACAGAATTTCCTGCAGTTTTGAGGCTGAATAGTATTCCATTGTGTATATGTACCACATTTTCTTTCTTCATTCATCTGTTGATGGACACTTAGGTTGATTCCATATCTTGGCTATTGTGAATAATGTCACAGTGAACATCAGGGTGCAGATATGGCTTCTTGAATTATGTATGTGTTAAAAACCAGCTCCAGTGATTCCTGTGCTCAGCGTGTTTGTTAGTTTTACCAGTAGTGAATGGATTTAGGTGTATGTCTCTGTCAGTGAGCATTAGCTCTGTCCCTGACTCTCCCTTGGTGTGCCATTAGTAGAGTCTTCTACAGAATGTGGGAGAGGGAGTGCTGCCTCTGCCAGTCAAATCTTGTCTGAATAGAAACTGCCTATTTCAAACAACTCTCAGAGTTCAGGGTTCTGGTATGAGCTTTATGTAGATATTAGTCACACATGGGGAAAAGAATTAAGAAAAGTATAAAAGAAAAAAATAACTTTGTAGAGTTTGTACATTTTCCTTTTTCAATTAGCTATAGCTAATGGAGTAACCAAGTCAGTATTTTCCCCCTCAATAGTTTGAAATAAGCCTAGATCTTTTTTTTTTTGAGACGGAGTCTCGCTCTGTGGGCCAGGCTGGAGTGCAGTGGCGTGATCTCGGCTCACTGCAAGCTCCACCTCCCGGGTTCACGCCATTCTCCTTCCTCGGCCTCCCGAGTAACTGGGACTACAGGCGCCCACCACCACACCCGGCTAATTTTTTGTATTTTTAGTAGAGACGGGGTTTCACCGTGTTAGCCAGGACGGTTCTGATCTCCTGACCTTGTGATCCGCCCGCCTCGGCCTCCCAAAGTGCTGGGATTACAGGCGTGAGCCACCTCACCCAGCCAAGCCTACATCTTTACAAATATTATATTAGTGTCTTAAAGTAAAATAGTATAATATTATACACTAGTTAAAAATCAACAACAAATAGGCTTGCCCAATTCTCCTTATCACTGAGTAATCATCATTTGTGAACTCAAATACAACTGAAAATTAGCCACAAGGTTTTGGGATTCCTCTGACTGTTCTGTGAAAGGAGCTTAATAACATATTATCTAGCTAAACCAGGGAAATGGACTGTATGATGAGTTGTGCTCCCTTTTTGTACCAATGACCAGCACTTATTTTGTCAAATAGTGTGAGTAAGTCTTTTTGGAAGAAACTGAGGAAAACATATAGAATGTAATAGAAAATAATACAGCCCTCTTTCTATGGATCAGCTTGATTCTAGCATAGGTTTTAGGGTCAATGGAAGTGGAGGGAAGAACACATTTTTATTGAATATGCACTATTATTCTAAGAGCTGAAGATATGGGTAAACAAAACAAAGAAAGCCAAGCCCTCATGGAGTCTACATTACACACACACACACACACACACACACACACACACATACACACACATGGTATCAGGTGGTAATAAATGCTTCAAATATATGTGAATCAGAATAAAGGGGCTGAGAGTCATGGCAGGAATGATATTTCAGAGAGTTGTCAGGGGATGCATCTCTGAGGAGGCATCATTAGAGCAAAGACTTACATGAAGTGGAGGAAGAACCCATGCCAAGTTCTAGGCCATAGAACAGAAATGTACAAAATCCTGAGAAGGGGATTGAGCATGGTGTTTTCAAGGAGTAGCCAGGTGACCTGTGTGCCTGGAATGAGCAAGGAGAAAGTGCTAGGAGATAGAGTTGGAGAGGAAACAAATTATCTGGGGCCCATTTGGGGTCTGCCCATTTGGCATTCTTCATCACAAAAGTGTCTCCCTCTGTTGCCCAGGGTGGAGTGCAGTGGCACAGACATGGCTCTCTGCAGCCTCAACCTCCCAGGCTCAAGCGGTCCTCCCACCTCAGCCTGCTGAGGAGCTAGGACCACAGGCATGTGCTACCCTGCCCTTGCTTACTTTTACTTTTGTTTTTTTTTGTGCAGGGTCTCGTCATGTTGCTCAGGCTGGTCTCAAACTCCTGGGCTCAAGCTATCCTTCCATCTTGGCTTCCCAAAGTGCTAGGATTACAGGCATGAGCCAAGGCAGTCGGCCATATTTTCACACTTAACACAAAATGAAGCTGCCAATGAGAACTGTGTGAGAAAGCAGAGCAAAATTCACTCAAATAATAACTAATACTAATCACTCATCCTGAGAGTGTTGGGAAAACTTTGGAAGGTTGAGTAAAGGACAGTGATAATGATTTGATTTATGTCTAAAGAGGCCACCTTGCCATTATGGGAAGAGTAGAATTTTAGGAGGGCAAGATTAGAAACAAGGAAAGCAGGAGTCGAGCTGATGGTGGATTTAACTAAGACAGCTGTGGAAGGGGTAGGAGGTGGTCAGATTTGTGATGTTTTGAAGTTTGAGCCAAAAGGATTTGCTGATAAGTGGGGGATGAGATGGGAGGGAAAGGGTTATATTAAGATGACTCCTCTTCTTGGGCCTGATCAACTCAGTGAAAGGAACGGTTTACTGAGACTGGAAGAGGAGTATGCCAGGGCAGGGGTGAGGAATCAGGGGTTCTGTTTGTACATTTTAAGTTTGAGATTCCTATTAAACATTCAAGTGGAGATGTGGAATACAAAGTATACAGAGTTGCAGAATAACAACAAGATCTAGCTTGATGATTATTTAAAAACATTGTTTCTGTGAAATATTCCAATACCCTAGACTTGTAATTACCTTAGTTTTGTAATATTGCAAGTAATAAAGCTGGGATCCACTATTTCCCTTTTGAGTCAGAAGAGGTAAGATCTCTTGAATTGTGCTTTCGTCTCATATTTTAGGAGGTATTAAGAAGAAATTTAGGTTGGACGTGGCAGCTCATGCCTGTAATCCTAGCACTTTGGGAGGCTGAGGTTGGAGGTCCTCATGAGGCCAAGTATTTAAGAGCAGCCTGAGCAATACAGCAAGACTTTGTCTCTACAAAACATAAAAAATTAGCTGGGTGTGGTGATGCATGCCTGTAGTACCAGATACTCAGGAGGCTGAGGCAGGAGGATCACTTGAGTCCAGGGGGTGGAGGCTACAGTGAGCTGTGATTGCACCACTGCCCTCCAGCTTGGGCAACAGAGTGAGACCCTGTCTCAAAAATAAATAGGTAAATAAATAAATAAATAAATGGAATTTACTTAACATTTTTTTTTTTACCCCAGCGGAAACATGACAAAAGATATAAAAAGGCCAGTCACCAAGGAAGTTCATTCGGAACACACGCTGAACTTTAGTAGCAGTAATCAAGTAAATACTAACTAAAATGAAATACCAATTTTAATATTTTAGAGTGGCAATAATTTTAAAAGATTAGTATATGTGCACCCTCAAAAATATTGGTGGGAATGTAAATTAGAACAACTTTTCTAGACTGAATTTTGGCAGTCTATCAAAAGCCTTAAAGTATGCATATGCTTTTTAAGAGTAATTCTGCATCTAGGAGTGTATCCTAAGGAAATATTCTGAGCCAGATACTAAAATATTTATTGCAGCAGTATTTGTAAAGGTAGAAAAATTAGAAACAGCTTACAAATACAGTGGTAGGGAATTGGTTAAATAAGTTATGGTATATTTATGTGATGTGATTACTTGTTTTTGAAGACTATTTCACAACAAAGATAAATGCTCATTGTATACTAAGAAGAAAAAGTAGGTTATAGAATAAATCACACATTATATGAATTATGCATAACACACATAGCCCACCTACATACATAGAAAAAAACTGAAAAGACTTCCACCAAAATATTTACAGTGGTTTTCTCTGAGTAGTGAAATAGCGCTGATTTTTACATCCTCCAAATATCTTTTATACTTTCTAAAATTTTCATAATATTCACATATTGCTTTTATATTTAGTGTTTAACATTTATGAATATTTATTAGGTTGGTGCAAAAGTGATCATGTTTTTTACCATTAAAAGTAACAGCAAAAATTGGATTCACTTTTGCACCGACCTAATAGTAGAGAGATGACATCCTTGGACACTTTTGTTTTTCTTATAACACCATATTGTAAAATTTGTTCTCCTATTTATTATTGTTGGACATTTGTGGTTTAGAACCAAGTAACTTTTATAAGTGAAATAATTTTGTGACTCATATACAAAAGGTTTTCTTTTCTTCTCTCAACTTGATATTGTGCCAGTGGTCCTGCTGCTACTTAATGACAGCTATCATTATACTACATTATACTACAGTGATACAATATACTAGAAGAAGAAAGTACAATATGGAACTAACAACCAGTTAGCAGAGCTGAATTAAATGATTCTGAGTCCGTGGCATTGCATAAATCCTAAATAGTAAAGAAGTGAGCAAATATGTTGAATCAACTAATTTTTTTTGCTATGTAAATTCTAATCAGACTGAGCATTATAATGCCAGAATATTCCTTAAACCAGAAATTTCTATTCTGTAAACTCTCAACTTTAATTTGGGAATTGTTGTGGTAGGAGAAGCCATCAGTTCCTAGCTGGAAATTTAGATGGAGTGAAAGTTCCTTCCTTTAATTACTGACTAGAAACCATCTGAGGAAACAATATGCAAAACACTACAATTCATTATAAATAATTATGAGGGTGAATAGAAATCTATAGAGAAAAGCTCAAACTTCTATGGGAAATATACGTATCTGCGTATGCATGTGTGTTTAAAGTGTTTAACTGGCTAAGTTTTTTAAGTTTATAAATGGCATGTATGTAAAAGGACATAAGAATGATTTTCAATATGATATTTTTGGCCTTAGACTAACTGTACAATGACTCCAAAGCAAATAATATGCCAAAGTGCTAAAGTAATTTAAGCAATCCTGTACGTAATTCAAGCAAAAAGAAAACGTTTCCCAAATCACCTCTAACACGCTGTTTTCCCCTGAATGACCTGGATAATTGCTATAATACTTCATTTTATTTGGACTGTGGAGACCTGATTTTACATCTTTTTAAAAATGTAGAACACAGAGAGAAAGAGAGAGAGAGAGAAGCATAATGCCCTTTTCTAACAGAATTTCCCAATGAAATTGAAAAAGAAGCATCTTACCCCAAAGTAGTAGGATAAACCAAACACCTTAACTTCTGTTAGAGGGCCTCTGGAAGAGGAATTTAAATACAATGGAGGCAGGTTTTACTTTTTCTCTAGTGACAAGTTATTTCTATTAATTTTGGTAAAAATAATCTGCTGAAAGCATTATTTATAATTAAATGAAAAGAAATATATCTTTACAAGCTTATAAATTAGTTTTAATATCTTTCTATTTTTAGAAGTTACATTGCTGGGTCAACCTGATATTCCAGAATTCACTTGTCAAATGTAAAAAAGAGAATTTGAGCCACACCATTGGTATGCTTTCTGAATGTTTTAGTGCCTGAGTGTAAGGAAGAGTCATAAACCCTATAAACAGTGTGTGTGTATTGGTAGTCTGAGCCCTTTGAGGTGGGCTTGGGGGACTGCACCCAATAGGGTTTCTTAATAATGTTGAGTCTTTCAGGACTCACATGACTATGTGTTGGTTGTTGTCAGAGTGAAATACTTGAATTACCTCTATCTAGTCTCTGTTTACAATCTCCTCTTGAGGTTTCTGTATGCCAAATTGTACTTAAAAAACATAAATTTCCCTTCAAAGGTAGCTTGGGAGCCTGAAGTGTGGCTAGGGACTCCTAAATGCAAAGGATAATCAAGGTCCTCTCAAATGTAGGTACTGCAATTTGTTTAAAACATAGCACGGTCTAGACTAAAGAATGAGACCTCTACAGATGATTTAACTAAAGGAAAAGGTACAGGCACTGCTGAAAATAAACACTTCTGTAATTACCAAAGGCCTTTATTTAGTTAGGACTATCTTGAGGATGTAGCTGAGGGAGCAGTGATTTGCAATGCCACCCCAGACCCCAGAAACAAACAAACAAACCAAACCAAATCACAGAGTGACACTTTATTTCTTAATCACATTGGCTAACTGGAATTTCTTAAGTGGCTCCAACTTGGAGAAAAGCAAAATGTGTGAAGTTAGTGAAAGATTACTGCCTTGATTCACCCTTTAAATGCTTGGATTCTAACAATTTCAATTATTTGTTCATGTTCTCCTTATTTCCCTAATGTATCATTTACGTCACAAAACTGCCCATTTGGCATTCTTTATCACAAATTATAATTTTTCACTAAAGCTTGCAATAAGCCAAACTGAGTCACGTTCCACATACCTTTTGTTTGGCAGAAACCACTCTAGTGCTGAATGAAGACTGTTTTGGCCGATCCATTGCGCCTTAATTTGTTTGGCCATATGACTGCTTTCTGTCTTCTGCAGAAAAAGGCTCTGTAGCCAGTGGTTTTTATTTATGTTGCTTCAAAGCCATGGCAGCCTTCATTTTACTTGGAAGCTTATTTTATTTTGGCTTTCCCCACCAGCAGATCATGTCCGATTTTCTGCCTTTATTCTCTTTATTATAACTATTTTGGGAAGTATGTATCAGCACACCATGATTAAAACACTGCTGTTGATGTTTGGATTAATGCTAAGGCTTATAATAGATACCTGAAAATGAATATATACTTGAAAGAGGCTTTCACCTAATTGATAGAATTGTTACCTTTCCTAGGAACTGGGGGATACAGCTTCATTCATTAACAGTTGCACATTCATATAAAAAAAAAAAAAAAACCTCTTTCACTCACTGATGTCTTGACCTTTCATTCGCCATTTCCTGGGAATCATTGAAACCTCTGTACCTAAGCCAGGGTTGTAACAATACATTTTTGTTATGATTGGCAAACTAGCATAATTATCAGCTTGCTGGTTTACGTATTTGGCCAAAAATGTTACCAGCGGTGAATCCATATGGGTCTGCAGCAACCTCAATTCTTGCTTCCTCAGGAGAAAGAACTCAATGAGGAGCATAAGGCAGAGTGAGAGAACAAGGCAAGTTTTGGAAAGCAGGAGTGAAGGTTCATTAAAAAGCTTTAGTGGGGAGGGGCCAATATGGTTGATAAGTAGCAGCTCTGGTCTGCAGCCTTAACCTAGAAGAACGAAAACAGCAAGTAAATCCTGCACCTTCAGCTGAGGTATCCAGGTTCTCTCAATGGGACTGACTAGGCAGTTGCTGTGAGCCAAGGAGAGTGAGGAAAAGCAGGGTGGAGCGATGGCCCAATTAGGAGCTTCACAGGGAAACGGGAGCTCCCACCCACCCCCAGCCAAGGGAGGTGGTGAGTGATTGTGCTACCTTGCCAGGGAAACCATGCTTTTGCATGGATCTGTGAAACCCGTGGATCAGGAGATCCCCTCCTGAGCCCACACCACCAGGGCCTTCGGTCCCAAGCACAGAACTGTGCAGACTCTTCATGACCACTTTCCTTGTGGCCAGCCACAGCAGGCTGGAGACAGCCTAAGATGACCGAGTTACTAGTGGGGAGGGGCGGCTGCCATCACTGCAGCTCCAGTCAGCCATTTTCCCCTCCTGGTTGGGGGGAGGCTGGGCGGTTTTTAGTGGGAGGAATTCCCCAAAGTGCAGCACAGCAGCTGTGGTAGATTGTGGCCAGACTGCCTCTTTAGGTGGGACCTGGATCCATCCTTCCTCACCAAGTGGGGCCGCCCCATGGGAATTTCAGCAACTCCAGCCAGGGGTTTATGGAGAGAATTCTGATCTCCCTGGGATGGAGTCCCTGATGGGCTGGGTGGCTGTGGTCTCCAGTTCAGCAGACTTAATCTTTCCCACCTTCTGGCTCTGAGGAGGCGGGGTAGTCTAGATGAGTGGTATTTCCCCAAGCACAGTGCACCCACTCTGTCAAGGGGCAGAAAGAGTGCTTTGTTAAGCAGGTCTCTGATCCTGTGCTTCCTGACTGGGTGAGACCCCCAACAGGGGTAACCAGACACCTCATGCAGGAGAGTTCCAGCAGGCATCAGGTCAGTGCCCCTCTGGGATGGAGCTTCCAGAAGAAGGAGCACGCAGCTATCTTTGCTGTTCTGCAACCTCTACTGGTGATACTTCCAGGTGCAGGAGGGACCCAGGCAAATAGGGTCTGGAGTGGATCCCCAGCAAACTGCAGCAGCCCTGCAACCCTGCAGAAGAGAGACCTGACTGTTAAAAGAAAAACAAACAGAGGGCCACAACAGCAACAACATCAACAAAAAAGACCTCACAAAAACCCCATTCAAAGGTCAGGAGCCTCAAAGATCGAAGGTAAGTAAACCTTCAATGAGAAAAAATGAGAAAAAAATCAACACAAAAACACTGAAAATTCAAAAAGCCAGAGTGCCTCTTCTCCAAATGATCACACCTTTTCAGCAAGGGCACTGAACTGGGCTGAGGCTGAGATGAGTAAGTTGACAGAAGTAGGCTTCAGAAGATGGATAATAATGAACTTTGCTGAGCTAGAGGAGTATGTTCTAACCCAATGCAAAGAAGCTAAGAACCATGGTAAAACATTACAGGAGCTGTTAATCAGAATAACCAGTTTAGAGAGAAACATAAATGACCTGATGAAACTGAAAAACAAGTATCAATAGCTGAATAGATCATGCAGAGGAGACAATCTCAGAGCTGAAGTCTGTCTTGCTGAAATAAGACAGGCAGGCAAGATTAGAAAAAGATAAATGAAAAAGAATTAACAAAACCTCTGAGAACTATGAAATTATGTACAAATGTGTCCAGAATTGGTGGGTTCTTGGTCTCGCTGACTTCAAGAATGAAGCCGCGGACACTCGTGGTGAGTGTTACAGTTCTTAAAGATGGTGTGTCTGGAGTTTTTTCCTTTAGATGTCCAGATGCATCTGGAATTTCTTCCTTCTGGTGGGTTCGTGGTCTCGCTGACTTCAGGAGTGAAGCTGCAGACCTTCATGGTGAGTGTTACAGCTCATAAAGGCAGCGCAGACCCAAAGAATGAACAGCAACAAGGTTTATTGCAAAGAGTGAAAGAACAAAGCTTCTACAGTCTGGAAGGTGACCAGAGTGGGTTGCTGCTGCTGGCTCAGGTGGCCTGCTTTTATTCCCTTATCTGGCCCCACCCACATCCTGTTGATTGGTCCATTTTACAGAGAGTTGATTGGTCCATTTTACAGAGAGCTGATTGGTCCATTTTACAGAGAGCTGATTGGTCTGTTTTGACAGAGTGCTGATTGGTGCCTTTACAATCCTTTAGCTAGACACAGAGTGGTGATTGGTGCATTTACAATCCTTTAGCTAGACACAGAAGTTCTCCAAGTTCCCACCCGACCCAGAAGCCCAGCTGGCTTCACCTCTCACTGGCACTTGCTGCAGGACTCTGCAGCACCCAGCCTGCGCACTCTGGCAGCCCAGAGGGAGCCTGTCCCCCATCAAGTCCAGCAGGCGCCAGCTGGCTGCACCCGTGCCCACCCAGAACCTGCGCTGGCTCGTGAATGTCACGCGCAGCCCTGGATCCCGCTGGCACCTTCCCCTCCACACCTCCCTGCAAGCAGAGGGATCTGGCTCTGGCCTCGGCCAGCACCAGAGAGGGGCCCCCACAGTGAAGCAGTGGTGGGCTGAGGGCTCCTTGAGCATGGCCAGAATGGATGCCAAGGCCAAGGAGGTGCTGAGAGCAAGTGAGGGCTGCTAGCACGTAGTCACCTCTCACAAAGACTGAACCTACTACTGATTGGGATAGCTGAAAGAGATGGGGAGAATGGAACCAAGTTGGAAAACATACTTCAGGGTGTCATCCAGGGGAACTTCCCTAAACTAGCAAGACAGGCCAACATTAAAATTCAGGAAATACAGAGACCCCCAGTAAGATACTCCATGAGAAGATTAACCCCAAGACACATAATCATCAAATTTCCAAGGTTGAAATGAAGGAAAAAATGCTAAGGGCAGCCAGAGAGAAAGGCCAGATAACCTACAAAGGGAAGTCCAACAGAATAACTGTGGACCTCTCAGTGGAAACACTACAAACCAGAAGAGACTGGGGAGCAATATTCAACATTCTTAAAGAAAATAATTTCCAACCCAGAATTTAATATCCAGTCAAACTAAGCTCCATAAGTGAAGTTGAAATAAAATCCTTCTCAGACAAGAAAATACTGAGGGAATTTGTCACCACCAGGCCTGCCTTGTAAGAGCTCCTGAAGAAGGCTCTGAATATGGAATGGAAAAACCATTGCCAGCCACTACAAAAACACACTGAAGTACACAGACCAATGATGCTGTGAAGCAACTACATTAACAAGTCTGCAAAGTAGCCAGCCAGCATCATGATGACGGGATCAAATTGACACATAACAATATTAACCTTAAATGTAAATGGGCTACATGCCCCAATTAAAGGACAAAGAATGGAAAGCAGGATAAAGAGTCAAGACCCATTGGTGTGCTGTATTCAAGAGACCCATCTCACATTTAGGCTCAAAATAAAGAGTTGGAGGAAAATTTAACAAGCAAATGGAAAGCAGAAAAAAGCAAGGGTTGCAATCCTAGTTTCTGATAAAACAGACTTTAAATCAGCAAAGATCCAAAAAGACAAAGAAGGGCATTACATAATGATAAAGGGTTCAAATCAACAAGAAGAGCTAACTGTCCTAAATATATGCACCCAATACAGGAGCCCCCAGATTCATAAAACAAGTTCTTAGAGACCTACAAAGAGACTTAGACTCACACACAATTATAGTGGGAAATTTTAACACCCCACTGTCAATATTAGACAGATGATCAAAACAAAAAATTAACAGAAATATTCAGGACTTGAACTCAGCTCTGGATCAAATGGAACTGATAGTTATCTACAGAACTCTCCACCCCAAAACAACAGAATATACATTATTCTTGGCACCACATGGCACATTTACTGTAAAACTGATCACATAATTGGAAGTAAAACACTCCTCAAAAAATGCAAAAGAACTGAAATCATAACCAACAGTCTCTCAGACCACAGAGCAATCAAATTGGGATTCAAGATTAACAAACTCCCTCAAAACCACAAAACTACATGGAAATTGAACAACCTGCTCCTGAATGACTCCTGAGGAAATAATAAAATTAAGGCAGAAATCAAGAAGTTCTTTGAACTAATTGAAACTAATGAAAACAAAGAGACAATATACTAGAATCACTGGGACACAGCTAAAGCTGTGTTAAGAGGGAAATTTATAGCACTAAATGCCCACATCAAAAAGCTAGAAAGATCTCAAATCAACGTCCTAACATCACAACTAAAATAACTACAGAACCAAGAGCAAACAAACCCCAAAGCTAGCCAAAGACAAGAAATAACCAAAATCAGAGAGGAACTGAAGGAGATAGATACAAAAAACCCTTAAAAAATAAATGAATCCAGGAGCTGTTATTTTGAACAAATTAATAAAATAGACCACTAGCTAGATTAATAAAGGAGAAAGGAGAGAAAAATCAAATAGACACAATAAAAATGATAAAGGGGATAGCACTACTGACCCCACAAAAATACAAACAACCATCAGAGAATACTGTAAACACCTCTATGAAAATAAAATAGAAAATCTAGAAGAAATGGATAAAGTCCTGGACACATACACTCTCCCAAGACAGAACCAGGAAGAAGTTGAATCCCTGAATAGACCAATAACTAGTTATGAAATTGAGGCAGTAATAAATAGCATACCAACCAAAAAAAAAAGTTCAGGACCAGATGGATTTACAGCGGAATTCTACCAGAGGTACAAAGAGGAACTGGTACCATTTATTCTGAAACTATTCCAAACAATTGAAAAGGAGGGACTCCTCCCTAACACATTTTATGAGGCCAGCATCATCCTGATACCAAAACCTGGCAGAGATACAACAACAACAACAACACTCCAGGCCAATATCTCTAATGAATATTGATGCAAAAATTCTCAATAAAATACTGGCAAATTGAAACCAGCAGCACATCAAAAAGCTTATCCACTATGATCAAGTCAACTTCATCCCCAGGATGTAAGGCTGGTTCAACATATGCAAATTAATAAATGTAACTCATCAAATAAACAGAACTAAAGGCAAAAACCACATGATTATCTTAATAGATGTAGAAAAGGCCTTCAATAAAGTTCATTAAAAACTCTCAATAAACTCGGTATTGAAGGAAACTACCTCAAAATAATAAGAGCCATTCATGACAAACCCACAGCCAATATCATACTGAATGGACAAAAGTTGGAGGTATTCCATTTGAAAACCAGCACAAGACAAGGATGCCCTCTCTCACCACTCCTATTCAACATAGTATTGGAAATTCTGGCCAGGGCAATCAGGCAGGAGAAAGAAATAAAGCGTATTCAAATAGGAAGAGAGGAAGTCAAATTGTCATTGTTTGCAGACGACATGATTCTAAATCTAGAAAACCCTATCATCTTAGCCCAAAAGCTTCTTAATCTAAGTAACTTCAGCAAAGTCTCAGGATACAAAATCAATGTGCAAGAATCACAAACATTCCTATACACCAACAACAGACAAGCGGAAAGCCAAATAATGAATAAACCTGCATTCACAATTGCTACAAAGAGGATCAAATACCTAGGAATATAGCTAACAAGGGAAGTGAATGACCTCTTCAAGGAGAACTACAAGCCACCACTTTTCAAGGAAATCCAAGAGGACACAAACAAATGAAAAAACATTTTATGCTCACGGATAGGAATAATCAATATCACGAAAATGACCATACTGCCCCAAGTAATTTATAGATTCAATGCAATTCCCATCAAACTATCACTGACATTCTCCATATAATTAGAAAAACACTGTCTTAAAATTCATATGGAACCAAAAAAGAGCCTGTATAGTCAAGACAATCCTAAGCAAAAAGAACAAAGCTGGAGGCATCATGCCACCAGACTGCCTTTTCCTGGCGCCGGCTGCGACCAATTATTATTTAGAGAGACAGCTTTACGACTGCCTGATCATCACCTCATGGTTGCCTGACATTCCTGGTGGTAGTGGGGCCTTCTCCTGCCCTGCTCCTGTCTGCCTGCCTACCTGCTGGAACAAAGGTAGTTGTCCCTTCAAGAGATATATGGAAGGATATTAGCTGGCTGTTGAACTTGAGCACACACTGTAAGGCAAAAACAGATGGCTAGTATACTATCTTCCTGTTTTCCTAACTTTAAAAAGTTTACCTGATGTATTTAGGATATAATTTTGGGATGAAAAGCTGTAAGGATTAATAGAAAAGTAGGAGAACATATGTAAGAAGAATGTGGTTGGGAAGGACAGGGAAATTAGGTAAAAATTTGTAAAGCAAACAGGCTTCTGGGAGGGGATGTGTGTTTTCCTCATCCTGAGGTTTCTTCCATGTGAAGGACACTCTATTAGAATAATCCTCTTGGCTACTCTCAGTCTCTCTGCCCTTGGGGGAGATGGAGTGACCTGTTTTATTGGTGAGGTGGGAAGGAAAAGAACAGCATTTTCCCTTTTCCCTTCCTCTAGGGAGAGAGCTTCCCACAGAGAACCTTGTCCTCTGTATTCCATGTCCTAAAACTAACAGAGGCAGGTAGGTCCCCAGGCAGTGCCTGTGTCAGGAATGGAGAATTATTTCTAATTTTGGAGTTCAGCATTATGAAGGTCACTTGTCTGCTTTTTCTTAATAAAACTTTATAAAGGATAAAGGTAATATTTTGGCATCTATGTGACAATGCCTTGGTCTTATTTCACAGTTGAGTAAGCATCTGTGAAGATGCCCTCTAAAGTCCCAAATAAGATTACTCAAAAGTAAATCAAAACACCCTAAGTTGGCTGTTCTGGCCATGAGGGAGTTGTTGCAGCTAGACTTGCTCTTCTCTATAAACAGCAAAAAAAAAAAAAAAAAAAAAAAAACTGGACAAAATATGTGGAACAATTTTCAGACACTGGACAATATGAAATACAGGGCTGTGATTCCTGAGGGAAAGAAGCAAATATGATGAGTCATATAATTGACCTGGCTATCTGTGTGGAGGCATTTTCTGGACCTCAGTACAGGGAGTGGGGACACAGACAGAGCGCAGTGATCTTGCTAAAGTGAGAAGATGGATACCAACAGTTGGGAGACTGAGGTTCTTGTAATTTGTGGGGCAGAGATGAGGGAGTTGTGCTGAGGAAAACCAACTAACCAATCAAGCAACAAACAAACTAACAAACATCTCTAGAGGTCTTCCCTTTAGTTTTTGCCCAAATGGTAAACTGCACTTTCACAATTTGAAGATCCACAGGGTCAGAGAATACATGCTAGGATCTTTAAGTGAAACAGTTCTTAGGGCTCACATACAACTGAGGAAGTTTGATTTTCAACCAACTGGAATGCATTGACCTCGTTGAACACCCAGGCGTTCCATTGAGATCCCAGAAAAATTAGCATATCTAAATCTAAAGGAAAAGTACTCTAGGTTCACCCCAACAAATCTTAAAAATTGCCCTCAACAAGGTCAAATTGATTATTTTTCTCCTTTTATAAAATTATACTTAAATTCTGGGATACATGTGCAGAACGTGCAGGTTTGTTACACAGGTATACATGTGCCGTGGTGGTTTGCTGCACTCATAAACCCATCATTTACATTAGGCATTTCTCCCAATGCTATCCCTCCCCTTTCCCCCAACCCCCTGACAGGCTCCGGTGTGTGATGTTCCCCTCTCTGTCCCCATATGTTCTCATTGTTCAAATCCCACTTATAAGTGAGAACGTGTGGTGTTTGGTTTTCTGCTCCTGTGTTAGTTTGCTGAGAATGATGGTTTCCAGCTTCATCCATGTCTCTGCAAAGGGCATGAACTCATCCTTTTTTACGGCTGCATAGTATTCCATGGTGTATATGTGCCACATTTTCTTTATCAGGTCTATCATTGATGGACATTTGGGTTAGTTCCAAGTCTTTGCTATTGTAAATAGTGCTGCAATAAACATACGTGTGCATGAATCTTCATAGTAGAATGATTTATAATCCTTTGGATATATACTCAGTAATGGGATTGCTTGGTCAAATGGTATTTCTAGTCCTAGATCCTTGAGGAATTGCCACACTGTCTTCTACAATGATTGAACTAATTTACTCTCCCACCAAAAGTGTAAAAGTGTTTCTATTTCTCCACATCCTCTCCAGGATCTGTTGTTTCCTGACTTTTTAATGATCACCATTCTAAATGGCATGAAGTGGTATCTCATTGTGGTTTTGATTTGCATTTCTCTAATAACCAGTGATGATGAGTTTTTAAAAATATGTTTGCTGGCCACATAAACATCTTCTTTTGACAGTTGTCTGTTCATATACTTTGCCCACTTTTTGATGGGGTTGTTTGTTTTTTTCTTGTAAATTTGTTTAAGTTCCTTGTAGATTCTGGATATTAGCTCTTTGTCAGATGGCTAGATTGCAAAAATTGTCTCCCATTCTGTAGGCTGCCTGTTCACTCTGATGATAGTTTATTTTGCTGTGCAGAAGCTCTTTAGTTTAATTAGATCCCATTTGTCAATTTTGGTTTTTGTTGTCATGGCACTTGATGTTTTAGTCATGAAGTATTTGCCCATGCCTATGTCCTGAATGGTATTGCCTAGGGTTTCTTCTAGGATTTTTATGGTATTAGGTCTTATATTCAAATATTTAATTCATCTTGAGTTAATTTTTGTATAAGGTGTAAGGAAGGGGTCCAGTTTCAGTTTTCTGTATATGGCTAGCCAGTTTTCCCAGCACCATTTATTAAATAGGGAATCCTTTCCCCGTTGCTTGTTTTGTCAGGTTCATCAAAGATCAAATGGTTGTAGATGGGTGGTGTTATTTCTGAGGCTTCTGTTCTGTTTCCTTGTTCTATATATCTGTTTTCATACCGGTACTAAGCTATTTTGGTTACTGTAGACTTGTAGTATAGTTTGAAGTCAGGTAGTGTGATGCCTCCAGCATTGTTCTTTTTGCTTAAGATTGTCTTGGCTATACAGGCTCTTTTTCGGTTGATCGTAGTGGATAAGCTTTTTAATGTGTTGCTGGATTCGATTTGCCAGCATTTTATTGAAAATTTTCACACTGATGTTTACCAGGGATATTGGCCTGAAATTTTCTTTTTTTGTTGTGTCTCTGCCAGATTTTGGTATCAGAATGATGCTGGCCTCATAAAAAGAGTTAGGGAGGAGTCCCTCTTTTTCTATTGCTTGGAATAATTTTAGAATAAATGGTATCAGCTCCTCTTCATACTTCTGGTAGAATCTGGCTGTGAATCCATTCGGTCTTGGGCTCTTTTTCATTGGTATGCTATTAATTACTGCTTCAATATCAGAACTTGTTATTGGTCTATTCAGGGATTCGACTTCTTCCTGGTTTAGTCATGGGTGGGTGTGTGTGTCCAGGAATTTATTCATTTATTCTAGATTTTCTAGTTTATTTGTGTAGAAGTGCTTATAGTATTCTCTGATGGTAGTTTGTGTTTCTGTGGGATCAGTGGTGATATCCCCTTTATCAATTTTTACTGTGTCTATTTGATTCTCTTTTTTCTTCTTTACTAGTCTGGATAGTAATCTATCTATTGTGTTAATCTTTTCAAAAAGCCAGCTCCTGGATTCACTGATTTTTTTGAAGGGTTTTTTTGTGTCTCTATCTCCTTCAGTTCTGCTCTGATCTTAGTTATTTCTTGTTGTATGCTAGTTTTTGAATTTGTTTCCTTTTGCTTCTCTAGTTCTTTTAATTGTGATGTTAGGGTGTCAATTTTAGATCTTTCCTGCTTTATCCTGTGGGCATTTAATGCTTTAAATTTACCTCTAAATATTGCTTTAGCTGTGTCCCAGAGATTCTGGTATGTTGTGTCTCTGTTCCCATTGCTTTCAAATAACTTATTTATTTCTGCCTTAATTTCATTATTTATCCAGCCATCATTCAGGAGCAGATTGCTCAATTTCCATGTAGTTGTGCAGTTTTGAGTGAGTTTCTTAATCCTGAGTACTAATTTGATTACACTGTGGTCTGTGAGACTGTTTGTTATAATTTCTGTTCTTTTGCATTTGCTGAGGAGTGTTTTACTTCCAATTATGTGGTCAATTTTAGAATAAGTGTAATGTGGTGCTGAGAAGAATGTATATTCTGTTGATTTGGGGTGGAGAGTTAGTAGATGTCTATTAGGTCCGCTTAGTCCAGAGCTGAGTTCAAGTCCTGAATATCCTTGTTAATTTTGTGTCTCATTGATCTGTCTAATATTGACAGTGGGGTGTTTAAGTCTCTTAGTGTTATTGTGTGGGAGTCTAAGTCTCTTTGTAGGTCTCTAAGACCTACTTTGTGAATCTGGTGCTCCTGTATTGGGTGCATATATATTTAGGATAGTTAGCTCTTCTTGTTGCGTTGATCTTTTTACCATTATGTAATGCCCTTCTTTGTCTTTTTGGATCTTTGTTGGTTTAAAGTCTGTTTTCTCAGAGACTAGGATTGCAACCCCTGCTTTTCTTTGCTTTCCATTTGCTTGGTAAATATTCCTCCATCCCTTTATTTTGAGCCTATGTGTGTCTTTGCATGTGAGATGGGTCTCCTGAATAGAGCACACTGATGTGTCTTGACTCTTTATCCAATTTGCCAGTATGTGTCTTTTAATTGGGGCATTTAGCACATTTACATTTAAGGTTAATATCATTATGTATGAATTTGATCTTGTCATTATGATGCTAGCTGGTTATTTTGCCCATTAGTTGATGCAGTTTCTTCACAGTGTTGATAGTCTTTACATTTTTGTTTGTTTGTGGAGTGGCTGGTACCAGTTTTTCCTTTGCATATTTAGTACTTCCTTCAGGAGCTATTGTAAGGTAGGCCTGGTGGTGACAAAATCTCTAGGCATTTTCTTGTCTGTAAAGTATTTTATTTCTCCTTCACTTATGAAGCTTAATTTGGCTGGATATGAAATTCTGGGTTGAAAATTGTTTTCTTTAAGAATGTTGAATATTGGCCCCACTCTCTTCTGGCTTGTAGGGTTTCTGCAGAGAGATCTGCTGTTAGTCTGATGGGCTTTCCTTTGTGGGTAACCTGATCTTTCTCTCTGGCTGCCCTTAACATTTTTCCCTTCATTTCAACCTTGGTCAGTCTGACGATTATGTGTGTTGGGGTTGCTCTTCTTGAGGAGTATCTTAGTTGTGTTGTCTGTATTTCCTGAATTTGAATGTTGGCCTGTCTTGCTAGGTTGGGGAAGTTCTCCTGGATAATATCCTGAAATGTATTTTCCAACTTGGTTCCATTCTCCCCGTCACTTTCAGGTACACCAATCAAACATAGGTTTGGTCTTTTCACATAGTCCCATATTTCTTAGAGGCTTTGTTCGTTCCTTTTCATTCTTTTTTTTCCTAATCTTGTCTTCATGCTTTATTTCATTAAGTTGATCTTCAATCTCTGATATCTTTTCTTCTGCTTGATCGATTTGTCTGTTGACACTTGTTTATGCTTCATGAAGTTCTTGTACTGTGTTTTTCAGCTCCATCAGGTCATTTATGTTCTTCTCTAAACTATTTATTCTAGTTAGCAGTTTTTGTAACATTTTTTCAAGGTTCTTAGCTTCCTTGTATTGGGTTAGAACATGCTCCTTTAGCTCGGAGAAATTTGTTATTACCCACCTTCTCAAGCCTACTTCTTTCAATTCATCAACTCATTCTCTGTCCAGTTTTGTTCCCTTGCTGGTGAGGAGTTGTGACCCTCTGGAGGAGAAGAAGCATTCTGGTTTTTGGAATTTTCAGCCTTTTTGCACTTGTTTTTCCTCATCTTCATGGATTTGTCTACCTTTGGTCTTTCATGTTGGTGACTTTCGGGTGGGGTTTTTGAGTGGTCATCCTTTTTGTTGATGTTGATACTATTGCTTCCTGTTTTTTACTTTTCCTTCTAACAGTCAGTCCCCTCTTCTGCAGGTCTGCTGGCATTTGCTGGAGGTCCACTCCAGAACCTGTTTGCCTGGGTATCACCAGCGGAGGCTGCAGAACAGCAAAGATAGCTGCCTGCTTCTTCCTCTGGAAGCTTCATCCCAGAGGGGCACCTGCCAGATGCCAGCTGGAGCTCTCCTCTATGAGGTTTCTGTCAACCCCTGCTGGGAGGTCTGTCCCCAGCAGGAGGCACAGGGGTCAGGGACCTACTTGAGGAGGCAGTCTGTCCCTTAGCAGAGCTTGAGCACTGTGCTGGGAGATCTGCTGCTGTCTTCAGAGCTGGCAGGCAGGAAAATTTAAGTATGCTGAAGCTGTGCCCACAGCTGCCCCTTCGCCAAGGTGCTCTGTCCCAGGGAGATGGGAGTTTTATCTATTAGCCCGTGACTGGGGCTGCTGCCTTTCTTTCAGAGATGCCCTATCCTGAGAGGAGGAATCTGGAGAGGCAGTCTGGCTACAGTGGCTTTGAGGCGCAGAGATGGGCTCCACTCAGTCCGAACTTCCCGGTGGCTTTTTTTACACTGTGAGGGGAAAACCGCCTACTCAAGCCTCAGTAATGGTGGATGCCCATCACCCCACCAAGCTCGAACATACCAGGTTGACTTCAGACTGCTGTGCTGGCAGCGAGAATTTCAAGCCAGTGGATCTTACCTTGTTGGGCTCCCTGGAGGTGGGATACACTGAGCAAGACAACTCGGCTCTCTGGCTTCAGCCCCCTTTCCAGGGGAGTGAATGGTTCTGTCTTGCTGGCATTCCAGGTGCCACTGGGGTACAAAAAAACAAAACAAAACAAAACAAAAAAACAAAACTGCAGCTAGGTAGGTGTCTTCCCAAATGGCCACCCAGTTTTGTGCTTAAAACCCAGGGCCCTGGTGGTGTAGGCACCCAAGGGAATCTCCTGGTCTGTAGGTTGTGAAGACTGTGGGAAAAGCATAGTACCTGGCCCAGAATGCACTGTTCCTCACGGCACAGTCCCTCATGGCTTCCCTTGGCTATGGGAGGGAGTTTCCTGACCCCTGGCACTTCTCAGGTGAGGCAACACCCCACCCTCCTTTGTCTTGCCCTCTGTTGGTTGCACCCACTGTCTAACCAGTCCCAATGAGATGAGCTAGATACCTCAGTTGGAAATGCAGAAATCACCTGCCTTCTGCATTGGTCTCGCTGGGAGCTGCAGACTGGAGCTGTTCCTATTCAGCCATCTTGCCCGGGAATTTGTCAAACTGATTCTTAAGGAACTTAACTACCTCCAAAACAACACTCTTTAAAGGAAGACAACAAGATCCAAATACAATATATTAGTGTTCTTCAAAGAAGCAGAGCTGATTTGTGTGTGTGTGTGTGTGTAATGTGTGTTTGTGTGTATGGAGAGAGAAACAGAGAGAGACTTATTATGCCTAGAAGTGTGAAATATGCAGAACCCTTGGTCCCGTTCGAGTCCAAAGGCCGCATACTGCTATAGAACCAGAAAGAGCTTATGTCCCAGTTCAAAGGCTGTCAGGCAGGAATATTTTCTCTTACTTGGGAGAGGGTTGGGCTTTTTTTCTGTTCAGACCTTTAAGTGATTGAATGAGACCTACTCACATTATGGAGGGCAATCTGCTTTACTCAGTTTACTGATTTAAATCTTAATCTCATCCAAAAACACTCTCATAGAAACACCCAGACTAATGTTTGGCCAAATATCTGGGCACCCAGTGGCCCAGTCAAGTAGACACAAAAAAATTAGCAACCACATTTAACAATGTAACATTTATAATTTTCACCTCTAATAAAATATTACTAGACATACAAAGAAAAAGAAAAATATGACCCATAACCAGTGAAATAAGTCAATAGAAGCAGAAGCAGAAATAAAAATAATATTAGAAATAGAAGACAAAAACCTTAATATAGCTATTATAAACGTGCTTGGGCTTTAAAGTAAAACATAAATTTAATAAAGAAATGGAAACTATAAAAAAGAACCAAATGGAACTTCTGGAGTTGAAAAATACAAGATCTGAAATTAAAAATGCGATAGATAGTCTTAACAGTAGATTAAAGATGCAGAAGATGTGATAAGTGGACTTGAAGTAAGAATAATAGAAACCATAAAAAAAAAATAGTACAAAGAAAGAGAGAAAAAAAGGCTGAGAAAAAAAGCCTAGAGCTTCTATGACCCGTGGATAATACAAAATGTTCTAATATAGTGAGACTGAAGCCCAAGTAAAAGAGGAACGGGACAAATATTTAAAGAATGATGCCTGAAACTCATCCAAATTTGATGAATACTATAAATCTACAAATTCAAGAAGAATAAACACAGAGTAAACCATACCAAGGTACAACATAATCAATTGCTGAAAACAAAATTAATGAGAAAATCTTAAGTGCAAGGAGACATGGGGGAAGACATATTAAATAAAAAGGAATATGGATAAGAGTTATCACTGACTCCTTAATAGAAACAATACAAGCCATCTTTGAAATGCCAAAGGGGGAAAAAAACCCCTGTTCACATAGCATCTATATTAAGTGACAATCTCTTTCACAAATGAAGCAAAATAAAGATATTTTCTGCCTAACAAAAGCAAAAAATATTGTTACAAGGAGACCTGCATATCAGAAAGTTTAAAAAATATTCTTCATTTTGAAGGAAAATGATATCAGATGGAAACGAATCTATTCAAAGAAATGAAAAGCACTGAAAGTGGTAGATCTGTAGGCAAATATGATATTTGTTCTCATTAAAATTTTTTACATGATAATTAAAAAATTAAGAACAATATATGGCATTATAACAAATGTATCAGTGAAATGAATGAAAATGATAGCACAGTGATGGAAGGGACGAATGGAATTTATAGTGTTTAAAGTTTTCATACTACACTTAATGATATATTATTTGAAGATTGGCTGTGATTAGTTGATGCATATTTTAAACACTAGCAAAGTCGCTTTAAAAAGGAGGTATGTTGTTTAGTAGAGGAGACAAAATAGAACATTAACAAATACTTAATCAAACGAAAAAGAAGAAAAAAGGATAAAGAATGGATTAGAAGGACGGGCATGGTGGCTCACGCCTGTAATCCCAGCACTTTGGGAGGCCAAGGTGGGCGGATCACAAGGTCAGGAGTTCGAAACCAGCCTGACCAACATAGTGAAACCCCATCTCTACTAAAAATACAAAAAAATTAGCCAGGTGTGGTGGCGCATGCCTGTAATCCCAGCTACTCAGGAGGCTGAGGCAGGATAATCACTTGAACCTGGGAGACAGAGGTTGCTGTGAGCCAAGATCATGCCATTGCACTCCAGCCTGGGCAATAAGAGTGAAACTCCATCCCCACCCCCCCTAAAAAAAGAATGGATTAGAAAACAACAAATAGCAAGGTGATAGATTCAAACCTAGCCATATTGATAATAAAATTAAATGTAAATTATCTAAATACTCCAATTAAAAGGCAGAGATTATCAAAATGGATTTAAGAAAAATAAGACCCAAATACATGTTACCTAGAAGAAAAGCACTATAAATATGAGAATAAATACTTTGGAAGTAAAAGACATACCCTGCAAACACTAAGCAAGGGACAGCTCGGCCGGGTGTGGTAGCTCACGCGGGTAATCCTGACACTTTGAGAGTCCAAGGCAGGTGGATTGCCTGTTCGAGACCAACCTGGGCAACACAGTGAAACACCATCTCTACTAAAACACAAAAAGTTAGCCTGGTGTGGTGGCGGGCTCCTGTAATCCCAGCTATTCGGGAGGCTGAGACAGGAGAATCACTTGATCCCAGGAGGCAGAGGTTGCAGAGAGCCAACATTGTGCCATTGCACTCCAGCCTGGGTGACAGAGCAAGACTCCGTCTCAAAAAAAAAAAAAAAAAAAAAAAAAAAAGGAAACAGTTGAATTGCCTATATTAGTATTACACAAAGCAGCCTTCAGGACAAGGAATATTACCAGAGATGAAGACAACCTTTCCTTAATTATAAGAGTCAATTCATCTAGAAGGCAAAACAAACCTAATGTGTGTGCACCTAAACACAGAGATTTAAGACATATTAAGCAAAAACTGGCAGAACTGAAAAAAAGATGATTCAACAATTATATCTGGAGATTTCAACACTTCTCAGTAACTGATAGAACAAGAGAGAAAATCAGAAAGGATTTAGAAGACTTGAACGTCACCACAACCAATTTGACCTATTTCACATTTAGAGAAGACTACACCCAACAATGATATGACACACATCCCTTTCAAGTGCATAAGGAACTTTCCTGTGGTTAGGTATATACTGGGTCATAAAACAAGTCTTGATAAGCTTTAAAAGACTGAAATTACATATAGTATATGAGCATAACAGAATTAAATTAGAAATCAATTAAAAATATGTGGAAAATATCTGAATATTCAAAAATAGAACAAGATATTTCTAAATAATCCACAGATCAAAGAAGAAATCTCAGAGGAAATCTCAAAGGAAATCAGAATTTTTTTGAATTGAATGACAACGAAAACATAAAATACCAAAATTTGTAGGCTGTAGTTAAAACAGTGCTTACAGGGAAATTGATAACATTAAATACTCACATTAGAAAATAACATAGAGTTTTGATCATTACACCCTCCATTCATATAACAAAATGTTACATATAACTCATAAATATGTAAAATATTGTATATCAGAAAAAAATAGAGCTTTAAATTAATATGTTGCACCTTAACAAACTAGGCAAAGAAGGGAAAATATGCACAACATTTTGCATGTAATTTCTTGTGATCCTGGAACCCTCTGAAACCTATCATGAACTGCCGGTTAAGAATCCCTGATCCCAGGCCTGGCACGGTGGCTCACACCTGTAATCCCAGCAGTTTGGGAGGCCTAGGTGGGAGGATCACGAGGTCAGGAGATCAAGACCATCTTGGCCAACATGGTGAAATCCTGTCTCTGCTAAAATATGAAAAATCATCCAGGTGTAGTGGCCCATGCCTGTAATCCCAGCTACTTGGGAGGCTGACACAGGTGAATTGTTTGAACCCGGGAGGCAGAGGTTGCAGTGAGCTGAGATCACGCCACTGCACTCCAGCCTGATGACAGAGCAAGAGTCTGTCAAAAAAAAAAAAAAAAAAAAAAATCCCTGATCCCTAATGATTAATCCCAAATTTGTATCCCCATCCCAGACCTCAGTCCTGAGCTCCAGAATTTTAGGTTGAAATGCTTTCAGGACATCTACAGTTAAACAGTTCACAGACACCTAAAAATTAAAACTTCCAAAACATAGTGAACTAACTCCTCCTCCTGTTTCCTTTCTTCCCATATCTCTTCTTCCTTGTCTCAACCTATACCAAGGAACTATGTGACCACCCGCTTAGCTGCCCATATTGAAATCCTGGGCATCTTCTCTTTCCCTCACTCACGCATATAGTCAATCCCTAAATCCTGCTTTTTTTTTTTTTTTTTCAACACCTAAAACCTCTCACAGCCACCTGTTTTTCTCCATCCTGTTGCTGTTGTCATCAAGTAGGTCATGAACATTTCCTGGGTAGATCTGTGAACAGCTTCCTAACTCATCCCTCCTCTCCCTCACCTCTGGTTGCTCTTTCTGTATATCCACTTTCACAAGGCAGTGAGGATGACATTTCAAAATGGGCTAATATGATCTTGACATGTCTTCATTGATGACCTTTATCTAGCTTTGCTGTGTCCTTGGGATTGATTCCAGTGTCTCTAACATGGCTTATAAGACCCTTCATGATTGGGACCCTATTCATCCCGAGTCTTCTCCTCATGTTCTGCTCTTAACTTTATGTTCACTGATAATGAATTATTTCTGTTTCTCTCCGTTTCATGCTTTGCTCTTTCTTTTAGGCCTTCACAGATGCTGTTCCTTTTGTCTGGAATATTTTTCCTGACCCCTTTCCCTTTATACCCTCATCCCCACTCCCCCCCACCCCACCCTCACTTTATCGAATCATTCCTATTCAGCCTGTAGACCTAATTTAGCTGTGATTTCTCTGTCAGGACTTCCCAGATCTTCCTTCTGCGGCTTCCCTGTCTCCTCCTCCAGTGAGTTAGTGTCCCTGCTGAGAATCTCATTGCATTTTATCATTCTGAATTGGAATTTCTGAATTGTGTGTCTTCCCCACTCAACTCTAAATATAATGTTTATCCTTGCAGATATTGTGGTGCCTTATATTTTGACAACCTTTGGCCATATAAGGATTCTGGAATTACTAATTACCTGGGAAAATACATGAAAACTATAATGTAAATAAAGCAAAACCGGTAGACATTCAATAAATATGTAATTTATGTGCTTGTGATTAAATAGTGTATTTCACTGTCATAACCTATTCTCCTATAAATTTTTTGTCTATTCTGTTGACAAGGAAAGTATAATTATTTGTTTTGTTAATAAGCATTGGGCTGTATTGGACAGATTATGAGAAATATTAAATGTTATAGTTTTCTCTTATTTTTCTATATATTTGATTATCTTTTCCTTTCCTTGAGAGGAATTCTGAGCATAGAATTATAGATATTTGCTTGAGAATCTGTGATGTATTCAGTTTAGCATCCCAAATGAATGCAAAATTGATGAGCTTTTGAATGTGCTAAGTCATTTTGCCTGCTTTTTATTTTTGCATTATTAAGTTGTCATTGCCTGTTCTCTTTTGTCCTTTTACTCTGCACATCCAAATGTTCAGTCCTAAAATTATACCATGCCATCACCAAATGTCCAGCACCAGATCCTTATTAGGAGAATAACAGATCCGCTAGAGATTAGAAGGGGTCAGTATGCCCTTTTGGCGTGACTCTCATACACTGTACTCTACTTCGGTAGAAAAACAAAATCATTAAAATAACGTCACACATGAATACTCATTAAACCATGTTATAAACTTTCAGTTCATTTCACCAGGTCTGAGATTCAGTTTATCTGTTCATCAGGTGATGCAGATAAAAGTGGCAAAGAATTTTGGGGGTATTTAAAGAAATAACCTATAGTTATGTGCTCCTAATTTTAGCTACCTGTATAATATAGTAGGAGAAAAATCAATAGAAAAGTAAATGTGGTCAAGTGTAACTGAACAATATTGGTGTCAGCCCTGACCATAAATATAGCACATTTAGAAGTGTTCTAAGCATAACCAAGCCAATTATTGTGTCAGCCCTAACTCTGGAGCTACAAGGAGAAAAAGAAGTATCATTCATATGGAAAAAGAATTGGATCCAGGCATACGGATATCTTATAGGTATTTGATGTTCCACAGAAAAAATAACCTAAGAGACTATTATCAAGAGATTAAAGCTTTAAATTTAATAGATCTGTTGGCTTCCCCCCCCCCCCCATTTGAGTCAGTGGTTAGGTTATTGATGTCATTCATTCATTTATTCACTCATCAAACTCTTATTCACCCAGTGCATGGCATGCACAGTGCTGCTGGGGCTCCAGACATACATAGCACACAATCCGTGACATCAAGCAGGAAGAACTAAAGGCAGAGACTGTGGGTGCTCTATGTGCATATATGCTTCTCTCTGAGGAAATTTAGGTCATGCTCTCCGGCCTCCACTTGAAGTGAACCTCTACCCTGTCCCTCTCCCTGGATTCCTGTGGAAATGTTAGAGGAATACTCAAGGCAACTGTAGCTGCCCCAATTTGGATGCTTCCTGTTAAAATATTCAGAGGATTCCATGTTATTTTCCCCAAATAAATATTCTAAGTAAATGTAGGTTTCATTTACTTAGGGTTATTTTCCCCAAATAAATATTCTAAGTAAATGTAGGTTTCATTTACTCAGGGTTATTTTCCCCAAATAAATATTCTAAGTAAATGTAGGTTTACATTGATCTTTTACTTAATTTAGAAAGAACCTTCAACGGTGCATTACATTTGTTGCTATGTAATGTCAAGGATTACTATCATTGTGATTGGTGCCATCTGCAATAAATGCAGAGGAAGAAGCACATAGCAGGGCTGAAGATTTAGAGCCTCTCTCCCAGTGGACACGAGCTTATGTTAGGACATGCCTCTAAATTGGTATGACTCACATGGCAAGAGGATAGATTTCTCTGTGCCTTTTATATTTTGTTTTGTTCCTTAAAAGTTTTTTTTCTTTTTCTTCCCCTGGGGATAGAAATATGTTTTTTCCATTTTTACAGGCAAACCACTTCAATAGAACATGGCTGGCGGCCATATGGACATATTTGAATCCAACAATTAATTCAGCAAAGAAAGCTGCTTGTGGCAAGTTTTGAATGTGCCATTCCAGGTAGTGCTTTGATGATAAATGAGGAGAAGATTGCAAAGAAAATGACAGCAACATTTATAAAAGGGTATGTTTCCTTTATTCATTTAATGATATTCAAATTATTAGTTGTTGTCTATTTAATGTGAAGTCTATGGCACTTGAAGGAGGTACTTAACACTTTCTATGTATAATTTTACGGCAAAAAATATGGTGTTAATTTTCAAGGCACTTACAATCTAGCAAACTTTGGAATGAGTAAATGTATTACCCTTATCTGAAACTCCTAAGTCTAGACTTTTGGCTGGCATGGCTTCCAGAACTGGCTTTATGATGGTATTTCAGAACCAGCACTTCCAGCCAAAACCAATAAGTGTGGAGTGGCTCAAAGACGGAAATTACCAAACCAAACCAAAACAGAAACCCCTCAAAACAGAAAAACAAGCTCACGTTAACGAAACACATTAGAATCTCATAAAGGACTATTAGGAATATCTAGGAAACCACTCATTGTTTTTGTTTTATTTCACTAGGTTTTGTCTCAAGGTTGTCCTATCCCTGGATGATCCCTTCAGCTCTAACATTTGCAGAATCAAAGCTTTAGCTTCCAGTCATCACTCTTCACATGCAGGGAGCACACATGGTGTGTGGCTAGGATCCTTTCCCTTTAGAATTCCTTGGCATCAAGAGTAGATAAAAGGGGAAATAAAAGTATCAGGATATTATGTGGGTTTCATGTACATTTTACTGAAAGATAACTGTTTAACCTCCATCCAGGGAAATGAAATACTCCATGGCCATCCAAAGACCTGAGAAGTATACATTAACAATTCTGTGAACACTGGATTAAATATTTCCTCTGAAAAAATCTATAGCAGCTTATTTTTGTCTAATTTTATCAGCTACTTTTAATAATGTTACCACTTAAACACTTAGATATTTATTGCGTGTACCATAAAAATATCAATTAGTTGAGTTTCTGAACTGAAACATGTGGTCAGATACCCAAATTATAATTTAATTCAAATTAATAAGACATTGCAAATATGGTGATAGTTGCAACTATCCACAATATCCCAAAGGGTCTGACTTCTGGAGGGAGATATAAACTCCCTCCAGAGCATTTTATAGAGGTAATGTTTATATTTCCCTTCAGAAGTTGAACCTATTGGGATATTGTGTTTATATTTTCAGTTTCAGCCACTATTATCCCAATATGCACACTGCACTTCACTTAGATGAAGCATAAAGGATATCTTCCCCATTCTTTTCATTGAATGAGAATAGAATTATTGGATATGACTTTTAAAAATTACTAAAACGTATAAAATAATGGCACTACATATTTCCATATTTAAAGTGTGACAGAGAACTGCAGGCAGTAGTGTTGTGCAATTATGAGAATAGACAGCAAAGAACTGAAATGTTGCCCGGCATTGTTTATTTTTGAAAGCTTTATGTATACACCAGGAATGCAAAGAAGTACAAATCCTGGGAAAGGGTTAAGTGATGGGACCATCAGCTCTGCAAGGCTGTGGTGCATGAATCTCTTGACTTTCAAACAGTTTGGTAGGGTATGGCTCTTTCAATGTGTAGAAGTCATGACACAATGCAGGAAGTTTATTGAAACCTTTGTACTGCTATATTTAGCCTGACATCCAGTGTTCTAGGCTAGTTACAAGACAGTGTGATCTCCTTACAGAATACCAAAATGAACTATTTACACTAAAGGAAAGTAGTTTAGGAATGTTTCAGAGAAGAATTAAATATGGGGTAAATATTATCTTCATTCCTTTGCAAAAACCTGTTTTATACTAGTTATTTCATTTTACTTTGAATTTGGATTCATGCTTAGGGGAAAATAGTTAGATTTTATGTTCCAAACATAATTAATTGTTATGGTTACAGTAAAATGAAAATCATAATGGGAAGAATTTGCAATATGGAAGAAAATCACCCACCATTATGTAGCCTTAATCAGATTTAAAAATTTAGGCTCACTTTTTGATTTGTTGCTTAGAGCATAACCCCTTAATCCCTTTATGGGTACTTTTTGTCACATATAAAATGGAGAAAGTAATAATTACAACCTGCTTTTGAGGCTCCTTGGAAGATGAATACAATGAAAAGTAGAAAAATCAATCTTTATTATTATTATGTTTGAGACGCTGGCAGAACAGTGTGATTCCAACATGATATCTAATTACAGCCAAAATTTTTCAGGAGGCAGTAGCTAATTTTGCACATCTTCTTTAATTGCCACATTTTCATGGGAACTTACATGGCAATTGATTAGAAGTCAAGGTTTTAAAGGTATGAAGAAACATTATCTTTCACATGCCATCAGCATGATCTGTCAAAAATACAGTTTGCCATTTTACTTCAGTGTTAAAAATTCCTCAGTGATTTCTCCATTGAATTCAAGATGAGCATAATATGCACAGTATTGCATAATGCAGATCTGATCAACTTTTTTCAGTTTCAGTCGCCATCATCCCAATATACACACTGCACTTTACTTTCACCAAACTTCATAGAGCGCCCTGACCGCACCAAGCTCTCCTGAACTTTCTTGCCTTCACTTGTATTTTTCCCTCTGCCGGATGTGCCATATCCTCATTACTGCCCCCACCAACATAGTGTAATCTTCTCAGTTTGAAAATTAAGCTTATATCACCTCCTCTACATACCTGTTTCTGACCTTGCCGTTGCCTGAAGACAATGCTGTATTTGTTTAATATGACTCTCTCCCAAACACACTGTGGGCTCCTTAAGTGTAGTCTCTCTGTTCTTTCTACCTTTATATCCCCAGAGCCTAGCTCAGTGTTTGCTGACTGAATAAGTGAATAAAAGAATGAAACTCTGATATGAACTGTATAATGTCTCTCTAGAAGCATCTGGAATTTGTCATTAATAATAAATTAAGTTGCTTTAATCTTCCAGAGTTTGGAACTAATTGAGAGATGGGACCAAGAAACAGGCATGTCAAAATCAAAATGACAGCTTTGTTACAGTTAATAAAGGCTTGGTTGGGGGACATGACTTATGTGGTTATAAGACATTTCCTAGTGGAACCCAAGAATTGGGCACAAGACCTTCTCAGTCAAGGCAGTTCTGAACAACCACAGGCCACCTTCCTATTTAGGTATAGAGTCTTGACCACTAAGTCTGTGACATGAGCAAGAGTAGATCAGAACATCTGCATGTGGTCAGATCCTAAAGAGAATGAGGAAAAATGCTGATCCAGGCCTGTTTACTTTCTACTCCAAACCCATCAGTTAGTTAATTCTATCCTTTTCCCTTAGGAAACAATTGGCATAGGGGCAGATAAGCTAGAAGTGTTCTTTGAATGAATCTCTTACTGTAGGGGAACAGTAAATTAGGGGAATGTAAGCTCCCCTGGTTGCCTTCCTATAGCACTTCCAACAGTTCTCTTTTCATATGTCCTTTCCCTGGCAATAGTACTGTGCTTTCCCCAGCTAGCAGAGCATAATTACAGAGCCAGTGTTACAGTTGATAGTTCATCCTCTCTGGTGAGCAACTGGCAGAGATCATCCACCTGTAGTCTCAGACTTATAATGAATTGTTGGTATCTTATATTTCAATTTTTAAATATAAAACTAATACCTGATAACCTTAAAAATTACAAGTGATTCAGATACATAAAAGTAAGCTTCCCTAAAACTTTTTCTCTCTTCCAACCTTCTCCCCTGGGTGGTGATAACTATTGTTTATGTATGTATCTCCAGACTTTAAAAATAGCCATTTATGAATGTTTAGGCATAAACATTTTTGAAATCACAAGTACTTGATAACTGATAGACACTTTCCCACCTCAATTTATATGCTTAACTCATTCTTTTTGGCATACCATAGTATGAATGTTTCATATTCCCCCCTATTCTCTGGATACTTAGGTTGTTTCCAATTTTTCACTACACAAAGAATAAAGATTCTGTACAACCATCTCTCTTACTATTTCTGTAGGAGAAATTCTTATAAGTAAAAGCTGAGTCAAGTAATTTGTACATCATAATTCTGATGGATATTGCTGCATTGTGCTTTCAAAGTCTATACTAACAATATATCAAGTTCCCATTTCCTGAAACTTATGGATCCTGGATATCATAAAGCTTTCAAGTTTTTGCCAATCTAGTGGTGGAAACATATCTTATTGTTTAAATTTCCATTTCCTTTTTTACTTATGATATTAAACATGATTCTGTATCGTTAGCAGTCTTTGGTACTTCCTCTTCTGCCAGTTCATAACTTTTGCCCAATTTCCTTTGGTAATTTAAGTTTTTATATATTATAAATTTTAAATCTGTATCTGCTATGTGGCAAATAATTTTTTTTCCATCATTCTAATCCATTTATTTATTTTTATTTTATTTTATTATTATTACACTTTAAATTTTAGGGTACATGTGCACAATGTGCAGGTTAGTTACATATGTATACATGTGCCATGCTGGTGTGCTGCACCCACTAACTCGTCATTTAGCATTAGGTATATCTCCTAATGCTATCCCTCCCCCCTCCCCCCATCCCACAACAGTCCCCAGAGTGTGATGTTCCCCTTCCTGTGTCCATGTGTTCTCATTGTTCAATTCCCACCTATGAGTGAGAACATGCGGTGTTTGGTTTTTTGTCCTTGTGATAGTTTACTGAGAATGATGATTTCCAATTTCATCCATGTCCCTACAAAGGACATGAATTCATCATTTTTTATGGCTGCTTAGTATTCCATGGTGTATATGTGCCACATTTTCTTAATCCAGTCTATCATTGTTGGACATTTGGGTTGGTTCCAAGTCTTTGCTATTGTGAATAGTGCCACAATAAACATACGTGTGTATGTGTCTTTATAGCGGCATGATTTATAGTCCTTTGGGTATATACCCAGTAATGGGATGGCTGGGTCAAATGGTATTTCTAGTTCCAGATCCCTGAGGAATCACCACACGGACTTCCACAATGGTTGAACTAGTTTACAGTCCCACCAACAGTGTAAAAGTGTTCCTATTTCTCCACATCCTCTCCAGCACCTGTTGTTTCCTGACTTTTTAATGATTGCCATTCTAACTGGTGTGAGATGGTATCTCATAGTGGTTTTGATTTGCATTTCTCTGATGGCCAGTGATGGTGAGCATTTTTTCATGTGGTTTTTGGCTGCATAAATGTCTTCTTTTGAGAAGTGTCTGTTCATATCCTTTGCCCACTTTTTGATGGGGTTGTTTTTTTCTTGTAAATTTGTTTGAGTTCTTTGTAGATTCTGGATATTAGCCCTTTGTCAGATGAGTAGGTGGCAAAAATTTTCTCCCATTTTGTAGGTTGCCTGTTCACTCTGATGGTAGTTTCTTTTGCTGTGCAGAAGCTCTTTAGTTTAATTAGATCCCATTTGTCAATTTTGGCTTCTGTTGCCATTGCTTTTGGTGTTTTAGATATGAAGTCCTTGCCCATGCCTATGTCCTGAATGGTAATTCCTAGGTTTTCTTCTAGGGTTTTTATGGTTTTAGATCTAACGTTTAAGTCTTTAATCCATCTTGAATTAATTTTTGTATAAGGTGTAAGGAAGGGATCCAGTTTCAGCTTTCTACATATGGCTAGCCAGTTTTCCCAGCACCATTTATTAAATAGGGAATCCTTTCCCCATTGCTTGTTTTTGCCAGGTTTGTCAAAGATCAGATAGTTGTAGATATGCGGCGTTATTTCTGAGGGCTCTGTGGATACAAAATCAATGTACAAAAATCACAAGCATTCTTATACACCAATAGCAGACAAACAGAGAGCCAAATCATGAGTGAACTCCCATTCACAATTGCTTCAAAGAGAATAAAATACCTAGGAATCCAACTTACAAGGGATGTGAAGGACCTCTTCAAGGAGAACTACAAACCACTGCTCAATGAAGTAAAAGAGGATACAAACAAATGGAAGAACATTCCATGCTCATGGGTAGGAAGAATCAATATCGTGGCCATACTGCCCAAGGTAATTTATAGATTCAATGCCATCCCCATCAAGCTACCAATGACTTTCTTCACAGAATTGGAAAAAACTACTTTAAAGTTCATATGGAACCAAAAAAAGAGCCCACATCGCCAAGTCAATCTTAAGCCAAAAGAACAAAGCTGGAGGCATCACGCTACCTGACTTCAAACTATAATACAAGGCTACAGTAACCAAAACAGCATGGTACTGGCAAATAATTTTTTACAGAAGTGGCTTTCTTTTCACTTTGTTTAATAGTTCATCTTTTTGCTTACAGATTTTAGTGTCAACATTTTCATAGCCTAAATTCCTATGCCAACATCACTGTATTTTGTGTGTTTTTATTTTGTTCCCTTGACCTATTTGTGTATTCTTTGTATTAGTTTAACTGTGTAATAGCCACCTTTAATAAAAATCTCTAATATTTATTGAGTCTCTAATATGTATTAAACACTATTCTTTTTTTCACAACTACTTATGCAGTAATTAATACTATTATCACCATTTTACATATCAGGAAACTGAGACCCAAAGAGGTTAAGTAACTTGCTCAGGTTACTGGGCTAAGCAAGCAGCTGAGCTGAGATGGAGCCCCAGCATTACTGAACCAAGGTCAGTGCTGGTAAGCACTATACCACAATTGCTTTCCACAGGTTTATAGAATAACTTGAAATTTGAGGTGGCTCATGGCTGTAATCCCAGCATTTTGGGATGCCGAGGCAGGCTGATCACCTGAGGTCAGGAGTTCGAGACCAACCTGGCCAACATGGTGAAACCCTGTCTCTACTAAAAATACAAAAATTAACTGGGCGTGGGGGCACGCACCTGTGGTCCCAGGTACTCAGGCGGCTGAGGCAGGAGAATCACTTGAAACTGGGAGGCAGAGGTTGCAGTGAGCTGAGATCATGCCACTGCACTCTAGCCTGGGCAACAGAGTGAGACTCTGTCTCAAAAAAAGTAAAATAAAGTAAAAATAAATAAATAAATAAATAAATAAGAATGCTTTGAAATTCTGTGAGCAAGTTGAGCCTCAGTGTTCTTCTATCTCATACTTTTTTTATGCATTTACTTTTATGAGTAAGTTTTATAATTATCTTAGATTTCAAGATAGTTCTGTTGCGATTTCACTAATTGCTTCAACATTTTATATTATTTTGAGAAAGAAATGTCATTGTTATGAACTGCATCGTTTTCCACAATATCCCAAATTTTTATGTTGAAGTCCTAACTCCCAGTACCTCAGAATGTGACTGTATTTGAAGACAGGGCTTTTAAAGGAGTAATTAAAATGAGGTAATTAGGGTGAGCCCTAATCCAATGGGACATTAGTCCTTCTAAGAAGATAAAATTTAGACATAAGTAGGTACAGAGGAAAGACCAAGTGAAGACACAGAGAGATGATGGCCATCTACAAACCAAGGAGAGAGCCTCAGAAGAAACTCCCCTTGCTGATACCTTGATCTTAGACTTCTGCCTCCAGAACTGTGAGAAAATAAATTTGTATTGTTTAATCCTCCCCATTCTGTGGTACTTTGTTATGGCAACCCTAGCAAATGAATATAGCCATCGTCACATTTTAGTGTTTTCCCATGTAGGAAAGTGTTGGCTTTTTACTTACTCAGGCCTTTCCTAGGTTCTTTAGTTTAAGTGTTTTCTTCAAGTACACGTTAATATTTCTTGTTAACCTTGTCTTTATTCATTGCTTTTTGTTTTTCTTGTGATTTAGATGTTTTTTCTTACATATATATGAATATATGTACACACACATAGGTACACACACACACACACATATTTTTAGAGAAGTGTCTGACTCTATCATCTAGGCGACAGTGCAGTGGCATTATCATAGCTTCTCATAACCTTGAACTCCTGGGCTCAAGCGATCCTCCCACCTCAGCCTCTCAAGTAGTAGTAGTAGGCATTTATCACTACACCTAGCTAATTTTTGTTTTCCCTTATGTTTATAATTGATCATTGATTTTGTATATTTATATTTTATCTGGCTACCTTACTGTACCTTCTTATTAGTTTTAGCAGTTTTTCAAGTGATTGTCTTGGAGATTTTAGGCAGGCAAATATATATAATATGCAGATAAAGGCAGTTTTGCTTTGTTTCTTTCCTTCCAGTACATACATTTCACTTTTATTTTAATGCATTGACAGGAATGCTCCAGGATTAGCTTGAAAAACAATAAAGATAGTGAGCATACTTGCCTAGCTCATGATCTTATTTGCTGATGCTTAACTATGGTATTTGTAACAGGTTTTGACATAATTTTCAAGTTTTTAGAACTTTTCCAGGGCTCTTTATTCTCTTCTTATCAGCAATAGGAATTGTAGGAACTGCTTTACCAGCAGCTTATAAAATAATTTTATGGGTTTTTCTCTTTTTATATATTAATAGAGTGAATTACATGGCTAGATTTCTAAATTTAAATCATCTTTAGTTTCCAAAAATAAACCTGTTTGTTCATTGTGTGTTCTTCTTAAAATTTGCTACTGGGTTGGAATTATTAACATTTTATTCATGAATTTTTTTTTAGAAAGTGTGTGCCTGTGGGTTCAATTTTTCAAGTCATTGTATGACTGAAGGTGATTTTTTCCTGTTAATTTGAATTATAATTTAGCTGGGTATAGAATTGTAAGTTTAAAATAACTCATTATATTCTGATATCCACTGCTGTAGATGAGGAATCAGAGGCCAGTCTAATCCTCTCAGCTAAAAAATACTTAAGAAAAACCTCATTTGATATGTATCACAGCAAAAATGGATTAGATGTTTTTGAGATTCCATATAAACTATTTTGTTGTGTCTTATTTATTTATATATTTATTTATTTAATTAATTTAGTTTTTGAGACAGAATTTCTCTCTCGTGCCCAGGCTGGAGTGTATTGGGGCAATCTTGGCTTATTGCAACCTCTGCCTCCCAGGTTCAAGCGATTCTCTTGCCTCAGCCTCCCAAGTACCTGGGACTACAGGCTTGTGCCACCACGTGCGACTAATTTTTGTATTTTTAGTAGAGACAGAGTTTCACCATGTTGCCCAGGCTGGTCCCGAACTCCTGAGCTCAACTGATCCATCCACCTTGGCCTCCGAAAGTGCTGGGATTACAGGCATGAGCCACTGTGCCCGGTCTTGTTTTTGTGTTTTTATGTTCTATTATTTTCATTGTAATATGTTCTTACTAGATATGGTAAAGTGAGAAAACTAAATTTCATCTTTTTATTCCATCAGTATAATTTAATAAGTGAGCACTAAAGTCAGACATAAATTATAAATAAGAAATTCTTACTACTAAATGGGAAGCAGGTTAAGGAATAAACCACTTTGTCAATAGCAGAAGTAAGAACATAAGCCAGGTGTCTGAATTATAAGATGTTTGGAATTCTTCTTTGGAAAGGGTTTGCTATTACAAGAAAAACTTGGACCTTTTGCTCAAATGATAAAGGGACCTTGGCAGTTGTTTAAATCTCTAGGGGCAAAGCCACCCTAAAATGCACAGTTACTCTGAGATTTGTTTGTTCTCTCTATTGATCTGCTAGGCTTGGGATTTTCAACTATTAAAAATATTAAGCTCTCTTAAAAATCATTATCTACCTATATTTGAGTGGTATGTATGTAGTATATATGAACACACACACACACACACACACACACACACACACACAAACTCTGGAGTCTCTATTCCTTCCCAGTGATACTTAACTTATTTACACTACAAACTCAATTTTTCTGTTTATTTTCCATATTTTTGCTACCAATCTCTTTGGGAGTTATCTGTTGGCTGTGAATTTACTGAATTTGAAACTGAGATTATACCCAATAAGGATTTTTATTTATGAATTAATTGGTTTCTGGAGTTTTCAAATAAAGCACGAATCTGATGGTCATATTGCAAGTTGCCCTGCAGGTCTTCCTGCAAAAGAAATGTGATGATTTAAAGGGATGATGCCTGTTGGATGAAATTGGCCATTTCAAAATTCTTCCCCTCATGTGTCATCTTATTTCAGTTGTTATTATATTCAGAGCCTTGCATGTCCACTTAATAGCACTGTGCAGAAAAACATTTCCAAGTAAACACAGTAATGTTCATCATTTGTTTCTTAGGAGAGTCAAAGTGACTAATTTAAGTAATAGAAATACATAATTATAGGGAGAGAAAAGTTTTCTTTTGCTACTTTAGTATAATTAATAACAGAATGAGTAGCATCACATAAAAAATTAAAGATAAAAATGGCACATAGGTTTTATTACTTTTAAAATATATTTATTGAATGATCTAGACCTATTCTTCATTTAACTGACACTGAATAGGGTCATTTAGGTATAAGATGAACTGTCATCTTTTTGGATTTGTAAAATCAGTATCCATTGGGGGAAGATCTTTTTAGAATGTATGTAAGTATATTACAGTTCTGCTATTACTGGGCCATCAGATGCAATTTGGCACAGCATGATGTTTCCACAGTTGCTCCAAGTTAACAGTGATTGTAGAACCCTTAGTGATTGGCTAAGGTTATTTTTAAACCTAATTCTAGATAACTCAGAGAAGTGCTGTTCTATATTCCACATGGTAATCTCAGCAACATTTGGCATCGAGGATTTATTGCATACCATAACTCTGGCTTCACTGTGAATCTCTTTTACCATCAAAACACTGAAAATAGAACCTCGAAGCAAAGGGACGGCCATGCTATTTTTCATTAGAAAGATCACACCTTATGCATTCAGGAGTTCTCTGTTGCATGATATAATTTGTTTGCTTACTTGTTTATTGAGGAAAACGTCTTTGCATCCGTGAAGCTTTGATGTAATTGACCACCTCCATCTCAGATGTTAGGTTCTGTCGTTGTTGAAACCACCCTATGTGTAAGTTTCTGGGAAATTCTTGGGAGAACTCTGTATTCGTTTAACTTGATGACAAAACAGCAACATGCTAAATAATGTGATTAAAGTTGTTAAAAGCCAAAATAAACACTTATAATTATCTCAAGAAAAACGGTGTCAGGCAAGTGCAGGCTCTATAAAGCGGGACTCCGTGTGCGTCTTTCAGGTCCTGCTGCACAATAGATCATAGTTAAAGGTCTGTTAACAGACCTCTGACGGCTGAGCTGGGTAGCTTGTGGTTTCCTTCGAAACCTATTGGCATAATGTGAATTTATGTGTGAGGTGCAAATTGGAAGTTACCTTCTACTGGTGCCCTTGGCAGAACAGAAATCATACTGTAGGGCTAGCAGCAGGAAGTACATGGCTTTGAAATTACCCAGCAGGGTTTCTGCTCGCTGCCCTTGTTGCTTCTGAGACAGGGGCCTTATATTGTCTGGTCATGATTAAAATCAAAGTGTAGGCTTCTTTGCTGGGTGCCAGTAAACTTAGGTGAAAAGCAGAAACAATCTGGGATTTTAATTATTTTAAAATGCAATGTGGGCAACAAAAGAAGATGAAAGCATTTTTGACTAATCTATGCCAATTATTCCACATAAACGGATTTGCCAAAAAAGAGGCCCGTAGAGAGAGAGTAAGCTTGCCTTTACAAGAGACTTCATAACATATCTCACAGCTATAAAATAGATCTGTGGCACGTATGCTGTTCTTCTGAAATTCATTGAGAAAAGTGCCTGAACATTATGATACTTCTGGGTGAGTAGAGAAAGACAGATGTGCTTTTTACCTTATTCCAAATACAAGATGCTACATATTTATGAAATAAGCCTTTAAAGCATGGAAGATAATTTCCTGGTTAATAACTTACTGACTTAAAGTAGTCCATCTAAAAGGCGATATCTTGGTGTTATGCTTAAGATTTGCCTCATTCCACAGTCAGGTTGGACGGATACTTCCCATTGTGCTATAATTCCCAGAGGTGGCAGAGTTGGATCTTCTCTCTTCAACTTCTTTTTCCATGAAGAGTATAAAGAGATGAGTCATAGGGTCAGAGTTCTCTGTCTCTAATAATTTGGGAGGAAGTCAATAATAAATAAGATATAGGGAGTGCAAACTTAGCATCATATTGTACCAACCAGTAATTAAATAAACAGTAGTCACAACCAGAAGTTAATATGTAGGTTTGTTTGTTTTTTAAAAAAGCACCCAGTGTATAAGTGGTGGGAGTTTATGCATTAAGTTAACGAATATTTATTAAGTGCTTGATATGTGGTAGGCACTGTGATAAAGACTGGGGATATAAAGGTAGACCAGATTTTCAAGGAAGATAGAGAAATAAACAATTATTTACACCTGTTACTCTGGAGACTGACAAGGGCCAAGCTAAGGAAGTACATGTGCTGAGGTGGTAACCTGTGGTTATTACCTACCCCACAGCTGGTGCTCAGCCACAAAGAGAGATGTGAATATTACATTTCTATCACAATTGGCATATATGGATTTTTTTAAAGACATAAGAAGAGGAAAAATCTATTGCTTTGATTGAAAGATTGGATGTGTTTTTAGGAAAATTGAGTAGGGAGGTCCATTTCTTTCCTTTGAAAATTTATTTGCGGTCAATTTATTATGATACTTCAAACCATTTAGCCATAGCAAAGAGCAGGTGTGTAGAAACTCTACAAAACCTCGACGAATCCTGTGGTCCCCTGAAAAAGGCCTGTGTCTTATCTGATGAACACTGCTCAGGCTCAAGTCTCTTGAGCGTCAAAACTGCTCAAGCAAGGGGGAAATCCAGATTTTATATCTCCTTCCACTTGAATTTCTGGATAAGAATGAGAGAAATCCGCAAAATCCAGTTACGTTAAATAGCTTTTACGAGTATCTTTTTGGAATGCTGTCAGTTGTAACTTCGTTTTGTCTGCCAGGTATAAGCATGGAAGATTCAAGCTGCTCCTGGCTGTAAGAAGTTAATGTGGAATTTTGCTGCTTGAAATTTAAATTGGGCTACAAAAATTAGCTCCCACTGGTGGAAACAACTTTCTTTTTAGTATGAGAAGTTGTTTGAAGCTTTTTTCTCCCCCAAAGTCTCATCGTGATCAGGCTTTAATATTGCTCTCAAACCAACCTTTAATTTAATAAGCAGAGTAATTTTGTTCAGGAAAATTTTCCATGACATTTGTTGAATTAAATGTACATACTCAGTATTCCATCCCAGCAGCACCACCTATTGTTGTCTTGTAGCTTTTCTACTAAACTTCACAAGAATCTAATTCACTCATTTCTCTGAGTATCTCTGTGAGATATTCAACATACATTTTACAGGTTATAAGGGTTAAGCATTCCAGTTGTGTTGTGGTGATGTTTCTAAAGTCATAAATCTGTAAATAAAATGAATGCAGGATGGTAGACTTTTAATTGGTGAAAGGACACTGAATAGAGAGGCAAAATGCTTTAAAATATTTATGGATATTAAACAATGTTTGGAAAATAAGATTCAAGTTATACCTGTATGTTTTAAAAGTTCTACTCACTACACACTATGATTCTACAATTAACAGCAGAATTGTATTGGAATAAGATAAGAAAGACTAAATGATATTATTTTGTGCCAATTGTTATTGTAATTAGAATATTATGTATTGATTTATTAAATATAAGTGGCTTTTTTTCCAGCGAGGTTTTAAAATCCACTTATAATAAAAACATAGGATTTGCATTTACAGGTAGAAAATGAAAATCGGTAAGTGTCAAGATGGGGTCCACTATGTAATTTTTTCAGCATTATTTCCAGAAGAGAGGTAGGATTGGGAATTTTAGTCTTTATTTGATATTTACATATACTTATATGAACGTGAGTCATTGCCTGTGTTTTCTGTAAGCCATCTTTACTTCAACCATGTAAACCATACGAAGCATTTTAGGAAGAATGTAATAAGCACCATATGGAGATGGAGTATTTTCACACCTGTTATGTCATTTGATCTTCCCTGCAATTCTCTAAGGTAGGTAAGGTGGCTTTGGGTCCTTGGCCTCTTCTTTTCTCACTATGCACATTCTTGAAATTTCATCCACTTCTATAGATTCAATTACCATCTCTACACAGATCATTTCAAAATTTGTACCTATGTTCCTTACATCTCTCCCAACCTCTAGAAAAAAATGTATACATTTGGAACTTCCACAAGCATCTAAAACTCAGCACAAACTTGTTTCCTGCCAAAACGACGCATCTTCCTATACTCCTTATCTTAATGAATGCCCTACCGTCTGCCTAGTTGCCCAAGCCAGGGACCTAGAAGTTATCTTAGACTCTCGCCTTTTGCTTGTCCTCTTCACTCACTCAGTTAAGACTATTACATTTCCTCAGTATCTCTGAATTCCACCCTATTTTGTTCAGGCCCTATCATTTCTCACCTGGCTCATTATAATACCTCTTACAACTACTAATTTGACATTCTCTGCTGCTAGAGAGACCTTTCTAAAATTTAAGACTCTTAGTAAAATACTTCATGGGTGGTTTCTCATTACTTTTATGATGAAGTACAAATTTTTACACAAATAATATGATGCCATTTAAAATATATGACCCATGACAAATTTCCCAGTTTCCTATCTTACCTCTCCCTGATCATACTCGTTGTTCTTACCAAATAGATGTTTCATTCTCCCAACGTGGCAGTCCTAAGGGTGATTCCTTATTTGAAAATCTATTAATAAAAGTCATCTTATGATTAGAAATCAGGAGCCAAATCCTATAATCATCTACATAGATGCTGAATGACATTTAAAAAAAATTAATACCCATTCATGTTAAAAACAACAAATTAGGAATTGATAGAGAATTTAATATGATAGTACACATAACCATCAGACCAAAATGAACATCTTAACTGATGAGGAACATAAAGTCAAGACCAAGAAAGGACAGTGGGTATCTCAATTGTTATTTAGCTTTGAATTGGAAGTATTAGCCAATGTCATTAGATAAGAGAAATTGGAGGCATGAGCATTGGAAATGAAGAGATTAAACTACCTCTGTTGCAGATGTTATGATTATATATCTTGAAAACAAAAAAAAACTGTGAAAAACTACAAATAGGAGAATTTAATAAAATAGCAAGATATGTAACTAACATAAAATCAATAGTTTTTGTGGGAAATCAATAGTCTTACTATTTGTATATAATGGAGAAGCAGACTCCATACATGATAACAAATAAAATAGAATAAAAGGAAAAAAGCAAAATAAAATTCCTAGGCATAAAACTAATACAAATGTTTAAAACCTATATGAGGAAAACTATAGACATGCCTGAAAGACATAAATATGTCCTTAAATAGAAAGATATAAAATTAGTCACGGCAAGCTGACTCAGCCTCAGAAACATGTTAATTCTTCCTAAATTAGTTATTCATTTAATTCAATTCCAATAAAAATAGCAGAAGTTTTTCCCCTCTGGAGCTACACAAATTGGTTATAAAGTTCATATGGAAGAATAAACACGCAATACCAATCAGGAAATTTTGTAAGAAGAGAAGCAATGTATTTCTTTTTCTAAAATATATTAAAAAGCCTCTATAATTAAAAGGTTGTGGTATGGGCACATGAGTAGACAGAAAGACCAATGGAACCACACAGAAAATCTGGTAAAGCAGCTAACATACAATATTGATAAAGATAACCTCTGATAATAGAGGGAAAGTATGTTCTTAATCAGTAAATGGCTTTGGAACACCTGGATAACCATATGAAAAAAAGATAAAATTACATCCATTTATCACACCATATGGTAGATATCCAAATGGATCAGAGATCTAAATGCATGAAATATTTCAGGAGCAATAAGGAAAAAAGTGATAAATTTGACACAGAGTAATATTCTGAACACATAAAATGCTTCAAAGAATTGAGAAAAAAGGCAAAACCTTAGAGAAAATGGGGAAAAAATACAGATAGTTCTCAGAAAAAGAAATAAAAATGACCCTCACACATAGAAAAATATACTGAATATATGAGAAATGCAAATTAAAACTACACTGAGATAACACTTCTCACCCACCTGACTGGCAGAGATCCCAAAATTTGTAAACTATACTCTGTTGTAGAGGTTTTGATGAAATAAGTATGCAAAGTGGTATCAGCTTCAATGGGTTTGGGGGTGGGAGGATTTAGCATTATTGAGCAAAACTGCATATACATTTACCCTTCAATCCTGCAACATGAATTCTAGGAATCTGTTCCAAAAATGCAAAGTGACATATGGTCAAGACTGTTCCTCATAGAATTACTTATAATACTAAAAGATGAAATAGCTTAAATATCGATAAGAGACTGGTTCAATAAACTAGAGAACATTGACACATGGAACACAGGCCCTTTTTTGCTTAACAAAGGTGTCTGAAATGCTTGTTATTTTCATTATATTAAAAGGAGTCATTAGAATGGTTATCTATCAACCTAAAGCCTCAACCAATTTCCTAAAACACAGTGAATAACATATATGTAATAAATGATCATGTAAAGATGTAAAATGCCTAAAAAATCCACCTCTTAATAACCAATTACTGTGGTTGTTAACAGTCACCTTATATGGCGACTTCCGGGGAAAGTGCCTTTTCTTACCTTCAGCAGCAGCCTTCCTGAAGCATATGCCCTTTTGAAAGTCCATGTAGGCTTTGCCATTTTGACAACTGTGTATGGAGACTCAAGACTTTATCTGACATCATTTTGTTTAAAAAGTTGTATTGAGGTTTGAGGACACGAATATGTATTCTACCTGTATTAACTGGCCAAAAAATAAAGTTGTATTGGAGAGGTGTCTGTGGGTTTGAATGCTAAAACTTACAGTTTGGGATACTAAAAATCGAAAGGTAGAAAATATTAATGGGGGATGTTCTGCAGGGCATATGGTATGATTCATCATAGAATAGAATCAGAGAGATTTCTGCATGCTCCTTTTGAATGACATTCAGAATTCATCTTTAATGGAAAAAAGTAAGGTACAGAACAGAGTGTAGAAGCGTGTAGAGTGAGCTACTTTTTGTGTAACAGAGGGTCAAGGAGTGATAAAAGTGTATAGCATTTTCTTACGTTTTCAAAAGAATTAGCATGAGGTTACCTATAAGGCAGGGATGACTTTGGAGCTATGTAATGTTTTACATAACTGTTTTACATAACTGACAATCAAAATGAAAATCAAATTAAATCAAAAGACAAAAGAATCTAAAGTCATACAGAAGGGGTGCCGTAAGGTTGGAGACTCTTCTGAGGAGCGGGCACTGCCTGGCAGGGACTGCACCTCTGAAGGTACAACGAAGCTGGTTTTGGGGCTCTTGCAAAATGGGCTGGAGACTGGAATCACGTTCCAGGGTGAAGGGTGGTTACTGAGGCAAGAAAGGGGAGACCGCCTGCAAATGAGAACAAGTCCTTTCTCCCTCCTTCTGCCGTTCAGTCTCTCTAGCGCCCCCTCTTGGCAGATCCTAAAGAAAGCTGATTGCAATGCGGAAACTGGAGCTGCAAGGCCCCAAAAGCAGGAAGAAAGGGTTTGGGGCTGGGGGGCAATAGCTTAGTAACTAACATGATTGGTAAAATTGAAGGCCAAGAGTTTACTTGTGACAGGGAGAATTTACAAGGAGGCTCTAGGAACCAAATGACACTGTAACACAAGGTTTTTCAGTACCATTGAAGGCTGACACAGGCAAAATGACTTTCAAATGAGATAATGCAAGTGAAATGGCCTCAGATTTATAAAGTACCATGCAAGTAGGAAAATAATAGTTTTAATGTTGATGCTTTAACTTCACTTTTAACTATGATGGGGATATTTGATAAAAGAAAATTTGTGAAGCCAAAGATAATCATGAGATAAATTATGAAAAGATGTTTATTAGTTTTAGAAACAGAAATAATAGTTTGCCTTACTTTCTCTAATTGAGGCAATTTTATTTTAATTTGGAGGTTTTCAAAAGGACACACACTTTTATTAGTTTTTCTGTCATAACTTGCAGAGTTTTGTGGATCTTTGCAAAAACTTGAGTTAAATTTTCTTTAATGATGTGTCTATATATTATACATTGGCTACATAAAAGCACTGAATTACTGTGCTATATCATTACATTACTGATTATATTAATGTGTGTCTCTGTAGTGTAATAATTTTTGCATTTATTCATTCATTAAAGATAATCATAACTAATACAATTACAATTTCATTTTAAAGTCATTATTCATAGTCATCAATTTAGAGATAAGAATGAAATTATGTTGATAAGTTCATAAACTGATGGCTGGAGGCCAATCAGATTGCTTCGTGTTCCCAAATTATTTTATAATTATGTTACTTATGGTTAACATGTGGATGTGAAACAAAGATTCTGGAATTCAAGTCATGCTAAAAGAGCTGTGAGTCACTGTTCATTTTTAAATCTCTCACATAGTTAAAGAAAAGGTGTGTAGAAACTATTTCATAAGTTTAATTAACATGATTATAGATATTGCATACACTTGTAAATAGAGAAAAGCAATCTGCAAAAAGAACAAAATAATTCTGATACTTTATAAAAATAGCATAACTAAATTTAGCAAAAAGTAAGGGATCATTGATAAGCTAGAATATTAGAATAGGATTTTCAGAAACGGTCATTTGTTTGGGGAACGAAAATAATTGTAACCAGGCCAGATGACATATTTATAGGTTTCCAGGGGAAACAGAAACTTACCTCAAATAAAAAGTTGCAAGTGGTCAATGTAATTAAAAAAGAAAAGTAGTGAAATTATCCAAGAACAAGGTGGGGCTTGGTGTAGGAAAATAGCCTTTAATTCACACATAAGAGTAACATACAAAGGGAATACACCATTTTTAATTGAAAACTGAAATCAACTGAAAGCATTTTAGTTGAAAACACATCAAGTATCTGTATCATTATTATTCCATCTGCAGAATGTAGTTGTAACTCACAATGTTTTCAACTATTTTTTTCAGTAAATATTTACTATCTATCTGTCTGTCTGTCTGTCTGTCTGTCTGTCTGTCTGTCTATCTATCTATCTATCTATAGAGACAAGGTCTTGCCATGTTGCCCAGGTTGGTCTCGAACTCCTGGGCTCAAGAGATCCTCCTGTCTTGGCCTCCCAAAGCGCTGGGATTACAGGTGTGAATCACTGTGCTGGGCCTTGAGTATGTATTTAATGTGTAAGACTCTGTGGTAGGCACCAACAGCAGAGGCAAAGGTTAGCAAGGAATTGTCAAGGAGTTTATAATCTGACAATGTGGATAAAAGAAATATACACACATTTTGAAAGTAAAATATAAAGTGTCAAGTGCTATAAAAACAATACAAACACAACATTTTGGAAGATCGTTGGAAAAAAAGAGCATATTCAATCGGAAAGATCAGGAAAAGCTTCATGAAGGAGAGAACATGGGAGAATAAGCATTTTCACAGGATGGGTAATAGAGATAAATAAAAATAGTACAAGTGACATTTGTTTTGTGCTAGGCACCGTCTTAAGAATTTATGCATATGATGTCATTTAATCCTCAAAACAACCACAGAACATAGTACTCATATTATCACTATTCCACAAATGAGGCTTAGAGAGGTTAATTTTCCCCAGTTCTCACAGTTAGTGGCAAATCCATAATTTAGAACCATATCTGCCTAACTCCAGAGCCTAAACCTTGCTTACTGTATTATACTCCTTTGTAAAGAAGAATCGTTTACGAAAGCGAAAACTGAAAATCCTACATCTATAGTTTATTTATTTGCTTATTCATTATTATTTTTATTATTTTTAACTCTTTTAGAGATAGAGTCTCACTATGTTGCCCACGCTCACTTCAAATTTCTGAGCTCAAGCAGTCCTGCTGCCTCAGTCTCCTGAGTAGCTGGGACTACATGGGTGCACCAACATACATCTCTATATTATAACAGTTATATTTAACGTGACACTTATATTTTGGTAAAATGGTGATTTAAAAGTTAATATTGGTAGGAATATGATAAAAATGTATATTCTCTCATTCAGTTGTAAAGCAAATACAAAATTGCACATGCGTTTGTTATAGCAGAATCAGCATATAGTAGATTCTCAGTAAATGTTGAATAAATGAATAAATAAGGTAGAAAATCTGTATGCATATGGACAGAGATTGGGAGACTGATATGTGAAAATGATTAGTTGCAATAGGATTGTGGGACTTTGAGGCCTAGCTAGTCCTCTTTCAGTTATCTTTAATTTTGTATATGGTCGGATCATCCGGCTTTGAGTAGAAACCAGTTGTTTATTTCCTTTTCATTAACAAAGGACTAATGAGTTCAACCTAAAAGGACAGATGAATCAGCCTGTGATATCAATAATCAATAGAGAATTCTTCTGCAGAATATTCACTAACATGCACAGTTTTTGAATAGTTAAAAAAATTTTATTTTTTCAGTAATGAAGAATATGAATCAGAGAAAATGATGCATATATATCATAACTTCGGCATGCACGAATGAGACCAGATGAGGCAACAATAGTTTACATTTTGACTTATTTCTTTAATTTCAAAAAATTGAAGTCTTATTAATCATTTGCTAGTTCTATGCAATGGTACATTCTTCAAATCATACCTAATGATAATAACAGGAGAAATGATAAATGAAAATGGTCAAAGCATTCAATAACATGTTGCTGTTATAGTAAGATTTTGAAATAGAATGTAGCATGTTATGGGATTTTGCCTTTAACTAGACTAAAATATACTTTATTGATTCAGGTAGAAGGAACTATTAAATATTATATACAAATTACTTTATACTTATTTCATTAGGAAACAACATTAATATACATATATGTGCACATACACATATGTTTACCAGTGAAGTTGATTAACTTTTAGTTCTGGAGCACCGTTTTTCTTTTCACTAAAAAAGTGGTTTCTGGTGGCAACATTAACCACATTTGTATGTGTTGGGTCGACCTGTTTATTGATTCACCAAGAAGCTGTCAAGATTTTTTTTTTAAGCAGCATCTCGCTCTGTTCCCCAGGCTGGAGTGCAGTGGCTCCAATCATGACTTATTGCAGCCTCAACCTCTCAGGCTCAAGTGATCCTCTCACTTCAGCCTCCAGAATAGCTGAGACTATAGGCACGCACCTCAAGGCACGCACCTCCATGCCTGGCTAATTTTTTAAGAAAAATTTTGCAGAGATGGGGTCTCACTATGTTGCCTAGGCTGAACTCGAACTTCAGGGCTCAAGCAGTCCTCTCACCTCAGCCTCCCAAAGTGCTGAGATTAGAGGAGTAAGCCACCGTGCCCTGAAGCTGTCAGTTTTAAATGGGACCTAGAGCAAGAGAAGGCTCTGCAGCAGGTCTAGGCTGAAGCACAAGGTACTGTGCTACTTGGGCTTTATGATTAGGCAGATCCAATGGCACCCAAAATGTCTCTGGCAAATAGAATGTTGTATGCAGCCCCTGACAAACTCTAACAGAAGACCACTAGCATTTTGGAAACAAATCAATTTTCTCTTTGAGAAACAGCTCCTGTCCCTGACTTGCTGCTAGTCCTTGTTGACATTGAATACCTGGCTAAGATGCTGCAAGTGAACATTTGACCTGAACTGTCCATCTGATCCAAAATATCATAGGGTTGGGTTTGTTCAGAAGCACCCCATTATCAAGTGGTGGTGGTATACAAGATATAGGGCTCAAGAAGTTACTGAAGGCACAATAGGTTGTCTGAGCAGGTGGCTCTAATTATCTTGGTGTCTACTTCTGCTGCTCTAATCTCATACCCCCTACCCATACCTGGTCTCATGGGAAGTTTTCTTTCATTGGTTGACTAAGAATACAGAAATTCAAGTGAAGTTTGTAGGTGGTTTTGTACAGCATGTTGGCACTAGCTAGAGGTGGACTGAGGAAACATTACAGTGCCTCTCAGAGGTGGCCCAGAAGGACACTGAGAAATAGGAAAAACCCTCCCAGTAGGAAAAGTAGCAAGCAGTGCATTTGAGTATTTACTTTGCTTGGAAGGAGAGAGGGCCAGAGGTAAGGATCTACAGGAATTAATAAATAGCACCTTACAGGTTGGCTGGGTGTTCAGGATAAATGCTGGAAGATTGATGGGATGTAGATCTGGGAAAAGATTTATGAATTGGCTTCTAGAATAGTGGCGTATGTGAAGATACTCTCTTATGGAAGATAATTTAAATAACTTGGTGGACAGGATGATCCAATGAGCCTTTTTCCCAACAACTCTAGAGCGGACTCTTGGGCTCATGAAAAAAACAGTAGCAATAGAAGTCCCATGATTTCAATACCATGGGCTTCCCCTCACCAAGTGTGAACTGATTTCTGCCAATCTGAGGTCTTCAATCTGGTTATCCTGTTGAAGCCATCCTAAAATAGATACAGCTATTGATGGAATTCTAGAAAGGCAATGAGGCCTACACTAAGCCCTCAGTGTGGCCCCATTCCCCAGGGGGACAGATAGCTACCCATGGGAAGTTGGACTGTGGACTCCTTCCATCCTGAAAAGCGTGGTGATTTATTATCACTAGAATAGAGTCTTCCTCTGTATGTGGGTTTGCCTTTCTTGCTCATATTTCTTTTGTAAGCATTACCATCTTTAGACTTTCTATCTCAATCACCATCATGTGTCCCGTACAACATTCTTTATGATTAAGGAACTCATTTTATGACAAATGGTATGTAGTAATGTGCTTAGGTCTGTACTACTCACTGATATTCCCCTGCACTCTCTCACCCTTGACCTATTGAATGCCCCCTAAAATAAGCAAAGTGGGGATTTCCAGGGACTGTTACATTATTAGACTTGCAGACTTGTTATCCAAAGGAGTAATAGTATAGGTATAAACTCGTTAATTTGACCTTTATTATTTAGTGGTATGACTGGTTAGTAAGTTTTTATTTCCATTTCCATTTGCATTATTATTTTTGTCTTATAGTTATGCTCTTAAAATGAGACATAAAAATCCAATATTAACTGAATCAGCATTTACTATTAAAGATTGTTTTAATATGGTGTTCAACATGAGAATGTTTTATAAACTAGCATCAAGTGGCTTTCACTGACATTTATGAATGAGCTTAGTACTTTAATCAAATAAGGATATTAAGAGCTGGACTTGAATCCCATTTAGATTCTAATTTTGTTTTGTATAATTTTTCAGGCCAAATAACTTCATGTATTTTTAAGGATTCTAAATCAACACCAGATATTAAAGTCGGAAACTATTTCAAATGCCTTGTCAAAAGTCTTTAAGATTATTTAGGGAAGTATTTAGTGATGTAATTTTAGGACTTTGGTAAATATTGTATTGCTTTGATTATATTTTAAAAAGGCTGTTACTGTCAAAACATAAGTAGCTAAAAATTTAAGCTAAAAAATACTTTGAGTAGGAGAGAGAACATACATTATAATAACTGGAAATTGTTTTTATGAGCTATCTTCTGTAAAAAAACATTGGAGGAAAATGTCAACAAGATAAAGACATACTACTAATATAAACAGTTAAATGTTCTGATCTAAATATGGCACACTCAAGATGAAATTAGGCCAAAAATTAAACACAATATACCAAGCAGCCTAAAAATTGTGTAACCTAGAGGTTAACATAAGCTATTCTGAAATGAACATATGAAGTTTACAGAATGTATAAAGCTGAAGGTGAGTTTTACAGGCATTTGAAAAATTTACTTTGCTTCTCTCAAAGGAAAAAAAAAACGTAGTTCAGTATAATCTTTTCCATAATAGGAAATAAAGACTTAAGGGCAAAAGTGTAGTGGTTCTGATGCAGAAAACTTACAACTGCTGTCTTTTCATCATCTATGCTAACAACATATAGCCCAGCAAAATGCAGCCTGAGCTTTGTCATTGACCAAATCAGGACAATGTTTCTTACATGAAAAGTGTTGCAATGAATGCAAAATAATCTCAGGCATTCTCAGAACTGGGAGACAGGAGAATTTAATTCAAGTCCTAGTTCTGCCTTTGAGTAAGCAGTTCACCTTCCTGAGCCTTAGTTTCCATGTATGTGAAATGGGCATGACAACTTGTACTCTCTGACACTCTGAGTTACTGTGAGAGTCAAATGAAAACCCAGGCCCACATTTGTGAAATGAATATATGTATGAAGATATATAAAGACATATTGTAAGTTCTAAAGCTGTAAATGAAAATAAATTATTAATTCTTTTATCCCAAGTTTACAGTCTGATGGAGGAAAAAAGTTGTTTTAATTTCAAGAAGTATGGCTAGTTAAAATATTTTGCTATGTTTGGTTGCAGGTGGTTTTATATATAAATGAATGCAACAGCAGTTGCATTTAATATATAAAAGAATGCAACAGCAGTGTGTTAGTCTGGCTGTCACCTACCAGATGTCATTGGATGAGCCTATCACACTTTCTTTTTCCTTCATCCTGCAACCAGGATGGTATTCATAGAGCTTGGGGTGGTGGCCATTACCAATGATGTGTTAATGATCAACTCTCACCAACCACTTTTGTCATCCTGGTATGTACTGCCTCTGGGTCAGCCGTGGGAGTAACAAACTCAAAAGCTATAGGAGTGAAGACCCCAAGGTACCTGAGAAGTAAACATGGTGAATTTTGTGGCAGACTGGAGACACGTGAAGAGAAAGCCCTTCATCTTCAACCAGTTGTCAGAAGGAAATGCAAGTGTGCGTTTCCAACATCGAACATCACAAGATATTGGAAACCTGGATTTTAATAGGAAATCTCTTGAATTTGAAATGTTGGCAACACATTCCAAAGTTTTATTTTAAAAATCCTATACAGGTCAAACAAAACATGACTGTGCGGTTAATTTGACCTGCTAGCCCTCTTTGTCCACTCTGCTTGATGTATAGCTGATATACATTTAAATTGTAGTGTAGTCCTCTACATGAAGGGCTACAAAAAGAAGCAAATGGTTCTACAGGGGAGGTGGGGACCCAGAGACAAAATTTCCCAATTGGTAATTTTTTTTTTTTTTTTTTTTTTGAGACAGAGTCTTGTTCTGTCGCCCAGGCTGGAGTGCAGTGGCGCAATCTCGGCTCACTGCAAGCTCCGCTTCCTGGGTTCACACCATTCTCCTGCCTCAGCCTCCTGAGTAGCTGGGATTACAGGCACCCGCCACCACACCCGGCTAATTTTTTTGTATTTTTTAGTAGAGATGGGGTTTCACCGTGTTAGCCAGGATGGTCTCGATCTCCTGACCTGGTGATCCTCCCACCTCGGCCTCCCAAAGTGCTGGGCCCAATTGGTAATTTTGCCTCAGGGTGGCCCCTGTACAAGCAGGGTAAAAGAAGAAAAGATCAGGAAGGTGATTTGAAATGGTGACAGTTACCTCCATTAACAGAGTTGGGATTTAGAGACCAAAACTATAGTTGAGCATCATGCCGTAACAGGTGTTGAGTCGCATCAAGCAGGGTGCTCTCCAGGCTGTAGTGGTGATTGTCAGGGAATTAATTTCTACAGTCATGCCTTGCAGAAAAAAGGTTTCTCTGAAAATTCTGTTAACAAACACGTAAGGATATTTTTTCACACATTCATCTTGTGCCATGCATTATAAATATTTTTAAGGAAGAATGCCATAAAATCATTAGAAAATCTCTAAAGGGGGGAAAAACGTGTGGAATCCAAAGAAACAACATAAAATGTTTTTGTATGGCTTCAGATGATTTAAGAACTTACCTTTGGTTTATTGTAGGAAATTTATATTACTTTATACTAATATGATTAGAAACTGTTTAGAATTTGGTGGGTGCATGTCTAATGGAATTAAAAATCACTCCATTACAGAATATAACTAAATTTCACTACGATTCGACTTAAATACATTTAGTGGAGGACTAGTTTACTAATCCATCTCAGAGAGAGAAATGAGTGTCATTCTTCAATGTAAGGATGTCCTGTAGAAATCCACGGGTCTTTGGGGGGAAAAAACAAAAAGAAGGAAAAAAAATATCTCCCACACCAAGCACTGGTGCATGTAAGCATGACTGGAAAATCTGTCTGAATGGAGGAGCAACTGGGATTGACCCTGGAAAAACCTCTGAGAACTTGTCTGTATTGTGCGGTACGCCAGCTCTGACTTGGTTTTGGCCAGCTCTGTGCAAATCGTCACTCTTTGGTTCTCCCCTTGGCCCAATTTTCATGTGCGCTTGGCACATTAACAGTGTTAATAATATTGCAAGATAAAATTAGCTGGGCTTTAGAACATAAATAATGTGGAATTCAATTACTTGTATTTATAAATTAATATTATGCCTTTTATATGCAGATACTTGAGAAAAACCCTTATTTTATGATATATATTTGAAAGTAATAAAACTGAATTTATTTTAAGAACAGTCTTTGGGTGTCGTAAGATCCAGACCTCACTCAGCCTAAAGTACTAGAGTGATCAAGTGGGATCTATGGATCCCAACTACTAGGATGGCTCTTCCGCTGACTAAATATGTGGCCTTGGACAAGTCACTTCAACATTCTGGATTTTATTTCCCTTCTTGGTAAAATTAGGAGATAGGAGTACCTGTCCTTTCTATTGTGAAGCTGTCTCAGAGAGGGATTTTGAGGAAAGAGGGAAAGGATCACACATGGTTTTGGAGAGCGTGGAGGTAGACTCTGCATGAGCTCCAGAGTCTGGCAACCTGAGGAGCTTAAGATAATTCAAGAGCAAGCGTGGTGGGTGCGAGATGATTTGGGGGTCACCAGGGTGTAAGTTGTAAAGAGCATGGCAGTTAACGGCTAACAGGAACACTGAAGTGATGGATTGAAGGGGAGGGCCAAGAGCAGAACTCTGGGAGGATATGAGCATCTATATTTAGCTCCTATGTCCAGTGGGCAGCACGAAAGTTACTTTTAGTTATCTCTTGCTTAATTATTATGCTGAAGTACATCAGCCTCTTCCCTGAGAAAGAAGGATTTTAGGAGTACAGTAAAATTAGATGGAGGCCAGGAAGAGTTAAAGTGTACCCTTGCTGTCTTTCTCTCCTTCCCTCCCTCCAATCCAGAGAAATCCCCCAAATCTGAGAGGTGGGGAGAGGAAGTCAGAGTTTCCCTGGATGGGATGCCCAACAGGAGATGACTGGGGGCTGGGTAACAGGGAGGGATTTCATAAGGATTTCACTTATATCCTGAAGGTGGGGGGGTTTGTAGTCAATATCAGAAATGATTCCAATTGTGCAAAGTTGGGGTGTATATCTAATGCTTCCCCCTTAATACTAAAAGGGAAGGGGACGTAAACCAACTATCAGACAAGATTCCTATCAGCCTGGCCATCATATGCTTGGAGTCTGGAGTTACTAAATCAAACACAGCAGATCTTTGGGTCTAGCTGAGCCTTCCAACCCACACAGATCCCATGGGTATGGGTATTTGGGCTTAGCTCCTATTTTACTGGATTTCGACTCCTCAACAGGTTTGGGACCTCTCAGCTCCACGCAGTGGCCTCTGATGTGCCCTGTGAGGAGACCTAGTCACTTTGGACCCTCTGTCTCTTCATTTTTATCTTTACTAAATAGCTTTAGTTTTCTTAAATCTTTTTGTTCCCTGACCTACCCCTTTTGGATCCTATGACTTCTGCTTGGCTTCAGGTTTTTGTTTAGGCCAATAGAGTCTATTTGGTGTCACTACTAGAAGAGACAGGGTGAGGCAGGTGACCAGCCATCTCAGTGTGCCCAGGACTGAAGGGTTCCTGGGATGTGAGATTTTCAGTTTTAAAACTGGGAAAGTCCCAGAAAAACCAGGACTCACTGGTCACCCTAAAAGGAGAAGAAAGAGGAAATGCAGTATTCCAAACGCCGCATGGAATATTTACACAAAAAACAACCTTTTTACACTAAAAAGATTAACCTTCTCTTAGCATATTTCCTATGACCTTAAAGAAACTCCGTTTCTTTGTTTGCCTTGAAAAACATACATCTTAAAACCCTGTAATAAATCCCTTTCTGCTTAAACTAGCTAGAGCAGATTTTCTTCTCTGCAACTGAACTCTACCTGACTCAGTACCATATGTTATATTTACACTGAAGAGATTTCTCTAATGAGCTAAAAATCATTTTGAGAGAACTTGTGTCTGGGAGTTCTGTGGACTTTTTTTCTGACCACCAATTTTCCTCCTTTCTTTTGGTAGCCATATCCTTTGAAGAAGCACCCCATCCCTTGTCTCAGTCTGGGTAAGGCTGATGCCACACTCAGGCCTGGACGACAAAGGACCTTCTCTTTCTGGGCACAGCGATGATTCACAAATTGGCATGTGACACAACAGGGGCGGATGAGGATTATCTTTTGGGAATTTTACTTGAGCTGCTGGGAAAGCTGTTTATTTGTTTTTGTTATGTATCACTGTTGTAGGGACAATTTAAATGAGGACTTGCCAGTGAACACCAAGCTTGCTTGAGAATGAAACTAGCCAAGAAGAAAGCCGGGTTGCAAGGGAGAGAAAGAGACTGCAGGCTTAGCACCTTTTTGGAACTAGATCTGGTCATGCCTGAAGTGGCTTTGTAGTTACAGGAGTCAATAATACTCTCTATTTTGCTTCAATGAAATTGAATGCCATTTCTGTCACTAGACAACCAAAGAGTACTGAATAATTCAACATAATAAAATAAAATGCATATTTATAAACGGATAAATTTGGGACATTATTATCATAAAACCAATTGCTTGTTTAAATACTTAGTTTGCACTTAATGTGCCATTCCACTTTAAACATTCGATTGGCATATACGCTTTCAGAAACACCCATAGTAGTTAAAATAAGGGAAATTTGGTAGAACCCCTTCTCTTAGCTTGGCACTATTGCTTATTTTGCATGATGCCTGGAACAAGTTACTTAACCTCTTCTGCCTCATCTGATAAATGTACACGATAATAGTAATTACCATATAGATATTGGGTATAGAAGGCTCATGCTGCTAGAACAGTGGTTTGCACATAATGAGCATTAGCTCTTAGTAACGAATTGTTGTTAATTCGTTAACTTTTCGATCACATTTAAAGTTATTTTAACGTAATAGTTTTTGGCCGGTTTAGATAAAAACATGTAGCATCACAAATATGTAAGTAAATATATTGAGCCCTTAAGTATAACGAATGTTAGAAGCAGTTATGTAAATAAGCACATATGAGAGAAAGGCTCAAAAGTTATAATATACAAAAGACGAAACATTATTTTTATATGCTGTCCAGGTTATGATTCATTTTTGCTCATTAAAAATTTATTATATTGTTTTTCCATAAGGAAAATTAATATGACTATATTAATATATTTGCAAATAGTTATTGTAATCACTTATGTGTTAGTAATTTATTATATAAATAAAATTATTATATTATATAATATATAAATAAATTACTAATACATAACTGATGATAACACAGAAGTATGTTTCAGAGAGTTGATTTTTTAAAAAACTCCATATTAGACTAAATATTGTCACTTAATAAGAATACACAATCTCACAAACAGCAAAATACTTCACTGCCTTTGCTTTTTAAAAGGAAACAAAAGATTAGAATTGGGTCATATATCCAATGTGAAATGTAGAGTATTTCAATTAAGATTCAAGTTGACTTTTTAAAGTGTTGTTCAAGTCAAATGCTACCCTGTGTCAATTGCTTCCAGCTGCTGAATGAGTTTGTAAAGTTATAGGGCATTATAACAACATTGACTGCAACACTTCTTAATTTCACTTTTAGAACATAGGAGATAAATCACATTGTGTGTAAAAGTGTATCAAAATAATAAGCAATAAATAAAGAATAACAACGATAAATAATAAGTAATCCCCTCTCTGGTCTTGGAGAAATATGTGTGAAACAAAGGCTGAAACATGTATGTAAAGTTTTAAAGGTGAATCACCAATTGCTTTCAGTGTTAGTTTATCTTACATCTTTCCATTCTTCAGTAGAAAATTTTGCATTTATTTAAGTAAGTGTTTTTGCTTTTTTTCTTAATTTTACTATAGGTCATTTTCTTGGGAAAATAACGGTGACATTGTTGCATATGAAAACCAAGAAACATTGTGAAAGATTTAATTCATGCTATGGCCATTTCAGCAGAATCTCACTGAATTTTATGTATATGAAATGATTTTTAAAAAATAGTAGAACCTTTCCATGGCCAAGCACTACCTACATTGCCCCACTCTGTAAACTCTTTATGTCAAAATGAAAACTAAATGATATTTTGAAACAAGTGTGCACATATAAAAATTTCTTCTAGAATCCAGTGGTCTCAGAATGGATTGAAGAGAAAAAGGTTCACTGCTGACCAGGGGCTTATTTCCCATTTTTCATTTCTGTTTGTAATTCCTGTCATCTTTGTTTCTTGTGCTTTTGCTAAAAAGGGCGACTCATATTTATTGGACCTGGGTTTCAATAAACAGTATGCATTATGGTGAACCAAAGAGTGATTTATTGATAATTTGTCACTTATATTTATGAAATTGTAGACCCCAGAGCTCCAGAGCAGGTAAATCATATTCCACAGCCTCAATGTGTTGGTCCCCGTCCGCCCGCACCCCCACTCCACTCCATAAGCCAACCGCTGGCTCCATTTACTGCCAAAAGCTCACATCATGTAAGCTGACAGCCCCATACTTCTCAGGTCCTGGTCATCATGCACTTACAAATACAAGAAAAATAGAACAACTGTTGGAGACTTACTTGTTTTTTCAATGTGTTTTCAATTTATTTCTCAAGTCCAGAAATAATAAATTAATAAAACATAATTAGATGTAAAATTACAAGTTAATGAGGCTAGAGAAGGAGCAAGAATGTAAAAGGAACAGTAGATTGTGAGATTTTTTTTTTAGTTTGTTTATTATGATACAGCTGTATAGAACTTTCACACAGTTTCCAGATGCAGACAGCTGTTAGTCCGTTGCTATTAAGGAAACAAAGGTTCAGAGTTCATTTTGATCCACTTGTTCTAGACTAGTGGTGTTTAACATGGCACTTCACTCAGTCATATACAAGACTGTCAAGATGGGCATCATGTCTTCACTTGCCTTTTGCTGCTCACTTATCTCTTCTGGCAACCTCTCCAACAGCAAGCTGCCCCACTCTTCCTAACATGTTTATCTCCCATGGTGATGTCAGCAGAACTCAGCAAATCTAATATTCATGCTCAAACAGATTTGTTGGTGCTCTTTGTTTATAAGAATCAGCCCTGTATCACTCTTGCAGCTGCTTCCTCTAGATAATGCATACAGGGCTTTGTGTTTTGCATTCTCTTTAGACAGGACTTGGGCGACGAACAAAGCACCTACCTATATCTGACTACAACCTATTTTTTTTTTTTTTTTTTTTTTTACAAAAATCTAATTCCGATTTTTTTTTCCACGGATGTGACTATAACCTTGTCTTTTTCCGCTTGGCCACTTCTTTTGGACATAAAATATTTACAGCAATGAAACAATGCATATGTTTTCTTTTCTGGAGGAATAATCAAGAGAAATAAGATTTTAAAAATATAATTTAGGCAGAAGATATTTCTTAAATGTAATGCTCTAGGGCTAAAGAATGAAACTCATAAAAAATGTATGTATGTTCCACATGGAAGTCTACAAAAATCATGTCGTATGTACTATTTTATAATATCCCAAGTTTTTGTAGTAATTAACTATTGCTTTTCAAGTTTCAGTTACTTTTAATGATTTAGGGACAAATATATAATGCAGATATGGGAAACAGACATCATTAGCTGTGGTTGCAGGTCTCTTTTACACAATTCCTGGTACAAATCTTTATCTCTTTAATGGAAAAACACATGCTGATTTAAAAATCTGCAACTACTTGAGTCAAGATAGTTGGAAGCTTACTAACTGGTGGATGTGGGACTTGTTTTGCATGATGACTTTAAGGTAGTCGACTTCCACACTTTCTCATTTATATATGAGCCTGTACATGTAAAAATGGTTTCTAAATAAGTCTCAACTGTATTTATTTTAAAGCACTATGGTGTTGTAGCACCTTTAGGAGCCATTTTGATTAAGAACTAAATTATACATATCTTTATACAACTTTCTAATTTTAAATAATGAAACACCACACATTTGTGTTACATCACTGGATTGTTGATCTTTACACCTTTTGGGGAACACAGTACTAAATGTCAACCTATAACAAAGTGCCAATTCTGCACCCAAAAGCGTTATATAGTAGGTGCTCACTTAACGTAATTGATAAGTTATTTGAAAGTGAGATTTTAAGTGAAACAACATATTAATGAAATCAATCTTCCCCTAGGCTAATTGATATAAACAAGAGTTAACATCCTATGTCATATTTCTGGTCACAAAATCATTACCAAGCTTCTAAATAAAGACCAGAATAGTTCTAATATTAAACAGTGAAATAAATGTGATAAATACATTTAAGAAAGATTAATCGAAACCATTAAGATAACTATTTAGTGACTTAGGGGTCCAGGTAGCCAGAGCCCATCCTGACTCAGGGTGGCAGGCGGGAATCTACCCTGGCCAAGCCACCCCCCCATTGCAGGGTGCCTCACACTCACCCTCACTCACCCACACCGGGACCATGGAGATGGGCCACTTCATCTCACATGCAAAACTGTGAGTTGTGGGAGGAAACTGGAGTACCTGGAGAAAACCCACACAGACGTGAGGAGAATGTGCCAACTCCACGCAGTGTCCTTGGCAGGAAGTGATTTTTTTTTCCTTATCAATGCTATAAGGAAACGATGTTAGCCAGATGACGTTATTAGAGGACCTGCAGTATCCTTTCCAAGGCCATCATCAACTAGGCTTCATTTGCTGGATCTGCAGTCAAAGTACGGTCTCAGATTGTCTCCTCATTTTTAAAGATTTTAAAAGACCAGTCCCTTTTAGTTTGTATCTAGGATTAGTTAAAAACCTAGTCTAGATATTATAAGCATTGGTTTTCTTTTTATTTATTTATTTTTTTTTTTGGTGTGCTGCACCCAGTAATTTGTCATTTAACATTAGGTATATCTCCAAATGCTATCCCTCCTCCCTCCCCCCAACCCACAACAGGCCCTGGTGTGTGATGTTCCCCTTCCTGTGTCCATGTGTTCTCATTGTTCAATTCCCACCTATGAGTGAGAACATGTGGTGTTTGTTTTTTTGTCCTTGCCATAGTTTGCTGAGAATGATGGTTTCCAGCTTCATCCATGTCCCTACAAAGGACATGAACTCATCATTTTTTATGGCTGCATAGTATTCCATGGTGTATATGTGCCACATTTTCTTAATCCAGTCTATCGTTGTTGGACATTTGGGTTGGTTCCAAGTCTTTGCTATCGTGAATAGTGCCGCAATAAACATACGTGTGCATGTGTCTTTATAGCAGCATGATTTATAGTCCTTTGGGTATATACCAAGTAATGGGATGGCTGGGTCAAATGGTATTTCTACTTCTAGATCCCTGAGGAATCGCCACACTGACTTCCACAATGGTTGAACTAGTTTACAGTACCACCAACAGTGTAAAAGTGTTCCTATTTCTCCACATCCTCTCCAGCACCTGTTGTTTCCTGACTTTTTAATGATCACCATTCTAACTGGTGTGAGATGGTATCTCATTGTGGTTTTGATTTGCATTTCTCTGATGGCCAGTGATGATGAGTGTTTTTTCACGTGTCTTTTGGCTGCAAAAATGTCTTCTTTTGAGAAGTGTCGGTTCATATCCTTTGCCCACTTTTTGATGGGGTTGTTTTTTTCTTGTAAATTTGTTGGAGTTCATTGTAGATAAGCATTTATTTTCTAGTAGTTAGTGAGAGCTTAACTGTATGTTGAACTTACATGCAAAGATCTTAGAGTGTAAGCTTTCACGTAATTTGACACTGGCCCTATAAAATTCTCAGTGTCTTCATTTTATAAATTTATAAATTGAAATTTGGAGATTTAATGCAAACTGACCCAGGTCACATTGCAAGCCACAGATGGGGTAGTTTTATACCAATTTTTTAATAAAAATTTTAAATATAAATTTATATGATACAAATAAAAATGTTAAATTTTAAAGACATGTTTTAAAAGACTATTTGTTGTGTTTTGAGTTTCTGGAAGCAGTGTAAGGAAGTAAGAGCAGAAATCAATACTTAGTTGGACCAGGATGATGTGAGGAAGGGCCAGTTGGAGAATTTGTGGACACCCTCATACCCAGCGTCAACTGTGTGATGCCAATATCAGTGCGAACATCTTATATTTAGGTCACTACTACAGTGATAGAATTATGTGCAAACCACAGCCGATGTGAGCATCATCTTTGGTTTGTCATCAGGCAACACATTGGTGTATTAATGGATGTGTGCTTTTCTGATAATTTTGTCTCCCTGTGTTTCTTTGTAAACTATGTGATGAATCAGACCTAATTTTATCCCCTTTGAGACCAAAAAAGTGTCCATAAAAGAGAAAAAAGAGAGAATGGAATGTATACAAGAAAGCTGAGGTTATTAAGTTCCCTACCAGGACTCACTTGTGTGGGGTCATGGAATAAAATCTGGTATGAGTTTAAGGGCTCTGAGGGCAGAGAGGAACTGTGCTTTGCCTAGCTGTTTGTAGCAAGATGAATCTTCTGGCCAATATGGCACAGGGGCAGCAGAGCAGGCATCACTGCATCAAGGTGTCTAGACAGAGGAGCTGGAGTCAGATGCAGGTTTTTATGTGCCCCAGTGAGATGGGCACATACCCGAGAGAAGCACTTGAGACAGATCTTGACTGATACTTGGAGAATGGTCTGTGATCTGTATGAATCAGGAACCAGAAACCAGATGAAAGTGACGTGTAATAGCAGGGCAGATGAGGTACAAGCACGTGACACTCTGTGTCCCCTCCCGTACAAACAACATACTCTCTGGCCCTGGGGCTTAGATATTATTACAGGAATTGGGTGATAGGGAGAGACCCTAAGATAGTTATATTTTAGAGTTTTGTATAACTGTATATTTTTCTTCACCTAGTGGGATGGGAAATCAAAACAGAGATGTTTCGTGGAACAACAATAAAGAAAGTTATGCTTACTGAAATGCTAGGTTTAGGATCTATATATGTGTAACTGTTCAATTTCATTAATAGAAATGAATTGGTATTGTCATTGTCATATCAGCCATGCATCTTTGAAACTGGGACTCATAGAGATTGTAACCTGTTCTATGTCATTTAATAAGATAGTGGCTCGCTAGACTCTAGTCTTTTACTTGGTCTTTGTTTAGTTTGTGTTAGAATAATATTTACCTCTAATACCAGAAAACAAAACAAAAGGCTCAGCTTTGCTTTTGCTTTTTTTTTCTTTTCTCTCTCTCTCTCCCTCCCTCCTTTCCTCCCTCCTTCTTCCTTCCTTCCTTCCTTCTTTCTTTCTCTTTCTTTCTCTCTTTCTTTCTTTCTCTCTCTCTTTCTTTCTTTCTTTTCTTTCTTTCTCTCTCTCTCTTCCTTTCTTTCTTTTCTCTCTTTCTTTCTCTCTTCTTTCTTTCTTCTTCTTTCTCCCCTCCCTCCCACCCTCCCTTCCTTCCTTCCTTCCTTCCTTCCTTCCTTCCTTCCTTCCTTCCTTCCTTCCTTCCTTCCTTCCTTGTCTTTCTTTGTTGTGAAAGATCAGGGAAGGGAGATATCAGTGCAGGCTGGGTGCTTATTGAAACAAGGCATGCATAAAACTGGTCAGAACCTAATAAATGAGTTGACTCAGAAAAATAAGGAAGAGAAGAAGGAATAGTATGTATTCTGGGATGAGTGGACAGAGAAGTGCTACATGGTGGGACTTTGGAAGGGTCGGCATAATGGAAGGGAGGCTTTATGTCCAGGAATAGGTTGAAGAGGGAGTTGGAAGACTGTAAGGGAGAATCAGGCAATATGAGCCACTGCAGGGCTTAAAAGGGAAAGTGATGGGATCAGGCAGTCGTTTAGGAACTTTAGTCTAATGGCAGAAACAGAGATGAATTAGAGATGGTGTGAGTGTAGAGAACAGAACACAATCTTGTTGAAGTGGAGTGAGCAGGAGGACTAGGAAATGGCACCTAATTTATTTTCTTTCATAAAACGAATCGCAGTCTGACATTCTATTTACTTGTTTATTTTGTTTCTTTCCAACTAGAAAGTAAGTTGCATGAGTCAAAGACCTTATTTGTACTAATTCACTTCTGCCTTCCCATGACCCTGTACATGGTAGATGCTTAAGACATGTTTGTTGAATGAGTATAAATAAATGCAAATATCTATAAATAATACATTAGAGAGAAATTTTAAAGAAGGAATTGATTTTTAAAATTATTGCAAAAACACAAAATTTTAATCTAATCTGATAAACTTAATAAGGTGCAAACATTTAAAAAATCAGGTAGCCCAGTTCCTGCTTGGATGAGTCATATAAAATACTCAAACTTTCAGAAATCTGTCCCTTCCTTTCCTGGGATAAGTGTGTGTGGAGTTCCTTCTTCCTCTTCCTGTCTGATTTTACCCTTCTTTATGTGCAATGCTATCATCAAAACTACCAGGACTGCCTCTTGATATATTAAACAGGAAGATGAAAGAATATAGAAAATTCATTTTTCTTAACAAGGCCTGCCTTTGAAAAGGCTTAGCTTCATTTTAATGCAATTTTGCATAATGTTATCCTTGATTCATGCAAGTATACCTAATTTTACTGCACTACACTATTTCACTTTACAGACACTCCATTGGTGTTGGATTACATGGATAGATTCTTTAGTGGTGAGTTCTGAGATTTTGGTGCACCCATCACCTGAATAGTATACACTGTACCCAGTGTGTAATCTTTTATCCCTTACTCCCTTCCAACCCCATGCCCCTTAGTCCCCAAAGTTCACTGTATCATTCTTATGCCTTTGCTTCCTTCTAGCTTAGCTCCCACTTATAAGTGAGAACATAGCAATATCTGGTTTTCCATTCCTGAGTTACTTCAGTTAGAATAATGGCCTCCAACTCCATCCAGGTTGCTGTGAATGCCATTATTTTGCTCCTTTCTATAGCTGAGTAGTATTCCATGGTATATACATATACCACATATCCTTTATCCACTTGTTGATCGATGGGCACTTGGGCTGGTTCCATATTTTTGCAATTGCAAATCGTGCTGCTATAAACGCGCGTGTGCAAGTGTCGTTTTCATTAATGACTTCTTTTCCTCTGGGTAGATACTCACCAGTGGGACTGCTGGATCAAACGGTAGATCTACTTTTAGTTCTTTAAGGAATTACACACTGTTTCCATAGTGGTTGTACTAGTTTACATTCCTACCAGCAGTGTAAAAGTGTTTCCTTCATACCACATCTATGCCAACATCTATTATTTTTTGACTTTTTAATTGTGGCCATTCTTGCAGGAGTAAGGTGGTATCACGTTGTGGTTTTGATTTGCATTTCACTGATAATTAGTGATGTTGAGCATTTTTTCATGTTTCCTGGCCATTTGTATAACTTCTTTTGAGAATTATCTATTCATGTCCTTAGCCCACTTTTTGATGGAATTATTATTTTTTTTCTTGCTGATTTGTTTGAGTTCCTTGTAGTTTCTGGATATTAGTTCTTTGTCAGATGCATAGTTTGTGAAAGTTTTCTCCCACTCTGTGGGTTCTCTATTTATTTTGCTGATTATTTGTTTGGCTGTGCAGGAGCTTTTTAGTTAAGTCCCATCTATTTATCTTTGTTTTTGTTGCATTTGCTTTTGGGTTCTTGATCATGAAGTCTTTGCCTAAGCAATGACTAGAAGTGTTTTCTTAAACATTATCTTCTGGAATTTTTATGGTTTCAGGTTTTATTTAAGTCTTTGATCCATCTTGAGTTAATTTTTTTTTTTTTTTTGAGATGGAGTCTCGCTCTGTCACTCAGACTGGAGTGCAGTGGTGCAATCTCGACTCACGGCAAGCTCCGCCTCCTGGGTTCACGCCATTCTCCTGCCTCAGCCTCCCGGGTAGTTGGGACTACAGGCGCCTGCCACCATGCCTGGCTAATTTCTTTTTGTATTTTTAGTAGAGACGGGGTTTCACCGTGTTAGCCAGGATGGTCTCTATCTCCTGACCTTGTGATCCACCCGCCTTGGCCTCCCAAAGTGCTGGGATTACAGGCATGAGCCACCGCGCCTGGCCGAGTTAATTTTTGTATAAGGTGGGAGATCAGGATCCAGTTTTATTTTTCTACATGTGGCTTGCCAATTATCCCAGCACCACTTGTTGAATAGGGTGTCCTTTCCCCACTTGATGTTTTTGTTTGCTTTGTCAAAGATCAGCTGGCTGTATTTGGCTTTATTTCTGGGTTACCTATTCTGTTCGTTGGTCTATGTCCTATTTTTATACCAGTACCGTGCTGTTTTGGTGACTATAACCTTACAGTATAGTTTGAAGTCTGGTGATGTGATGCCTCCAGATTTATTCTTTTTGCTTAATCTTGCTTTGGCTATGCAAACTCTTTTTTGGTTCCATATGAATTTTAGGATTGTTTTTTCTAGTTCTTTGAAGAATGATGATGGTATTTTGATGGGAATTGCACTGAATTTGTAAATTGCTTTTGGCAGTATGGTCATTTTCACAATATTGATTCTACTTATCCATGAGTGTGGGATGTGTTTTTATTTGTTTGTGTCATCTATGATTTCTTTCAGTAGTGTTTTGTAGTTTTTCTTGTAGAGGTCTTTCACCTCCTTGATTAGGTATAGACCTATGTGTTTTATTTTATGTTTTTGCTATTGTAAAAGGGGTTGAGTTCTTGACTTGATTCTCAGCTTGGTCATTGTTGGTATACAGCAGTGCTACTGATTTGTGTACATTGATTTTATATCCTGAAACTTTACTGAATTCATTTATCAGATCTAGGAGCTTTTTGTATGACTCTTTAGGGTTTTCTAGGTACAAGGTCCTTTCATTGGCAAACAGTGACAGTTTGACTTCCTCTTTACCTATTTGGATGCCTTTTATTATTTCTTTCTCTTGTCTGATTGCTCTGGCTAGGACTTCCAGTATTACATTGAACAAAAGTGGTAAAAGTGGGCATCCTTGTCTTGTTCCAGTTCTCGGCGGGAATGCTTTCAACTTTTCCCCATTCAGTATAATATTGGCTGTGGGTTTGTCATAGATGGCTTTTATTACCTTAAGGTTGTCCATTCTATGCTGATTTTGCTGAGGGTTTTAATCACAAAGGGATGCTGGATTTTGTCAGATGATTTTTCTCCGTCTATTGAGATATCATGTGATTTTTCTTTTTAATTCTGTTTATGTGGTGTATCACATTTATTGACCTGCATATGTTAAATCATCCCTGCATCCCTGGTATGCACCCCTTTTGATCATGGTGGATTATCTTTTTGGTATGCTGTTGGATTTGTTTAACTGGTATTTTGTTGAGGATTTTTGCATTTATGTTCATCAGGGATACTGGTCTGTAGTTTTCTTTTTTTTTTTTTTTGTTATGCCCTTTCCTGGTTTGGGTATTAGGGTGATAATGGATTTATAGAATGATTTAGGGAGGATTCATTCTTTCTCTATTTTTTGGAATGGTTTCAATAGGATTGGTACCACTTCTTTGAATGTCTTATAGAATTCAGCTGTAAATATGTCTGGTCCTGGACTTCTTTTTTTCTTGGCAATTTTTAAAATTACCATTTCAATCTCACTGCTTTTTACTGGTCTGTTCAGAGTTTCTATTTGTTCCTGGTTTACTCTAGAAGGGTTGTATATTACCTCCTGTATAATCTAAGAGGGTTTTTGTCATCAGGAGTATATTAATCTCCTCTAGGTTTTCTAGTTTGTGGATAAAGGTGTTTATAGTATCCTTGAATGATCTTTTGTATTTCTGTGGTGTTGGTTGTAACATCTCCAATTTCATTTCCAATTGAGCTTATCTGGATCTTCTGTTTTGTTTTCTTGGTAAATCTCGCTGATAGTCTATCAATTTTGTTTATCTTTTCCAAGAACCAGTTTTTTGTTTCATTTACCTTTTGTATTTTTTTTTTTGTTTCACTTTCATTTAGTTCTGCTCTGATCTTTGTTACTTAGTTTCTCCTGCTGGGTTTGGGTTTGGTTTGTTCTTGTTTCTCTAATTTCTTGAGGTATGACCTTAGACTGTCTATTTCTGCTTTTTAGACTTTTTGATGTAGACATCTAATGCTGTGAACTTTCTTCTTAACACCACTTTTGTTGTATCCCAGAGGCTTTGATAGGTTGTGTCACTATTATTGTTCAGTTCAAATAATTTTCTAATTTCCAGATTAATTTCATTGTTAACCCAGTGATCATTCATGAGCAGATTATTTAATTTCCATGTATTTTTATGGTGTTCAGGGCTCCTTTTGGAGTTAATTTTTAATTTTATTCCACTGTGGTCTGAGAGGGTATTTGATTTTGATATAATTTCAATTTTCTTAAATTTATTGAGACTTGTTTTGTGTCATATCATGTGGTCTATCTTGGAGAATGTCCCATGTGCTGATGAACAGAATGTATATTCTACATTTGTTGGGTAGAATGTTCTGTAAATATCTGTTAGGTCCCCTTTTCTAGAGTATAGTTTAAGTTCATTGTTTCTTTGTTGACTTTCTGTCTTGATGACCTGTCTATTGCCATCAGTGGAGTATTGAAGTCCCCCACTATTATTGTGTTGCTGTCTATCTCATTTCTTAGGTCTATTAGTAATTGTTTTTTTATAAATTTGGGATCTCCAATGTTAGGTTCATATATATTTAGGACTGTGATTTTTTCCTGTTGGACTAGTCTTTTTTATCATTATATAATGTCCCTCTTTGTCTTTTTTAACTGTTGTTGCTTTAAAGTCTGTTTTGTCTGATATAAGAATAGCTACTCCTGCTCATTTTTGATGTCCTTTTGCATGGAATATCTTTTTCCACCTCTTTACCTTAAGTTTCTGTGAGTCCTTATGTGTTAGGCAAGTCTCTTGAAGAGAGTAGATACTTGGTTGGTGAATTCTTATCCATTCTGCTATTCTGTATCTTTTAAGTGGAGCATTTAGGCCATTTAAATTTAATGTTAGTATTGAGAAGTGAGGTACTACTCTGTGCATCATGCTAGTTGTTTCCTGAATACTTTTTTTGTGTGTTATTGTTTTATAGACCTTGTGAGATGTACGCTTTAAGGGGGTTCTATTTTGGTGCATTTCAAGGTTTTGTTTCAAGTTTAGGATTCTGCTTAGCAGTTCTTGTAGTGCTGGCTTGGTAGTGATGAATTCTCTCAGCAATTTTTTGTCTGAAAAAGGCTTTATCTTTCCTTCACTTAGGAAGCTTAGTTTAGCTGGATACAAAATTCCTGGTTGATAATTGTTTTGTTTAAGGAGGCTAAAGCTAGGACCTTAATCCCTTCTAGTTTGGACGGTTTCTACTGAGAAAACTGCTTTTAATCTGATAGGTTTTCATTTACAGGTTACCTGATGCTTTTGCTTCACAGCTCTTAATATTCTTTGCTTCATCTTGATTAGATAGCCTGATGACTGTGTGCCTGGGTGATGATCTTTTTGCAATGAATTTCCTGGCTGTTCTTTGAGCTTCTTGTATTTGGGTGTCTAGATCTCTAGCAAGGCCAGGGAACTTTTCCTCAATAATTCCCTCAAATAAGTTTTCCAAACTTTTTGATTTCTCTTCTTCTTGGGAACATCAATTATTCTTATGTTTGTTCGTTTAACATAATCCCAAACTTCTTGGAGGCTTTGTTCATTTCTTTAATTATGTTTTCTTTGTCTTTGTCAGATGGGATTAATTTGAAGCCTTGTCCTTGAGCTCTGAAGTTCTTTCTTCTACTTCTTTGATTCTGTTTTTGGACTTTCCAGTGTATTTTCCAGGGTATTTTGCAAATAAAAGACACATCTAAGTGTGTCTTTCATTTCAGGAAGTTGTGATTATTTTTTACTTATGCTCTCCATTTATCTGGAGATTTTTTTCATCCATATTCTGTATTTTTTTTTCAATTTCTTTAAGTTGGTTTTCACCTTTCTCTGGGCCCTTCTTGAGTAGCTTAATAATCAACCTTCTGAGTTCTTTTCCTGGCAATTCAGAAATGTCTTCTTGGTTTTAATCCACTACTGGTGAGGTAGTGTGATCTGTTGGAGAAGTCAAAGTACCCTGTTTTGTCATATTACCAGAATTGTTTTCCTTCTCATCAGGGTAGACTATGTCAGAGGCAAGATCTGGGACTCAAGGGTTGTTGTTCAGATTCTTTTGTCCCACAGGGTGCTCCCTTGATGTGGTGCTGTCCCCCTTCCCCTAGGGATGGAGCTTACTGAGAGCTGAACTGCAGCGATTGTTATTCCCCTTCTCCGTGCAGCCACCCAGTGGAGCTACTGGGCTCCAGGCCGGTACTGGGGAATGTCTGCAAAGAGTCCTGTGATGTGATTCATCTTTAGCTCTCTCAGCTGTGGATACCAGCACCTGATCTAGTGAAGGCAGCAGGGGAATGAGGTGGACTCTGTGAGAGTCCTTGGTTATAGTTTTCTTTAGTTTGCCGGTTTTGGTTTTCTCAAATGCTGGTTGTGCTAGAAGTGAAGTTGTCATGTGGACAGACTCAGGACCTCTGGTTAGCCAGGATGTTACAGGTGGTGGAATTAGCTGTTGTTTTCTCCTTTCTTGGAGTAAGGTTGTTCTTTTATGAGTTGCTCTGATGGTTTGAGTTGGTTGGTCTCCAGCCAGGATGTGGTGCTTTCAAGAGAGCATTGGCTGTGGTGGTATAGGGGAGATACGAGCTTGCCCTAGGGTTGCCTGTATAAGTACTTGGGTTTCTCAGGAGGTGGGTGGGGCCGTAGAGTTCCCAGGGGATTATGTCCTTTGTCTTTGACTACCAGGGCAGATAAAGAAAAACCATCAGGTGGGGGCAGGGTTAGGTGGGTCTGAGCACAGAATGCCCTTGAGTGGGACTTGCTATGGCCACTGTGGTGGATGGGGGTGTGGTTGTCTGGTTAATGGAGTTATGTTCCCAGGGAGATTATGGTTGCCTCTCCTGTGTCAGGCAGTCATCAGGCAAGTGGGAGAAAAATAGCAGTGACAGGCCTCACTCAGCTCCCACATAGCCAGCAAGGACAATCTCACTCCTGCTGTGCTCCACCAACAGCCAACGGAGACAAGTTTATATCCAGGCCTCTGCTGTGCAGGGCTGAGATCCTGTCCGTTGCTATAAGCCTCCCCATTAAGAAAGCAAGCAGGGCTCTCAAGCCTCACCCTCCCCTGCCTGCCGTGGTGTCTGTGCTCATATCTGCACTTCCATTGCACCTCCTGACCCCCATCCCAAATTCTGCCCAGGAAAATTTGCACTCTGTCAAAATTATTACTAAGTTCAGCTGGACGTTTCTTTCTCTCTGTGACCTCTCCCTAATTCCACTAGCAACCCTCCTCAAGTACCCCTGTGAGATAAACTCAGAAATGGCTTCCCTGGGCCGCTTTGGGGACTGAGAGTGCCTACAGGGCTCTTCCCACTGCTTCTTCTACTTTTATATTTCACTCAGCTCTCTAAATTCATTTCAGCTCTAGGTAAGGTTAAATCCTTCTTCTGTGATCTGGATTTTCAGACTCCTAGGTGAGGATGTGTGTTTGGGGGCAGACTTCCTCCTCTTACACTTTGGGTACTCACAGTGTTTTGGCTGTCTCACAGAGTTTGCAGTGGCAAACTCCTTCTTTCAAAGTGTCTGCAAATTCTCTCAATTTTCCTGGTATGTTCCTGAGGTAGTTCTTGGAGCAAATGTTCACAGTGTGGTTCTCCACATGCCGTTCTGTCCATCTAAGTGGGAGTTGCAAGTTAGTCCTGCCTCCTGTCTGCTATTTTCCCCTCTAATCCAGAAACTGATTTTTTTTTAAACAAATTGAAGATCTATGACAGCTCTGCATCAAGCAAGCCTTTTGGTATCATTTTTCCAACAGTATCTCTGTGTCACATTTTGGTAACTTTTGCAATATTTAGAACTTTTTCATTGTTATTATATCTGCTATGGTGATCTGTGGTCAGTGATCCTTGATGTTACTATTATAATTGTTTTGGGGCTCCACAAACCATACCCATAGTAGACCACAAACTTAATAAATGTTGTATGTGATCTGACTGCTCTACTGACTAGCTGTCCCCCCATGTCTCTCCCTCTTCTCAGGCCTCCCTATTCCCTGATACACAGCAATATTAAAATTAGGCTAATTAATAACTCTATAAGGCCTGTGAGTGTTCAAGTGGAAGGAAACATTGCACATCTCTCACTTTAAATCAAAAGCCAGAAATGATTAAGCTAAGTGAGGAAGGCATGTCAAAAGCCAAGAATGGCTAAAAATTAGGCCTCTTGCACCAAATAACCAAGCTGCAAATGCAAAGGGAAACTTCTTGAAGGAAATTAGAAGTGCTAGTCCAGTGAACACATGAATGATAAGAACGTGGAACAACAACCTTATTGCTGATACAGAGAAAGTTTGAGTACAAAGCCTAATTCAGAGCAAAGCCTTAACTCTCTTCAGTTCTATGAAGACTGCAAGATGTGAGGAAGCTGCAGAAGAAAGATTTGAAGCTATTAGGGTTAGTTAATTAGGTTTAAGGAAAGACACCATCTCCATAACATAAAAGTGCAATGCGAAGCAGCAAGTGCTGATGGCGAATTTGTAGCAAGTTATCCAGATGTAGTTAAGATTGTTCATGAAGGTGGCTACACCAGAAAAATGGATTTTGATAGAAGCAAACTTCTGTTTAGAGAAGATGCCATTTAGGACTTTCACAGCTAAAGAGCAGTCAATGCCTTATGCCAAAGCTTCAAAGGACAGGCGAATTCTCTCGTGAGGGGCTAATGCAGATGGTGAATTTAAGTCAAAGCCAATGTTCATTTATTATTGCAAAAATCCTAGGATCCTTAAGAATTATGCTAAATTTACCCTGCCTGTGCTCTAGAAATGGAACAACAAGCCTGGATGATGGAACATCTGTTTACAGCTTGACTCACTAAATATTTTAAGCCCACTGTTGAGAACTACTGCTTAGAAAAAAGTATTCCTTTCCAAGTATTACTGCTTATTAACAATGCACCTGGTCACCCGGGAGCTCTGACGGAAATGTATAAGGAGATTAATGTTGTTTTTATGCCTTCTAACACAACATCCGTCCTGTAGCCCATGGATCAAGGAGTAATTGTGATTTTGAAGTCTTATTATTTAAGAAATACAGTTTATATTTGCTGTAGATAGTGATTCCTCTGATGGAACTGGGCAAAATAATTTGCAAACCTTCTGGAAAGGATTCACCATTCTAGATGTCATTAAAAATATTCCTGATTCATAGGAGGAGGTCAAAATATCAATATTAACAGGAGTTTGGAAGTTGATGCCAACTGTCATGATGACTTTGAGGGGTTCAAGACTTCAGTTGAGGAATTAACTATAGAAGTGGTGGAAATAGCAAGAGATCTAGAATTAGAAGTGGAGCCTGAAGATGTGACTGAATTGCTGCAATCTCCTGATAAAACTTGAATGGATGAGTAGTTGCTTCTCATGTATAAGGAAAAGAAATATGGATGAAGCTGGAAACCATCATTCTCAGCAAACTATCACAAGGACAAAAAACCAAACACCTCATGTTCTCACTCATAGGTGGGAATTGAACAATGAGAACACATGGACACAGGAAGGGGAACATCACACATCAGGGACTGTTGTGGGGTGGGGGGAGGGGGGAGGGATAGCATTAGGAGATATACCTAATGCTAAATGACGAGTTAATGGGTGCAGCATACCAACATGGCACATGTATACATATGTAACAAACCTGCACGTTGTGCGCATGTACCCTAAAACTTAAAGTATAACATTAATAAAATAAAAAAACTAAAAAAAAAGAAATAGTTTCTTACAATGAAATCTACTCCTAGTAAAGATGTTGTGAACATTGTTGAAATGACAACAAAGGATTTAGAATATTTCATAAATTTAGTTGATAAAGCAGTGACATGGTTTCAGAAGATTGATTTCAATTGTGAAAGAAATTCAAAGGGTAAAATGCTGTCAAGCAGCATTCCTTGCTACAGAGAAATCTTTCGTGAAAGAAGCATCAACTGATGTAACAAACTTCATTGTCTTGTCTTAAGAAATTGCCACAACCAACCCAACCTTCAGCAACCATTACCCTGAGCAGTCAGCAGCCATCAACATGGAGAAAGACCTTCAACCAGCGGAAAAATTATGACTTGCTCAAATGATTGTTAGCATTTTTTAGCAATAAAAGATTTTTTAAATGTTATGTACATTTTTTAGACGTAATGCTTTAGCAAACTTAATGGACTACAGTATGGTGTAAACCTAACTTTTACATTCACTGGGAAACCCAAAAATTCATGGGACTAATTTTATTGCAATATGTGCTTTATTTCAGCAGTCTGGAACCAAATGAACCCACAAAATCTGTATTCTGATGCCACTTGGCCTAGGGAATGCAACTGCTCAAGAGTAATGGATGAACAACTGGAATTGCAAAGGCTTCAACAGTAGTGTTTTGATAAATGCCTCAGACCTTAATGCTTATAAAAATTGGTGAACCCACAGTAGTCTCTGGAAGTGTCTTGAAGAAAAATGGTCGAAATATGTTTAGTCAGAAAGCCAATCTGTGAAAATATAATAGTTTCTGAAGTCTTAAGCAATTCATGACTGGCTAGGAGCAGACGTTCCAACATACCTCTTTCAGAGCCTGGGATGTTAAAATACCATTTAGATCCTTGAAGTAAGCTGATATTTTCACCTCATAAAAGTACTTCTGCATGTTCACCTGAGAAGAAGAAAAAAGTGACATTTTCTAGTGGCTTTCATGAAGTATCCCAGTACTCTCAAAAGGAAGAAACAGAAAACTCTTCATTGCCAGATGCTTGGAGATGGGAGGGAGGTAGTACATCAGTATCTGTAATTCTTATAGCAGTATTGTTTCAAAACATGCTATGTACATACTTACATACCTATGAACAGACATGTCAACATTCTTTAGCAATCAATCTAAAGTCTTTTCCTCCTAGACTCCTGTTCTCTCTGCAGTATATTAGAATGCAAAGATTTCAGCAGGAGTTGGATTCATTCTTGGATACCACTTAACTATTCTGAATTTCCTGTATGTCAGCTTTCTCTGAGTTTTTAATCCTATGAGAGATGCCAGCTTTTAGGAACATGGATAGGACATCCCCATTTTGTCACTGCTGGGGCACAAAATCCCTGCCATGTAATTTAATGGTCTCTTTCCTCTATTGAAATTAATATTTGAAAATTGAAAGCCCAACATTAGCACCAAATATTTTAAACATTTTATAGCCCTTCAGCTGTTCTGTAGTGCCAGTTTGCTTTCCATTCCCCTTGACATCTCACAATGCTAAGTACCCAGGGACAGCCTGTAGAGGTTTCCCCATAATCCACCTTTATCCATTAACAGACACTCAATCACTAAAGTGCTTACTAGACTAAACATATTTATCCAACCAAATCACACTTTACAATGCAAATCTGCCAATCAGACCTTGGATATTAACGAGGAACTGCTTTAAGGGGATTTTGGTGTTTGTGCTGTGAAGAGCCTGCTTACCTCCAACGAACCACTAAACCAAATTAACATAGCTGTATCCTCATAAAAGAAACCAGATATCCTGTTGTGAAAATAGAGAGCTTGGTGGGACAGGCCTCCTTTGATGGCTAACAGTGTGGCAGACAAGGGTTCAGACTTCAAATCTGGCTACCACAAAGTCATTATGAACCTCCAGCATCAGGCTTTTGATAACTTTAAAAGCAAAATAAAAATGTAGCATTGGGGTAACTCAGTAAGTTGTCAACTTACCCAGTTACTATTATAATTGCAATAAGTGCTGTAATTGTTGGATAAGGCTCCTTAATTCTAATTGCTCCTTCAACCAAGATCATGTTGTAAAAGTGCTTGCATTAGCCAAAAATAAAATCCAAGAGACACAAATGTGGTAGTAATAATAATTCTTTTTATTGGCCTGAAAGAGAGGAAGAGAACAAAGCTTTAAAAACTTCAAAGTTCTGACCAGAAAAAAAAAATCAGAATTGGAGAAACTCATACACTCTTTGCCCCTTTATTAGACCAATGCTCACTAAGTGCCATCACCATGAGTTGAGGGGTTGACAGCACTTTTTTTTCAGGTCTGCGAGTAAGTTACACCATCTATGTTGCCGTCTTAATTTAAGATTTCTGTCACAAACTACATAACACAGCCCTGTATGTCCTCACTCAGACCTCTTAATCACTTCAGACTTATTGGTATTATACCTCCTTTAAATACCAATATTTTAAGGCCGCTTTGACACTTGGTAGGGTTTGAGGTAATTTTTTTCTCCCCACTTAGCTAGCAAGAGAAGAAAGGCAGAATTTACTCAGAGTTAAAGTACAGACACAGTGTAAATAGTAATTCGTAAAATAATAGGCAATTATGCTGCACAGAAAAAGAACGCTACTGTATCTCAACTCTACACTTCGGGTCCTAAAATGAAATATGAATTTCCAGTCTTTACTGTTTATCAAAAATAATGAGCACTTTCTTATTTTGGTAGACTTTATAGGCACTTCTGGGGAAAATATTATGTGTGGCTAGAACAAGCTTCATTTTGGAGGCCACTTTTCACTCTGGAATAATTTCCAAAGTGAATAAACCACAACATGTGCATTTTTCCAAAGATCAGCCGAGTAGAAACTTCAAGCCAAAGTAGAAATTAAATTGTCATGCAGCAAAATGTCAGTAGTTTGCTAGAAATAGTTTAGGAGCATGCGTACATGCCTGAAGTAGAAATAATAAATATAAGTTTTTGCTCGTATATATATTTAATTTTTGTCTAATACTCTCATCTCTCATAATACAGGAATGAGTTAAGAAAGAGTTGCTAGATGAAGCATGACATATATTTGGGCTAGATTTTTGCTGTAAAATGTGTGTAAAACCATCTGGATGGCTTACTTATTTAGAAAATGAAACAAGTAGCAATGGTTTTGTATATGTGTGAAGATGTATAATTTTTTCAACATTTGAATTAATAATGTGAACATTCTATAGATAAGCCAGCATCCCATTTATGTTAACTGCACCAACTCATGTTCTTATAAAAGTACTTACATTAGGTTTATGAAAAAAAAGAGATTTAAATCTGAAAGTGACAAATATAATTTATGGACAACCAAGGAATAGTGAAAATATTCAGTAAAATCATAATGAATAACAATATTGGAAAGTTTAACCTTTTGCTTTAAAAACCTTTGTTATAATTAAGCTACCATAGTGAACAGCATTTATAAACAAAATTATAATGTTGCTATATTTTTCTTGCACAATGGCTTTTATTTATTTATTTGTTATTTTACTTTAAGTTCTGGGATACATGTGCTGAACATGCAGGTTTGTTACATAGGTAAGCATGTGTCATGGTGGTTTGCTGCACCTATCAACCTGTCATCTAGGTTTTAAGCCCTGCATGCATTAGTTATTTGTCCTAATGTCCCTTTGCCCCTGCCCTCAGATAGGACCCGGCTTATGATATTTCCCTCCCTGCATCCATGTCTTCTCAGCACAATGGCTTTTAAATTTCATTTTTGGATAGGAATATTAAGCATTCACTATTTTCATGTTGGATTTTGAAACTGCATTTTTCTTGCAACAATGTGTTTCTTCTAGTAAGGATAATGCAGTTGGTAAATCACATTTAATGATATAGACAAATGTTTTGAGAGGTAGAAGGAGCAGAAAACATTATTCATCTTAGAGGTGTTCATAGTATAAAATTACAAAGAGATCATAAAATATTGACAAGAAATGTAAAAATATAGTATGTAGAGGAGTAAATGAAAGAGATAGGAGATAGAGAAGGTTCCAGCATTGGATTGTAAATTCTTCCTGAGAAGGATGGTCATTTTTGTTTCCTAATATCATTAGTGTCTGGTATTGTACAAAGAAGAGATTGATAAATGTTTTTTGAGTAAATGAATAAAAGAATTCCTAGAGAAAAGTTTGACAACAGTACTCGAGGAAAGGAGACTCATGAAACAAGGAGGAAGATTTTTCCCCCAGGCCCCTGAAAGGTAAAGGCCACAGAAACCTGAGGGGAGAAACGGCACATGAATGAAGGGTGCAATTGGAATACTAGGTGTCGCCCCAAGCCTTGCTCCAAGGGAAGGCAGATAAAAAGCACATTTTTTAGAAAGCCAAATTTAGAATCAGTCAGTGTTTTGAAAATATCTAAGACGAGTTTTTCTTTGTATTTTTGAAAGCAGGACCACCACTTACAATAGGGCTTGGAAGTGACATAGCTCTCATTTAGTTCACTCCCCATCTGGTTAGTGTAGGAGTTTCTTCTGTGGCATCCCTACCACAGATCTTAAGAGAGAATTTTTAGTTATAGTAGAAGAATGTTCAAATGTAAGTCCTTGTTTTATTATCCCATGTTGCAGGAAAATGGGTACCTAGGAAGATGCTCAGGGTGTGAGATGGAAATCTATTGGAGAAATTATCAACACTGCGACCATTTGTATTTGGCCTCATCAGTTGTAGGTGTCTAAGTATGATATTATCAATTCTCATTGTCTTCCTTCTCCTGCAGATGGAATTATCTGTAGTAGAATTTTTTAAACTTGGGGGTGGAGCTAAGATGGCCGAATAGGAACAGCTCCAGTCTACAGCTCCCAGCGTGAGCGACACAGAATACGGGTGATTTCTGTGTTTCCAACTGAGGTACCGGGTTCATCTCACTGGGAAGTGCCAGATAGTTGGTGCAGGACAGTGGTTGCTGTGCACCATGCATAAGCTGAAGCAGGGCGAGGCATCTCCTCACCCGGGAAGTGCAAGGGGTCAGGGAATTCCCTTTCCTAGTCAAAGAAAGGGGTGACAGACGGCACCTGGAAAATCGTGTCACTCCCACCCTAACACTGCGCTCTTCCAACGGGCTTAACAAATGGCACACCAGGAGATTATATCCTGCACATGGCTCAGAGGGCCCTATGCCTATGGAGCCTCGCTCATTGCTAGCACAGCAATCTGAGATCAAACTGCAAGGCAGCAGTGAGGCTGGGGGAGGGGCGCCCGCCATTGCCCAGGCTTGAGCAGGTAAACAAAGCGGCCGGGAAGCTCGAACTGGGTGGAGCCCACCACAGCTCAAGTAGGTCTGCCTGCCTCTGTAGGCTCCACCTCTAGGGGCAGGGCACAGACAAACAAAAGACAGCAATAACCTCTGCAGACTTAAATGTCCCTGTGTGACAGCTTTGAAGAGAGTAGTGGTTCTCCCAGCATGCAGCTTGAGATCTGAGAATGGGCAGACTGCCTCCTAAAGTGGGTCCCTAACCCCCGAGTAGTCTAACTGGGAGGCACCCCCCAGTAGGGGCGGACTGACACCTCACACGGCCAGGTACTCCTCTAGGACAAAACTTCCAGAGGAACAATCAGGCAGCAGCATTTGCGGTTCACCAATATCCGCTGTTCTGCAGCCACCGCTGCTGATACCCAGGCGAACAGGGTCTGGAGTGGACCTCCAGTAAACTCCAACAGACCTGCAGCTGAGGGTCCTGACTGTTAGAAGGAAAACTAACAAACAGAAAGGACATCCACACCAAAAACCCATCTGTACGTCACCATCATCAAAGACCAAAGGTAGATAAAACTACAAAGATGGGGAAAAAACAGAGCAGAAAAACCGGAAACTCTAAAAATCAGAGCACCTCTCCTCCTCCAAAGGAATGCAGCTCCTCACCAGCAACTGAACAAAGCTGAACGGAGAATGACTTTGACGAGTTGAGAGAAGAAGTCATCAGAAGATCAAACTACTCCCAGCTAAAGGAGGAAGTTCGAACCAATAGCAAAGAAGTTAAAAACTTTGAAAAAAAATTAGACGAATGGATAGCTAGAATAACCAATGCAGAGAAGTCCTTAAAGGACCTGATGGAGCTGAAAACCATGGCATGAGAACTACGTGACGAATGCACAAGCCTCAGTAACCGATGCAATCAACTGGAAGAAAGAGTATCAGCGATAGAAGACGAAATGAATGAAATGAAGCGTGAAGAGAAGTTTAGAGAAAAAAGAATTAAAAGAAATGAACAAAGCCTCCAAGAAATATGGGACTATGTGAAAAGACCAAATCTACGTCTGATTGGTGTACCTGAAAGTGACGGGGAGAATGGAACCAAGTTGGAAAACACTCTGCAGGATATTATCCAGGAGAACTTCCCCAATCTAGCAATGCAGGCCAACATTCAAATTCAGGAAATACAGAGAACACCACAAAGATACTCCTCATAAAGAGCAGCTCCAAGACACATAATTGTCAGATTCAACAAAGTTGAAATGAAGGAAAAAATATTAAGGGCAGCCAGAGAGAAAGGTCGGGTTACCCACAAAGGGAAGCCCATCAGACTAACAGCGGATCTCTTGGCAGAAACTCTACAAGCCAGAAGAGAGTGGGGGCCAATATTCAACATTCTTAAAGAAAAGAATTTTCAACCCAGAATTTCATATCCAGCCAAATTAAGCTTCATAAGTGAAGGAGAAATAAAATACTTTACAGATAAGCAAATGCTGAGAGATTTTGTTGCCACCAAGCCTGCCCTAAAAGAGCTCCTGAAGGAAGCACTAAACATGGAAAGGAACAACCGGTACCAGCCACTGCAAAAACATGCCAAATTGTAAAGACCTTCAAGGCTAGGAAGAAACTGCATCAACTAACGAGCAAGATAACCAGCTAACATCATAATGACAGGATCAAATTCACACATAACAATACTAACCTTAAATGTAAATGGGCTAAATGCTCCAATTAAAAGGCACAGACTGGCAAATTGGATAACGAGTAAAGCCCCATCAGTGTGCTGTATTCAGGAAACCCATCTCACGTGCAGAGACACACATAGGCTCAAAATAAAGGGAGAGAGGAAGATCTACCGAGCAAATGGAAAACAAAAAAAGGCAGTGGTTGCAATCCTAGTCTCTGATACAACAGACTTTAAACCAACAAAGATCAAAAGAGACAAAGAGGGCTATTACATAATGGTAAAGGGATCAATTCAACAAGAAGAACTAACTATCGTAAATATGTATGCACCCAATACAGGAGCACCCAGATTCATAAAGCAAGTCCTTAGAGATCTACAAGGAGATTTAGACTCCCACACAATAATAATGGGAGACTTTAACACCCCACTGTCAACATTAGACAGATCAACAAGACAGAAAGTTCACAAGGATATCCAGGAATTGAACACAGGTATCCAGGAATTGAACACAGGTATCCAGGAATCTCCACCCCAAATCAACAGAATATGCATTCTTTTCGGCACCACACCACACCTATTCCAAAATTGACCACATAGTTGGAAGTAAAGCACTCCTCAGCAAATGTGAAAGAACAGAAATTATAACAAACTGTCTCTCAGACCACAGTGCAATCAAACTAGAACTCAGGATTAAGAAACTCACTCAAAACCGCTCAACTACATGGAAACTGAACAACCCGCTCCTGAATGACTACTGGGTACATAACGAAATGAAGGCAGAAATAAAGATGTTCTTTGAAACCAATGAGAACAAAGACACAACATACCAGAATCTCTGGGACACATTCAAAGCAGTGTGTACAGGGAAATTTATGGCACTAAATGCCCACAAGAGAAAGCAGGAAAGATATAAAATTGACACCCTAACATCACAATTAAAAGAACTAGAGAAGCAAGAGCAAACACATTCAAAAGCTAGCAGAAGGCAAGAAATAACTAAGATCAGAGCAGAACTGAAGGAAATAGAGACACGAAAAACCCTTCAAAAAAATCAATGAATCCAGGAGCTGGTTTTTTGAAAAGATCAACAAAATTGATAGACCACTAGCAAGACTAATAAAGAAAAAAAGAGAGAATAATTAAATAGATGCAATAAAAAATGACAAAGGGGATATCACCACCGATCCCAAAGAAATGCAAACTACCATCAGAGAATACTGTAAACAACTCGACGCAAATAAACTAGAAAATCTAGAAGAAATGGATAAATTCCTCGACACATACACTCTCCCAAGACTAAACCAGGAAGAAGTTGAAGCTCTGAATAGACCAATAACAGGCTCTGAAATTGAGGCAATAATTAATAGCTTACTAACCAAATAAAGTCCAAGACCAGATGGATTCACAGCCAAATTCTACCAGAGGTACAAGGAGGAGCTGATACCATTCCTTGTGAAACTATTGCAATCAATAGAAAAAGAGGGAATCCTCCCTAACTCATTTTATGAGGCCAGCATCATCCTGATACCAAAGCCGGGCAGAGACACAACCAAAAAAGAGAATTTTAGACCAATATCCTTGATGAACATTGATGCAAAAAACCCCAATAAAATACTGGCAAACCGAATCCAGCAGCACATCAAAAAGCTTATCCACCATGGTCAAGTGGGCTTCATCCCTGGGATGCAAGGCTGGTTCACCATATGAAAATCAATAAACGTAATCCGGCATATAAACAGAACCAAAGACAAAAACCACATGATTATCTCAATACATGCAGAAAAGGCCTTTGACAAAATTCAACAACCCTTCATGCTAAAAACTCTCAGTAAGTTAGGTATTGATGGGACGTACCGCAAAATAATAAGAGCTATCTATGACAAACCCACAGCCAATATCATAATGAATGGGCAAAAACTGGAAGCATTCCCTTTGAAAACTGGCACGAGACAGGGATGCCCTCACTCACCACTCCTATTCAACATAGTGTTGGAAGTTCTGGCCAGGGCAATCAGGCAGGAGAAGGAAATAAAGGGTATTCAATTAGGAATAGAGGAAGTCCAATTGTCCCTGTTTGCAGATGACATGATTGTATATTTAGAAAACCCCATTGTCTCAGTCCAAAATCTCCTTGAGCTGATAAGCAACTTCAGCAAAGTCTCAGGATACAAAATCAATGTGTGAAAATCACAAGCATTTTTATACACCAATAACAGACAAACAGAGAGCCAAATCATGAGTGAACTCCCATTCACAATTGCTTCAAAGAGAATAAAATACCTAGGAATCCAACTTACAAGGGATGTGAAGGACCTCTTCAAGGAGAACTACAAACCACTGCTCAATGAAACAAAAGAGGATACAAACAAATGGAAGAACATTCCATGCTCCATGGGTAGGAAGAATCAATATCATGAAAATGGCCATACTGCCCAAGGTAATTTATAGATTCAATGCCATCCCCATCAAGCTACCAACGACTTTCTTCACAGAATTGGAAAGAACTACTTTAAAGTTCATATGGAACCAAAAAAGAGCCCACATTGCCAAGTCAATCCTAAGTCAAAAGAACAAAGCTGGAGGCATCACACTACCTGACTTCAAACTATACTACAAGGCTACAGTAACCAAAACAGCATGGTACTGGTACCAAAACAGAGATATAGACCAATGGAATAGAACAGAGCCCGCAGAAATAATGCTGCATGTCTACAACTATCTGATCTTTGACAAACCTGACAAAAACAAGCAGTGGGGAAAGGATTCCCTATTTAATAAATGGTGCTGGGAAAACTGGCTAGCCATATGTAGAAAGCTGAAACTGGATCCCTTCCTTACACTTTATACAAAAATTAATTCAAGATGGATTAAAGACTTACATGTTAGACCTAAAACCATAAAAACCCTAGAAGAAAACCTAGGCAATACCATTCAGGACATAGGCATGGGCAAGGACTTCATGTCTAAAACACCAAAAGCAATGGCAACAAAAGCCAAAATTGACAAATGGGATCTAATTAAACTAAAGAGCTTCTGCACAGCAAAAGAAACCACCATCAGAGTGAACAGGCAACCTACAAAATGGGAGAAAATTTTTGCAACCTACTCATCTGTCAAAGGGCTAATATCCAGAATCTACAATGAACTCAAACAGGTTTACAAGAAAAAAACAACCCCATCAAAAAGTGGGCGAAGGATATGAACTGACACTTCTCAAAAGAAGACATTTATGCAACCAAAAAATACATGAAAGAATGCTCATCATCACTGGCCATCAGAGAAATGCAAATCAAAACCACAATGAGATACCATCTCACACCAGTTAGAATGGCAATCATTAAAAAGTCAGGAAACAACAGGTGCTGGAGAGGATGTGGAGAAATAGGAACATTTTTACACTGTTGGTGGGACTGTAAACTAGTCTAACCATTGTGGAAGTCGGTGTGGCGATTCCTCAGGGATCTAGAACTAGAAATACCATTTGACGCAGCCATCCCATTACTGGGTATATACCCAAAGGATTATAAATCATGCTGCTATAAAGACACATGCACATGTATGTTTATTGGGGCACTATTCACAACAGCAAAGACTTGGAACCAACCCAAATGTCCAACAATTACAGACTGAATTAAGAAAATGTGGCACATATACACCATGGAATACTATGCAGCCATAAAAAAGGATGAGTTCATGTCCTTTGTAGGGACATGGATGAAGCTGGAAACTATCATTCTCAGCAAACTATCACAAGGACAAAACACCAAACACCGCATGTTCTGTCATAAGTGGGAATTGAACAATGAGAACACATGGACACAGGAAGGGGAACATCACACACTGGGGACTGTTGTGGGATGGGGGGAGGTGGGAGGGATAGCATTAGGAGATATACCTAATGCTAAATGACGAGTTAATCGGTGCAGCACACCAACATGGCACATGTATACCTATGTAACAAACCTGCACGTTGTGCACATGTACCCTGAAACTTAAAGTATAATAATAATAATAATAAAGAATTTTTTAAACTTATTTCGTTAACCATTTGGTTTTTGTTTTGTCTCCTGGTAGCTTAGAATATTCTTTCCATTTATCTGGTATTGCCTCAGACCCAAATTTGAATAGTTAAATCATTTATTTAGTGCTCGTGGTCTCAGAGATATGACAAAGCAAAGATCTCTTTCGACCTCAGTTTCTTAAAGCCTAGGGGAACAGAAAAGATTTGAGGGACAGTCAAAAACTTTAAAGACTTGAGGAATTAGGGGTTTTGCTCAAACCAGAAAGCATTTCTCTTGACTGTAGAATGGGAGGGGAGAAGAAAGGGGTGTATTTTGAAAAGAGACCTCGGTGGGTTCTGGGGAGAGGAGCTCGGTACCTCAAGCCTAGTTAGATCCATAGGATTTGGAAAAACCACAGATGGATCTGTGGGCTTTGAGGGCAGAGGGGATTCACAGATCCCTAGGAAGTGGTAGGACCCCAGAGGACACAGGCAGAACACAGGACAGAGTGGGTTCAGTAGAGGCATATAGGATCACAGATAGCCTTGCAGAATTCCCAAGCAAGAGGCCAGCCAGCACGGCAGCACACGGCCAAGGGATCCCAGGGCTAGAGAGGACATGTGAACAGTGTCCGAGTGGAGTGATGGATGAGGACCCCCTGGAACAGTGAACATTACAGAACATGTCTCAGTAGATAACTGATATCAGAGATCAGATGGCACCCACTTCCCAGGCTTTGGTGCTGTGTACTCTCCTAGGCCTTAGTTCTGGAAAACGATGGGTGGTTACCTCAATTGAATGAGATTTGGTTAGTGCCATCCAGATAGAATGGGGAAGAAAAATATAAATTTTGCTGAGCAACAAAATGAGAAATATTTAGAATATTGTACTACTTGTCAACTTGTGAATTTGTGGACCATAATTGATACCATCTATATATCATTAGTGTTTCTGAAACTATGAAACTAGTTTATGCATCTGGCACAACAAAGAAAACATATTTTGCTCATTTCTACTCCCCCAAAAAAACCAAATAAACAAACCTAGAAATGTAAAAGAGTATCATGCATAAAGTGAATATTCTCGGTCCCTTCTTACCTCATAACTTATACGTGTACACTGGTTCTGCTCCATAGATGTAAGACCTGTGGATGAATATTTTTCACCCTTTTAGGGGCCATTATAGTATCTTCATTTGAGGTTGGAAAACAGAAGAAAATACAATTCTACTTGTACCAGTTTAATTTTCATATTAAGATTTTATACTTATTTTAAACAAACTATGAAACTTACCAAGTTCCCCCATCATGACCTGCCTCAGCAATATGAAAATATTTTTGCAGAACTCTGACCAGAAATATATGGATTTTTTTGTTTTAATGTCACTCATGCAGCTTCAATGATGCATGAAGTTATGAAAATCTCGGGAGGGGGAGAAATCTACTAATGCACAAGTGATGTTAATTCAACAAGGGGCCATTTAATGTTGTTTAATGACTGGAAATTATGTTAAGGTCAAATAAACTGAGGGCCCTGGTTCAAAAGACAGTCGCAAGCAAACTGGAATTATAGTAAGCAAGATAGTTCCTCCCAGCTGCTTAGATTTTCTTTTCCTGGAAGAACTTAATATATCCTTCAATCCCTGAATTGCGGTGGAGTTTGAAAACGAGGAAAGAATAACAGGAGACTATAAATTGATTTGATTTACAGTAATGCAAGTAAAAGATCTTTCATTTCATTTTCCCTTGGAGAAACAATACTTCTATCAGTATAGACATCTATTTTGAAGCAATTCTGCAACTACATGGCCCATAAATTCCTCATAATATATTTCACAATTATTAATAATGATAACTTTAGTCTATGAAATGGAACTTTTGGAAACGGTTGAATCACTGAAGGTGGAGAGATTTCTGCTTTCATTATGGGCTTTATCTTCTGTTATCACTCAAGGCATTAAAATGAAATAAAATTTAAAATTCAGTTTCTTAGTTGCACTAGCCACATTTCAGGAGCTCAGAAGCCACACATGGCCAGAGGTTTTTGTCTGGATAATGCAGAAGTAGAAAATTTCTGTCATCAAAGAAAGTCCTATTGGACAGTACTGCTCCACATCTATGGCAATATATCAGGAGGGGTGAAAATCTGAAATGTTACTGCCACAGTTTTATTCTTTACTGACTACGTAAAACAAAACTTTTCTGTTAAGAGCATGTTTATAGTAACACCATGACTAACATACTACTGATTTTCCAGTTCTGACGAGCTGACTGGCCGACTGAATGAATTTTTACTGATCTTAATGTAGTATGAAAGGAACAACTAAAATAAAATATGGTTTATTCTGCTGATTTGAAGTTAATGAGGGTTTTTTATATGAAAATGTAAATGTTGATTACATATTATTCTTGTCTTAGCATGCAGATACAAACCACAGTTATAAAGAAGAGAACCCAATTCTTCACCAAAATTTTAGTTTCTTTTCTTTTTTTTAGCATTTATTCTGTCTGTACTAAAAAAGAATTTGTGAAGATGCTAGCACAAATATTTATATATACTCAGTGTATTTAAAGTGTCTTCTTATACATTTTGTAATCAAATAATCTGCAATGTTCTGTGTACTCACATAAGGAATTTTGGGGTCCAACGTATTTGAAGTTTTCATATTGAGTCAGTTGAGAGGCCAGTTCATTTTAGAGACTAATCTTTATGTCTGTAATCTCTACTTTTTCCTGTGTTTATAGTTGAAATCCAGTTCTACTGAAAGTTTGTGGAATAATGACTTACACTAAGGAAGTGAGTCAGTGTCTCCAAGAAATAAAAGGATTAAATTCTGAGTATAGTAATGCCCATTGGTTTCTAAGTGTAGAACTGTGTGGTGAGAGAGAGAAAGTCGTTATGGAGGGAGAGAAGAGGGAGAGTTGTTATGGAGGAAGAGAAAGTTGTTATGGAGGAAGCTGTATGAATCCTGGAAGTCCAAATACACTCCTAAATGTATGATGACTTTGAAGATGGGTTAAAAAATAAGATGTACTTTTTTAGTGACATAAGTATCCATACTTAAAATGAGAATAATGTAGATTCTCTACTTATGTAAGTAGAGGCATTCTTATTTATTTGGAAGATTTGTTAAGTCTAGTATCTATTTCTAAATCAGGTTTTTTTTTTTTTTTTGGTATTGGTATTTCTCCTAATGCTATCCCTACCTCCCCTAGCCCCTGACCCCAGATATTTTTAAGAGGAACTCTTTTGTTGTTCATTTGAGTAAGCAGTGAATGCTATTTTCTCTTTACTTTTTAAATTAAATGCATTTTCATCATTTTGAGTTTTTAAAAAAATGTTCAAAATATAGTTAACAGCATATAAATTGGTACCACTCTTTCAGCAATTGCTCTACACATGTGAAAAAGTCAAGCCACGTTTTCCTAAGGTACCCATTCTCTTTCAAAACATTTTTTAATGCCTGCGATTCTCTTTTTCCTAGGGCTGATGGGGTAAAATGAAGATTTGGTGAAAGTGAAATATGGTCAAAGTTTCCTCTCAAACATAGAATTTTATGGCAGTAAAAGAAAAGCAGGAGTCACTATATTTATGCATTTGGCTTCCTGATTTTAAGGGTGAGATGATGTTTCTTAACCTTCAGTAGCAGTTCTCTTTTGCATTGCAGCTGTAATATATGTATTGTAGTTAGCGATTGTTACATTCAAATTCATTTTTAAAAAATTTTCTAGATTGATTATTCAAAAGCCCTGTGAGAAAATTACTCGCCTTATGTTTTCTTTTGAAACATACTTAAAAATCTAGGTTAAAAATATAAACCTCTTAAGAAGAATGAATATGTGGTTATGTAGGATACTTCCTGGAAATTCTTAATGGCCTTTACTAACAAAAAAAAATGCAATACTGAAGCCTCTGCTCCCAGGCTCAGGTGATCTTCCCACCTCAGTCTCCCAAGTAGCTGGGGCTATAGGCGCATGCCACTATGCTGAGCTAATTTTTTTTTTTTTTTGTAGAGGCGGGGGTTTTGCCATGTTGCCTAAATTTGTGAGCTCAAGAGATCTGCCTACCTGGGCTGCCCAAAGTGCTGGGATTATAGACATGAGCCACTGTGCCTAGCCAGTAATCTTAATAAACAGATATTTCATTAATAACTTTTTTCTAAAACAATTTTTATGTGTATTTATTTTAATGATTAAAATGCTATGCCTTAAGCAATACATTTATATAAGATATAGCAGTAAAATTATGCATTTGGAACACTAATCTTAGAAATTGGTGTATTGGTTTAATTACTTTGATTTATTAATGTCTATTTCTGTGCCTGATACTTGAGAATGAAAGGAAGTATATATTCATTGAACATGGTACATAGTACATATTCTGTGTATCAGATACTCTTCCAAGTCGCTTTATGTATGTTATTGCATTTAATTCTCACATAAACTTTACAGTTATTAATCCATTTTACAGACAAAGAAACCAAGAGTTAAAGAGGTTATGATTTGCCCAAGAGTATTCAGTTAAAATATACCAATGGTAAGAGACAAACCCTGAGTTTGTTATTCTAGAGCCTTCACTCCTAACCACTGTATTACCGAGGTCAGTAGTGTCCTCATTATACAAGGAAGAAAAAAGAGACTCACAAAAAACAAGTAACTTGTCCAAAATAGAGTAAATGGTGGAAAAAGTTTTCAACTGAGTCTCTCTAACTTCAAATTTTAGCCCATTTTACTATGCCACACAGGGGTTGACAAATCAGATTGGGGAAAGAAGAGGTTATAGACCATCAGAAGTGCATAAGAAGGGTTCATAGGATAGGCAAAGACCTGCCTGGAGAACCCATGTCTGTTTAACCTTTCAGTGCATAGAAACTTGCCATATGGGCTTAGAAGTCAGCTTGTGTCTATGGGCCCTTTTTCTATAGTGATACTGAGAACACTCTAGAAGCAATGATCATGAATGCTCTTGCATAAGGCGTGTATTTTCACTTCAGTAAGAAAACAGTGAGGCCCAGAAGATTGTTTGCAGGTCAGTAATTGTTGCTTGTGGTGCTTGTTTGGAGTCAATACGGGGCCTGGTCTTCTACTTGCACATGCAGGAGTTTTCAGCAGCCAGATTGGCCTGGTGGAGTCCTTAGAGAATTTGAGATGTCACTTACGATGCCAGATACCATTCTGAGGCAGGAGTCTGGATCTGCTGCAAGAAATACAGCTTTAAAAAACTGTGTGACAACAAGAAGAGGCACATACACTTGAAAAGAAGACCATTCTTTTTATTGAAAAAATTTGTACCTGTGATTTTCTGATCTGCTGGACATTGACAGAATGTTACACTAACTCCAGGCTAATTGTTCAATAGTTAAAGATGAAAAGTGAGGAGTAACATAGGCAGACTTTTATAACACATGATGATGAACAATACTTTGCTGATGATCTCTGATTGGTAGGTTTTACGACAATTTGGATAGATGTCCTCTTGTTTTTAATTCTTTGGTGAGTGGGAAGAGCAAAGGAATGCAGAAGAGAGGCAGAGAAGTTTCTGGGAAGGGTGAAAGTATGAACTAGTAGTAGAAAGAGAAAAAGACTGAGTTTTACAGGGAATAAGAGATATTGACTTAATTCCAGAAAACATGAAAAGAAAGTTTGGATATCCCAGGTGGAATATGCATCTGTTGGCTTTGTTGATTTTTATTATCCTTCAATAATAGAAACTGAGACACAGGAGAACAGTTTTGGAACATTAAATGTGGAGCTATTTCTATTTAAAAATAAATGTAATACGGTAGCCTCCCCTTTTCCTCAGGGTATACATTGCAAAACCCTCAGTGTATGCATGAAACTGTGGATAGATTAGAACCCTATAGAGACTATGTCTTTTCCTAATACAATTACATCATATGGGGCAAGCAGTATATACAGCATAGATATGCTGAACAAACGGTTGATTCAAATCATGCCAGGTGGGATAGTATGGGACAATGTGAGATTTCACCATGCTGCTCAGAACAGCATGCAACTTAAAACTTAAGAATTTGAATAGAGGTTTATCCAAACTTTTATTTCTGGAATTTTCCATTTAATATTTTGGACCGTTGTGGATGAGGTTAACTTAAACTGTGAAAGGGAAACTTACTATTGTATTTTATGAATTTGTTAAAGAGAAATCTAAACATGCTTCTTTTTTATTTTTTATTTTTATTGATGCATAATAATTGTACCTATTTATGGGGTACATGTGGTATTTTGATACAAGCATACAATGTGCAATGATCAAATTGGGGTACTTAGGATATCCATCACCTAAACATTTATCCTTTCTTTGTGTTAGGAATCAGAATGTTTCTAACACAAAGAAATGATAAATGTTTGAGGTGGTGGATATTCTCTGCAGTTATTTTGAAAGATACAGTAGGTTATTGTTAACTATAGTCTCCCTATTGTGCTACCAGATATTAGATCTAATTCCTTCTATTTGACTGTATTTTTGTACCCATTAACCAACCCATCTTTATCCTTTCGTTGTCCCTTTCATTCCTAGCCTCTGGTATCTGTCATTCTACTCTCTACCTCCACAGGATCAACTTTTTTTTTTTGGAGACGGAGTCTCCCTCTGTCGCCCAGGCTGGAGTGCAGTGGCGCGATCTCGGCTCACTGCAAGCTCCGCCTCCTGGGTTCACGCCATTCTCCTGCCTCAGCCTCCGGAGTAGCTGGGACTACAGGCCCACCACCACGCCCGGCTAATTTTTTTGGTATTTGTAGTAGAGACAGGGTTTCACCGTGTTAGCCAGGATGGAGGATCAGCTTTTTAAACCCTCGCATGCAAGTGAGAAACATGTAATATTTGTCTTTCTGTGCCTGGCTTATTTCACTAAATATAATGCCCTCTACATCCATCCATGCTGTTGCCAATTTTATTATTTTTTTATTGCTGAATAATATTCCATTGTGTATATATACCATATCTTTATTGCTGAATAATATTCCATTGTGTATGTATACCATATCTTTTTTCTTTCTCTCTCTCCTTTCTTTCCTTCCCCCCTTCCTTCCTTCCTTCCTTCCTTCCTTCCTTCCTTCCCTTCCCTTCCCTTCCCTTCCCTTCCCTTCCTTCCTTCCTTCCTTCCTTCCTTCCTTCCTTCCTTCCTTCCTTCCTTCCTTCCTTCTCTCTCTCTCTCTCTCTCTCTCTCTCTCTCTCTCTCTCTTTCTTTCTTTCTTTCTTTCTTTCTTTCTTTCTTTCTTTCTTTCTTTCTTTCTTTCTTTCTTTCCTTTTGATGAGGAGTCTTGCTCTGTCATCCAGACTGGAGTGCACTGGCGCTATCTCAGCTCACTGCAACCTCTGCCTCCCAGGTTCAAGCGATTCTCCTGCCTCAGCCTCCCGAATAGCTGGGATTACAGGCACATGCCACCCTTCCCAGCTATTTTTTTTGTATTTTTAGTAGAGATGGAATTTCACCATGTTGGCCAGGCTGGTCTTGAACTCCTGACCTCAGATGATCCACCTGCCTCAGCCTCCCAAAGTTCCATTTATCTAGTGATGGATGCTTAGGTTGATTTCATATCTTGGCTACTGTGAATTATGTTGCAATAAATATGGGAGTGCAGATATGTCTTCAGTACACCGATTTCCTTTCTTTTGGGTATTTACCTAGCAGTGGGATTGCTGAATCACATGGTAGTTCTATTTTAGTTTTTTGAGGAATCTTTATACTGTTTTCTATAGTGGCTGTACTAATTTACATTCCCACCAACAGTATGAAAGTTTCCCTTTCTCTTCATCCTTGCTAGCGTTTGAATTTTAAAAATCTTTTTGATAAAAGCCATTTTAACTGGTGTGAGATGTTACCATTTTAATTGAAACTTTGATTTGCATTTCCCTAATGATTAGTGATATTGAGCATTTCCTCATATATCTATTGCCCTTTTGTATATCTTCTTTTGAGAAATATCTTTACAGGTCTTTTGCCTATTTTAAAAATTGGATTATTATTATTTTTTTCCTGTTGTTTGAGTTCCTTATATATTCTGGTTATTAATTCCTTGTCAGTTGAATAGCTTACAAATATTTTCTCCCATTCTATAAGTTGTCTCTTTACTTTGTTGATTGTTTATTTTACTGTGCAGAAGTGTTTTAGTATGATGTGATCTCACTTATCCATTTTTGCCTTGGTTGCCTGTGGTTTTGAAGCTTTACTCATAAAACCTTTGCCCAGACCAAGGTCCTGAAGCTTTTTTGCAATGTTTTCTTCTAGTAGTTTTATGGTATCAGGTCTCACAATTACACCTTTAATCCATTTTGATTTTATTTTTGTATATGGTGAGGGATAGGGGTCCACTTTTGTTCTTCTGCATATGGATATCCAGGGTTCCCAGCACCATTTATTGAAGAGGCTGTCCTATTCCCAATGTATGTACTTGGTGCCTTTGTCAAAAATAAGTTGACTGGATATGCATGGATTTATTTTTGAATGTCCTTTATCCAAACTTTATGTCTAGAATTTTCCATTTCATATTTTTAGAATGATGTTGACCAAGCATAACTGAAGCCATGGAAAGAGAAACTGTGGATAAGGGGAACACTATTATATTTTATAAATGCTTAAAAATTTTTCAATGTTTGGAAGCTTTCTTAGGAGGTTCTCACTGCAGAGATCAGGAAATATTTATTAACCACCCACTTTGTGAACAGCAGTGTGTTGGTTATGATATGGTTTGGTTCTGTGTCCCTACCCAAATCTCATCTTGAATTGCAATCATATATGTTGAGAGAGGAACCTGTAATATCCATGTGTTAAGGGAGGGAGGTAATTTGGCCATAAGGGTGATTTCCCCCATGCTGTTCTCGTGATAGTGAGTTCTCACAAGATCTGATGGTTTTATAAATATTTGACAGCTCCTCCTTCACACACATTTCTCTTTACTGCCACCTTGTGAAGAAGGTGCCTGCTTCCCCTTCGCCTTCCACCATGATTGTAAGTTCCTGAGACCTCCCCAGTCGTGTGGAACTGTGAGTCAGTTAAACCTCTTTTCTTTATGAATTACGCAGTCTTGAGTAGTATCTTTCTAGCGGTGTGAAAATGGACTAATACAGGTTCTTTGAAGGCATATTGAAAAAACAGGATATAAGGGGGTCTGCAAATCAATAGTGAGGTAAAATCGTCAAACATGAAGCAAATGGAGGCATGAATATTCAAGATAGAATGTTTTAATGATATATACATTAAACATTATGAAGTTCAGAGGTAAGGGCAGCTTCCCTGGAGGAAATGGAATTGAAGCTAGATCTTGATGGATAGATAAGTTTTGGGGAGGAAGATTCACATCATGTTTGAATGGGGATGTTTGGCAAAGAAGAGATTGCTTTTAGGCAGAAGAATGATACTGGGGTCTTGAAGAACTGAAGATGTCTGAGATGCTCATAGGGCAGTAGCCAGCTGGTTCTTAGTGCATTTTGGGGAAAATCGTGGAGAGGGGAAGGCCTGAGATTGCATAGTGAGAGTGAGGCCCACCTGGTGATCTCTATTATGGTCAAGGATTAGGATCCCCTGAGGAACCACAGAAGCTACCAGTTATTCAGAGAGTGGTTAAAGAACAAAAGGAGGATTTCTTTTCACTTGAGGGCACTCATCTAAATTAACTTTTTGTTGACAAAGAAATGAGTACTCAGTCCTTTCATGCTTCCTTTACTGAAAGGTGATAGAATCTCCTTCATTAGTTCATAATCCAAGTGTAAGGGAAACATATTATTTTAAAATTGTTACTTATAGTTAAAAGTTTCTCAGTGGGTTGGAAATTTAGGCTAGATTCAGATTTCTTTCAGATTTTTTTTCTTGTAGCTTTTGTAAATATTGATTCACCCTAGAAATGAGTTATGGGTAGGAGGGATCTTTAAGAAAATTTTTTTACTATGGAACATAGCATTCCAGAAAAACCTCATTTCTATTGATGAATGGCTGTTGGCATACAGAAACCTGGCATGTGGTCGAGGAGAAGGGATACAGCTGACATGAGAAAAGCTTGAGAAGGAAACTATAATCCCCCTTCAAATTCACTGCTCATTAGAGGAGCTAAAATGATTAAGCAGCTGGAGGTTTTGATGTATGAGGAAAGATTAAAAGAATTACATGTGTGTAGGTTGGCTAAAGAGCTAAGGAGTGTGTGTGCCTGTGTGTGAGGTGGGGATCTGATAGCCATTTGCAGATAATTGAAGGCATAAGCCCCCCAAAAGGAGAGGGATTGTGAAGGTGGTCCTTAGGGGATTATCTAAGGGTAATGAATGAACGGAAGAAGAGAAAGAAAATGGTTTCATCAGGAAGACTTTCATAATGGGTGAGATTTAAGAGGCCATAAAATAATCTCCCAGAAGAGGTGGTGAAATTCCCATCTCTTGAGTCATTTGGAGGAGGCCTAAAAAGTTTTGGAAGTGTATAATGCTACCCTGGTGGGGGAACAGATTTAGTAACCAAGACCATCCTGGGTCCTGATGTTTTACAGCTCCATTTTTAAGATGAATCAATTGATAAACAATAAATTTGGAAGCTTCCCAGGAACTGAGTCTGTCTCATCTCACTGATAATTTTCTTCAAGTAATAAAGACACATTCCATACCTCTTCCTCGCTTGATTTCTACCCATTGTCCTTGACATTGTATTATTTCTTAAGGGACATAAAGGCCCAATGATGGAGGAATTGCAGGATTGAAAGGGTTAGCAGCAAGTCATTCAGCAAATGGCAATATTAATACAGCATCCCTGCACTGCAGTCTCCTTTCCAAACAGGACTGCTCTCTGATACATTGTCAGAACTCCTTGCATTGTGTTCTTCAGGGTTCCTCAGCATTAATCAGCATCTGGACTGTGCCACTCTTGCAAATGAAATTGGTCAAGAATAGCCTTTCCCCAGTATCATGATGAAGCAGAATTTTTTTCTGGTGTCTTTTGATAATGAGAATGACAGTATTCTATCTTTATATTAATAGTTCACAGCAACTAAAAGAGGTGGGATCTCAGAACACTTCATTTAATGCCAATAGAATTGTAACAGAAACCTTATGACCTTGTATGGTCCTTTTCTGTGATCTCACAGTTTCTTTAGTTTTTCCTCTATGTGAGTAATAATAAATGATTCTTACACAAAGATTTATGTACACATATTTCTTCACAGTGTTACTTACACAATTAATGCTAAGAAACACCCTAAATATTCAATATTTGGTAAAAAGTCTTTCTTTATGTCCTTATAGTAGATTGTTACAGCTGTGAAACTCATGGTTTTGAAGAATATACAATGACATCTAAAAATGTGCATGATAATGTTGGAAGAAGCAAGCAGGACCTACAAATACAATATAATTCTAAATGTACTTAGATAAAAAGATAGATAAATAGACATGTATCTTGCCTTTCTATCCTTGAATGATGAAATTAAGAGTAATGTTTTCTTCTTCGTACTGTTTTACATGTTCTGCAATTAATATATATTATTTACCAAATCTGTTATTTAAACAGATTTTTCTTTTAAATTAAAAAAATGAGTGTTTGGATGCAAGTGTTTTGCAAGAAGCAATAGATAACGTGCACAGAGCTCAAAGTGAACTTTTCCACATTAAAAAATAAATTAAATAAAAACACATGTGGAGCATCTGTACAATTTAAAAAGTGAGAAATCAATTTTTGGATTTTTTTCATCCAAAATATTTTTATGAACTGAAACTAGAAGAAAATTAAGATGAGTTTGAGTCAGCATTTCACAAGCTGCTCCAAAGTACTCCAGTGTACCAAAATATTTTATAATATTTAAATATTAGACATTTTAAGCATTAACAAAGATGGATTTCTATTTTTCTTGACCTATTAGAGACTTTAACATGGCAATGAGTATTTCTTTTTTTAAATTTAATTTTATTTTATTTTAAGTTCCAAGATACATGTGCAGGATGTGCAGGTTTGTTACGTAGGTAAATGTGTGCCATAGTGGTTTGTTGCACCTATCAACCCATCACCTAGGTGTTAAGCCCAGCATCCGTTAGCTATTTATCCTGATGCTCTCCTCCTTCCACCTTCCCTGCATCTCCAACCAACAGGCCCCAGTGTGTGTTGTTCCCCTGCCTGGGTCCATGTGTTCTCATTGTTCAGCTCCCACTTATAAGGAAGAACATGCAGTATTTGGTTTTCAGTTCCTGTGTTAGTTTGCTATGGATAATGGCTTCTAGCTCCACCCACGACCCAGCAAAGGACATGATCTCCTTTCTTTTTATGGCTGGATAGTGTTCTATGGTGTATATGTACCACATTTTCTTTATCCAGTCTATCATTGATGGGCTTTCGGGTTGATTCCATGTGTTTGGGATTGTGAATAGTGTTGCAATGAACATAAGCATGCATGTATCTTTATAATATTATAGGATGATTTATATTCCTTTGGGTATATACTCAGTAATGGGATTGCTGAGTCAAATGGTATTTCTGTTCTAGGTCTTTAAGGAAACACTGTATTGCCTTCCACCATGATTGAGCTAATTTACACTCCCACCAACAGTGTGAAAGAGTTCCTATCTCTCAGCAGCCCTGCCAGCATCTTCTGTTTCTTGACTTTTTAATAATCGCCCTTCTGACTGGTGTGAGATAATATCTCATTGTGGTTTTGATTTGCATTTCTGTAATGATCAGTGATGGTGAGCTTGTTTTTTCATGTTTGTTGGCCACATGAATGTCTTCTTTTGAGAAGTTTGTGTTCATTATGTTCATGTCCTTTGCCCGCTTTTTAATTTTTATTTTTTGTAAATTTAAGTTCCTTGTAGATTCTGGATATTAGCCCTTTGTCAGATGGATAGATTGGAAAAACTTTTTTCCCATTCTGTAGGTTGTCTGTTCCCTCTGATGATTGTTTCTTTTGCTGTGCAGAAGCTCTTTAGTTTAATTAGATCCCATTTGTCAGTTTTTGCTTTTTTTGCAGTTGCTTTCGACGTTTTTGTCATGAAATCTTCACCTGTGCCTATGACTTGAATGGTGTGTATTTCTAATTCTTCAAGAGAAGGATATTGCATTATGTTTAACAGTAAATCAATAGAGGGATTACTGTGAAAATCAGGAAAAAAACAAAGTTTTCTATTATTAGTTTTGTTATTAAATTTTTTCTTATTATGTTTGTTATTTAACATTATTGTGGAAGATCAGAATTTTGAAAAAATAAAAATTATAATAATTAGAAAGGAAAAAATTATCAAATGAAACAAAATTATACTTACAAAGTAAACTCATGAGATTATCACAAATTTTAAAATGTGAAAGTTTATTCATTCATTTAATAAATATTTACGGTGTGCTTGTGGTGACCCTGGTACTCTTTTCATCAATAAACAAAAAAGATGAAAATCTTTGTCACTGAGGAGCTTTCATTATGTTAAACTTTAAATCTTCTACAATATAATAAGTTTCCGTATGTGCACACCAAATAATGCAAAAATAATCTTTACACAGAGTTTTGCATTTGTTTGTTTTTTACTAGAATAGAAATAATGACCTACAAAAAGATAAAGATTTCTTATACATATTGTTAAAATAATTTAAATTGATTTGATATTTTTCTCTAATAATATAAATCATTGTTAGCATCTTTTACTAATTTTTCTTTCATTTCTTAGTCTGAGATGCTTCATTCAAGGCATAGAAAAGTATATTAGATATACACATATGCATACATATTCTATTTTATTAATCTGCCTCTTTTACTTTACATATGCAGAAGAAAAGGGACAGATCATTTCCAAGTCATCCCAAATGAATAAACTAATAAACTGGATAGCCATGATGAAGACCAAGTGGTCTAGTTTTTGAGTACCCACCTCTTACCCAGTATGCTGTGTTAAATGTCAGCACCTGGGGTATCATTAGCCATTAAGGAATTTCATGTCCTTCTTCCTAGGGACCTAGCTCACCATCTTTCTTGTCTTGTTCTTTTTTTTTTTCTCCTTTGGCCTGCCTGGAGACCATGAAAATTGTTCCCTCTGTAGTGAGGATATTGAGCAGGCATTCAGTTCTTTTGATCTCACTCCAGCCCACACTGGCCATGCATGCACTGAGGGCTGTCATCCTACAGCCAGAAAGGCTGAGCAAGGTGCCTGTTCCAGCGGAGGGCATTTTCTTTCCTAAAATGGGTTCTGATGTCAGCTTTTGTATCACCCTGTCTTTTTCTTCCCCTCATGGCATAATTTCTGCTCTATAATTGAGGTTTTGATGGATCACTATCAATTTTCAGAAAATTTCTTTTTCTCTTTGGCTTTTTAGCTCACACCTGTTAAGGGATCCTGCCATTATTTAAAATTTGATACTTTGTCCATCATAGGTGCTTGCATTCACTTTGATTTTCAAAAAAATTATTGCATCAAAAGATTATCTTATTTCCCCAATTTTTTGTCACTCCTTTGAATTTTGTGGACAAGGCAAACGCTTCACTTGCCTAATCTTAGTCCCAGCCTGGCTCATTTAACAGAACTAGTTTACTGGGCAACCTCAAAAGAAAGCAAAATCATAGCACAGGGTTTAGTAAGTCTTTTCTAGTAACTATAACTTAAATAAAGTTTTTTTTTCCTATTTTCCTCTCATGGAGGTAAAATAGCCTGTCTGTATTTTATTTCCTTCAGATCACTTTTAAATGATCTTAGCTGGATAACAATTGGAGTGCAGTCCATTTTTTGGTTTATTTTGCTATTTGTTAGGAAATATTATGGCACTTGTTAACCAACAAAATGAGTTTCTGCTCATTTTTTGTCTTCATCTGTTGCAGTATGTTCAAGAAAGTTTCTGGAATGTGGAAGGACCACATAGTTCTGAAAAAAAATCTAAATAATTTAGTGAAGAATCTATTTGTAAATCTCCCACATAACAAAAAACAAAACTCTTAGACATTTTTATGTTTTCAGAAATTATCCTTCCCAGAAACATGTTCTCTTATTTTATGTAAATGTGGAGATAATAGCTCTTGAGGGCTGATTACAGAAGATGTTCGGGTGTCTGAAGACATTGGGTTATTTAGTGCAGAGGGAGGCAATGGAGGACAGCCATTGTAAATGGCTTTTTGGGCGGATGGAAGTCCATTGCATCTGCCATTTAAAAATCATAAATATTTACATATATTCCTTTGGATTTTAAAGGACAATTTTTATGAAACTATTGTAATTAATCTTTTCGCGGCATTAGGTCTCCAGATTAAGTAAAATAAAAGCAGAATAAGAAAAATCTAGGCAAAGCTGAAGGCCAAAGTTGGGAGATTTGGGGTCTCTCTGTTCTCTATTTGAGTCATGTATTCAGAAGAAGGAAAAGAAGGCTTTTTGCACAAACAGGCTGAGACAAAATATTTTTGTTGACTCTCTACACCCAATAATTGTAGTTTATGAGATGACCAGTATGGCAGGCAGCCCAGCTTCACTCCCAAAGTCCTTGGTTCAACTCCAAGTGACCATTGGTGAACAAGGTCTTCTCACTGTGTTATTAATTAACCCTGGCAGATCTGCAATGTTTTCATTCCATTGGCAGAAAGTGGGCTTTTCCCTTTGTGTTCTGTTCTAGTCTTGGAGACTGTGCATAGCTCCACGCCAGCACTCGACTGAAGTCATTAAAATCATTGCATTGGACCCTGCTGCTGACTGCTGATGTTGCAACAGTCTTGGAAACAGTGAAGCTTCATCCAGGTGGCATTTGTTTTCTTAAAAAAAGTCACAGAAGGTCCAGTGTCCCCCCTTCTGTTCTAAAATAATGGTTAGAGTTTTTTGTTTTGGTTTATTAAATTTATTTGGGAATAGAAAAATTAGAGAATAATGTACCATGATATCTGCCTTGTTAATCACCAGAAGAAATTAGATTTGTGGCATATAATTAACACAGGGCCAAAAAGTTAGAATCACAACACTTTGGAATTGTATGTTTCAATCTCCATATACACACATCATCTTCTTTATATTATCCCCAGAATCTCCACTTGAATCCTTTTATTAACAAAGATCTTAATTACTCTCTGATACAGCCAGTTTCACATTTAGGGAAGCAGTGTGTTCAAAGACAAAACAGAACCTTTTGAGTCAATAACACAATCTGAAACCTGGAGTTGATATTCAGGAGCCATATTGCATTTGGGCAAGAAATGTAGTCAAATCTCAGTTTCCTGTCTATGAAACAAAATTTAAATATCTACTTCAAAGTGTTGAAAAATAGCTTATGTTATGTTTAATTCCAGTCTAGCAGAAGTTACTAAACTGCAGTCGCTTTTTTTTTTTTTTTTTTTTTTTTTGAGACGGAGTCTGGCTCTGTCGCCCAGGCTGGAGTGCAGTGGCGCGATCTCGGCTCACTGCAAGCTCTGACTCCCGGGTTCACGCCATTCTCCTGCCTCAGCCTCCTAAGTAGCTGGGACTACAGGCATCCGCCACCACGCCTAGCTAATTTTTTTGTATTTTTAGTAGAGACGGGGTTTCACCGTTCTAGTCAGGATGGTCTCGATCCCCTGACCTCGTGATCCTCCCGCCTCAGCCTCCCAAAGTGCTGGGATTACAGGCGTGAGCCACCATGCCCGGCCACATTTCTTTTTTAATACAAATTGCAGTAGTTCGAGTTTTGCCTTTCACTTGACAATAGTTGTTTGGCCTTTAACCATGTTATCCCATGTTCTTACTAGGAAGAGTTTGAGCAATACAGTAGGTCTGATGCTCCGCAGACCCATTCTAAGTGTCATTTTCTGGGTTTCTGTCTGCTGTGCTCCAGCCTTGTGCCATTACTACCTTTTGAAGGGGTCACACTGACTTCCCTCGGGAGGCTGTTGCCTTCCCAAATATAATGTCACCACAAGCATGGTACACAGAGCCTTCTCTGTGTTCTCCATGACAAAAGCAGAATGAAGCTTACAAGTTTTAATGAGACATCACTGGAGACTTGGGGAAACGGATGGAAATCCTAGCAATAAAAAATTTGAAACTAACGTCTAAAAATGCTTGTTTTGAAATACACAAGACTGAGTCACATGACAGAGCTCTCCTATTGGAGGCCTTTCTACCAAGATTCTGGCTTGCCTCTCAAAGGCAGACCCCAAACTCCCACCTTTGCTCCTGGCCTGTTGTCCTGTCTCAGGGCCACCCTACCACTCCCAGCAGGGCAGGCCTTACTCTCACCTATTTCCAGTTTAGTGCCTTAACTGCTTGTGACTTTGAGGTGAGAAGATGTTTATTTTCTCCTGAGTCTCAAAGTCCTCAATTCTGCTCCAGAGTTTAACTGTACCTAGGATGATGAACTGTGGAAACTTCTATGGTATCTGGGGGAAATTTAACATTCCTCTGTTCCCTCAGTAATGTGGACCATAGATTTCTTATAGAATATAATATTCTAATGCTAATATTTTCCCTGAAGTCAGTCTTTCCTCTATATCAAGGCGAACACCAGGCCTACATTTTTTTCCTGCTAATTTTATTTTAATTTTACAGATATACCCATACTCACTCCTTGACACACTTATATGAGTATAGAAAATTCAAAATTGATACTTATGAAATAAACATTTCTTTAAAATAATGTCAGTAATCACCACTTTAAGGTGAAGACTGTACTCTGATCATTGTTTTTCCTTCTGCTTTCAGAGGAATGATCAATCACTAAGAAAATGGCCAATTTTCCTGCATTACACAGAGTGGTTTAACTGCTTAGGTAACATGTCACAATTTTTCTTCTAGAAGATGGTTTTTACTTAGTTTTTAACATATAAAAAATTTATTAGGGTGGTTTATCTAGGAAAAAATGAGTAATTTTATCTTAATATTTAAATTAAAGTCTGTTTCTCACAACAAAAATGCTGCTGGAAATGTGTAATTGAGTCTCTTCTCTTTTCATCATCTATTTAGTAACACAAGACTCAATTGGTTCTACATTTAAACTTATTGGCACAAACCAGGTGTTCAATAATTTCTATTTCCCTTTCAAATATTTAAAAACTCTTCCTTCAGTTGTGTCAAACTTATTTTTCTAAAATTTTTGTTCGTGGATCCTATTTCTGTGCTTTGGGAAGCTATGCTATTTCATAACTTTCAAATTACAGCTTTGCCCAAAGGTTGGGTTTTTGCAGCTGGAAAAGGGCAGCACAGATTTAACCTTATGCTTTAGTGAGTTTTGAGGCACAAAAGGTGCCAGAGGAAAATAGACACTCACACACACCTACATTCTGGGAATGAAATAAAGAACTGGGCTTTTTACAGTCCTGTTTTACTTGAACAGGAGGGAGAGACAAGAAAGTTTGATGGTAAAGTCCTGCTGACTACTTTGGAAGGGAAGATCTGTAGTTCTTGGTCAAAAACTTTATTCGGTGCATGAAATGTTACACATTTCATCATCCAGAAATTTGGACCAATCCGAGGCACAACGATTTGCACAATTTCTGTAACTTTTCTCTTTGTAGCTTCTTTCTCTACCAATATTTGCCAGAGAGAAGAGGGCCTTACACGGAGGGTCTTCCTCAGATGCCACATTGACGCTAAGGATGGGCTACTGTCTTTGCATCTCATCACTTTACTTAACAAAGTGTCACTCCCTCGAAGTCCTATTAGCCATCTATCTCTCATCCATCCATCCATCCATCCATCCATTCATCCATACAGCCATTGATTATTCATGATCTGGTCAACTCTTTGAATGTCTTGGTAGCTTACACTATTACTCTTCTTAAAATGATCATGTCTTAAGCTATGGAATTGATCTCTATAAGGATTCCCTTTTATTTTATTCTATTATATAAGCTGCCCTGTTCACTTTCAAGCATTTCTTTCAATATAGACACAGATGGCCCATTGTTAAATTGTAGAATAACTGCAAGCTATGAGGGATAGCAAAAACAGTAGATACTATTTTCATTATTTAAATAATTTCCACAAGTTAGATTTAATAGATCAATAGGGACAAATATAAAATTTAATAGAAGTTTACTTGAAAAAATATAGACCTATATTTTTGCTTAAAGGATTAATTATAGATACAAGTTGGGGTAATAAGACTAAGCGGCAGAATCTATAAAAGAGATTTCAGAATTTTTGTTGACTATATTTAATTCTATAATAAGGCTTTTAAAATTATGCCATTTTAGTCTACATTGTAAGAGGCAGTAACATCTGGAGAAAAGGAGGTTTTCATATGCCTCTCTGTTTGCCTAGACAAGACTTGGAACATTGCACTTACTTCTGGGTAGTTTGCTTTATGGAGATATTGACAAACAATGTATGCAGAGCAGAGTGAATAAAATAGTACAATCACGGAAGGACTAACATAGGAGGCATAATGGAAGGAACTGGGTACAGTTAGTGGGAAAAAGAGTAGACTTATACAGATATGACCCCTACTTTAAATATGTAAAAGGCTGTTATTTGATATAGCAATATGACAAAAACCTTAACATTTTCAAATCTGGGTTTGAAACACAGCTTTGCTATTTATGTGCTCTCAGGCAAGTTATTTAATCTCTATCAGCCCTTTTTATTATCAAGAAAACATAGGGATAATAGAAGCTAACAACAGCTCGGGTTAGTCATGAAGATTAAGTGAAGAAACCTAGGTGGAACGCCTGTTGTCATGCCCGGCTCATATGGAGTCCTCAGCAAGTGGTAGTGAGAGTTCCTGTGGTTGTTTTTGTTAATATTCTAGATAGCAGAAACAATATCAAAGAGAGTAAATTACAAGGAGATTGCCCTTAATATGTATGAGAATACAGTAATAAATTTATTAATAAGAAATTAATATAAGAAAAATGTTTCTAAAATTATCAATTGATAATAAATAGTAAGCTCTCCATTGCCACAAGTGTGGGAACCAAGATTGGATAACTGCTTCTCCAGTGTTAAGTGGTAACTGGACTGTATGAACTCTCTGGTGCTTTTCAACTCTGAGCTTCTACAAACTTCTTTGAACAGGATGTTTAGAAGCAAAATAAATTATGATTTGTGCACAATTATAAGAATTAATTTTCTGGATGATATTATTTGGCAAAGTTATAACTTAAAATTGCTTCTTCTGCTCTAAGCCCAGTTTGGCTTGGACTTCCAGAGCACATTTGCTATTTATTAATATGCTATCAGACAAGTTACTATCAGGCTTCAGCAAAGTCTTACTTAATTGGGTATACTTTTTTTGTTGTTCTTTGCAATAATATTCAGAAAATATTTAGGATGCTTCAAAATGAGGCTTTAGGTTGAAGAAAATCTAAATTTGGAAAAGTAACACACTTTCAAAATAAGCCTTATTTTAGTAGAAATGAAATAAAATATTAAATATTTTAATAGAAATGAAATACAGCCTGACCAGGCTTCTCCTGGCATAAACATTAACACTCTAAAAACACACAGATATTGGCAATAAAAACCAATGCTTATTATTATTAATATATTTATTACTTTTATTTTCTCTAATATTTTCTAATGATATAAACAAATGCCATTGTTGATAATTACAGAGAAGGTTATAATAAAATACATGGCAACAACAATGATGATGTGTCTTATCATCTCATACTTGGTTAGATGAAACATTATTGGATTTAAGAATAAATGTTTTAACAAAATTTGTTATCTATGTAATAGGCAATTAATAAAAAAAAATTGTGTATCTCAAAGTCTATTCATTTACCCCTCTTAAGAACAGAACTACTATTAAGACTTGTTGATCGTGAACTGCATTTTTATATCATGTCCTCATAAAGACTCTGTGCCATGGCTGAGAGAAGAAGGTTTTAGAAAGCTACCCTTGCTGGTCTGCCTTTAGGTAAATTTAAAATTTCTGTCTTCCCTGGGTTGCTTTCTTTTTTTCATTTATTCTACATTTTTTTTTCCAGAAAATACATTTATAGTAGAAAACCCAATGAAATTAGTGAAGACTGGAATACAATTTATTCAGTCGTAATTACCAAATAATGAGCTGCAATCCAGGGCAAATTTCAAAAGTCTTTTTAAGGGAAACACTAAAATTATTAACAAATGCAAAGTAAAACATTAAGTATATTACTTCTTAATGAATGTGTGAGACGTGTCTTCAAAATAATCCTAAAGGAAACAAGAGAGTGTAAGAATATGAAGGTAGCCTGAAAAGACTTATTTTTCTCTACTAAGTGATCTGCTTCCTAGGAACACTTTGGTTATTTTCCCACACACACTCCTGGTCACGAAGAAAAGAGTACAAGAAAAGAGACCATTTGGATTTTGTGATTAGATAGAGACTTTTCCTGAAGGGTTGCTTCTGAAAAAAAGTTGCAATCATTAAGATAACTTAGGGGTAGCCTTAATTGTATGCTTCCTTCTATCAGCTCTCATCTCTAGAGATCTGCTTACTTTGTAGTGGAACCTAAATGAACTTTCAGATACACTGAAACTTGAAACTTTCACTCACATTCATATTATTTTCAACAGGAAAACATAGGAAACTAGAACTTTTCTTGCTCCCAACTCATTACATTTAAAGTGCACCTTGGTCTTCAGGGCAAAGTGAGTGTTAAATTCATATTTTCACATATATGCTTTCTATAAGTATGTTTGAAGATATATCTTTGATATATTGCTGTTGCTTTTATGTAAACATAAGATCCAATTACCTCATATATCAAACTTGTTATGTTTATTGATATTGCACTCTTGTTCTAATATTTTTTACTACTCTGAATATTTATCCCATAAGTCTATTAATATTTTATCATGTCAGATGGACAATGATTAAAAATAAAACCAGCATCTATCTGTTAACCCAAGCTCCTTTCTTCACTTTCTTTCAATCTAGCATCAAACTTAAAAGCATGTATTGCACTGCTCACTTTTAAGTTTATAAAGTTAATTTGACTATTTAAAATAGTTGAACATAATGAAAAAATGAAAACTCTAAGAATAAAGACCCACCCAAAACTCTCACAAGAGCAGACCAATTACACATACATATAAAAACTTAATTGCATTATGCCCCCAAAATATTAAGCAAGTAAAGTAGAAGCATTTAGATAAAACCTTCCAACTACTTTATGTACAGCAACTCGTATGACTTCTTTTTTACTTAGAATTCAATCTATTGAGTTCCACAATAGGAATCATAGACTCATGACATTGCATTAGAACTAAGCTTAACTTGAGTATTTTCACTCTGAAAAATATATCCAAGACAAATGGCTTTGTTTGTACACCAAAACACATGGGAATTTTACTTAAAAGAGAAAAATTGAAAAAAAAAACCAGTGCCTTCAACAGTAAAATGGATAATTGCAATATACTCATTAAACAATATGAAATACCTATAAAAATAATAAACTGTTGTTATAAGCAGCAACTTATATAAATCTCACCAGACATAGTGATGAACAAAGCAACCAGAAACAAAAGAGTGCATATTAAAGAAGAAATCACAAGAGGAATTAGCAAATTAAAAACAATTCATTTGAGATAAATGAAAACAAAAAACACAATACAGTTGATCCTTAAACAATACGCGTTTAAACTGCATGGGTCCACTTAGACACAGAGTTTCCTGTGCTGCCGTCACCCCTGAGACAGCAAGACCAACCCCTTCTCTTCCTCCTTCTCTTCAACCTACTCAATGTGCAAGCGACAAGGATGAAGACCTTTATGATGATCCACTGACACTTAATGAATAGTGAATATATTTTCTCTTTCTTACAATTTAATAATATTTTCTTTTCTCTAGCTTACTTTATTGTAAGAATACAGTACATAATACACATAACATAAAATATGTGTTAATGAATGGTTTATGTTATCGGTAAGGCTTCTGGTCAACAGTAGGCCATTAGTAGTTAAGTTTTCAGGTAGTCAAACTTACACATGAATTTTTACTGCGCAGGGGGTTGGCACCCCTAACACTTGTGTTGTTTCAGGGCTCACTGTATACTAAACTTTATAGAATGCAACTGAATCAGTGCTTACAGGAAAACTTAGAGCTGTAAACGTCTGGATTAAAAAAGAAAGATCTTAAATCAATAACCAAAACTTTCATTTTGAGAAAGTAAAAAAAGAAGAGAGAACTAAACTCAAAGCAAGCAAAAGAGAGGATATGTTAAAGATTAGGGTCGAAACAAATGAAATAGAGAGTTAAAAAATAGAGAAAATTAATGAAACCAATAACTGGTTCTCAAAGTCCTCAATAAAATAATAGCAAACCGAGTCCAGAAACATTGAAAAAAGAATACATATCATGAGCATGTGAGATTTATCTCAACAATGCAAAGTTGGTTGAACATGTGAAGATCAATCAATGTAATAACACTACATTAACAGAATAAAGAACACGAACACATGATAATTTTAATATGTAAAAAATCATTTCACAAAATCTGGTATCATTTCATGATTAACAAAAAAACACTTAACAAACTCAGAGTAGTAGAAGGGAACTTGACTTGATAAAAATTATGTACAAAAATCCCTCAGCTAACACTATATTTAGTGGTTAAAGACTGGTTGCTTTCCCCCAAAAGCAGAACTCAAAACAAGAATGACTACTATTATTACTTCTATTCAATATTTTACTGGCAGTTCTAGCCAGGAAATTAGTCAAGGAAAAGAAATACATCTTATCAGATGCAAAGAAAACGTTAAACCATCTCTCTTTGTAGATGACATGATCTTGTATACAGAAAATCCCAAGAAATTGACTATAAAAACCTATTATAACTAATAAACCAGTTTAGCAAAGTTGCTATATTGATCTTAGTAAATAAGATCAATATACAGAAGTCAATATTTCTATATACCAGCAATAAACTATCCAAAAATAAAATTGAGAAAACAATTTCATTTATAATAGCATAAAAAGCAATAAAATTTTTAGAAATAACTTTAACAAAATAAATGAAAGACTTCCATGCTGAAACATAAATCATCATTAAAAGAAATTAAAGAAGACATAAACAAATAGAAAGCATCTATATTTAAGGACTAGAAGATAATATTGTTAAGATGGCAATGCTCCCCGAATTAATCTACAGATTCAACCTAAACGCTATCAAAATATTGGCTGACAACTTTATACAGAAATGCAAGGGACCCCAAATTGGCAAAAACAATCTTGTAAAAGAGAAACAAATTTGGGGAATTTACACTTCCTGATTTCAAAATTTACTACAAAGTTACAGTGATTAAGAGTATGATGCTAACATAAGAATAGACATATAGATCAACAAAGGGGAGGGAAGAATAGAAAAATAAACAAATTGTTGTGGAACAACTAGATCTATGTACGCAAAAGAATAAAATTAAACCCCTGCCTTGCACTGTATATAAGAATTCACTCAGAATGAGTGATAGATAGGAATGTAACCGCTAAAAACCCTGACACTTCTAGAGGAAAGCATAGGAGTGACTCTTGATGACCTTGGGTTAGACAAATAAAAATGGCAACAAATTTAAATAGATATATCTCTGAAGAAGATATACAAATGGCTAATAGGCACATTAAAAAGGTGCTCAAAATTGTTAGTTATTAGGGAAATAAAAACCAAAAACCACAATGAGTTATCACTTCACACTCACTCAATGGCTATAATAAAAAAGACAGACAATAACGTATTGATGAGAATGGGAAGAAATTGAAACCCTCTATTATTGCTGGTAGGAATATAAAATGGAACAGTAATTTCAGGAAACAATTTGGCATTCCTCAAAAAGTAAACACAGACTTACCATAAGACTCAAGAATTCTACTCCTAGGTAGAATTCTACCCAAGAAAAAATTGAAAACATACGTCTTCGTAAAAACTTGTACCACAAATGTTCATAGCAGCATTATTCATAATAGCCAAAAAGTGTAAACAACCCAAATGCTTATCAACAAAGGAATGGATAAACAAAATATATTTTCTTCATGCAATGAAATACCATTCAGTCATAAAAAGGAATGAAATACTGATACATGCTACAGCGTGGATGAACCTTGAATACATTATGCAAAATTAAAGAAGCCAGGCACAAGAGGCTACATATTGTATGATAACATTTACACGAATTGTCTAGAATGGGCAAATCTATAGAGACAAAATAGATTAGGGGTTGTTAGGTGCTGGGGGAAGGAGATAATGAGAATTAACTACTAAAAGGTACCGGGATCTTTTTGGGTAATAAAAATATTCTGGTATTAGGTAGTGGTTCATGCCTGCACACATTTATGAATATATTAGAGACTACTAAATTATGGTTATATATTTTTTTAAAAATAAAAAATAAACTAAAATCAAAAGAATACCTACTTTATGATTCCTTTTATATAAACTATGATAGTAAGCATAAAAACAATCGGTGATGATAGAAATCAGAAAAATGGCTCCCGCTGGGGGTTACTGACCTTGGGAAGCATGAGGTACCTTCTGGGGTGTTGGAAATGATCTCTTCCTTTTTCTGAATACTGGTAAAGATATATACCTGTGTATGTCACTATTTATATCTGAGATATATATGTAAAACTATTTTATATATGTCATTGTGTTACACACTTAAGATGTACATACTTTACTATATGTATAACAAAATATTTTAAACAATTTAAAGCTTTCATGTTAACGATAAATATTACATTTATTTGTAAGAGTCACATTTGTAGGTCTTAGAAAAAGTAAAAGTACAAAAAGTACAAGTGGATACAAAAGTCAAATTTTATTATGTGATTCATAATTTATTTTGCAAAGAGACAGTTTCATCTCTGACACACAGTGGATGCTTAATTCAAGGCAATCTCCTTCTCTCCTTCTTCCCTTTTCTCCTTTTATATTTATTTATTCTTATGCTGAGAATGCTTTGATAATGCAGGCCTGTTTGCATTACAAATGATTTCCCTTTCCATCTCTAAATTCTCCTTACAAATGGCAAAAAAAATCATCGAATTGATAATATCACTACCCGTTTATTATTTAAAGAAATGAAAAGTGAATAGAAAAGATAGTACTGGTAACAGCACAAAAAATAACCTCATAAATAATGAAATATACTGGTCTCTGCATATTGAACATCTGGAGAGTACAAACTGTTTCTGCTTATCACAATAATTACTTATTAAATATTACATTTATAAAATGAACAATATGCTTGCCAATTACTACAAATATAACTAATCTTTGCAGGACTAAAATAGCCTTTGTTTATAATGACAAAATTTCTATGCTTAATTAGGTTTTAATTATCATTAGGCATTTTTTAAATTAACATTTGGCTTCAGTTTCTCAATGACTCAGCTCTGAGACTATTAATATTGATTAATTTTGATTGAAATGTTCCAAGAAACCTCTTCTTAATAGATGTGATCACAGAGAGGAGCTCTTTTGTTTTTTCTATTTTTTAAGTTTTGGCATGACTGAAAAGATCATTATATGTCTGTATTTTGCTTAAGGATAATTTCAACACATATCACAAAGAAAAATAAAAATCAAACCCCCAAAATATATAAAATTTCTATATAGTCTTTGTAATTTAAAACAATATGATTCTAGAAATTGTGTTCTATGATAATTTATTTGTAGACAACAAACATAAGTATTCTACTGACAAAAAATTGTCACACTATGATATTGCAGATACACATATGTACTAATTTAATTCACAGTCAGTGGTAGTTTTAATGTGTCCGCTTGACTGGGCTGGACAATACTCAGACAGCTGCCGATACATTATTTCTGGGCATGTCTGTGAAGGTGTTTCCAGAGAGATTAGCATTTGAATTGGTGAACTGAGTAAAGCAAATGGCTCTCCCCAGTGTGACTGGACATCACCTAATCCATTGAGGACCCAAACAGAACAAAAAGACTGAGGAAGGGCCAGCTCTCTGTGTTTTAGCTGGACTATCCACCTTCTCCTGACCTCAAACCCAGGTGCTCTTTGTCCATGGACCTTTGGGCTTAGAATGGAACTGGGCCTCCAGTTTGCAGATGACAGATCCTGGGACTTCTCAGCCTCTATACTTTCATGAGTCAAGTCCTCATAATAAATCTCTTTCTATATATCTGTACACAACCCGCCCTCCCATCCATGGGTTCTGTATCTGCAGATTCAGCCAACTGAAGATCAAAAATTTTCAAAAAAATAAAAAATAACAATATATCAATACAAAATAACACAAAACAATAAAGTATAACATTGTTACACAGCAGGTACATTGTATTAGTTATTATAAGTAATCTAGAGATGATTTAAAGAATATAGGAGGATATGTGTAGGTTATATGCAAATACCACATCATTTTATATAAAGGACTTAAGCATCCCAGGATTTGGGGATCCACAGGGCAGTCCTGGAACCAATCCCTTGCAGATACCAAGAAACAAGTATATATCCTACTGGTTCCGTTTCTCTGGAGACCCAATACACACTTTTTTGTTTAAATGTATCAAATATGAGAATTTTTAGTAGCAAAAAAATTTTCCTTTTTTTTTCTTTATTTCTTCTACAAAAAAATAAAAAACAGAATCCACCTGCAGAGAGTGCAGGTTTGTTACATAGGTACACGTGTGCCATGTGGTTTGCTGCACCTATTGACCTGTCCTCTGAGTTCCCTCCCCTAACCTCCCCGCCCCCCCCACAGGCCCTGGTGTGTGATGTTCCCCTCTCTGTGTCCATGTGTTCTCAATGTTCAAAACTCCCACTTATGAGTGAGAACATGCAGTGTTTGATTTTCTGTTCCTGTCTTAGTTTGTGAGGATGATGGCTTCCAGCTTCATCCTCAGCAAAAAGTGTTTTCTAGTCAAATCTTTAACAAGACTTCAGAAAGCACTTACGTTTATACAATTGAATAGCCAAACTTAGAATTGACTTATAGCAATTTTTAAAAAATAGAATTATACTGTTATGGTTTAAAATAGCAGATAACCAAAATAAAAAAAATCTTTTCAAATTTTACTTTGAGGAATGTTGGGTTTTATATACATATTACCTTTTCCTTGCCCACCTGTATAAATGTTAGAGGAAAGAAAGGATGCTGAATTTATGTATATTAATGTAATGATATCATTATAGATGTTATAGAGTATATTTTTAACGTATAATTAAATAATAGGCAAAGGTGGGAAATTGTAACTAGTCATACCTAAATGTAGGAAACTATAAGCTTCTTGCCTTTCTGAGACAATGTCTACTGGGAGCCTATAATTTCAGAATCAATTTCCTCCTTCTTTCCCTCCCTCCCTCCGTCCCTCCGTCCCTCCCTCCCTCCCTCCAACCCTCTCTCTCTCCTTCCTGCCCTTCCTTCCATCCTGCCTTTTGTCCATTCTTTCCTTTTTTCTTCATTTATTTTCTTTCTCTCATCACCTTCACCTCCTCCATTACATTTTGTAATTGTTGATATGTTTGGTCATGTGCTGGATCTAAGTTATAGGTTTAGATAATCCCAAACACTCATTAAATTATTCCCAACTTGATTTTTTTAATAGATAAAAACAAAGTCATTTTACTACGCATAAAACAGACATTAAACCTGCAATTATGGCCGGGTGTGGTGGCTCAGAGCTGTAATCCCAGCACTTTGGGAGGCCAAGGCGGGTGAATCAGGAGGTCAGGGGTTTGAGACCAGCCTGGCCAACGTGGTGAAACCATATCTCTACTGAAAATACAAAAATTAGCGGGGTGTGGTGGTGTGCACCTGTAATCCCAGCTACTTGGGAGGCTGAGCCAGGAGAATCGCTTGAACCTGGAGGCGGAGTTTACAGTGAGCCTATACTACTCCATTGCACTCCAGCCTGGGTGACAGAGCAAGACTCCATCTCCGAACGAACAAACAAACCCTGCAAATATTTCTTGAGTACTCACTCTATTTTCTTATTCCAGTGGCCAGTAGAAAAATCAGTTAATGCTAGTGAAAGTCTTTTGAGATTCATGTGTGAAATATGTAATCTTAAATTGTTGGCCATAATTTCATAATTTGCCAATTATGAAAATATTCTGAACTGTAGTCTTTTTTTTTGAGTGAAAATACAAAATTAAAAAGAGATTAGGTAGTTAGGTTTAGGTAATATTATCAATGTAGACCAATGAATTAAATTCTACAGGAAGAAAAAAAAGAACTCATTTGGCTACTTTATAGTTACCAGGAGCCATTTCCCATCCTGCTCCCAAACTGAGGGCACATAGATTTAAACAAATTTCTGCTTTCTCAGGAATTACAACACTTTAGAACCACAAGTTTATTTACTTATTTAAGGACATATCTGAGTCAGGACTTAGTCACATTACTAAAATTGATTTATTAACTTTTTTCCCCAATGATTGAAATAATTTTAAATCAAAGTGATCTGTGTTAAAAGTAGGGAGCTTTTTCTGCATGAAGAAATAACAAGACCTTGTAGGTCTTATTAAGCCCATATTAAGCCATTGTAAGCGTTTTCCTTGGCTTTGCATGTAAAATGCTATGTGGTCTACAAAAAAAGTAGCAAGGGATTCCTTAAGTTTTCTACTTGTTAAGTGGTCCAGTTCATAGTTACTATGGATCCAGTTCAAAGCAGTGCTCTGAATACTAATAACAAAACTAGTTTTGCTCAAGTATTTTTTCTAATTCTGAGGTTAAAATTGAAAACAAGAGCTATATTCAATATTAAATTTTCTCGTTTACAAAACAATGTATTTATCCTGGAGTATTTTTCTTGTTTCTACAACTTCAGGGAAATGACAAGCTGGGATTTCAGAAGTTCTGAGGATATATTTTGATATTTTAATAGGACTATTGCCAGCTATGATTAGACACTCAATAAATAATTGAATTGAATTGTTTGGGTACTTTCATCAAAGAGAACATAATGTAGATTTCTTTTTGTTTTTACTTTAGAATACTCCTGGAAAGTCTTCATTAAGTAGAAAACAAAACAAACCATAAGACCCACAAGGAATAACAAAATCGACTTAGGGGCTATGGAGTTTGACTTAGCAACTTGTACTCGATCCTTTATAACAAAACCTCTCTGCTAATGTGAAGCAGCTGTGGCAATTTCACAAAATGGCCTAAACTGTTGAAAAGCCATTAAGGGTCTGATGTATGTAGAATAAAAAGGTTCATTCAGCTTTTTAAAAGGTTTCCCAATATGGAGTGTTATTTTATTTTATAACCAAGTCTTAGTCATATTAAGTTTAAATGCCACAGAAAATTTTAATGACCATGTGGCTGGCTTTTTCGGTGAAATAGCAGGAATTCTTCAACATACCTAAAATTCTTTTAGAAAAAAATTGGTACAAATCTATAAGACACACCATGCAAGTTCCCACTATTAAATGCAGAATTAGAAAATTTAGCAACACATACAGGGTGACTTACCATTTATGCTTGTCGGGGCACCTAACTGAATTGGAATCAATTTCTTTAATCCTAAAGCACATAGAGTCTGCTGGAAATAATGAAAGCCACTTGCTTTCCCAGCTTTTTCATAGATCTGAGCCTCAATTATTAACTGTATATTTTTGAAGTTAGTTTTTATAGATCGTATGATTTAAAAAAACATGACTGTGTCTTTTCCTAAGGATGTGTGAAGGATTACACCTCCAATTCTCATTCCCTTTTTTCCTCTGAAGGTGGTAGCTATATGATGCTTTTTATGCATTCACCTGCTTTACTTGTTATTTTGAGGTTTAGAAGGTCTATCTTTGTGCCCTTCAAATTATTTCTAAGACAGCAGAAGTGTTAGCTTATTAACGTAGTCTGTATTCTACCTGCAATGAGGTAGATATATGATTTCCAGCAGACTTCTAATTGTACAGCCACAAGAGCTGTAAATATGTTCCTTAGAAATGTCTTGTGAATTTTCTTGTACTTTTCCTGATATGTGCATCAATCTATGTGCTATTCAGATGTACTCAGCTAGACTGGAGGGATCATGTCCAGAGGACTCCTGTGAGTGTTGAGGCCCACACACCAGAGAAAGGCCAGTTTCAACCTGCTGTACGTCATCACTCTGCCATGTTAACCTGAAAAGCAGTGTGATATTGTGATTTGTCATAGGAAATATGTATTCGGTCTTCATCCCCATTCCTAGCACAGAGTTCCTAGAACTCTTATAATTTCATGAGTAATGGGAGTGGTGGGGGTATTTTTTTGTTATAAAATTTGGCCTTTTGCCTTCAACTCCTGCAAAGCTCTAGAGCAATAAAAGTGAAAGGAGTGCGTTTTGTTATTCATAACAAGTCCATTTCAACCACAACTGAGATTATGTGAATAAGGTGATTTCAGAAACCCCCATCACTTGATGGGGAGATGATTGACAAGGGGACCAACCCTGTGGTTAGAACTTGGGGAAAAGAGAGGGGCTGCAGACTGAGCTAGTTACTACTGGCCAGTAATTTCATCAGCCATGCCTAGATAATGAAGCCTATGTCAAACCCCCCAGAAACGGGGTTTGGAGAGCTTCTGGGTTGCTAAACATGCAGAGGCTCTGGGAGGACGGCGCATCTGGAGAGATCATGGAAGCTCCACATCCTCTTTCATGTACCTTACTCTACACATCTTTCTAGCTGGCTGTTTCCAAGTTGTATCCTTTTTTTAACAAACCAGTAATTTAGTAAACAAACTCTTTTCCTGGTTCTGTGGGCCATTCAAGCAAATGATCAAACCCTAGGAAGAGGCCGTGGGAGCGTCTGATGTATCGCCACTCAGTCAGAAGCACAGGTGTTAACCTGCACTTGCGATTGGCATCTGAAGTTGGGCAGTCTTGTGGGGCTAGCCTGTAACCTGTGGGATCAGATGCTAACCTTAAGTATATAGGGTCAGAATTGAATTTAATTATGGGATAGCCAATTGGTGTCTGCCAGAGAACCGAGCTGAATTATTGTGGAAACCCTCCTCACACATCCAGAGATCTGAAATGTTGTGTGAGAGTAGAGTGAGTAAAGAAAAACAGTTTGTTTTTCCTAATCAACAGGTCGCAATAGAAACTTTGATGCATAGGGAATAGGACTGGCCATCTTCTGTGAAAATAAGTAAGTCCAAGAAATGGGAGCCTAGGATTTGGTCAAGTGGGAAGGAACATTTGGAGATGTTGATTCTCTGAGGATTCAATCAGCATGTATTTGTGCAAGGCATTTTGCTAAATGTTTTGAGACAGAGAGCTGACACAAGATGGTCCCTGACTTCACATGGCTTAGGTCTTGTTGGAAAGATCAGATGTATGCATTTTTTATGTTAATAGTAAGGCAGTGCTGCTCTATGCAGAGTGGTGTTCTCCTGGCACATGACACTGGTATCGGTGTGTGAGATCAGGGAAAGTGCCTGTGGACAGTGATGATTCTCAGCACACCTTGCTGGACAGATTGGCTTTGTGTAAGACTTTGAATCAAAGACTGAGACAGGGCAAGGGGCTCAAACAGGTGCCCCCAGCCCGTACCTGGTGCACCGAACTTTCCCCAAGTACATAATAGCATCCCACTGAAAGAGGACAGGGCAGTAGGATGGAGATCAACCCCACGCCGTTTGGAAAGCTAAGGATTGAGCCATAGGGCACAGAGAGGTCTCAGTGTCTCACTGGTACTTAGATGCCAATTCCTGTTGAAGAGATGGCACAGTGAGGGGGAATGGATGGGAAATATTTTAAGACTGAATAGTGGATAAGGATGACAAGGGCTAGGAAGTTCCAGAGAGGGAACAGTGAATGGAAGACTTGGAGAAGTCAGTGGAAGTCCGATTTTACCTGCAACATTCCAGCCTCTTAATAAATAGCCATTGACTAACAATAAGAACAAACCAGATGTGCTACAAAACCATAGTTTTTCAAAACTTACCAGAGTGCTGAAGATAAAATGAAACAGAAATAAACTAAATTCTAGAAAGTCATAGACCTTTCCAAGAGAGATGCGACCCAGTTGTTTTTATCCCTGGGGGCATTATAAATACAGAGCCGATATGCCACAGATTGGGGTAAGTGGAAACCAGCTCCATTTTTAATGAACTCTTAATAGCCACCCGTGGGCTGGTGTGGTAGATGAGATCGCCAAGGAGCATCCTCCTACAGTGAGTCTACACCCACCTGCCATCTCTTTCCCCCAGGACTTTTACTGAGAGCACACAACTAAAGAGCCAAAGACTGACACAGGGCAAAAGGCTCAAACAGGTGCCCCCAGACCACACCTGGTGCACCATACTTTCCCTGAGTACATAATAGCATCCCAATGAAAGAGGACAGGGCGGCAGGATGCAACCTCATGCCATTTGGAAAGCTAAGGATTGGGCTATAAGACACAGAGAGGTCTTAATGTGTCACTGGTGCTTAGATCTCAAGTCCTATGGAAAAGATGAAACCAGTGGTAAACTGGAGCTAACTAAAGCTGCAACAAAGCCCAGAACCATCTCAACTATGGATTGGATTGACTGTCACTTCCCACCCTACACCCTGCACCATCCCAGAGTAGAGGACTGACAGAGAAAGGGATGCTCCCTTTCCTGGAGGTAAAGATCATTTATTTACTTGTCTCCTTTTTTTATTTTATGCATAATGTCCAGCAAACAATAAAATATTACAAGACACCTGAAGAGTCAGGAAAATATGATGCGTAATCAAAAGAACAAATAGCCAACAAAACTAATCCATAGATAGCCAGATGTTGGTATCAGCAGACAAGGACTTTAAAACAGCTGTAATAGCAGCTGAAATGAAACAATCTGATGAAAAAGGTATACAATATGACACAATATAATGATCTACAGTTAGTATCTAAGAGAAGCAGAAAAGGTCCATCTATCCCTCTCCAGTGATCTGCTTTGAATTTATGATTTATTTGCTAGGAAGTAAGAAATAATTAAAATTACTTTGGTGAAAAAATGGAGACTTGGAGAATTTGAAATAAACTTGCGTATGGCTATTAAGGTTGAGACAAGATGCTGGGACTGTTTAATTCTAATGTCTGACTTTGCCATATTTTTAACTATTTTGAAAATTTTCATTCTATCATATTCTCCTTCTTTATGTATTTTATTATTATTATTTTAAAAGTCAAGCAATATTAAGAAGAAATCCAAATTAGGCTTACAAAGTGAAGTAGATGCCAGTCACGAGTTTTGTCCCCATGTGCAATCTTGTGATCTGAGATTAGCAATATCATCTGTATCTATTAATCATAATTTTATACATAATTTTAATTATTTGACTTGATATAATACTTTCAAAGTCATCTATGGTTCATGTTGTTTTCAACAAACATTTCTATTCAGTAATTATTTGGTTCTATCTTTGCTTACTGATATAGTATTAAAAGTTATATTTTATCAGACCTAAAAATTATATTTTTAAAAATACAAAATGATCACTGAATAAAGAGGGTTTGTACCACAGTGTTTTTGCTTGCTACAGTGCTATAAGTTTCATTTATTCCAGATTATTTTACACAAAATCACACAATAAAAAAGGAATATTTTATAATTCTATGTATTCCACAGTATCCAATATTAACTGGGTAGAGGATAAGCAGCACAATTACAGTAATAAATTTAACCATTCAGTTATTCACATTCTTATTTCTTGCTGCTGCTGAAAATTACAAATATGAATAAGACCACACTGCCCTTAAGTTGTTCATGGTCTACTAATTGATTGACATTAGTGACAGGTAGAATATAGAGACAGAACCATTTTTGATAGTGTTGTGGCATTTGTCTTCTTAAGGTAAAGTATAACTTAAAAAAAAATAGATTGAATAAAGCAATACATGCGAAGTAGTTTCAAATAGTGATTGGCACATAGTAAGTCTGCAATAATTGTTAGTTATCTTATTATTTTTATTAATATCATTATTATAAAAACAAAGTAAGGTAAAGCATAACTTTAAAAAATTAGATTGAATAAAGTAATACATGTGAAGTAGTTTAGCATAGCGATTGGCATGTAGTAATCCTATGATAATTGTTAGTTATCTTATTTTTATTAATATCATTATTATAAAAGCAAAGTATAGAGATGATCTGAAGGTTTTCCTCTTGTATGTATAGGTACACTACCATTTGCTTCACTCCCTAAAATGTTACATTTGAAAAGTATAGGGAAAACATTTGAAGTAATTTGAATTTTTTTTTTTTCAGAATTAACTTGCAAAGCCTGAAACAACTAATATGGATAAGTTAAGCAATAGCTTCACAGCAGGAAATTTTATTTTGGTAGCCACAGACTAGTTTTCACTATATTTCAAAAGCATTAGAACTTACTTTGCGTTTTTGTACTAGAGTGTTCATATCTAGTTTGGTCAGCTTTGCCATTTCCATAATCAGTTATACATGTAAAACAGATATACATGTCTGGGTAATAGAGCTTACACAATTTTGAAGTGTCTCCTTAAGAAAAAGGGCTTGGAAAGAACCTATTCAAGTGAGGGGCTCTGAAGCTTAAGCTTCATTAGATTCATGATAAATTGTATTCTGCTTTGTTGGTATTTAAAACTGTTCTCCAAGATGAGATCAATCTAAATTTGGTTTGCTGTACAAGAATGTACGCTCTTTTCCGTGCCACTCTCTTGCTTTCTCTTTAATCACTTCTTCTTATTAGGCATTAGAAATACAGCCTCTATTGGTTATAAATATGTTAAGTCCTTTGGGAACAAAAGTACAATGAAATAAATAGAAAATAACATACATTAAATTTCTTTGGGCATAGTTGTAATTTCTGTGGGTCTACATTTAGGTCTACCAGATTTCCTTTCAGCTTACCTTCTTTTAAAAAATTCTGTTAATAGAGTCATTTGCCTGTTTTCTTAGCTGCCTCTTAAGAAAGCCTTAAGAAAATTTTGTGATTTTTTTAAATTCCACAAAAATACATTGAACAACTACTAAATACCATGCACCATATCTTCCCAAGTCAGTAATTTACCTACACTCCCTTCTGTTCTGCCTTCACAGTACCTTATATTGTGTTTCCCATCTTTCATTCTCTTTCCTGCCCCCTTCTGTTTGTTTTTAATATGATCCTCTATGGACTCCTGGTCGTGTCAGCTTTCCTACTATGATACACTAGTTTCTAGGTGATAATTTGACCACTGTATTCTTAAACATCGAAGGATAGCTTTAATTGATTTAACCACTTGACTTTAAGCTGCAGTTCAATGTTCAACTGATATGATGGCACCATTCATAAGGGAAGAACGTATGAGACACATAAGTCAAATGGGAGATAGGATAAGTGCTCCTATCTGACATCTTGATTAATATGAATTATGTCAAGCTTATTTAGTAGTTCATAAGTTCACATCAGCAATGATAACAGTAGCCATTAGTGATGACCCTGAAAACGTTGAGCCTTTAAGAGCTAGGATTTTCTTTGAAGTTCAGGACATTTAGCCACCAAAGTTCAACTCTAAGACAGGATGCAAAGTAGAAAGTGGAATCTGTTGAAAACATCAATGGACCTAATTTCCTTTTTCACCATCATGCTTCATAAAGTTCTCAGGTCATTTTCATTAGTTATGGAATTATGATACAATAAGGATATTAATAAAATCACCAATTTTATTTTCAAAGAAGAGATCTTAGTCCATTTTGAGAAAATAGATCTCTGTAGGGCAGAGGGAAAGGGGATCATTCATTTTTCCTAGAACAGGGTATACGACAATTTCCACACAGCTGCCTTGCTCAGTTTTCCAATGATCATGGAAGGACCCTATAGAGGAATAGTAGACTATAGTCATCAGGCTGTAACATGTCCAAGACATAGCTGTCTTTTCATTAGTCGGTAGTGTTTCTCATGGAGCACTCTTGGATCATCTGTATCAGGATCACCTGGGATAATTATTAAAAATGGACATTCTTGGACCCTACCCCAGATCTACTGTACCAGAATCTCTGGAGATGGGGCTTGGAATTCTGCATTTAACACTGTCTCTCCAGCTACTTGTTATATACACTGAAGTCTGATAATCAGTGCCTTCTGAGTGCATAGTTTTTAAATCCTGAAGGATTTATGAAATTTACTTTCTTATTCATATGTACTTAGTGAAAAACTAGAATTTTTATTTTTGAACAAAGGAGATATTAATGAAGGTAAACCTTGGTGGACCCATCCCTTCCAATGAAATGCTTAGCATGCCTATGGTGAAATTAAATCACAAGGAAAAAGAGTTATATAATTACTCCTTTTCCCCAAAAAAATTCAGTTAATTATGAGATCTCGAGGATGGCTTGTAGCATAACATAATTGAGGTCACTTGAAATGGCATTCTCAACTCTGATACTCCACAATGGTCACCAAGAGCAGATTTGGTGGCAAATTGCACACCCAGAAGTATACCTGGAATATCATAAACTTCTTGGATAGATGGTAGTGGTTACATGTGTCCTGGTGTACTAATTATTTGACTATGCCAATCCAGTGTAAAATGTGTCCAGACAGAAATGTAACTGGATGCCTGGTGATATGGTTTGGCTGTGTCCCCACCCAAATATCATCTTGAATTGTGGCACCCATAATTCTCACGTGTTGTGGGAGGGACTCAGTAGGAGATAATTAAGTCATGAGGGTGGTTCCCCCATACTGTTCATGTTGTAGTGAATAAGTCTCAAGAGATCTGATGGTATTATAAACAGGAGTTCCTTTGCACAAGCTCTCTCTTTGCCGGCTGCCATGTAAGATGTCTCTTTGCATTTCCTTCGTCTTCTGCCATGATTGTGAGGCCTACTCAGCGATGTGGAACTATGAGTCAGTTAAACCTCTTTCCTTTGTAAATTACACAGTCTCAGGTATGTCTTTATTAGCAGCATTAGAACAGACTAACACACCTGGGCATAACTTAGTCAAGAGATGCTCTACATTATTGACACAGTTGCAAAGTGGCTGAATACGGAGTTTAGTAATTTCAGCTTGAGGGAATGCCCCATTTTTGTAATCTCCATTGAAACTCCTCATGATTGCACTTAGGCATTCCATGTGTTTGCAGATCTATTTTTGTCTCTTGTAATCTTCATGTTAACTCTCTTGTGCTACTCTCACCTCAGGGACTGGAGTTTGATTCCAGCCTCAGACTGTTCATTAATCCAGTTGCTTTCTTACAGTTCTTGTCGCATTGTTCCTGCAGAGGCAGGAAAGATCCCCACGGTGTGGTGTTTACAGCGTATGTGATTCCTGTTCCTGTCTCAGAACCTGTTGTCTGGCTTGGGGTCTTTCCTTTGTTGAGGCCTGAGGCGCAGGCTCAGATTAGGTGTTACTCCTATCTCTTTATCTCCGGAAATATTGGAGATGGTGAATATTCATATTGAAATCTGGAAAGTGTTTTAAGTTCTTTACAAAAGAACTTAAAAGTCAATGTTAATACAAAAAGTAGAAAATCTCAAAAACAAAGAAACCCTATCTGATATCATTTGGCTCTGTGTCCCTACCCAAATCTCACCTCGAATTGTAATAATCCCCACATGTCAGAAGTGGAACCAGGTTGAGGAAATTGAATCATGGGGACAGTTTTCCCCATGCTGTTATTATGATAGTGAGTGAGTTCTCATGAGATCTGATGGTTTTATAAGCGTCTGGTATTTCCCCTGCTGGCACTCATTTTCTCACCTGCCACCATTGAAAAGGTGACCTCTGCCATGATTGTAAGTTTCCTGAGGCCCCGCAGCCATGCAGAACTGTGAGTCAATAAACCTCTTTTCTTTATAAATCACTCAGTCTCTGGCATTTCTTTTAGCAGCATGAAAATGTACTAATACACTATTGTTAATATTTAAAAATGATAAGAGAAAATGCATTTATGAAATCATAATGAGAAAAAGGATACATTTATATTACAAGAACAGAGCTCTTGAAAATTAAAAATTATGATAAATGAAAGAAAAATTCAATAAAAAATAAGAATGTACAGTTGAAGCAATATTCTAGAAATTTGTATAGAAAGATAAGGAAATAAAATATAGAAAAGATAGAAAGGTAGGAAAGAATCCAGAAGGTGAAAAATTTGGACAAAAGAAATTCTAGAAAGACAGAACAGAATAAGGAAGGGAGAAAATTATTAAAGAAATAATTTAAAAATGTTCCAGCACTGAAGGGTACTAGCATTGAATTAAAGGAGCCCAACAATTGCCTAGAACACTGTATGAAGAAAGATCTGTGCTACAGCGTGTAAAATTTCAGACCATCTGAGGAAGGAGAAACTTCTAAATGCTGATTAGAGGAGGTCAGGAGAGGGGCGGGGAGAGAGAGAGAAACAGGAATCATGTATCAAAATGACAGATGACTTCTCAACAGCCACCCTGGAAGAAGGGGAACAGTGAGGCAAAGGCTTCAAAATTCTCAAATGTTATTTCAACCTAGAATCTGTGCGTATTAGAAATATTCTCCCAAACTAGGAGTCAAGTATGAGAGAACAGAAAAGAGTTTCAGACATGAAAGCTTCAAAATGAACCTATTATATAACCTTGCTTAGAGAGCCTCTGAAAAATCTAACAAAACCCAGAAACAGGATGCCTTGGTATCCAGAAAATAGGGAAATCAACATAGAAATATAGAAGAAAAGCCACAGAATGAATGAGGAAATGTGGCTCTACAACAATAGCTGTGCGGATGATCTAGAAGGCAAGTAGTCTAGATTCAAGCAGGCTAGATAGCTTCAGGTAGGCTGTCTTCAAGAGGACAAAATACATAAATACCCAATGTGTTTTAACCTCTTGAAGCAATATGTAGTGTTTTAGGCTCTTCTTGTGTTGCTATAAAGAAGTACCGAAGGCTGAGTAATTTATAAACAAAGAGGGTTAATTGGTTCATGGTTCTGCAAGCTGCACAAGCATAACGCCTGCATCTGCTCAGCTTCTGGGGAGGCCTCAAGGAGCTTTTACTCATGGCAGAAGGTGAAGCAGGAGCACGCAGGTCACAGAGCAAGAGCAGGGCAAGAAAGAGCAAGGGGGAAGATGCCACACATGTTTAAAGAGAACTCATTCACTATTGTGAAGACAGCACCTAAGGGCATGGTGCTTAACCATTCATGAGAAATCTGCCCCCATGATTCAGTTACCTCCCTCTAGGCCCCACCTCCAACACTGGGAATTACATCTTGACATGAGATTTGGAGGGGACACCCAAACTGTATCATTTATGATTATGGGAAACTAAGAGGAGCAAAATTAAGGTGATTATTAACTGAAGGAAATAATGAAAGTTGTACAAGAAAAACAATCATGTTAAACTACATGGCTCAGCTCATGAATAACATTCATACATAAAAAGTAACATGAAGAGTGGATACAGATGTAACTGAGAATGAAGACATAGCTAAGGCAGAAAGATGAGACACTGAAGGCAGGTGTGCACATATAAGTGGGGAAGCTGGGAGGGCTATCAATCAGATGAAACTTTCTTTATTTCCACAATAGGAAGTTAGTAGGTATCTAAGATTCAAAAATCAAGAAATGAATTATAAGCATGCTAGTTAGGAATATGAAATGAAGATCAAAATAAAAGGATGGGCAGGTTGAAGTTTTTTGTCTCTGGGGAGCAGAAATGGGATTGTGGTAGGGAAGTGGTAGGGCAAGGCTAGTTTTCATGTAGACTTAAGGAAACTTTTGACCTTCTATACTATAAATATGTACAACTTGAATAAAAATAAAAATTCTATACATGTTACATAGAACTCCTTCTTCAACATAGCCCCTTCTCTCACCCTTCCTACTGATGAGCAGGTTTAGATTGGGGATAATGCACTTCTCTTTCTAACCAGTTACTCTGTTAACCTGAAAATCTAGCAAAAGGCACCAGTTTTTTACTGATGTCAGTTTCTTTCAAATCAGTGTTTTTTAAAACAGTGTTAAAACATTTTCATTTAAACTTTTCATGGCTAAGAACAACATATTATACCTCTACTTTCTTTGGACACTATACATTGAAATATTTTATAGTTTTTATTAATACCTTATTTTCCCTTTTTATTTGTGAAACTCTTCAAAGGCTACAAATGGAATGGGACTTACTGTTAATATGACTTATCATGGTCATTAAATTGAGTTAATTTAACACTGTTCCAAAGCAAAGTAATGTGTTTTAGTTTTAAAGATGACTTATAAACATATTTTGCTAATTTAAGAGAGGAAGATTTCCAACAAACAAATACAAGAATATGAAAATGTCAGCTAGCAGGTGTTTTGCAGGAATTGCTGGGTGGTCTGGAAACAGTGGTCCCATTAGATTGGGATGGCCAATTAATACGCTTTAAGGAGGTTACTTTTAGGCTGAACCAAAAGGAAAAGGAAGAGACAGTCAGCTGAGGTTTAGAGAAAGAAGTTCCAGACAGAGGGGTCTGTGAATGCAAATATCCTACAGGAGGAACAAACTTGCCTCCAATTTGGGGACAGCAGAAGGTCAGTGCAATTGGAGTCAAACCAACAAGGGGAATGAGGCATGAGATAAAGTTAGTGGTGTAGGCAGGAGCCAGATCATGAGGTGCTGGGTAAATCATCTGCATTTACTTTTTAAAGACGATGGGAAAGCCATCAAAGAGTTTAACAATTTAGGTGATGCAGTTTTGGCAGGAGTACCTTATACCTTGGTATAAGAAGTTTTTTTTTCCTCTTCCCTTCTCATTTTCTTTTCTCTAACTTTTTCTTCGTATGTTAATACTATAGAAGTCTTATAGAAATAAAGTCAAAATACTAATAATATAGCCACTATCTGCTTTAATGACAACTTTCTCTCGTCATCACCCTTTAAACTATTCTTGGTTTTACTCCCCAGGCACCCTCTTATCTATTAAGTGAATTCCTTTTGATCCTTGGAAACTCATCTTGGTGTCACTTTGGTTAAGCTTTCCCTGGTCTTTTTAAACATAATTAAGGCATTTTATACATGGACTCGTCATAGCAGTTACGACATTGTATTATTAATGCAGTTCTATTCACTTTTTCTTAACTGATCATGAGATCCTCCTATCCTAAATAACATGAGTTTGACTTGATAAGGATATATGCTTTTTCCTTAGGTCTCATGAATATAACACGATGCCCAGCACATAGAAAGCATACAATAAGTGTTTGTTGGATAACTGTGGACAGTTCAGTCGACCAGCAAGTGAGTAGCAATGTGGGGAGTAGAATCGAAGTCTTGATCTACAGATAGACCAGAAGTACTGGGTCCCCTTGGTTATTGAAAAACTGTCATCTCTATCTATGGACATCACACATGTGCCGCTTTATGAGGATCAATATCATAGCTTCATAACTGATGAACAAATAGATTACAGGTGGGGAAAGGGAGAGATCTCTGCTAGCTCCCAGGTTGTCCCTGGTAGCCTGAGGTAGCCTGGTCTTTACCCCAGTGTGTCATACATATATTGTCATTTTCCATGTAAGCCATAGGATGGAAAACAGTTGACAACACTGTATATAACCTGAAGGGGGCATACTGAACGATGATCAAAATAGTGGGTTGATTGCAAGAATGAGTTGACAAAATTTTACAATCTCCACTTAGCTAAAAAGAATAGTGCATGTATGAGTAATAGATATTTCTGCTTGTTAGGGCCTATATACAGGATCATAATTTTCCCTTGGGAAAATTTCTAGAACAGCTTTGTCTTAAAGTAAAAGTTGATTTAGAGTCATTGAAAATTATTCAAAATGTTAATTCCAGTTTTTTTAAAAAAGTTGTTACAGTTATTTCTGATTTATGATGAACAGGCTAAGGAAGAAATCTGTTAAGCTTTGAGAATTTTGCTCTGATTACACGAAAGCAGGAAAAACAGCAAAATTAACTTTTCCTTGCTCAGGGGTGAGTTCATTTTGTCAAAGTTAATATTCATGATAGTTCAGATTGGCCTCAACTCAAGCAGGGCCAGCAGGGTTATTTTCCATTTGGCAGACTTATCTGTAAATGGGCAAATTCCACATGTAGACAATTATTTCTGGAAATATAAGTGTGTGTGCATGTGTATATGTGTGTGTGCATATGTGTGTGTGTGTACTTATTGAGAATTCTCATTAATTCATGCCAAATCTGTGAAAAGGAGTCTACATTAATTTAAAAAAATCACAAAGTACTTTGTTACTAAAGGAACATGTAATAATTAATGACTACACGTGGCTGCGGTATACCCTTTTTTTGTAAGGTTTCTTCCTGAGACTTTTGTTTCTCTAACCAAGTGACAAGATCTACCAAGGTTTACCTTGGTAGACCTTTTCTTTGGTAAAGTAAGGGTAAACTTTACCAAAGTGCCTGTTGAAATTTTTCTACAGATATTAATATACTAAAAATATATTTTTAGGTGAGGTATTTTCTTTCTTGGGTCAATTCTGGAATAATCCAGAATTTAATCAATTAGCTCAAGGATACGAAATGAGTGCAACATGATAGGAACATTGTTTTTAATTTCAAGCATATAATTTTATGGGTGAAAAACTGAAAACATTTAACAAAGTCTTTTTTTTAATCCAAAGATGCCTTTCTCAGTCACTCAATACTTCTGATATGACATTAATCTTGCTTTTCCTAAATTACATTTTCAGAATCACATTTTCTTTTAATATAATTCAAAATATTTAATATTGTTATGGATGTAGTTTCTCTATAACTCCTAATTCAAAATGAGAAAATAAATTTGTGAGTTATGATCTTGATGTATTTTATATTTTTTAAAAAGACAACTCAATTAGATGAATAAGGCTTATTAAGTTTATATCTCATGATATTTATTCTTAAGAGAAGAGTTCTAAACAAGGACGATAACATGATTCTTTTCATGAAGAGTTTTCTTTAAAGGGGACTTTTGTGGGGAAAAAATCACACACTTCCTTGTGTTACACAGCAAGCATCCTGTGTGTTATTTAGAGATCCTTTATCATGGAGGGTGGTCCAGTGGTAATTTACCAGGGAAAAAAAGGAGTGTACAAAAATTTAATTATTATTTGACCTCAAATAATTATATGCCACTAAACTAATTAAAGAGCAAATTAACAATGTGCCACTGATGGGCAGTCTGCTGTTTGCATGACTCACTCATCTTTTGCAAAGAATAAGTGATTTGTATTAGAAATGAGTTGTTAAGGATGTTTTGGGGGATAACTATCGCTGTCATTTCTATGTTAAATCACAGGCCCAACCTCTGGATAAAAAGAGACAGGCTTATCATGAGCCAGGGAAACGGCAGCCCTAGCCTGATAGCTCTGACTCGAGGCCTTGTTTAAAAGCTATGACTCAGTGCAGGGCAGCCAGGGAGCTCTGGTCCTCTCAATTCCTTCCAAACCAGCCATTCAGCCTCTAATGTTCAGGTTGCGTGCCTCATGCTGATTATTTCTGTGAAGTCCATCAGAGTCAGCCTTATTCTCCCAAGCATTCATCTTCATTTCCAAGTGAATGAAGGGGGATTTCAGTGGTACTACTGTTCACAGAGCAGAGCTAATAGTTCAATCAAACAAAACAAAACAAAACAAAAACAAAAAAATCAGCTAAAGAAACTGGTAGAAGAATGTTAGTTCTAACATAGAGGCTTTAAATACATCAATGTGGAGTGAAAGGGTGTTTGTAGTGAGTGTGCTCCTGTAGCTTGTGCAGTTTATTTTTATGAGGATTAAAATATCCGTAAGTATGAACAGCGATCCCCTATTTACATGTATTATTATTGAGCGGATTTTTTATTTTCATTCTGTCTCTTTTTATAACTTCACATATGACTTCTTTTATTCATTTCATCCCTTCCCGTAAATAAACTACAAAGACTTATTTTTTATTACTTCTTTATTCAACAACCTATAGTTTAAGATAATTGGTTGATCAAGAGGCAACAACCTAGAGCCCCAGTATAAGTCACATTATATTTCCATCAGCAACAGCACAAATGTGATAATAAATTGCTGTTGCTGGTGCACAGACACAACAGGTATTGTGGCTTGCTGGAAAAACTATATCCCTGGTGGCAATCTTGGAATGTAAACCCAGGGACAGTCTATTACTACCATGCTTAGAAGGAAGCTAAGTTGGAAATCCAGATTTTTATGTGAATTCAATCAACTTTTAAAGGTTGGCAACTAATTTAAAATTTTCAACACTGTGCAGACCAGCAACCAATTTGCAAACTATCTCTGGCCCATGGGCTGCCAAAATCTGAACCCTCTGATTTAAATTCTGAAGTTTTAATGACATTTCACTTTAATTTACTGAGAAATGATCCTCATTTTCTATTACTTCCCCTCAATAGAAACGTTGCAATAAACAATAGAAAGGTTGGGCCAAATATAACAACCACAAGTTTTTACAAATAATTTGATATAAATCAATTATAGTTACCATTTTATAAATTGGAAAAGAGATGCTTAGAGTAATTACATGATTTGCCCATTAGCATGAAGCTGGTAGTGTGCATCCCCTCTAAATATTAATATCAGTCTTGTTTTCTTTTCAGTCAACCTACTCTGTGGACTGAATTGTGTCTCCCCGTCTCCGAATTCATATGTTGAAGCCCTAACCCTCAATGTGATAGTATTTAGAGACAGGACCTTTAAAGAGGGAATTAAGGTTAAATGAAGTCTTAAGTGTGGGGCTCTAATTTGGTAGGACTGGTATCCATAAGAAGAAAAAGAGACACCAGGGGACTTTGCACATAGAAGAGGCCACAGAGCTCTCTCTGTGGCCATTTGCAAACCAAGGAATGGGGCCTCAGGAATTACTAGCCCTGCTCACAACTTGATCTTGGACTTTCAGCTTCCCCAACTGTGAGAAAATAAAAGTTTGTCGTTTAAGCCAAAATGGGGCAAACAACCACAGCCTCCTCCACTCAAAAGATCAGATACTGATTACGTCATGTTTCCCATAAGCCAGTAACATTCCAATCATCCATAATATCAAGTTCAAAATATTTCGATGTAAAGAAACCAATTATATGGACATTTAAATGTCTGCTCTTATATAGCATATGCTAGGACATAAATACATTTATTGAATGAATGGTTGGTACTAAATACTGTAATGTTTGAAAATCTCAGTGTGATTAAAATATTTCCTTTTACTGTTTAATGACAAACATTGAATGGATGTAGACATAAATGTTAAAATTTTTCAAAAAGATATAACAAAAATGCAATCTTTTTCTTAAAAATGATAATTTAACACAAACTTTTATTTAAAATATGAGAAGAAATGTTGCTATTTAGACTTTGTACTATATTTAATTTCACCCAAAGATTATACTTTTTCCATACCTGTTTTCTAATTATATAATTTAAACTTAGTTGTGAAAATGGCATTTTAAAAGAGCTAAAACAAAATCTAGAACATTGCATTATAAGAATAAAAAGATAATTAAATATAGACACCAAAAAAGTCCTATCAGCATGACTATACAGTATTAAAAGTAATCAAAATATTACTTTATTATAAATTATATGAAAAAGTAAGTAGCTAACATGCTCTTGAGCATGCAATGCAGAAAACACAATATGTTATTTGGAATAAATCACAAGAAGACGTTGTTATTTTGATTAGAAATTGAATTTTAATAATGAAAATTTTCAATTTCTTTCAGAGTAAGAAAAGTGAGTAATACAAATGAAAAATTGTCCCATTTGGAAAAACTTTTAAGGTACAGACCTGGATGAAGGGATTATATTACTATCTAATGTCAGAAAAAAATGAAGATTAAGAAATGAAAATGTGTCCTAACGAAGTAGTATTTAAGAGAAATGAACTATTTGCAAATATATAAATAATCAGTTATTTAGAACAGTAAAGATGTTTTTGTTACCCCCAAATTAAAATTCCTATGAAATTAAATTTTATAATAATAAAAAGAGACATTTATTCTCATGATATACAAATATAGGCTATGCTTACTCTATGTATATAAGTGACAGGGAAACTGGAAAGAGTTAGAGGGGAGAAAGGAGGAAAATGCCTCAATTTATAACAGATGTTTAAAATGCACCTTGGGATACATTCATTACGGACATACACAATTAATCCTTCAGAACCTGCTGCTCACATCATGCTTTCCTTACCTGTTCAATGGTTTACACCTGCACATTAGGAGTGCACCTGGTTGAAATGTGAGCGACTCCCAACACCAGCTTGTTAAATCTTTTCCTATAAATTCTCCTCTTTAAAATGTAGCAAAATAAATTCAGAAACAAAGAAACGCACCTACATAAACAAGTAGATCCCTGAAAAGCATAAGCAGCCACTGAACTCAACCAAAAAGCACAGGTGGAAGGAGAGTTTAAAGGACCTTAGAGCACTGTGAATGTTTTTCACAGCGTCACAATTACAGAAACACCTGGTTCTGCAAACGGGCTGATCCACTGGGAAAATTTTCCAGTGTTCAATGGGCCTCAGAGTGGCTTTAAGACATCGAATGGGGGCTCCATGGTGACATTGAATTAAAAATATCTGGGATCCCAGGCTAAAGACCTTCTTGGTAACTGTTGTTCTATCCACCAAGTAAGTCTTTACTATGCATTTTTAGTGCACTTATTAGTAGCAAAACTCAAAACATTATGAAACTTGCCTGAACTTTGGAGAACATATTGAAATTAATATCAACCATTTATTATATGATGTGAGATCTAAGAAATCATTAGGCAAAATAATTAGCCAAACTGCTGTCTGGATAGAGAGTTGTTATTTCTCTCTCTGTGTGAGCTACAAGGCTTAGAGTAACGACTATAAAGTTGTGAGAAAGCAGTGTGGTGGAAATCAGATGTCACAGATTACCCTGGTGACATGTCAGTTGGTTCCTGATCATCTTTATTTCAGTATATAACTTTAAATGCATAACATAAATATTTGTTATGCTTTATTACATCTTGCATAATTATAATAATTAAGTCATAACTATAATCACTAAAAATGTATCTTTCTGCTTATTGTTAATTCTATATGCAGTGTTTCATTTGGTAGTAGAGTGAGAAGATGAGAAATTACTAAAACCTAAACAATGTTTCCATGCATGGCATGTATATAATAAAGACATATAATTGATATTTTTAAAGTTTCACTCTTAGTTCCATGCTTTGCATCAGTTGAGACGTGATGTAATCTTATCCTAGCAAGTACAGAAATTCTATTTAATGCTCTACCTTCTGACTAAAGTCTTCACGGTATGGATGCAATATTCAGTTTTGAATATTGCTACTTCTCAGACTGACCTCCAGGCATTTGTTCATATGTTAATACAAAACCACAAGTACAACTCTCAATATAAAAATAAATAATTCTGGATTGCTCTCTGCAGCTGTCCTCTTTGTTGATATGAAAAATAAGGAATTGAGTAAATATCTTCCCACTGCTATTTTAAGAAAACGAGAGAAAACAGGTACCTACTCACAGAGTAATATGGCCTCACACATAGCAAGTTATATATTTGAAGTGGAGTGGGGTTTTCTCTGGAAAGTCTTCAAAGTGCTGGATTGCAACTGGCAGGTTTTTGGATATAATATAAAAGGAGTAATAGGGGATACAGTTAGGGTCTTCCAAGTTCTTCAGCTCTTACTCTGCTTGAGATGGGGAGACACTGGATATTGTGGCAGTGGAAGGACATGAGTGGTTTTAGGTTTTAGCAGTACTGATCACTGATCACTGTACCAGTTCCTGATTACAGTTTAGAGAAAAGGGAGAAAGAGCAGAAGCAGGGAGACCAGCTAGGAGGCTACTGCCCTAATCCAGGAGGGATCAAAGTGGCTTGGATTAGGGTGGTAGCAGAGGAAATGGTAAGAAGTGGTCAGACCCACTCTGTTTTGAAGGAATATCAGATTTGGGATAACAGATAAGATGTGGAATCAGAAAGAAAAAGAGGAGTCAAGGATGAATCCAAATTTCGTAGCCTGTAAAACTGAAAGGGTAAAATTGATTTAAACTGATATGAGTCTAGGCCATAAAATAATATTTGGGAACATTATTTTTATTAATTGTGTCCTAATTTTACAATGGCTTGACTCTGGAGCTTTAGGATGATGTCTGTCTCTCTGCTATCACGAATAAAGCTGTGGCTAATATCCTTGGATACAAATACTTGAGAACATTTCTGTTATTTCTCTATGATATATTCCTTTGATCAGGTCAAAGGGCATGAATTTTAAGGCCCTTGATGTGTATTGCCAAACAGCTTTTCAGAAACTTTGCAAATACAGTCGGTATGCTAAAGTAAAGATATACAACATATTTTTTTACTTAACTTTTTATGATAAAAATACATAATTAATTTAACATTTAGTAATACAGTTATGATGCTAAGCATTTTTCATACATCATATTTCATCGTCACGGTATCATATGGTGTAGATATTCTTATCGTATTTTACACATGAGGAAACAATGTCAGAGAAAGCAAACTGTCCAAAATCATATAGTTGGTAGTGTCAATTCAAATAACTGTCTAACTGCAAAGGCTTGGACTGTGAATTACTTTGACACATTGCTTCCTTATCTTAAAACTTCTGTGTGCTTGTCTTTTGGTGTATTTCTTATTAGATATCTTTAGCTGGCTTTTTGAAACTCTAGTTGAAGTCTATATTTTAAGTGGGATGTTTAGCCCATTAATATTTACTATAATAGATATTTAATTTTACCTTTGTTCCTTAAATTATTGTACATGTAGTTTTTTTGGTCTTATATGCCTCCTTGGATCCATTTTATTTGCATTTGTTTATTCCAAAGCTTTGAGTAGTATATATTCTACTTTGAATTTTGTTAATGAATGACAATTTTTAAAGACATATTTCAATTTATATTAATATTTTCCTAATCCTTAATTCCGTAACTTTCACTCATTTAACTCTTGAAATACGTTTATGAAACTTAAGAAATTAATGTAGATTGTATCTTTCAAAAATGGCCGTAACAATATCTCCTGTCCCACTTATTCTTTTAGAACAGGAGTCAGCAGACGTTTTCTGTAAAACAAAACAAAAAAAACAACGCTAGTAAATATTTAAGCTTTGTGGGCCACGTGGTGCCTATGGCAACTACTCAACTTTGCTGCTGCAATACAAAAGTGGCTATAGACAATACATAAATGTATGAGTGAAGACTGTTTGTATTCCAATAACTCTTCATTACAATACCAGCTAGCAGGCTAAGTTTGGCCCATAGGCTCTAGTTTCCTGACCCCTATTTGAGAATGTTTACACTCCTCCATCAAGAGGTGGAAGCTGATTCTCTTCTTCCCATATCTGGGAGGATCTCTGTCTCATTTGTAACCAATGGAATGTGGAAGATGTGGTGTTGCATGACCTAAAAGCTACGTCAGAAAAGACAATGAAACTTTTGCCTTGCTTCTAGACTGTTAGAATCCTGAGCCACCAATGTAAGCAGTTCCAATGCCCTGAGGCTACAATGACATGAAGAAGCTCAAACTAGCACCCCCACCACCAAAACAATAGACCAAAGAAGAAGCCCTGAGATTACATAAAGAGATGCACAAGCTCCGTCCAAACTTGTCTCTCTAATGAAAAAATCTGATTGGGAACCACACAGATAAGCCCTTGCCAAATCTTGACCCACAGAACCCATGAGAGAGAATACACTGAATGTTGCTGTTTTAGATCACAGAGTTTTGGAGTGGTTTGTTATGTAACAACAGTAACTGGGTGATATGGTTTTTCTGTGTCCCCACCCAAATCTTGTCTTGAATTCCCACATGTTGTGAGAGGGGCCCTTTGGGAGGTAATTGAATCATGGTGGCAGGTCTTTCCTGTACTGTTCTAGTGATAGTGAATAAGTGTTAGAGAGCTGATGGTTTTAAAATAGGAATTTTCTTGCACAAGCTCTCTCTTTTTGCCTGCTGCCATCTATCTAAAATGTGACTTGCTCCTCCTTGCCTTCTGCCATGATTGTGAGGCTTCCCCAGCCATGTGGAACTGTAAGTTCATTAAATCGCTTTCTTTTATAAATTGCTCAGTCTTGGGTATGTCTTTATCAGCAGCATGAGAACAGACTAATACAGTAAATTGGTACAGGGAGTGGGGCGCTACTAGAAAGATACCTGAAAATGTGGAAGCAACTTTGGAACTGGGTAACAGGCAAAGGTTGGAACAGTTTGGAAGGCTCATAAGAAGGCAGGAAAGTGTGGGAAAGTTTGGAACTTCCTAGAGACTTATTGACTGGCTTTGCCCAAAATGTTGATAGTGGTATGAACAATAAAGTCCAGACTGAGGTGGTCTCAGATGGAAATGAGGAATTCATTGGGAACTGGAGGAAACATGACTCTTGTTATGTTTTAGCAAAGAGACTGGTGGCATTTTGCCCCTGCTCTAGAAATTTGTGGAACTTTGAACTTGAGAGATGATTTAAGATACCTGGCAGAAGAAATTTCTAAGCAGCAAAACATTCAAAAGCTGACTTGGGTGTTGTTAAAAGCATTCAGTTTTAAAAGAGAAACAGAGCATAAAAGTTCAGAAAATTTGCAGCCTGACAATGCAATAGAAAAGAAAAGCCCATTTTCTGAGGAGAAATTCAAGCCGGTTGCAGAAATTTGTTTAAGTAACAAGGAGCCAAATGCTAATTGCCAGGACAATGGGGGAAATGTCTCCAGGGCATTTCAGAGATCTTTGTGGCAGCCCCTCCCACCACAGGACTGGAGGCCTATGAGGAAAAAAATGGTTTCATGGGTCAGACCTAGGGCCCCTTGCTCTGTGCAGCCTAAGGACTTGGTACCCTGTGTCCTAACCCCTCAAGCCATGGCTAAAAGGGGCCAAGGTACAGCTTGGGCTGTGGCTTCAGAGGTTGAAAGCCCCAAGCCTTGGCAGCTTCCACGTGGCGTAGAGCCTGCAGGTGTACAGAAGTCAAGAACTGAGGTTAGGGAACCTCTGTCTAGATTTCAGAGGATGTTTGGAAATGCCTGGTTGTCTAGGCAGAATTTTGCTGCAAGGATGGGGACACTCATGGAGTACCTCTACTAGGGCAGTACAGAAGGGAAATGTGGGGTTGGAGCTCCCACACAGAGTCCCCACTGGGGCACCACATAGTGGAGCTGTGAGAAAAGGCTCAGTGTCCTCCAGACCCCAGGATGGTAAGTCCACTGACAGCTTGCACAATGCACCTGGAAAAGCCGCAGACACTCAATGCCAGCCTGTGAAAGCAGCTGGGAGGGAGGCTGTACCCTGCAAAGCCACAGGGGTGGAGCTGCCCAAAACCATGGAAATCCAGGTCTTGCATTAGCGTGACCTGGGTGTGAGACATGGAGTCAAAGGAGATCATTTTGGAGCTTTAAGATTTGACTGCCCCCACTGGATTTTGGACTTGCCTGGAGCATGGATCCCCTTTGTTTTGGCCAATTTCTCCCATTTGGAATGTTGTATTTACCCAATGTCTGTGCCTCCATTGTATCTAGGAAGTAACTAACTTGCTTTTGATTTTACAGGCTCATGGGCAGAAGGGACTTGTCTCAGATAAGACTTTGGACTCTTGACTTTGAGTTAATGTTGAAATGAGTTAAGGCTTTAGGGGACTATTGGGCAGGCATGATTGGTTTTGAAATGTGAGGACATGAAATTTGGGAGGGGCCAAGGGTGGAATGATATGGTTTGGCTGTGGGGACACAAATCTCATTTTGAATTCCCACATATTGTGGGAGGGACCTGGTGGGAAGTAATTGAATCATGGGGGCAGGTCTTTCTTGTGAAGTTCTCATGACAGTGAATAAGTCTCATGAGATCTGATAGTTTTAAAAACAGCAGTTTCCCTACACAAGCTCTCTCTTTTTGTCTGCTGCCATCCGCATAAGACATGGCCAGCTATTCCTTGCCTTCTGCCATAATTGTGAGGCCTCTCCAGCCATATGGAACTGTAAGTTCATTAAACCTCTTTCTTTCGTAAATTGCCCAGTCTCAGGTATGTCTTTATCAGCAGCATGAGAACAGACTAATACACTGGGACAGAATTGGACACCTGGATGTGAGGTGCTGCTGTAACAAAAATCTAAAGCATGTTGCATTGGTTTTGGTACTGGGTGGAAGACAGGAGCTTGATCTCGAAGAGCATTTTAGTAAAAATTGGAAGGGTCTCCAGAAAAGTGTTAGAATCCTAACGGCCTTAGGAGCTGTCAGTAAAGGCATAGAAGAAAGTGAAGGAAATATTATTGGAAGCTGGGGGAAGTGAGAGTCCTGTTATTGCGTGGGAAGTTTAGCAGGACTGTTCTTTGCAGTAACATGGAAAAGAGGAAATCAACCTAATCATCTCAGTGACAGCTAAGATTTCCAGGCAGAATGTTGAGGGTGCCTGAGGAGAAGCGAGAGATGAACTAAAGGGCATATTGTTCAGCTTTCGAGTAGAATTTAGAGGACATATAATGTAAAGGGTGAAGAACAGTCTTTTTTTTTCCCAGCGAAATGTTCTCAAAGAAAGGGCCTCAGAACAAAGAATAGGTAAAATTTGGAGTTTTTGTTAAGATCTTTAAAAGATCTAAAGTGGTACTTTATAAAACCTTACAGACAGACAAAAGTACCTCTAAGGATCCTAAGGCATGCCTTTCAAATACCATACCTTCCACAAATAATACAGCTGCTAAGAGTCTTAAAGTCTTAGCTCAAAGAGATTGTGCTTATATGTAATAGAGTGACCCCCAATATGATTTATTTTAAAAAACCCTATAAATATTTTAAAATAATTATTCTAAAGGAAACACCAGAAGCTTGACCTAAAGGAGGCATTTAGACTCCACCTATGAAGGACAGGAAGAAGAAATCTCAGGTACACATCAGCCCACTTTGTATAGAAAAGAAAGAATAATTCACAAGGAAGAGCCAGGAACCATGGAGAACAATTCCCAGAGATTAGAACTGAGGCCCCGTCAAAGAACTGGCAAGATATGTCCTGTTGGATTGCAGATTGCCTCATGCACAGTACATTCTCCCCCACTTTTAGAATGGGCCTGTTTATTAATAGTTATACCCATCTCACCATTGTATGCTGAGTGTGTAGAGGAGGGCAGATGACTTGTCTTTTTAGTTCACTGGCCTTTAGATTGAGAATAATAATATGCAACTTGCTGTACCTGAGGAACTTCACCTGAACAGCCTGGAGTGTACAATCTGATTAGATGACAAGGTCTCCTACAAGCTTGAGTATAGTGGGATGAGAATTCGTGGGTTTTGGGTGGGGTTGAGTGAATTTTGTATGTGAGAGGGATGTGATTTTTTGTGGCTAGAAAACAGACTGTGTCAGATTGTATATTCCAAAGCTGACTGCAAAAGTATCTCCTGCCTCATGTGCCCTTCTAGAACATTGCAACAATCTTCCTAAGATATAGAGTCTAATTTTCCTTCCCCTGAATCCAGGCAAATTATTGACTCCCTTATAACCAATATATTATGCTGGAGGTGACACTTCATGTCTTATGAGGGGGTAGATCAGAAAAGAAAAAACAACTTCCCTGGAAAATTCATGTTGGAGTCCTTACCAAGTCTGTAAGCATTTTCAGTGTCCTGGGGCTGCTATGCTGCTAGTCCCTATGGAGAGACAACATGATTTCATGTGGAGGGTGGGGGTAGAAGGAGAGAGACAGAAAGAGAGAAAAAGAGAGTGCCTGTTCAGTTCCCAGCTTCTCCAGCTCTATCCACCATCTGACAGCAAACTAATAAAAGAGATCTTGTGCCAGAATTACCCAGAGGACCCTTTTCTGAATTTCTAACAGGAACCATGAAAGAGAGTAAAAAATAAAATAAAATAAAATGATTATTGCGTTTTAAGCCACAATATTTTGGAGATAGTTTTAAAATCAGTGATATAAAGCAGAATAGTCGTCAAAGGAGGGAAACTAGAATACTGAAGCTTCTATAAATTGTGTCTTATGAATAATGTTTGAAGGAATTTGGAGTTTAAATATGAAGAAATAAAGTATTGGGGTATGTATTTGGCCACATTGTAAATTTCCTCAGTCTTCAATCTTCATTTATTAATTGATTTGTTTATCTTCAACCATGTGTTGAAAGCCAAGCACTTCTTTAAACACTGGGAAATAAGGCATTATTTTCTCTGATTGCCACCATGGGAGATATGACAACCATGAAAACAAATCATTATAATACAGTTTTCTGGACAGGATATTTAAAGTATTTATAAGATAAAATGGTGGCATAGAGAGTAGGTAACTATTTGAAAAGTTCAGAGAAACTTACGAACTTTGACTTTTCTTTCTTTCTTTCTTTCTCGTTCTCTCTCTTTCTTTCTTTTTTTTTTTTTTTTTTTGTGAGACAGTATCTCACTCCGTCGCACAGGCTGGAGTGCAGTGGCACCATCTCAGCTCACTGCAACCTCTGCCTCCCAGGTTCAAGCGATTCTCCTGCCTCAGCCTCCCAAGTAGCTGGGATTACAGGCATATGCCACCACGCCCGGCTAATTTTGTATTTTTTTTGGTAGAGACAGGGTTTCACCATGTTGGCCAGGCTGGTCTTGAACTCCTGACCTCAGATGATCCACCTGCCTCGGCCTCCCAAAATGCTGGGATTACAGGCGTGAGCCACCTTGCCCAGCCCTAACTTTGATTTCTTAAGGCAGACATTAACAGATAGATATGGATGTGTGATGGAACATTCCAGAAAGAGTGTAAGACCTTACTATTTCCATATCTTCTTCCCCCGACCTTTTTCTGCTTTCTCTTATTTTATTTCAAAACTTGAAAGGCAATTTTCTTCACAAATATGAGAACTTGCCCGTGAAGCATGTGTTGGCTGCTTTGTCTTCTGTATCATGAATTTCTGTTTATATTATTACTTCATTGGTTCTTCATTTATCTTTATTTACCTTATTGACTTGAACACTAAACTTATATGCATCTTTCTCTAAGTAATGCTTTAGTTGCTTACTACAAAGTGTGATTTGTAATTATTTCATTATTATTACATTTAAATATATTTTAATGTTCAAAGTGATATATTTTCTGAAACCCAAAAATCTAAGTGCATGTCTTTTAATAATGTTTTAAATTTAAATTTTTAAATTTTAAATATATTTTTTCTTTCTCACTGTATTACAAAATTATTATAAATTCTATTTTGGTCAGAAAAAATCTATTATTATTATTATTTATTTCTATTATTTCTATTTGAAAATTTGCATTTTAGCCTAATACCTGGTTAATTGTTATAAATTATTCATTGTATTTGCTAGAAATGCCATGATACAAAATACCACAGGCTAGTGGCTTAAACAACTGAAATCTGTTGTTTAATAATAATGGATGCCAGAAGTCTGAGATAAAGGTATTAGCCAGGTTGCTTCTTCTGAGTCCTCTCTCCTTGGCCTGTGGATTGCAGTCTTCTCTCTCTGTCTTCACATGGTCTTAACCTCATCTTGTCTGTGTCTTGATCTCCTCTTCCTACGAAGATACCAGTCATATTAGACTAGGGTCCACCCTAATGATCTCATTTAACCACAGTTACCTCTTTAAAGACTCTGTCTCCAAATACAGTCACATTGTAAGGTACTAGAGGTTAGGAGTTCAACATATGAATTTTGGAGGGGACATAAATTCAACCCATAACATCCACAGATTTTGAAAAAAAGTTTGCAACTAAATTTCCTATGTGGAGAGATCTATTTATGAGTATTATTATTATTATTATTATTATTATTATTATTATTAGAGACAAGGTCTTGCTCTGTTGCCCAGGCTGGAGTGCAGTGGTGGAATCACAGCTCACTGCAGCATTGACCTCCCATGCTCCAGTGATCCTTTCACCTAAGCCTCCCAAGCAGCTGCCACCATGCCGAACTAATTTATTTACTTTTTGTTTTAAAATTTTAATAGAGACAGAATCTCTCTATGTTGCCCAGCTTGGTCTTGAACTTCGGGGCTCAAGCAATCCTCCCACCTCAGCCTCCAGAAGTGCTGGGATTACAGGCACGAGCCACCGTGCCTGGCTTATTTATATTATATCAATCAATCTTGCTAATTGTGTTAAAATATTTTTGTCCTTATTAATTTTTTACCTTATAAAGACATTCACATAAAGGTTGCATTGAAATCTCTAGCCATATGAATTTGTGAATATTTCTATATAATTCTCTCATTTTTTGTTTATATACTTCGAGGCTATGTTATTACCTGCATACAATAATTTTTATAATACCATGGTAAATATTTCCTTTTTTTTTTTTTCTTTTTTGAGATGGAGTCTCCTCTGTCGCCCAGGCTGGAGTGCAGTGGTGTGATCTTGGCTCACTGCAAGCTCTGCCTCCTGGGTTCATGCCATTCTCCTGCCCCAGCCTCCCAAGTAGCTGGGACTACAGGTGCCCGCCACCACGCCCAGCTAATTTTTTGTGTGTTTTTTTTTTAGTAGAGATGGGGTTTTGCCGTGTTAGCCAGGATGGTCTTGATTTCCTGACCTCGTGATCTGCCTGCCTCAGCCTCCCAAAGTGTTGGGATTACAGGCGTGAGCCACCGCGCCCTGCTAATATTTCCTTTTGAAAAACGTTAGTAGATGTATTAGTCAGGGTTCTCTAAAGGGACAGGACTAATAGGATAGATGAATATATGGAGGGATGTTTATTAAGGAGTATTGACTCACACAATCACATGATGAAGTCCCACAATAGACCGTCTGCAAGCTGAGGAGCGAGGGAACCAGGCCGAGTTCCAAAACCTCAAAAGTAGGGAAGCCGACAGTGCAGCCTTCTGTATGTGGTGAAGGCCCAAGAGCCCCCCGCAAATCACTGGTGTAGGTCCAAGAGTCCAAAAGCTGAAGAACTTGGAATCTGATGTTCGAGGGCAGGAAGCATCCAGCACAGAAGAAAGATAAAGGCCAGAAGGCTCAGCAAGTCACTTCATTCCACTTTGTTCTGCCTGCTTTATTCTAGCTGTGCTGATAGCTGATTACATGGTGCCCACCCAGATTGAGGATGGGTCTGCTTCTCCCAGTCGACTGACTCAAATGTTGATCTCCTTTGGCAACACCCTCACAGACACCCCTGGGAACAATACTTTGCACCCTTGAATCCAATCAAGTTGACACTCAATATTAACCATCACGGCAGGGTTTACCTTTTCCTTTCGCTATATATATTTTTATTAAAGTTTATTTTTTTGGATAGGGGCGTTGCTATTCCAAATTGCCTTTGTTAGCATTCTTTTGATTTATCTTTTTCATTTCTTTAGTTTCAGCTATTTTGTTTCTTTATGTTTTGTCCCTTCTGAACATCACATTAGCTAGATATTTTCAATTAAAATCTTTTAACTAGTGTATAGTCTGATTACTTATTTAATTGCTAAAATATTTATGTTTGAGTCGTGAAATTTTTACTTTATTATTATTTACCTTGTTTTGTATTTGCTTTATTTTTTTCCTTTACTCACATTTCTTTATTTTACTTTCCTCTCTTTACCAGGTTGAAGCTTATGTATTTTATTTTTATTCTTTCAGTGGTTACACCTTACATGTTTGATGTGAATGTTTGGCTTATTAAAGTCTAATGTTAATTACTACTTGTATCTTCTTTAAAAATATGCAAGGTTCTTATAGTGCTTGAATTCTGATCACCACCCTCTCATTTTATGTATGGTAGTCCCCCCTTATTTACAGGGAATACTCCAAGACTCCCAAGCGATGCCTGAAGCCTCCCTGGATAGTATCAAATACTATATATACTATGTTTTTTCCTATACATACTATGATAAAGTTTAATTTATAAATGAGGCACAGCAAGATATTAACAACAACAATAGTAAATTAGAACAATTATAACAATGTGCCAGTATCACTACTCTTGCAGTTTGAGACCATTATTAATTAAAATAAGGGTCATTTGAACACAAGCACGGTGATACTGAGAGAGTTGAGGTGATAATCAAGACTGTTACGAAGTGACTAAAGGGCAGTGTGGATATCTGAACAGAGGGATGATTCCTGTCCTGGGTGGGATGGAGCAGGACAGCACGAGACTTCATCAGAATGACATGCAACTTAAACCTATGAATTGTCTATTTCTGAAATTTCCCACTTAATATTTTCTGACCTCAATTGGCCATAGGTAGAATCTGCAGAAAGCAAAACTGACTACTGTATTGCTGATTTACAGCATTTTAATTTAACATTATTTTAACATTATATGAATCATTATACTCATTATTTTATAAAGTTCATGAGCTATAGACAGAATGTTTGTGTCTCCAAAAATTCATATGTTGAAATTCTAATTCCCAGTGTGATGGTGTCAGGAGGAGAGGTCTTTGGGATATTATTAGCTCAGGAGGGTGGAGCCCTCAGGTATGGGATTTGTGCCCTTACAAAAGAGACCCAAGAGAGTTCCCTTGCCCCCTCCTGCCATGTGTGGATGCAGTGGGAAGATGCTGTCTATGAATCTGAAGCAAATCCTCACCAGATATCTAATCTGCCATCACCCTGACCTTGCACTTTCCAGCTTTTGGAACAATGAGAAATAAGTTTCTGTTGCTTACAATCCACCCTGTTTATGGTATTCTGTTAAAAACAGCCTGAACAGGTTGACACCATACTTATATTTACCCATACGTTTAATAACTTCTGCCTACACTTCTTTGGAATTCAATTTCCTTCTTCGGGATTCAATTTCCTTCTTCAACAGGTATGACCTTTCTTTCAGAGAAGGTTTGTAAGAAATAAGTTGAGTTTGCATTGGGTAGAGAATAAGGTTATTTTATCCTTACTTTTGAGAATATTCTCAGATATCAGTTATTTTATCAGGACTTTGAAAATTGCTCCATTGTTTTATTGCCTTATTTTCACTGTTGAAAGTCTGCTATTGACTGGGCATGGTGACTCCTTGCCTATAATCCCAGCACTTTGGGAGGCCGAGGCAGGTGGATCCCTTGAGTCCAGGAGTTCGAGACCAGCCTGGGCAACATGGCGAAATCCAACCTCTACAAAAAAATATAAAAATTAGCTGGGCGTGGTGGCACATGCCTGTAGTCCTAGCTACTCGGGAGCCCAAGGCTGGAGAATCTCTTGAACCTGGTAAGTGGAGGCTGTAGTGAGCCATGATCATACCACTACACTCCAGCATGGGTGAAAGAGTGAGACCCTGTCTCAAAAAAAAAAAAAAAAAAAAAAAAAAAGAAGAGAGAGAGAGAGAAAAGAAAGTCTGCTATTATAAGCTATATGTCTTTTCTAACACTTAATTTCTCCTTATCTTTGGTGTTGGGAAGTTTTTATCTCATATATTGAGGTTTGATGTTTTGTTTTGTTTTAATTCTGCCTAAAACTCATTGTGCTTTCTAACTTTCTATGCTGAAAAATTCTCAGCCATTATTCCTCAAATATTGCTATTCCCTATCTCATCTGTTCTCTTTTTCTGGTACTCCATTTACACACCTAAGGAAAGGACAATCATTTCCAAGAGATTCCTTTTATTTCAGTCTCTCCGTGTTTTGGACATAGGGTATTTTTACAAAGTTACATAACCCCTTAAAAGAATGCTTATTTTATTTTACTCAGTCACTTTTAGGTATTGGTAGCGGAAGAGTTTTAGTTTTACTATCTGGAACCAGGGATTGGGAACTAATCTTCAAACCTTCTTTTTTTATGGTAGGAGAATCTTCTAAAACATAAAATACTATTCAAAAGAACACTATATAAAACAGGGAAACAGAGGAAATGCTTAGGTTAAAGTGAATATACAGTGGCACGTCTTCCTTTTTGCCTGTGATCCCTGACATCACTCCAAGGAGCGGTAGAGCTCCAAGGAACACACTTTGCAAACTTCTTTAATGGGATGAATTTATTTTCATAACCTTTTGACATAAGCCTGATGCCACCAAATGTGCAATGGAATTTTAGTTGGGTGACCTCGATGATAGTCTCAACTTTGCTATTAATTAGCTATGTTAAAATAAAAAAAAAATCTTTAGACAAATTACATTTCATAGAGTTTAATTGAGCAAAGAATGATTCACAAATCGGGATGCCCCAGAACCAGGATAGATGTGACTCAGGAACTGCCACATGATCAGATAACATTTATGGACAGAAAAAGGAAAGTGACATATGGAAAATGAAAGCGAGGTAAGAAGGAGCTGGGTTAGTTACAGCGCAGTGTCTGCCGTATTTGAACATGGTTTAAGCAGTTGGCTGCCTGTGATTGGCCAAAATCACATTGGCTGCTATGATTGGCTGAGACTCTGCTACTTGTCATAAGATCAGGTGCGGTCTGTTCACCCTTCCAGTTAGGTGATACTTCACTATGTATGGAGAAGCTTTTAGGCCTAACTTAAAATACGTAAGGAGGAATCTTTAGGCTACACTTAATTTAACAGCCATATGACCTTATGCAGTGCACTCAAAATCTCTGGAAGTCAGTTTTCTCATTTTTAAAAACAGACTGTTGGACTAAATGATTTCTAATTGCCCCTTTTTGAAATATTCTAGAATTGTTAGTGTTCAACCAGAAACTCTTCTAGCATAATATTCTGGAGATACCAGGAATAAGAATGCCATTCTAGTACTAAGTTAAACACAGTTCTCTCTACTATTTATACTCTCAGGATTATTCAGCAATTTATTTTATGTAGCTTGACCACAAGATATATTTAAAATATGGATTTAAATTTAGACTTTGGCTGAACATTCAGAAATTAAATTCAACCTATAGCTATATATGAAGCTTTATGATTAAAATTAGCTTAAGTGATAAACTTGTGCACACAGCCAATTTTAAGTTTAATATAAGTGGAAGGGAAATAATAGCAAGGATGGGTTTTGAAAAGATGTTTGTAAAAGAAATTCCTCACGAATCTTATTCTTCTTTCAGCCATCACCACAATTGGTCACAGTATTCAACATCTAAGAAGAAGTCTTCAGAATATAAATTTCTCTTTAGTAACTATGCCAACATTCAAAACAAAAAGATTTTTAAGAGGGCTTCATTTTTCTCCTTTTTTACTTTTTAGAAGTAATCATTTCTGCTTCTGAAACAAGTTCATCTAAGTTTATTGTACTACTCTGGATAGAGATTAGGACATAACATAAGTTAGCTGTGTTGTAGCTTATTTAGGATACAGCTAATAGCAGTAGAAAAAGAACTGAAAATGTTGGTATGATACAGTGTTAAATTATATTTTGCAAGCTTTAGCTTAAAGTGTCCCTTATGTTATCATGTAGTTTTCTTTCAATTACTCTTTGAAGCTTCATTTTAATGATCAAATACAGGATAAAACATATTATTTGTAAAATGGGTCAGACTTGACCTGAAGTTGATGCTGTAAATGTACAAAAATTGAATTTGAAACACTTTTAATATGTTGGGTTATACTAGGGAGGTCCATACTGAGAAAATACACATTTTTCCAAATTTTGGATGTAATTTCTTACCTTTTTCTGTGATTTCATATTCAAATTGGTTATATTAGATTTGCACACCTATAATTATCATATTTTATCCCATACTGGACTTCTACTTAGAAGCTATTCATTTAAGATGGTGTTTAGAATTCAGTTAGCTAATGATTAAGCATTCATATTTTAATATTTTATTAAATTAGAAGTAAATGACCCTAAATTCACATGTGAAAACTTAAGATGATGAATTAGGCCTATTTTATGTCAGGAAATAATGTTTGTTATGCAGTCCACTGGATTCTCAGGGAAATTAGAGTAAAGAGACCTCTCTCTAGGAGTTAACACCTACCTCCCAGGCAGAAAGGTTGAACAATCTATCAGGAAGGTCAGATTTTTAATCCCAGAGAATATTCAGTCAGGAAGCAATAGATATTTGTTCACTGTGCCCACTCCACTCGCACCCATTGATGTGAACAACCATAGGCTAGAAACCACTGCAACTGTCATAAAGCACTTGGTGGTTTTGCTCAGATTTGTTATAAAAATAAAGGAAATTGAATTAAAATTCTTATAACAGTTCTTACATACATATAGAAATGAGCAAATGTCAGCTGCTTTGTAAAATTCTTTATATAAAAAGAATTTTGTATACTCTAATTTGTAAATAGTTTTTTGAAAGAAAAATAACAGGCAGACTCATACGGTAATCTTTTTAACAGGTTCTGGGCCACTTTAAGAATAAGTTGGGTTTTTTCCTGTAAAGTTTTCCAGTTTTTATTGGCAGATGTTTCTTATCATCAGATGCTATTAAGTAGATACATTAAGATACACATCATGCTTTGGTATTCAATGAACATTAGAATCTTTCAAAATATTAGATACTAGAAAAATACTTAATGGTAAAGCCAATTAAGTCCATTCCAAATCAGAAATACTTTATGAGTTTCTTTAAAAGTTATTCTTTCAGCCTATACCAGCTTAATAGAAATGCTTGAGTGATTAAATGAAACCCTGTCAGTTGTTGCGATGGCATAAATCTGCAGAGATTTCTTCAGTCAGCTTATCTTATATGCATTCTTTGCTATTGTTACAGAACATAACTTTCCTTTTAGGGACAGAATTTTGTAAGAGATTCTTAATGGTATTACTCTGAATAAATAGATGTCATGTGGGTGAATAATGTTTAGAGTCTGTCAAACACTACCAAGAAATTTTTCTTAACCTCAATTTCCCGTAAGGGCAAAGAGAGGTGATTGCATAAAAATGCAGGTTAAATTCTAAATTCACGGTTTATAAAATCAATTATTTTCAAATATCTTTGTAATAGAAGGTAGAATGAAGACGTAAATGACTTTATTAAAACGTAGCATTATGCACGCCCGTGCCAGGTTTTCTGTTGTCTCTGGTTCATCGGGAAGTATCTGACATAGTGACTGACTACACAGATCAGGCCCAGCTTGGACAGGCTCTGCCACTCACCAGGGTTTGACCAGGTGAAACCGCCATGTGTGTTCGTTAAAAAATTGTGGAATGTCGGCCATTTCATATTGCTCAAGCTAATAAGAGTGTGATCGTGGGCAAATTGTTTAATTTCTTTAGGGCTGAATATCCTCACTTATAACTTGGAGAAAATAAAGTTTATTTCATAACATTATTACAAGAACTAAATGTAATATGCATATAAAATAATTTGCACCTTGTTGAGCAGATAATAGCTGTTTCAGTAGAAGGTAACTATTGTTATACTAACCCTACTGTTACCATAGCAGTAGTGTAGGGAGGTGAGGAACACTGTTATCATGGATAAAATCAGTGTTAGAGAGAGTTCCCTTAGGAAACAACCTGAAGTACCCACATTTCCTTCTTCAGTTCAAGATACCTGAGTTTCTGGGTCTTCCAGAGAAGAGTATGGCTAAGTTCTCATTTGCTGACCCAGAAGAATTCTTTCCCAGCTTTATGCGTGGGCGTCTATTGAGGTTGCATTTATGGCTTTTATTTCAGTTTGAGGGGATTCAAGACATTGACAAGAAGGGATTTAACCTCAGAATCTTATTTTTGGTGAGTTAAAAAAATTGTGTCTTATCTCACATTCACTAGTTCTTTTATTTTCTAGATTCCTCTTAGGACTCTAGATGCACGGAGAGTGGCCAGATTAATACAGACTGGCAAAAGAAGAACTTGGCAAAGTGATTTGATCACACACTTCTCACCCTCACATCTCCTGACAGTTCCCCTAATCCCTGCCCCACTTCCCCGCCATGGGCTTCCATCAGGAAACTCCTTGATATCATCTTCGGTATGTACCTCATAAAGTTAAGAAATGGAATATTAATAACAACTTTTAACATAATCTTCGCATACCAGAAGGAAACAAATGTGCCCAGCACATAATACAAATTTTAGCTGCTTTAAAAATCGTTTTTATTATAGACCTCTCCTACCCCCTTAAGGAAATCAAAGTTGGGGGATTTATGTAATTTTCCCAAAATGTTGGTTAGGAAATGAGGAATTGGCTTTAGAACCCAAGTCTCTTCTACCAAAGCCTTGTTTGGATGACATTCCCTCCTATATTTGCCCATAAAGCCTAGCATTTATTACTCTATATAATATTCACCTATGTACTTGTCTACTTTTTCCAAACTGAGGGCAACTTGAAGGTATGGGATGCTTTTTGTTCATCCTTTTAACTCCAATCCAAACATGTATTTTGTGAATAACTGAAAGAGTTTACTTCCCCCATATTCTTTTCAATTGATACTTTGAGGGAACTTAGCAATGTTTCTGATTTTTGCTTTATCCCTGGATATGGCTTTTGGCAACCCTTAGTTAAAATCTCAGCACCTCCCAGAGACCTTGTACTATGAAATCCTCATCCCTAGCCAGTGCTGTTGTCTCTCAGGTCATAGCTAAAACCAACCCCTTGACTGAGGAGCCCCAGATAACTATTTGCTTGGTCTGAATTGTGGCCAGGAGTGAAAGGAGAAAAAATGGAAAGAAAACATGAACAATCCACTCTAGCAGAGAAATATCAATAGGCACAGAGAAATATTGTAGTAACTGGCATAAGAGGTCATGCCTAAAAAGAACGAGTATAATGCTTGTTGCTTCATTGGAGCCATGAATGTCTTCTCAGAGGCTCTGCAGCATTTTACTCGAGAGGTGAGACAAGCATCAGCTTGGTTCAGGTTTGCACTGATGTTTGAAATTTGTAGTAGGAGATAGATTTATTATTTAATTTATTTATTTAGATTTATTTCAGGTTTGAATCAATTCACCAAGTTTTGAAATAATCATATTCCTTTAGGCTTAAAATTTATTAAGTTAGTGTAGCTCATTTTGGTTTTTGTTTTATGCTTCCACAGAGGTCCTTGGTTACTGTTGAGTGATCAGCCATGGTTATTATGTTGAAGATGCTACGTTCGCATCTTGCTGTCTCTCTTACTACTGCTCTGTAGGAAATCCAGGGACCAAACAGGTCTTTATTATGATTATCAGCACTGTTTACTCAAAAAAAAGTTTACTGAATGCCTTCTGTGGGCCAGGTATTGGAGGAGACATACAATAAGCAAATAAATATGTCATAAGTCAAGGGGGTGATAATTGCTATAAAGGGAAAATAAAGCAGGGCAAGGTGAGAGGGTGCAAGGTAGTAGGCAGCTGTAACTGCCTTATATGGGTGGGGCGGTGAGATTTGACTTCTTCTGTTGAGTTAGCATTTGGGAAGAAACCAGAAGGAAGAGAGGAATTAAGCCATGTGGTCAACTGGAGGAAGAACATTCCAGGCTGAGAGAATAGCATGTGCAAAGGCCCTGGGGAAGAACACTTGATGTGATTGAGGAACAGCCATGAGAGTGGAGGGGAATGAGTCAGAGAGCAAGTGGTAGAAGTCAGTGAGCAGCTGGAGACCTGGTGAAAGACTTTTGCCCTTGGAATGGTGGAGGAGTGACATGACTTGCTCAATAGGGGAATGGAGAGAAAAGAAGTGAAAGCAGGAAGACCAAATTGGAGAATGCTGAGAAGAATCCAGTGTGTCACAGAGAGTGGTGGCATAGGTTGAGGTAGGACCAGCAGAGGTCATGAGAAATCATCAGGCTGTGGACACATTCTGAAAGTAATGCCATCAGGGTTGACTTCTGCACTGGAGAGGGACGTCAATGATGATTCCATAGCCTTGGGGCTATTTGGTACATTAGAATTGCTATTAACTGAGATGGAGGAACACTGTGTGAGGAGAAGCTTTCATGCTGAGTGGGGGCAGCAAGGAAAAAGAGGCAATGCGTTTTTCATTTTAAAGTTTAAACAAATCTAGCTGGCTTTAATTTTGGCATGGAAGGTCTTACATTAATCTGCTGAGATTTTCTTTTGGAAGACAAATCTTCTCTTTAAGGCAACGAGTATGACTTTTATTCATCATAACTTAGAGGGACAATAAATTGAAATTGGTCATGATAAAATACAAAATCTCTACAGTCAGTCTGTGTATACAACTGCCTCCCGTCCTTAAATAACAAGGGTGATTTTGTGGTGTAAAGTCAGGGAGCATATGGTTAATGTAAATACTGAATGAGCTATCTGGGATTTTAAAATTCTGGGCTTAGATTAGATTAATGGAAAGTATTTACTGAGGACCCAAGTACTACCTTTTGGATAATTTAGATCAGGGATTGAAGAGTGGCTTAGAAGTGTACTGAGAGAGGTCCTGGCTGCTGTGGTGGCTCGGAATGTTTTGATGGTTTTCCTGTGACACATAGAGAAGAGATCATGCATGGATGACCAAGAAACCCCTGCTTCCCCTGCACAGAGATACTCACTAAGCATCAATGCTTATCTTTTCCTCTGTATGTGAGTAACTGAAAATTATTGAATTTGGATTTACTTTTTAATCTATTGGCTTGAAGTCCACTTTCTTTAACAATGAAATTGTCCTCCTTATTCAATCAAAGCCACCAGAAACTTGAATCTGTCATAATGTTTAGTCAGAGTAGTTGGGAGGCAATAAAGCCCCCACGATTAATGTTCCCATAGGAAGTAGCCACAGTGACCTCCTCCAGCACTCATGCTAATAAGGCTTCCTGTGTCCTTGTCTGTGTGGAACAAATGCCTCTTCATCAACCAAGCACCACCAAGGCTGAAATTAGGAAATAGAGCCCTAGGAATAACAGACTTCTATAAGGAGGTGAGACTCTCTGACCAGCAGCCTCAACAGAGTAATCTTGTTTCTAAACATAGAAGCAATTTTAGGGCCTCTTTCAGGGCAGGGAGACAATTATTGCCAAAACAAATAAGGCAGTGTCTCTCTACCTCCGGCACTGAGTGAATTCCGTCTGAGTAAGGGCTGTAGCCGGAACAGCAGCACATCAGTTTGGCTGGACCGTCCTAGGCTAAGGACTTCTCTGGATTGTCTTTGAACAGTTTAAGTGTGTCCTCTTAATTGATGGATGAGCTAACTAAAGCAGAATGGGAGACACAGGAGGAGTGCCGTGAGCTTCACACCCATTTGCCTAACAACAAAAATGTACTGTATTCACTAGAGATGGAAGACTTTCGTCAAGAATGTTAATAACATTTGAAACTTCAGGATATAATTTCTAAGATGTCTAAAAATTCTGATTATGCCCTGAAATGATCACTTCAAATGTATCTGAGTGTCACAGAAAGATGGATTATGTTCTTCTCGCCAATTAAGTTAGAACTCTATAAATTGAATAAATGCAGTTTCCACAAATAGCTTTGGTGAGCTTCCAGACTGTTGCTCATTAATGATCACTTAAGGGCATTCTTTTGGACTCCATAGCATCTACCTGCATCGAAGTGTTTTTTTTTTCAGGATTCTACCCTCCACTCCCATCCTATAATTTAACTCCAGGATCTTCTCTTTTATCTCCACCCATCCATAGTAACTTCCACATTGGAGTTTTAAGAAAATGAAAGGTCAATCTGGCTTCAAAATTCATTTATCTTCTTGACCCTTGCCTTTTCATCTTGACACTCTTCGACTCTGGACAGCCTCTGTTTTCTTTCCTCTCTACTTTTGCTTCTGGGCTTCAAAGCAAACCACAGTGATCTTTTCCACTTTTGTGTACATACTCAAGGTCCTAGACTCACCTCCACCCTCACATTTACCCACTGACTTCACTTTCTATTTTAATGAGAATGAGATCACTTCATGGGAATTCTCTCTACTTCATTGCTCATTGCTTCTGTCTTCTTAATTATCCTGTCTTCTTTTGTTCATTCTCTTTTTTTCGCTTCCTTGTAACAAAGTAGAAATTCAGTAAGCATTTGTTGAATGAATAAATTATTGCTTCTTGATCCCAGTCCCTCAAATGGTAGCACTTTGCCCTGCTTCTTCCTGCCCTGCATGAAAACATAATTAATTTTATCTGTCTTAACAGTTTTCTTTTTATAAAAGACAATTTTTTTGATTATGCTTATTGTAGAAGGGAAAATACAAATTTTTTAATAAAATAAAAACTACTCCATAGAGAGAAAAACATTGATAACATTTGGTGTATTTACCTTTTAAAATGTTTTCATGTATTTTTTCAAATTAAATCACTCCTTTGTTTATTTAAAAACATTTCTTTAAGACTCTAATTTCTCTTACTTGTTGCAGTGCTTCTTCACTGAGTCATTTAAAGCAAGTCACTTAATTTTTTAAAGCTTAAATTCATGCATCTGTGAAACTTGTAAGACCCATTGTGTTAATCCATTTTCATGCTGCTGGTAAAGTCATACCCAAGACTGCGCGATTTACAAAGGAAAGAGATGTTTAATGGACTACAGTTCTATGTGGCTGGGGAAGCCTCACAATCATGGCAGAAGGCAAGGAGGAGCAAGTCATGTCTTAAGTGGATGGCAGCAGGCAAAGAGAGAGAGCTCGTGCATGGGAACTCCTCTTTTAAAAACCATCAGATGTTGTGAGACTTATTCACTATCATGAGAATAGCGAGGGGAAGACCCGCCCCCATAATTCAATCACCTCCCACTGTGTTCCTCCCATGACACGTGGGAATTGTGGGAGTTACAATTCAAGATGAGATTTAGGTGGGGACACAGACAAACCATGTCACCCACTTATATAATTATAGTGTGGAGATCAAAGGTAAGAATTTAGTACACAGCCTGGCACATAGTAAATGATGAACAAACATTAACCTTTGTGATTTAGTTTCTCTTTTCACTTTTAAACTTCTTTAAAAGTTTGTCTTCTTTCATTACCTCATCGTTATCAACTATTCATTCCTTTTTCTTGAATAACCAAAAAAAAGGAAGAAAATACAAATTGTCAATATTACGAATGAAAGGAATATAGCCACAGATCCTATAAGCGTAAAAAATAATAAAATATCATAAACAACCTCATGACAACAAATTTGAGAGTGTAAATTAAATAGACAAATTCCTTTAAAATTTCAACTAACCGAAACTTACTGAAGAAGAAATAGAAAATGTGAGTAGTTCTGCATTTATTGGGGACATTTAATTTATAATAAAAAAACTTTTCACAAAAAAAACTTTGTATCCAGATTGTTTCAACACTGAATTCTATACAAAATTTAAGGATAAATTAATACCAATTGTATACAAACTCTTTCAGAAGACAGAATAGTAAGTCACTTCCAACTCATGCTATAAAATCAAAACAACCCTAGTGACATACCTCACAAATACTTTTTTTTTTTTGAGACAAAGTTTCGCTCTGTCACTGAGGCTGGAGTGCAGTGGCACCATCTCAGCTCACTGCATCCTCCGCCTCCCGGGTTCAAATGATTCTCCTGCCCCAGCCTCCCGAGTAGCTGGGATTACAGGTGCATGCCACCATGCCAGGCTATTTTATTTTGTTTGTATTCTTAGTAGAGATGGGGTTTCACCATGTTGGTCAGGCTGGTCTTGAACTCCTGACCTCATGATCCGCCCGCCTTGGCCTCCCAAAGTGCTGGGATTACAGGCATGAGCCACCACACCCGGCCACAAATACATTTTTTAAAAAGGACATTACAGACCAATATAGCCCATAAATATAGACCAAAAATACTCCCAAATATTATCAATTTAACCTAGCCAATGAAGTTTATCCTAGGAATGCAAGGTTGAGTCAATATTTGAAAATATATCTGTGTAATTGGCCACATTGATAGAGTACAAAGCAAAAGCAAAAGATCACCTTAAAAATGCAGAAAATTCATTTGAGAAAACTCAATAACCATTCATAATAAACATTCTAGAAAAGCTAGGAAAAGAAGACAACTTCTGCAATCTGATTTTTTAAAAAAAGCATCTATGAAAATCTATAGCTAACATCTTTCTCAATGGTAGAGGATTGAATACTTTCTCCCTAACATTAGGAATGAGCTTAGTATATCCATTCACAGAACTGCTATTTAATATTATATTGGAGGATCAGGAGTTCAGAGAAGATTGGTGTTACTAGGTGTTATTAGTGATACTTGAGGATGGCTAAGGTATTTTGAAACTATGAAGTATGCATAGGCAGAAGGAATACAGGAACAGTTTGACTAAAGGTTTAAAGGCAGAATTAAATATAGTTTAGTGATAATAAATTGGAAAAATATGTTAGGTATAGGTAAAAAGTAACTTCCTATTCTTATTATAATTTACGTCAAATTTTATTTATGGGCCTTGTATTAGTTTTCTTCTATGTTATATCACAAACCACAAATTTAGCAGCTTGAAAATACATGCATTTATTATTGCACAATTTCTGTGGGTCAGGAGTCTATGTTATATCACAAATCACAAATTTAGCAGCTTGAAACCACACACATTTATTATTGCACAATTTCTGTGGGAGCAGGTTTCTGGGTCTTCTATGGGGTTCAATCAAGGTGTAGCCCATGACTGGTTTCTCATCTGCAGGCTCGATTGGTGAAGAGCTCACTTCTAAGGTCAGTCAGGCTATTGGCAGAATTCAATTCCTTGTCGCTATGGGATTCATGGCATCTTGGTTCTTCAAAGCCAGGAATGGAGGGAAAGAGATACTCTAAAATATCTGTTAGCAAGTTAGTAATATAATGTAACATAACCATAAGTGTGACACTCCCTCATCTTTGCTGTATTCTCTTGGATATAAGCAAGTCACAAGTCACCCACCCTTGAGAGGAGAGGATCATACAGGCATGAACACCAGGAGGCAGGCATCATGAGGGTAACTTAAAAACTGTCTAGCACAAGCCTTCATTTCTGCTCATCAGTAGAAGTCATAGAGATGATCTGAAGTATTTTAATCTCTTCTGATTTAAACAATATTCTTTGGGTGAACTATTCAGTCCAATTAGACTAATTTCCATCTATTCAGTCCAAGTAGAAAAATATCTGTCTGTTCACAGTTCCTTATCTGAGCTTTGTCTTGTTGTCAGAGTCTGTCTTAACCTTTCATCTTTGTCTTACCACTAATTTAACAGGGTCCATGTGGGAATAATCCCAAAGTGACCAGAAAGGGAGAGAAGACAGGGATGAAGGTGAGGTGGGCAAAACATGTGCCTACAAGACCAGGTGCAGGCCAGAGAAAAGAGCAGAAAACTCTTGATACTCAATTGGCTCCTTCACTGTAGATGATGTGCGATTTGAGTTCATTTAATTTGCCACATGAGATATTCCTAGAGCTTCTAGATGGCCACCACCTCACCATCTCACCTCTGTGGATTCTGTGGTGGATGATCCTATAGGGGCACAGTGGTGTACTGTCCAGTGGGAGGATCCATTCTACACCCCACAGACTATGCTGGTGAGGTAACTTTACTCTACAGTATTGCATTTTTGGGGAGTTGGGTGCTGTCAGGCCAGTTTATTCCTTCTACTACTTTCTATAGCCTTCTCTAGGCCCACAAGAGACCTAGGAATTACCACCATACCAAACAAGGCACCTCAGGAAACCAAGGGTGAGCTGTACTCTCTCCCATCTTGCTATGCCACATGCTACCTCTATGAAGTCTGGCAGTGCTGGGTAAGGTTGGCTTAGCAAAAGAAACAAGAAGCAGAGACTAGTTTCTTATATACAGTGTCAGTCCTCAATATCCAGTGAGATTCTCTTGGCGATCCCCTTTCCACGAGGAACCTATTGAAGAGATGGGAGAGGCCGTGCATATAATCATTTTGTCTTAGTCTGTTTTGTGTTGTTACAGCAGAATCTAACAGACTGGGTAATTTATAAACAATAGAAGCATATTTGCTTCATGGTTCTGGATGTTGGGAAATCCAAGACTGAGGAGCTGGTATCTTGTGAGGGCCTTCTTGCTACATCATAACGTGGTAAAAGGCATCACATGAAGAGAGAGCAAGACAGGGCTGAACGTCCTTTTATAAAAAACCTACAATAACAAAACCACTCTCAAAAGAACAAACCCACTCCTGTGATAACTATATTAATCCATTCATAAGGGCAGAGCTCTCATGACCTAATCACCTCTTAAAAGTTCCACCTCTCAACACCATTGCACTGGGGATTAAGTTTTCAGCACATGAACTTTGGAGGATACATTCAAACCATAGCACCTTTCTTTCCTTTTCAATCACTGTCATTCCTAAACTCTCTTCTATTTTAAATTCCTTGAGTCTACCCTAATAACTTTCCTGGGTAGGGGAAAAATTGGGTCTTTAGGTTTGTGTTTCCTCAGCAACAGCTTTCATCTTCTACCTGCTGTTTCTTCATTAAATTTAGTAGTTTGCAAATTTGTGATGTCTTAGATCTATGTCTCAGGTGTGAAGGCTGAAGAGTTAGAAGGGGGTTGAAGTTATCTTGGGAACACTGGAGAAAGAGAAGCAGAACATGTGTATTGAGTTATTGCCATAACAAACATTCACATTACTTGGCATTTGAAAAAATAGACTTTTGGGGGACAATGAAGGAGTGTGCCTAAGGGAGGAAGTTGGCGCCATAGATTGGACATGACAAAGGTGCCAGGCTGGGGTTTGCCTTGGAAGTCTGGCAGAAGAATGGATGATGTGAATTACTTGGACTCTGCTGTTAGTGACAGTCCTGTCCATCACTGTTTCTGATATTCTGAAATTTGTGATGGCTTAGAAATGAAACTAAAAGCATTTAAAAATTTTGAGTAGAAAGTGAAATTTTCAGACTTAAGGGACTTTGAAGTGAAAAAAAAGTTGAGGCATAGAGCTTTAAGAGTCAATTTCCATCTTCGTTAGCTTTTTTTTCTTTACTTAAAAATATCATCTTAAAAAAAAAAACACTGAGCCCTTTATCACAATTTTTCTCCATACTTTCCTCTTCTGGTTTATGGACTTCTGCATAGGAATTAGTAAAATTTGTAGGCAAAACTTTAGTTTCATATGGGACCCATTTAATTGTGTACCTTAAATCCATTGGAAAGCTAGAATAAGCTTTCATCTTAAGAAAGTTCTTTCTGAAGATAATGGGAGGCTTCTGTTTATGGACCAACAATTTGAGGAATGTAGTGATCACATGTATACAAATAAATGGCTCAAAAAAGGTCCTCAATAAATCATAATTATCACTTATTATTGAGTCTAGAATGATAAAAGAATTAACAAAATATGTTTTATAGGCATTTATTTAATTTAAATAATGCTTTATCTAAAAGTCTGAAATTTTGAATGATATAAGGGAAATTAAAATAATTGCCTTCTATTTTCAATTAACTACCACTATAACCAAACCATAAAAATGTTTATTTTTTTGAAATACGAATTTTGGTAACATCCTGTATGTCTCAATGTAGCCTATTGATTAAATAAATTATATAGGTATTTATATCATATAAAGTATGTTGTCATTAAAAATAAATCTGAAAAGTAAGTGATATGTGAAAATGCTCTTATGATGTCTTTAAAAAGTTTATAAATTAGTATGCATAGTATAATTTAATAGTTCAGAAAATTTTGAGAAATCTCTAGAAATATAAGGCAATATGTTAACAACTTTTTTTGTGGTATTATGAATCATTTTTATTTTAATTTTGCTTTTATATATCTTTAAATATTTCTTACATAAATATGTACTTTAAAAATCAGTTTTGTTTTTTTTTTTTAAGAGACAGGGTCTTGTTATGTTGTCCAGGCTAGATTTGAACTCTTGGGTTCGAGTGTTCCTCTTGAGTCAGCCTATTGATTAGTTGTGACTAAAGACATGCACCACTGTGCCCAGCAAAAATTGAGATTTTTAAAAAATCAAGTTTAAAAACATGTTTTTCACCCAAGGAAAAATGGTACAGTTGCTTCTGAATCCATGGTACCGACAATAAAATCATTCAAAACATGTTTTTCCTTCGTAAGATTTTGCAACAATAAGCTCTTGTCTTTATATAAGGTTGAGTAATTTTTATCAGGTTTTCAAGCCAGCATTCATTCAGGAACATTCAGATTTATGTAAAACCATTTTTTTTCTCTTGACAAAGATTAGTCTGTCTTGAATGACATTAAATGTCATCACTCCGGGTTCAAATTATTGTGCATTTGTTTTCTGTGGGCTGGATTTTGCCTAATCTTCAATCTGTAAATACACTTTAAAGGTTTGTTAGAACCTGGTAACAAATTATTTCATTACCTTGTTGAAGATACTGACAGTGGCTTTTATTTAATTTCAAGAACAGAGCATTTGCTCCTCTTTTTAAATGGGAGAATGTGTTTATGATATTTAGAACTGTATGCTGACTGCATAGGCCTAGGCTTAGCAAGCTTTTTACATAGGCAATTTCAGCATGTTTCATATGGAGATTTAAAAAAATCTAAATTTTATGTGAAAAACAAAACATTCTAGGGTACTGGTTTGAAGCAATAAAGAGATTTGAGTGTCACTAAACTGGTGCAGTAATGCATTCCTGTAGCCAGTACCACTTGTGATTAAGGAGGATATTGAATATGAAGTAAAAAAATTACATAAAATTATGGATTAGCTATATCTTTAATATTTATATAGCATTAAGTCACTTAATATCAAAAGAAGGCCCAATGATGAAAACATAAACTAATAGGCTTGGAGTTGGTCTGTATGGGGAGAGATACTAAAATATGGAAAAGTAAAAAATAGATGGAAATACAGTTATAATATAAAAGTAATTTAAATATATATGTACACATACGTATATAATGAATATATATGTACACATACGTATATAATGATATATATGTACACATACGTATATAATGAATATATATGTACACATACGTATATAATGAATATATGTACACATACGTATATAATGAATATATATGTACACATACGTATATAATGAATATATATGTACACATACGTATATAATGAATATATATGTACACATACGTATATAATGAATATATATGTACACATACGTATATAATGAATATATATGTACACATACGTATATAATGAATATATATGTACACATACGTATATAATGAATATATATGTACACATACGTATATAATGAATATATATGTACACATACGTATATAATGAATATATATGTACACATACGTATATAATGAATATATATGTACACATACGTATATAATGAATATATATGTACACATACGTATATAATGAATATATATGTACACATACGTATATAATGAATATATATGTACACATACGTATATAATGAATATATATGTACACATACGTGTATAATGAATATATATGTACACATACGTGTATAATGAATATATATGTACACATACGTGTATAATGAATATATATGTACACATACGTGTATAATGAATATATATGTACACATACGTGTATAATGAATATATATGTACACATACGTATATAATGAATATATATGTACACATACGTATATAATGAATATATATGTACACATACGTATATAATATATATATGTACACATACATATATAATAAATATATAATATAGTATGTATTTTACGTTTCTTATATACTTAGTATATATTTTATTCTATTTTCAACTACTTTCTTTAATAAATAGTTTTCCATGATTATCTCATAGCTTTAAAACCCATAATTTTTAATGTTTGTATATATAATACCTCATCAGAAATAGAAGTTTAGCTCCCTGTTGCTGGATATCCATAGTGCTTCAATTTGTAGGTAATTATAAATAATGACATAATAAACATTTTCATATAAACAGATTTGTATATATTTTCTATTATTTATAATAGAATCGAATTATTGTGGGAGTTTGTATCAATTTATATCACCAAAAAATATGCACTTATTTTAGTGCGCCTTTATTGTTATCATTTTTTAATTTAACTTTTGGTCTTTTAGCACCTACAGATGCCTCATTCTTTAAGGTTTGTGTGAGTTCTTCATTTTATTGTAAATTCTCTTTTTCATTCAGCTATAAATGTCTTGTGAAGTGTAACACGATTCTTACTGCATGTTGTAGGTATGCTATTTCAGACCACAAACTCACGTATAACTTTCTTTTTTTTTTTTTTTTTTTTTTTTGAGACGGAGTCTCACTCTGTTGCCAGGCTGGAATGCAATGGTGTGATCTCGGCTCGCTGCTACCTCTGCCTCCCGGGTTTAAGCGATTCTCCCAAGTAGCTGGGACTACATGCATGCACCATCATGCCCAGCTAATTTTTGTATTTTTAGTAGAGACGGGGTTTCACCATGTTGGCCAGGATGGTCTCGATCTCTTGACCTTGTGATCCACCCACCTCGGTCTCCCAAAGTGCTGGGATTACAGGTGTGAGCCACTGCGCCAGGCCTATTTTTCTATAACATAACTTCACACTGCACTTATTTCACTTCATGGAAGAAATTAAATCATCATCAACTCAAAGTAAACTTTACTCCCCTCACTGGCACGTCCCTCAGTAAATTCAGAGTCTTGAGTTCAGTCTACCCTGGTCTCCAAGTTTATATCCATAGAGCAATATGAAGTCTTCTTGTCCAAATCACATCATGCCACCATTTTAATCCACTGCTTTTACCCTATAATAGGCAAGAATTCAAAAATCCTGACAACATGAGTCATGCCCTCTCTCTTGGCTTCTCCTATAAAGTTAAGCACAGGTATCCTCTAGTTTCAGATCTCTCAAACCTTATTTAAGATCATTCATCAGCATCTTATGATATTATTTCTAACTAAACATCTCATTATTTCATCCAGGGATTTTACCTCTCCCAAGGCAAGGGAGAAACATCCAGCTTAGTAAACAATCTTCTAAATCTCCAAGGTACCCATAAGGACTAGAAACCTGGGCAACTCATGAATAATATTATCAAAGACATTTTCAATTTGTAAATATATCGTTAGTATTACCTTTGTTTCCAGACATGTGGGTATGCATGACAAGACTTCAGCTTTTGAAGTTCAAAAGTCAAGAATCAACCTTCTTTTATATACTGGGGTCTGTCAAGCTACCAAAGTGAAATAATCTAGCCTTCTGGGTTGAGGTGAGGTGGGTGGGGGGGCATGGGAGAACACATAGGTTAATACTTCTCACTATTATTCTAGTATCCACAATAAATATTTATCTGTGTTCTTGAGAAATGGCCAGCAAACCACTTTCAAAATATTACTTTTTTATTGAACACATAGGACAGAAGAAGTGAATTAAGTCTAGATGTTGACAAGAAATCTATAGATATTTAATTTTAGTTCTTGCTCTAATTCTATAGTTAGTCTGTTTTAAATATGACATGGGTGCTTTTGTTTCTTTGGTGGCTAGAACAGCGCCTGCCACCTAATACATGTTCAATAAATATTTGATAAAGAAATAAATAGTAGGACTGCCATTGTTGGGCCCTGTTAGACAGGCAGGGTCCCCTTGGCAGAGACAAATCTAAAGGCTATTTGCAGACATGATCTAGGTAAGCATAGCTGTAGAGCTGCCCAGATTTATATTCCAAAGAGCCAAGATCATGGCTAAGAAAACGATGGCAGTAGTTAGAAGAGTGAGATGGCAATAAAAATTTGAGACTGACCACAAGGCAAAACACAACACAATTTGGTTCAAAACTAGGACTGTAAGTGTTAAGTACAAGTATCTCATTTTTTTGCATGTTGAGGGCAGCTTAAAGGATCCATGTCAGACCTGACCTGTTCTGTGTTTTCTGGAACTCTGTGTGCTATTTTTTTATTCTCTACTAATCTATGATTCTCTCAGATTTACCACATCCTTTCTGCTATGTCCCTGTAGCTCATCTGTCATTGAAGAATAATGAAGGAACATTTGAATGAATCTCCTATAATTTCTCATAAATGCAGTAGTATCTGGAGCAAATGGAAAGAAATTAGTTAAGAAATGAAAAGTATGGCATTTTTGAATTCTTTGACTCTTCAATTCTCAGTCAAGTGATAGCATATTCAATCTTTTTTTTCTTTCTCCTGTAGTTAAGTGGTAAAAGCCATCTTCCTTCCATATGTCAATTGTTATATGTGAAAATACTACTGGGAAAGGTGATCTTTGAAGTTAGAAAAGTTTGTTTGCTTTTTATGCTAATATTGGTTAAATATACCCTTCTCTGTTTTGTTTATTATTTTATTAAGAATTGACTTAGAGAACTTCACTTTCATTGACGTTTCACAAGCCTTGTCTCAGTCTATGAGTTGCATTCAATAACTTAAAATCATTCTGGTCTTTTTACTAAGGCTCACAAAATTTATAATATAGGTCCCTACTCTCATTTCCTTGTCAACTCCTCTGTATTTAAATATGAAGATATTTTGACTTTAATACAGCAAGACCAACGTGGTCTGATCTAATATATACTATCTCTATTATGAAATACTCAGGAATTTATTTTGTGAAACAATCTTTTTTTCTTAAACTTGCATTTGTATTAAATACATTTCTTTCTTTTGTTTCATGCAAACTGAATGATTCTCTGCTAAAATATACGTTAAAATCCTATTCAAAATACATGAGTTTTTAGAAGTTTTAGTTACAGTTACTATAAATCAGAACATGTATAGATTTAACCTATTCCAAATCTGCCTCTCTTTTCAGAAAATACATGAAATATAATGGGAAGGGTTTTCTACTCAAGTAAGAAGGTAGTCAACTTCAAGGAAAAGTGGGAAAGATAATCTCTAAATTTGCCAAGGGAATAACTTTTAAAAGTGCAAAAAAAAGATATGTTTAGTGGTATTCTTGGAGAATTATCAGGCACATTTTTATTGTGATTTAAGAAGTGACCTTTTTATAACTTGAAATTAGTTTATCAAGTAAACTTTCAAGTGAATATATTTAAATTAAAAACTAAACACACACATACACACTCACAGACAGAGACACACACATGCACAAATCAAAAATGAGTTCATTCTTCATCTCCTGTAGGTGTTGATGTAGACTGTGGTTGCAAAATCCAGTTATAAGAAGACTGCTGAACTTTATCGATATAGACACTATTCTAATGCTACCAGTACTCACAGAAACATTCTGTTGTATTAGCTGTTATGATTCTAATCAAATTCTATACTTCTGTGTAATTCCATGTGGTCAAAAATTTGCGTATTTATGCTAGAATACAGTAATAAATTTCTTTCTAGAGCTTTGTTTCTGCCTATGGTACTTTATTTTTGTTTTATTCTCTTTGTATTATAGAGAAATGTTTGGATTTGAATGAGGGAATGATTTGCATTTTAGCTTCTGAATTCTTCATTACTGTGTTTGTTATGATCCTGATTTTCATACTTTCCATGTCTGTTTTCTGGTTTAAAAAACTCACATCTGTTTTTGGCTCTGGCTTTTTGTCCTTCTTGATTAATTTAATTTTAACAATATCTGTGATTTCTCTTCTATCAGTAAATGGGCCTTGTCATTTTTCAGAGAGCCTCTTGTTTGATTCTGACCTTTGGTACTTGATATAGTTGAAGTATTTTTCATAATATTTTCTATGGGCTATTTACTCATTATTCAGCTTTTGCTTTTTTCATGATCTTTATGTCAACTTCATTCTAATTAATGAATATTAATCTAATCTAATATTTTTCATTTTACTTTGTACTAGATTTTTTCATATGTCCTCACTTGTTTATTTTATTTAAAAATAAATGTAAAAAATACTATTTTTGAATATAGTAACAAATGCAAGTAGCAAAATATGCATACACATGAGAAATGTGTTTTTTGCTCAGCTTATCTGTCTATTATAAAAAGAACACAAAAATATTAGAGATAGCAATGGAAGGGTAGGGTATGGCCATGAGTTGGGGATAGAGCAAGAAGCAGTATTTGTTTTTAATATTTTATTGTAAGTCTAGAGATTTTCTTTGATATTCCTTTTTCATCTTTATTCAGATTGGTTTCATTTTTATCAAAAGTAAAAGTGGAACAGATAATGACTAAGAGTTGAAGATTCTAAAAGAACACAAATCTGGAGAATGTGTGTCCCTTCTGAAGTAGAGAGCTGATTGCCGGGATTCCTGGGTGACAGACCCCTAAGCCAGGGCAGGCATAGTGCCGTGGCTGGAATAAAGGGACAAATAAAGGGTCAAGACAGACAGAAAGGGTTCATGTCTCCATGGAGCCTGGCTGTGTGCAAGACAATCAGAGAAGAGATCTTCATCTGATTTTTCATGGAGTCCCTTGTGCTACCTCATAGTAGGAGGCAAAAAAAATTTTTTTTCTTTAAATCCCTAAACAGAGAAGAAAAATTCACTGAGAGATAAAACTCCTTTAATGATAAATGAATTGACAATATTTCCGGAATTAATCTTCTTAATATTCTTAAAGTTAGGTTCCAGCATTATTTTTGGAAACTGCCAATGTGTTTTTCAACAAAATATTTTATTGATCTGTTGTGTATCAGACATTGTGATAGGAGTTTGCGAGGGTCTGCCATACTGTAATAAACCGTACAGGTAGATCCATGCTAAGAATTAAGAGAAAGAGAGGTAAGGCAGTGTTGCTATGCTCCTTGAAACCACAGTTTCTCCTGAAACATCAACAGAGTGCCTAAGACATAAAAGGTGACAAACAACTAATTATTAAATTAGTAAATTGCTGCAGTTAAAATGGGTTTTATCCAAAAGACAGGGAATAACAAATGCTGGCAAGGAGGTGGACAAAAGGAAACCCTTGTACACTGTTGGTGGGAATGTAAATTAGTACAACCACTTCGGAGAACAGTTTGGAGGTTCCTCAAAAAATTAAAACTAGAGCTACTATATGATCCAGCAATGCCACTGTTAAGTATATATCCAAAAGGAAGAAAATCAGTATATAGAAGAGATATCTGCAGTCTCATGTTTATTGCAACACTGTTCACAATAGTTAAGATATAGAATCACTCTAAGTGTCCATCAGCAGATCAATGACTAAAATGTGTTATATATAAATATATATATTCAAAATATATTGATGATGTGATAAATTATGTGTGTATACACACATACAAACACACACACACAATGGAGTACTATTCAGCCATAAAATGAATGAAATTCTGTCATTTGCAACAACATGGAGGGCAGTAAAGGACATTATATTAAATGAAATAAGTCAGGTACAGAAAGACAAATTTTGCAGGTTCTCCCTCCTAAGTGGGAGCTTAAAAATAATTGAACTCTTAGAGATAGAAAGTAGAACAATAGTCACCAGAGGCTAGGAAGGATAGTGGGGAAGAGGGGATAAAGAGGGGACGGTTAATGAGTATAAAAATACAGTTAGATAGAAGGAACAAGATCTAGTAGTCAATAGCACAATAGGGTAATTATAGTTAACAATAATTTATTGTATATTTCCAAATAACTAAAACAGTGGAATTGGAATGTCCCTAATACAAAAAAAAAAAAAATGCTTGAGGTGATGAATATCCCAATTACCTTGATTTGATCATTACACATTGTATGTTTGCATCAAAGTTTGACATGTACCCCATAAATACACACAATTATATTGCAACCATAAAAATTAAAAATAAAAGAATTTAAAAATACATAAATTAATCATTGCATATTTTATCAGAAAACATTATTTAGAGGATCTGTCTCTTTCTGTCTGTTTCCTAACTTATTTTTGGGAAGTTTAACAGTGTTTCCTAGTGCCCTTAAGGCCTCAGAATTTTTCCCTCTGGCTTCTGTTGAGTAAGAGTTTACCGTGTGCCTGATTGGGATACTTGTAAGGTCTAGATATGGAAGAGCCTCCTCAGGTGAGTGTACAGCCCTCTTTGCCTTAGGTTTGAAGGCTTTCTGGATTTGTAGTTTTATACTCCCTTAAATCATTTTTTTAGAGTATGTAGTTTAACTTTACATTTTATTCTTATTTATTCATTTTAAGTTTATTGAATAAATATTTATTTGGTACTACCTACGAGCCAGACTCTGCAAGATTCTGGGGAAACAACAATGAGAATAACACCAACATTGTCCCTTGCTGCATGCCAGGGAACTTACAAGCTAGTCAAGGAGAAGATGTGATTCAAATGAATGAAGGAGACCTTGAATCAGGAGTGTTCTTATTTTCCTCACGTTATATTCTCAGTGCATAGGAGGGTATTGAGCAGCCAAATAATTGCTATAAGTCCATGTTTACCGAATGAAAAAAGGAATAGGATAGAATTTTGTTAGAACACGTTAAAAAAGAAAGAAGAGGAAGAACAGGAGGAAGAAAAAGAAAGAAGAGGAACGGAAGAAGGAAGGAGAAGAAAACCACTTGACCTAGGAGGTTTTTGTTGTGTTTTGTTTGTTTTTCCTGATGATTTGCAAAAGACTTTCTTGAGCAAGTGACACTTGAGCTGAGATCTGAAAGACTGACAGGAGATGGTACAGGTAGAGAAAAAGAGTACTCCAAACAGAGGGAGTAGTATGTTCAAGGGCCCTGTGGCTGGAAAGGGCCTCCAACTGAATGGTGGTTGCTATGGTGAGGCTGCAGGGGGTTGGGTGAAAAGGTGCTTAATGTGGCTATAGAGATTGCCAGGGCCAGGTCATGTCAGACCTTACTGGCTGTACATTGGAATTTTGTTTGTATCCTGAAAGCAATGAGAACAATAAAAGACTCTATTTCCTTTAACAATTTAACAATCTGGTTGCCAGTTATTGGGTCTGGTATATTACTTACTTCATATTTACTAATTTAGTCATATTTACCAAAGAATGTGAGGACTATTATACAATTGTGAACCCTTCAAGCTAGAAAATTTTCTCAATTGTTAAATATTTGAAAACAGAGATTGTAATAAAAGTAAAAGACATTGTCATAAAGGCAAGTAAAAGATTGTCATAAAAGACAGTGAAATCTAAATCCTTTTACTATTAACATAATTTGCCTTTCAGATTACTTTAAACAGTATTTATGTAGCACCAAGCAGAAAAGCATAAGAAGCCTGATTATCTCTTTTCACATATATTTTTAAATTACCATATATATTACACATAAAAGAACTTATCTACAATGATAGGTGTATGTGTTTCAAATGCTACAAATTTTAGAAGAGAATTGCATTTTTCAGGTCCCATCTCTTGCTTCAGCAACATTCCAATGGCCCCAGAGAAAACATGGTCAGTACTGCAGGTGACTGCTGCCTTCAGTTACAGTTCCCAAATCTGCAGTGACTTGGCCCGTCATGCACCAGCTGTGCTAGTGCCCTTGTCTGGCAAATATACCCAACTCCTGCTCTTCCCTCCAGGCAGTCCCTGTTGAATCAAAAGCCCCTCTATTACTTCATTCTTCAGCACGCTGGAAAGCCCCTATGTCCCACTCCTAAAGCAGTTAGAGCTGTGCATTCCTCTCTCTCTTCCTTGCTTTTCCTGCTAATCTATAGGCTCCTGGAGGGCAGAGATGCCCGGACCTCTGTCCTGTCATTTAACTCTGTGATTTGGAGCAAGTTTTAAAGCCTCTTTTAGCCTCTGTCTCATGGTCTGTAAAATAATAACAAAAAATACTTCTATAGAACATCTGTATGCCCGCAATTGTATCTGTTCCTCACAACATCCCTCTGAGGGAAGCACGGATATCACTTCCATTTCAGAGATGGAAAAATCTGACATACTGAGAGGTTATTTAATCTGCCCAAGGCTAGATAGCTAATAAGTGGTAGTTGAAAGCGTGGTAGTTGAAAGCATGGTAGCTGGCACCAAGTCTACACTATTAACTTCTCCGCTGTGCAGGTATTACCTATCATATGGTCATAAGAACCCTTCCTTTTACTGGATTTTTTTTTTTTTTTTTGGAGATGGAGTCTCACCCTGTCATCCAGGCTGGAGTGCAATGGCGCACTCTCAGCTCACTGCAACCTCCACCTTCCAGGTTTAAGCGATTCTCTTGCCTCAGCCTCCCGAGTAGCTGGCATTACAGGCATGTGCCAGCAGGCCAGCTAATTTTGTGTTTTTAGTAGAGATAGGGTTTCACCATGTTGGCCAGGCTGGTCTCAAACTCCTGATCTCTTGATCCGCCCACCTCGGTCTCCAAAAGTGTTGGGATTACAGGCATGAGCCACTGCGCCCAGCCTTTACTGGATTTTTATGACATTATTTTTGTGAAAAGTTTCACACGATGCCAGGCACAAAAATCAACTCTCAATAACAATTATTTATATTTAATTTTCAATTAAATTTAATTTTTCCTATTTTCAGAAGAGACTAGTGAATTTATAAAAAGTTTTCTTCTGATCTGTGCCTTTTATTCCTTTTTTAGTATTTTAACCTTAATACAATTAAATAAATGAAAAGCTATATGCAGAATTATTGTGTTGTATTTTGTTTTGTTTTTCTTTAGAGCCTCACACTATTTCTATGACTGAAAACTACATTCTGTGTAAATGTAAGTTTCCTTTTGAATGCATTACAAGTGGAACTGACTTTTCCAATTACCTACTCAATTGACCTGGTACAAAGAAGGTTAAAGTTCCAACCTAATATATGATCATTAAACCTTTTCATGTAGCTTTTCAGACAAGGCAGTCTGGGAAAATTCAGAGACAACATCATTTTTGGTGCCAGACTGATAAAGCATTTAGCATTTGTCAGTTTTAGGAGAAAGAGACATGTTGATATATTAATTAGACATAATCCCTCTCTTTGGACAAAATGGATTGGTTCTGTTTTTTTTTAAAGTCTGATAATTAAAGGTACATGTAAGCTCAGATAATCTAAAAAATCTTCTAAATAATACTAGAGCTTGGAAATATGTATCATATGTATACACACACACACACACACACACACATATATATTTGGGAAACACGCACTGACAATATTTTGCACCATCATATTGTTAATTTCATGACTGATAATTTCACCAAGGATGATTTCCAATGCCTAGTACCAGTAAAGGTAAATTAAGAAAAGAAGTTTTTGAAAAAAAACATCACTTACCTAGGAAACAACTTCTTAGCTGCCACATGCCTCTTCGACTTTGTAAACTTTTTTTTTTTTTTTTGCCGATTTCCGAAATGTTGCAAAAACAAACAGTGGTAAATCCAATAATTGTTCTCCAAGATTTGGGTCTTAGTTGAAATCAATCATGTAGGCCATTTATCTCCTCTTTTTCCTTCTCTCCCCCACCACCAGACTGGTGTGGGCTGGTGATATGAATGGCGTTTAGCCACATGTGTTTCAGTTTGGGGATCCTTAACCATAATTGATGAAAGACTGTTTTCTTTTCCTTTAAGACAGATAAACAGCATGCTTTAGGAACTGTGGATCACATCAGTTTATGTGAAAATAACTTTAAATTCCATATTTTAAATATTTTACAAGTTTTAAAACATTGAGTTTTATGCATAAGTATTCAGAGACAGCAAATGTCAGTATTTCATAGTTCAGAAAAAGACTGATCCATTTTTGTCAGTTTAGAGAATTAGCCATTGTAAACATAACGTAAATGCTTTATAGTATATTATATTATTATGTAGGACTAAAATGCTTAGGAAACTTGCATTTCTGTTAACTTACACTTTGGTGTAAACCAAACTAGATTTGGTTTCTTAATGTATTTCCTGTGATACAAGTAAAAAAGAAATTTTTGTTTGTTTGTTTGTGTCCCTGGATTTTGCTACATAGTATCTGATTTCAGAATATATAGATGGTGGAAATTTAGGTTTAATTCCAGCAATTCAAAGTAGCTATTGTTAATACCTCTATCTCTCTGTTTGTCCCTCCTTCTCTCTTCATCTATCTGTCAGAGAAGAAAACTGAGGCATAGAACATTTGGGAATGAATCTAAGACTACACATCTAGAATAGCAGAGGTACGTTAAAACCCAAATTTCCTATCTTTGATTAACACTCTGTTTTAATTGTAAAATAATTACATATTTATTTAATTATAATTAACTTAATAATTTCAACTCGTGAACAAGATACAGATTATAGCATTTCCTTGTATGTAAAGTCTTCATTTGAAACATATATTGGTGCCTTTGTCGGTTACATTAGGTAGCGACATTCACGTGGTAATTAGATGTAGTATTTAATTATATCACAGAATATATAATTATTTCTCTTCATTTTGAAGGGCAAAATCTCTCTTTCTGACTTTAGAAATAGGACTTGGAAACGAGGGGCAAAATACCTTGGGCTATTATCTTTGACTTTCATTAAATTTTGCAGACCTCAGGATATTGTGTGCCAAGGTGCTATGAAATATTTTATTAAAAATAGTCACAGCATATGTTCGTGTTCATGTTAGCTTTGTATTCATTGATTGGAATTATACAGTGCAAATACTTGGAGAAGCTGCATATGTGCTAAACTAGCTGTGAGTCATGAATCCTCCTAACTCTTGATCTCATCAGGACTTGTCTTATCAAAGTCAGTGGGAGTAGAGATTGTGAATCCCCTCCCACGTGCATTCAGACACGCAGGGCTAGCTTTCTTGGCGCTGCTGATGCCCAAGATAAGAGGTGATGGTGAAAGCTTGTGGCTATCATGTGCTTTCTGTGGAAAAACACTGTAATGTGTTACACCCAACATCCACTTCTAATGACGTCAAGATACACAGCTTTCTGTTAGAAGCAGGCTGTTACCAGTGCAGTTCAGATTTGGTCTAAAGACTTGATCACATTACATTCTTATTCTAATAAGAATATTTCAATTTTAATATTCTAATTCTTAGACTACTTAAAAAGAATCCTGAGACAACTCAAATGACTCAAGACTATCTCTAATGTCCCAATGTTCCACATTTTCAGCTGGTTCAGTATTAGGAATTGACACCCAGCCAGAAATGTTCAATGATTAGCTCTTTGTAAACTACACTGAAAGAGATCTTTAGCTTTACTGTACATGTTTACAATGTTTTCTTTTGCCAATTGGAGGAGACACTGGAGCTTAGGATAGACTCATGCACAGGGTTTATAGGATGTCAGACAAAATGATTTTTATTGAGGAAGGGTCAAGTTGTGTTTTTCGTTGTGTCACACTATACAATATGAGGGCCATGTTATAAAAATTCAGAGCTCCCACAAGAAGGCAAAGGCTAAAAATGGTGATTTAAGACTACATTATCCTGTTTCTAATTCCTTTTCTTTCTTCCTGCGGAAATGTAATTGCAGAAGCTGGGAGAAGGGATTGGAGTGTGGGCTTCTATATCTGTCTTGAAGAGAGTCGTAAAGCCTGTTTTACGAGTCTCTCTCTAGCCTCGTTCTAGTTTTCCAAATTAAAGGAGACAATATGACAATCTCACCAAGCTCTGATCTTACATCTTAATTTGCAAACTCAGCAGCAATATCAGTACCTGGTTTAAGTGGCTCAGACAAAACAGTGTTGAAATGGACTTATCCTTAGAAATTCAGTAAAAGGTCCTCTGTACTAATGCGGAGCCATTTTTTTTTTTTTAAAAAAAGAAACTTACAAACATTACAAAATTTATTTTTATTTTTTATTTATTATTTCCTAAAATTAACATGCTTAAAGTCAATTTCTTAGTTTTACAAATGTACTGTAGTAATGTAAGATGGTAACGATGGGAGGAACTTTGTGAAAGGAACTCTATGTACTCTATTTACAACATTTCTGTAAATCTACAACTAGTCTGAAACAAATTGATGTACTATCAATAACTACATTGTTCTTGTCCAGATAAAATTATAATGGGATAGCCTAAAGACTGGGGTAAAATTTGAAGGTTTTTTTTTTGTTTTCTGCTTATGAATTAACAGAGTTTTCAGGGTGTTGTTGTTTTATCCGTTTTGGTGATTTCAAGAACTAAGGGCATTTTTGTTTCTTAGCATATGTCAGGCAAAAGGACTTTATGAACTTGTCTGAAGCATTTTCACCAACTGTTTGTTTATAGTCAAGCCAAATAACCCTTCACGTACTATGTGAAGTCCCCTTCACCTGCACCAACTTTGTCAGAGAACTGAGACTAAACCTTCACCAACAGTGTACCTTGAGTATAGCTTCAAAGGACCACCCACTTCTAGGGGTGAGAGGCTAAATCCGCCTCTCTGTCCGGCCCATTTTAAGCCTTAGGAAAACAAGGATTTCATTTAAACCTTCCCAAACCAGAGAGCATTTATTAACAGCTATGGTTCTAATATTTGGAACAAAGTCAAGATCAAACCTTAGTACTATCTCAGCAGAAGAAAGATTAGAATTAGTAGTTAATCTCACTGAAAATCCTTTCAGTGAGAAAAAAAATATGTGTGAGCTTTAACTACAATGATTCTCTGGCTAATGAGATGCCATTGATCATGTGGAGAGGAAAGTAATATCCTTTGACATATAAAACTGTATACAGTGGTTATGGAATCTAAATCTATTCCTTTGCTAGAGTGAAACATTACTAATGAAAACAAAAAAATGCATTAACCTGTAAAAAGAAACTAAATTTATTGACAAGAGTTTGCAAATCACAGTTAATTGAGTCTCAGATGAAACTTCAAATAAAGGAAATAATGTGGTAATTGGGCCCCTCATCTTATATAATATACTTGTTGGCATACATTATGGGTTTGCTATCTTTTAAGAGTATTAAATCATTGTACAAAAACATTGCCAAAAAGACTCTTCATTTCCTTTTAGTGACTTCTTACTGCCCTCAGTGGAAGTTTAATAGAAAAGGAAGGACATGATGTAGTTTTAATGACAGGAAACCCATGGCCTTCCAAATGAATAAATTCCATCACTAGCTGCCACAAAGTGTGCTAATTATTTCCTTTGATAAATTAAAAGCTGTAAAAGTCCGAAGTATATAAGCATGTGGTTTACAGTTATAATCAACCTGTCTGCATTATTGAAAGTTCATATTATCTTCACTATTTAATAAAGCATTAATTTTTTATTCCAACAAATTGTATAGAAAGCATGTACATAAAGCATTAAACTTTTGCTGATTTGACAGATGATTAAATAACTAAACTTTGTGTTTCTGACCTTTAAGATGCTAAAATCAAGTATTGATTTATTCCCCTAACACTAAACCTTGAAGATGAAGATGAAGATCATTATGAAATGATGAAACAAACCAAATCAAAAGCCAATCATGTCCAAAGTGTGTAGAGGAATTAGAATATTATACTTGATTTTTATTATTTTATTTTTAATATCAGCTAAATCACTTGGGAGTGAAATACAGCAATTCAATCATTCAACAAAATTTATGTGCCCCATGTGCTCTGTGTGAATTAATTTGTTAATTCCACAATCATTTATTTAACCTTTGCCATGTGTTCTGGGGGTACAATAGCAGTAAAAAATGGACTCCATCCTTGTCTTCATAGAGCTTGCAATATAGTGAGAGAGCCGTACATCTAGTGATTGTACAATCATCAACCTGGAAATGTGACAGGGAGGTTTATGGCTTGATGAAAGCTTACTAACCATAGGAGCACTGTCCTACTCAGTCATAGACGTTCGGCTTCCCTGATAAAAGGCGGCTCAAATTGAAATATGAACGATGAGCTAAAGAGAACAAGGAGAATTCCAGGCAGGGGTACAGGCATATGTGAAAGGCTTTGTGGTGAGCCTGAGAGAAGGTCCATGTGGCATCAGTACAGGAGGTGAAGTGAGTCAGAGCCCAGCTTGCCTACTCAGTGTCTCTGTGCACCTTTTTGTCAAAGTGGGTGCAGACTGCACCAGGGCACATGGATTGTTGAACAGCATGTGGGCTGTATTTCGGCCCCATCACCTCCTTGGCTGAGTGCTCAAATGCATGACCTTCGCATTGTACATAGCAGCCGTGGGGAAAGTGGAGCAAGCTAATGTAACAGTAAAGAGGTTGGTAGAGCTCAAGTAATGTGAGACCTCGCAATTTGGTAGCAAATAAAAAAGAGTGGCTTCTACTAAGTTTAATCCTGTCAAAATAATCCATCTTTAATTTTGTACAATTTCTAATATTTCTCCAGTTTCAACTCTAAGCTTTTCAACTAAGGAGAATAAAACATCTCACTGTAGTCATCCTATTTTGTGCTTTGTCTTGTTTTTGCATTCAAGAATGATACCTGTTGTGTTCTCAGCCATTTGTTCTAACTCCATTTAGACTGGTGAAATGAAAAAAAACATTTAATGTGACTTATTGGATATACGCAGTTAAATCATGGCTTCATACCTTACATGAAGGGACTATGGTTCTGCTAGAATTTAAATTATTTGGTAACGTTTTACAAAAGAACTGATGATGGTTTCATTCTTTCATTCCTTCCATTTTTAGAAATTCTTAAAAATCCATCCAGCATCCACTTTACCAGGTACTCTGAGAGGGGCTTAGGAGACCCAAGAAATGCATCCAAGTCCCTGTCCTCAAGGTACTCACTCACTATGTGAGATGGTCACACTAACAGGTGATTAAGAGACAGCGACCCATGGGCAGTAGAACCCCGACAGAGTATCTTAATTCAGGGGGCCAGAGAAAACGTTCCAGGCAGAGACTGTAAGGATCCCTAAGAGCAAGCCGAGCAAAGAATAGAAGAAGAGGCTTTCAGGCTGAGGGGACTACAGGAACAAAAGTAGGGGATGGGAAAAACATGTTGCTGGAGTGTAAGTGTAAGAAAAAGAGAAGCAAGAGCTGGGAGCAGAGTGTTGGGAAGGGCCAGATCAAGGGGCTTGAACATCAAGAATCTTGGATTTAATTTTGTTGGTGAAAGGGAGCTATTGAAGACTCTTGCTTCTTTTGGAATCCACCTAGAAAGGCCTTATCTGGGGTCTAGGCCTCAAATTAGAGGTTTTTTTTTTTTTCTTTTTACACCTGTGCCAAGCATCCAGTTGTTTCATAAATGTTTCTCAGAATAACACAATCTGAACATGGTGGGAAGACTGTTTAATAACTCAGTTTAGTAGAGATTTACAGTTTCAATATATCACTGGGATGTGTAGATGGAAGAAAAGTTTGGGAGGGCCAGAACTCCAGGCACGCATACCAATTAGGAAGTAATTGCAATGGTTTAGGTAAGAGTCAATAAGAACAATTAAGATTCTCTCAGTGCTGGAGAGAAGACAAAAGCTTTTAAGAGGAATTTAGGAGGTAACCAAAAATAAGCTTCATGCTTAATTGAACATTTGGAGGAAAGTGGGAGGAAGAAATCAAGGATGTCTCCTCGGCCTCTGGCTTGGATAATGTAATAGAATATGGAAAAATCAGAAGAGATAAAGATACTGACAGCACTAAGGCATTCATAAATTGAGTTAGGAAAAAAATTTGGGTGCAACAAAAAATTTCAATAAATGTAAACTTCATTTCTGTCGACGTGAAACGGCACTTACCGAACATGTAATTGTCCAGGATGCTGGTAACAAGAAGCCTCTCTTTGGCAAAGTGGTGCAACTCTCACAATGCTCAGGCAGGCAGCTTCTTGGCGTTGCCCAAGACAAACTCTTCCTGGACAGATGCACGCATTTTCTCTTATTCTATCTATATGTTCTTTCTTGTAATTTTAGATACTTACTAATCTCGCCCAACCTCCACATCCCTGCTTTCCCTTGCTCCACTCTAAATAAACCTAATCCTTTTAACTTTTACTCAGAGACCTTAGTTTGCAAACTATGAATCATTTTGCTTCTTCTCTTGGGATCCCATCCAGGGAGCCCATACTTCATTTTTAAGGCCTCAGATCAGACACATTTCTCTATGACTGTGCCTTGAATGCAGTAGGTATTTGATAAGTTTTTTTTTTTTTTCAAAACGATAAAATCCTAAGGATGGTGGGAAGATGGTCTAGTAACTCCCACTTGCTAAAATCCTAGTTATTTCACTTTATTATCAACACATTTTTAAACATTAACATGGCATTGGTGACTCATGTATGATCCTCTGTAATTCTTTTTTTTATGCTGTATTTGTCTGTAACCACGTCTTCAACATCATTTCTGTATGGTTTGCTTTTCCTTTTTTCACTTGTTCTGATTAAATTTTTATTTCCATTAATTCTGTTTATTTTTCAAGGTCATTTAAAAGTATAATTATCTTCTCTAAGTTGCTAAGCTTGGAAAAGATAATTTAGCTTGGTGCCACTAGTAACTTAATGAGCTCCTCCCAAAATTCATCTGTGTCATTAAAGATGTTACTAAATACTTCTGACCCAGGATGATTCCTTTGAAAAGCATTCATGTCCTTTAAGCTGAAATTGTATTGTTGATAATTGACTCTTCTTGAATATTTTCTAACAAGTTTGTATTCTCATCTAGTAGCAAAAGAGTTTAAATAATAGCTAATAATAGAATAACATATGCCGGTATACTATTATGCTTACAAAACTTTCTCTCACCCCATATTACTTAATTTGCTCATTTAGACATCCTTGTGAGACAGGAAGAAGCGAAGCTATCTTTAGAGCTATTTCAAAGGTATGGAAGCTGAGTCTCAGGGTAAGTGACTTAACGAGGTCACTCAGCCAGCAGTTAGTAGAACATAACTCTTAAGTGTATATCTTCTGACTTCAAAGCCAATGTCCTTGCAGCTCTACCATGCCTAACTGTTCCATTTGTATATTAATATGTGGCTTCAGCTAAATTGAAACCTTTATTAAAAATTGCTGACAAATCTCTTCCAAAGTTGATTTCACCGCTCTTTTTAAAAAATACTTAAAATTTTAAAAATTTTTATATTTTATTTATTTATTTTTTAACTTTAAGTTCCAGGATACATGTGCAGAATGTGCAGGTTTGTTACATAGGTGTATGTTGTGCCATGGTGGTTTGCTGGACCTATCAACTCACCACCTAGGTTTTAAGCCCCTCATGCATTAGCTATTTGTCCTGATTCTCTCCCTCCCCTCACCCTCCCTCCATTAGGCTCCAGTGTATGTTGTTCCCCTCCCTGTGTCCATGTGTTCTCATTGTTCAACTTCCACTTATGAGTTAGAACATGTGGTGTTTGGTTTTCTGTTCCTGTGTTAGTTTGCTGAGGATGATGACTTCCAACTTCATCCATGTCCCTGCAAAGAACATGATATCATTCCTTTTTGTGGCTGCATAGTATTCTAAGGTGTATATGTTTCAAATTTTCTTTATCCAGTCTATGATTGATGGGCATTTGGGTTGGTTCCATGTCTTTGCTATTGTGAATAGTGCTGCAGTAAACATACGTGTGCATGTATCTTTATAATAGAATGATTTACATTCTTTTGGCCATATACCCAGTTATGGGATTGCTGGGTCAAATGGTATTTCTGGTTCTAAATCCTTGAGGAATTGCCACACTGTCTTCCACAATGGTTGAACTAGTTTACATTCCCACCAAATAATGCAAAAGTCTTCCTATTTCTCCAGAGCTTTGCCAGCATCTGTTGTTTCTTGACTTTTTAATAATTGCCATTCTGACTGGTGTGAGATGGTATATCATTGTGGTTTTGACTTGCATTTCTCTAATAATCAGTGCTGTTGAGCTTTTTTCATATGTTTGTTGGCTGCATAAATGTCTTCTTTTGAGAAGTGTCTGTTCATATCTTTTGCCCACTTTTTGATGAGGTTGTTTTTTTTCTTGTAAATTTGTTTAAGTTCCTTGTAAATTCTGAATATTAGACCTTTGATGAGTAAACTGCAAAAATTTTCTCTCATTCTGTAGGTTGTCTGTTCGCTCTGTAGGTAGTTTCTTTTGCTGTGCAGAAGTTCCTTAGTTTAATTAGATCCCATTTATCAATTTTAGCTTTTGTTGCAATTGCTTTTGGTGATTTCATCATAAAATCTTTGCCCATGCATATGTCCTGAGTGGTATTGCCAAGGTTTTCTTCTAGGGTTTTTATGGTTTTGGGTTTTACATTTAAGTCTTTATCCATCTTGAGTGAATTTTTTTACAAGGTATAAGGAAGGGGTCCAGTTTCAGTTTTCTGCATAAGGCTAGCCAGTTTTCCCAGCACGATTTATTAAATAGGGAATCCTTTCCCCATTTGCTTGTTTTTGTCAGGTTTGTTGAAGATCAGATCATTGTAGATATGCGGTCTTATTTCTGAGGTCTCTATTTTGTTTCACTGGTCTACATGTCAGTTTTGGTACCAGTATCATGCTGTTTTGGTTACTGTAGCCTTGTAGTATAGTTTGAAGTCAGGTAGCATGATGCCTCCAGCTTTGTTCCTTTTGCTTACGACTGTCTTGGCTATACGGGATTTTTTTGTTGCTGTTGTTGTCCCATATGAATTTTAAAGAAATTTTTTCTAATTCCGTGAAGAATGTCAATGGTAGTTTGATGGAACAGCATTGAATCTATAAATTACTTTGGGCAGTATGGTCATTTTCACGATATTGATTCTTCCTATCCATAAGGATGGAATGTTTTTCTATTTGTTTGTGTCGTCTCTGATTTCCTTGAGAAGTGGTTTGTAGTTCTCCTTAAAGAGGTCCTTCACATCCCTTGTTAGCTTTATTCCTAGATATTTTATTCTTTTTGTAGCAATTGTGAATGGGAGTTCATTCATAATTTGGCTACCTGCTTGTCTATTGGTGTATAAGAATGCTTGTGATTTTTGAACATTGGCTTTGTATCCTGAGACTTTGCTGAAGTTTCTTATCAGCTTAAGGAGTTTTGGGGCTGAGATGATGGAGTTTTCTAAATATAGGACTATGTCAATCTGCAGAGAAAATTTGACTTCCTCTCTTCCTATACGAATACCTTTTATTTCTTTCTCTTGCCTGATTGCCCTGGCCAGAACTTCCAATACTACACTGAATAGGAGTGGTGAGAGAGGGCATCCTTGTCTTGTGTCAGTTTTCAAAGGGAATGCTTCCAGCTTTTGCCCATTCAGTATGATAATGGCTGTGGGTTTGTCATACATAGCTCTTACTATTTTGAGATATGTTCCATGAATACCTAGTTTATTGAGAGTTTTTAGCATAAAGGGATGTTGAATTTTATCAAAGACTTTTTCTGCATGTATTGAGATAATCATGTGGTTTTTGTCATTGGTTCTGTTTATGTGATGGATTACGTTTATTGATTTGTGAATGTTGAACCAGCCTTGCATCCCAGTGATGAAGCCAACTTGATCATGGTGGATAACTTTTTTGATGTGCTGCTGGATTTGGTTTGCCAGTATTTTCCTGAGGATTTTTGCATCAGTGTTCATCAGGAATATTGACCTGAAGTTTTCTTTTTTTGTTGTGTCTCTGCCAGATTTGGGTATCAGGATGATGCTGGCTTCATAAAATTAGTTAGGGAGGAGTCCCTCCTTTTCAATTGTTTGCAATAGTTTCTGAAAGAATGGTACCAGCTCCTCTTTGTACCTCTGATATAATTAGGCTGTGCCTCCATCTGGCCCTGGGCTTTTTTTGGTGGGTCGGCTATTAATTACTGCCTCATTTTCATAATTTGTTATTGGTCTCTTCAGGGATTCAACTTCTTCCTGGTTTAGTCATGGATGGGAGTATGTGTCCAGGAATTTATCTATTTATTCTAGGTTTTCTAGTTCAGTTGCATAGAGGTGTTCATAGTATTCTCTGATGGTAGTTTGTATTTTTGTGGGGTGAGTGGTGATATCCCCTTGATCATTTTTACTGTGCCTATTTGATTCTTGTCTCTTCTTTAATAATTTTTTTTTCAAAAAACCAGCTCCTGGATTCATTGATTTTTCTGAAGGGTTTTTCATGTCTCTATCTCCTTCAGTTCCGCTCTGATCTTGGTTAATTCTTGTCTTCTGCTAGCTTTTTGATTTGTTAGCTCTTGATTCTCTAGTTCTTTAATTGTGATGTTAGGATGTCAATTTGAGATATTTCTAGCTTTCTGATTTGGGCATGTAGTGCTATAAATTTCCCTCTTAATACTGCTTTAGCTGTCTCCCAGAGATTCTGGTATGTTGTCTCTTTGTTCTCATTGGTTTCAAAGAACTTCCTGATTTCTGCCTTAATTTCATTATTTACCCAGGAGTCATTCAGGAACAGGTTGTTCAATTCCCATGTAGTTGTGTGGTTTTGAGTGTTTCTTAATCCTGAGTTCTAATTTGATTGCACTGTGGTCTGAGAGACTGTTACAATTTCAGTTCTTTTGCATTTGCTGAGGAGTGTTTTACTTTCAATTACGTGGTTGATTTTAGAGCAAGTGCCATGTGGCACTGAAAAGAATGTATATTCTGTTGTTTTGTGGTGGAGAGTTCTGTAGATATCTATTAGGTCCACTTGATCCAGAGCTGCGTTCAAGTCCTGAATATCCTTGTTAATTTTCTGTCTCATTGATCTGTCTAATATTAACAGTGGGGTGTTAAAGTCTCCCACTATTATTGTGTGGGAGTTTAAGTCTCTTTGTAGGTCTCTGCTGAGAAATATGCTGTTAGTTTGATTGGCTTCTCTTTTTAAGTGACCTGGCTTTTCTCTCTAACATTTTTTCCTTCATTTTGACCTTGGAGAATCTGATGATTATGATTTTTGGGTTGATCTTCTCGTGGAGTATCTTAGTGGTGTTCTCTGTTTTTCTTGAATTTGAATGTTGGCTTCTGTTGCTATGTTGGGGAAGTTCTCTTGAAAAATATCCTGAAGTGTTTTTTTCCAACTTGGTTCTATTCTTCCAATCTCTTTCAGGTACTCCAATCCATCATAGGTTCGTTCTTTTTACATAGTCCCATATTTCTCAGAGGTTTTGTTCATTCCTTTTTCTTCTTTTTTCTCTAATTTTGTCCATCTGTCTTATTTCAGAAAGATAATCTTCCATCTCTGTATTCTTTCTTCTGCTTGATTGATTTGGCTATTAATACTTGTGTATGCTTCTAGAAGTCCTTGTGCTGCATTTTCCAGCTCCATCAGGTCATCTATATTCCTTTCTAAATGGGTTATTCTAGTTAGCCACTCCTCTAAACTTTATCAAGTTCTTAGCTTCTTTGCAGTGGGTTAGAACATGCTCCTTTACCTCAGTGAAGTTTGTTATTTCTCACCTTCTGAAGCCTACTTCTGTCCATTCGTCCATCTCATCCTCCCTCCAGTTTTGTGCCCTTACTGAAAAGTTGTTGAGATCATTTGGAGGAGAAGAGTCACTCTGGCCTTTTGGGTTTTCAGCGTTTTTTTCATTGACTCTTTCTCATCTTCATGAGTTCGTTTAGTTTTGATCTTGGAGGCTGCTGACACTTGGATGAGGTTTTTGTGGGGACTTTTTTTTGTTGATGCTATTGTTGCTTTCTCTTTGTTTTTCTTTCAATAGTCAGTTCCCTCTTCTGCAGGGTGGCTGTGGTTGGCTGGGGGTTCACTTCAGACCCTATTCATCTGGTTCACTCCCATGCCTGGAGATGTCACTCGAGGAGGCTGAATGACAGCAAAGATGGGTGCCTGTTTTTCACTCTGGGATATCTGACCTCGAGGGGCACTGAGCTGATGCCAGCAGGAACGCTTCTGTATAGAATGTCTGACAATCCCTGCTGGGGGTCTCACCCAGTTGGGTGGCATGGCAAGCAGGGCCTGTTTAACGAGGCACTTTGGCTGTCCCTTGCTGGAGGGCATGTGCTGCGCTGGGGGGAATCCCATTTCTCTGGGCTGTCCTGATTCCTCAGAGCTAGCAAGAGAAAGGATGAAGTCTGCTGGTCCATGGAGACTATGGCCAGCCATCCCCCTAGGGGCTCAGGCCCAGCGAGATCAGAGTTCTGTCCCTGAGCCCTCAGCTGGAACTGGAGTTCCTGCAGGGATGCCCTGCAGCCTCAGTGTTGGCTGCCGCCCCCTCCCACAAAGAGCTCAGATGGCTTAGACCACAGGCAGCTGCAGCAGTAATTATGGCTGCCCCTCCTCCAGGGAACTTGGTAGGCTTAGGCCAATTTTAGCTGAGTGGGTGTTGAGAATCTACGTGGCTGTATGGTTGGGGCCCAAGACCCTGGTGGCACTGGCTCCGGAGTGGGATCTTTCGATCTGTAGGTTGCACAGTTCTGTGGAAAAAGCACTGTTTCCCAGGCTGGGTAGCACGCTCACTCACCACCTCCCTTGGCTGGTGTTGGGGGCTCCCCTGCCCCATGTGGCTCTCAGGTGGGCTGCCACACCACACTGCTCTTCCTTCCTCTCTGTGGGTCACGCTAGCTGCCCAGTCAGTCCTAATGACAGAACCTGGATACTTTGGTTGCCAGTGCAGATTTCGCACACTGTTTTGGATCTTTTCAATGGGAACCTCTGATGGCTGCTGCTTCTAGTCGGCCATCTTGGCCCCGCCCCCACTTCACCTCTCTTTAAATTCCTAATGCATAATTGGTCTGTGCAACATAATTCAATTATGTGTGTAAGGTACTGGACCTAAATACTGATGGATACATAAAATAATTGTGACACTATTCCTGAAGAAGGAATAATCTTCTGATATGAAGCCAAGGACCACAAAAATTGCAAAAACATTGTATGATGATATCTAGCACTTTTTATGTGTTGTTTTGCATTTTACTGTTCATTGCTTTAAGACAAATAACTCACTTCTTGAGGACAGATTCTATGTAGTCTACATTTGAATCCTCAACCACACCTAGCAAGTTCTCAACAAATAGTACAGATTTTTGAGTACTTGTAGGCCAACTTATTTTGCTGGCTGAACTTCAATTATTTGTTTAATTCTTGCTATGTGTCCAGTGCTGTACTAGGCATAAGATGGAATGCATACCTTTGTCTTTTGCAAAGGGAACACTAACGAACAAGGCAGTTTTGTCAGACACTAAGTATACTCCTTGACTAGGCTGGAGTACCAGGCATTCAGGTGAGTAGGAAAGGGGAATACGTTTGGAAACATCATGTTGGTCCATGTTATAGAAGACCTTGAAAGTCAAGCAAAATAGGCTAGACTTGATGTGGTAAACAGGAAGTCTGATTTCAATATCAAATAGAGTCATTATTAAGGATGAAAAGAAATGTTAAGATTACGTCATCAATTGTTATTTTATCAATTGTTTTTATTGTGTAATAATTTAATTATTGCACTTCATATTACTTGAGAAATAATAAAATGAAGAAAGAAGCCCTTCTTACCTATTTGAAGTGAAATATTTGTATTTGTTTTCCTTAATGTTATTTCTGTCCACCTGCCTAGAAATCCTTAATCTAGCACATTCGTGGTATTACTTTTTTTTTTTTTTTTTTTTTTTTGCTTCTCTTCCACACATGTATGTCTTCTGGATCTAATAGACTGTTTCAGTCATTACTTGTGTTTGTAAACAGCTGTTAAATTCATCATGTCTTAAGTTTAAATTATTTGAGTTCCATTTTGTCCTCTGATCAATTGACTCATCCATTCATTTGACAAGAATGTAGAGGGAAAATTACATGCCAGGAATCTGGGTTCTGTAGGCAATATTAACAACAAAAAAAGACAGTTGAGGACCCTGAGAAGCACCTGCACTGATAATGCATTAGAGGGTGATGTATGTCAAGTCTTCTATAGTCTCAAATTTAAGAATACCATCATAGCATATTTTTTACTCCATTAAATAAAGAAACATATAATTAAAAATATTTAATCATCTCATTCCTGTATTCATGATTCTAGGTAGAGTTAGAGTTACTTTTTTCATGATATTAAACAAAGCCATTCACATGGATGTTGGGCAGTCGGCTAGGTTCACTCAGTGGCAAGACTTTTGTTCTCAAATGGCCCCTCTGTTTTAAAGATTCTGCCGCAATAACTTTCAAATGACCACATGTCATGGAACATTGTTATCACTGAATATAGTAAAACCCATAAAGGTGAAAGCTGAGAATTTTTAGGCCTACTGAAGTGAGGAATAAGGTTGTACTTGCACAGAGTGACCCATTATAAAGGGCTCTAAAATGCACTGCAGGAAATTTGAATATAACGGGACAAGTAATGGGGAGCTACTGCTTGAGCTGAAGTAGAACATAATCAATACATTTGGCAATTGCAGGCTAAATATTATTGAAGTAACAGAGTCAAGAAGAGCAGGAAGAAGACTAACACTGTGGTTCTGGCATGATGTGGTTAGATAGCTACCAGAATATTAGCAGTGAAAACAGTAATGCAAACATAAAACAGTTGCAGTGCTGACCCTCCAGGGGCTTGCAGTCCAGTGGGAGGGACAGGCACATAAATAACCTAGCACAATAGAAGAAATGATCAATGAGAGATATAAACTGGAGCCCCTGGGAGCATAGAGTATGGCTGAATATGGAGTAAAGAGCTCACAAGTCATCAAAGCAGTGCATGGTACAGATAGGGGATGGGGAGCATTCTGAGTAGAAGCTGCCAGTGGAATGCTGGTAGATAAGTCTAGGTGCAAGTCCTGATGGGACTGGTGTTTTTGCTAAGTAGCTTGTCCTATAAATTGAGCCATATCACAAATTAGAATCATGTGATTCCATTTGCATTTTAGAATCATACTGAAAGTAGTATGGAGGGAGCACTGCCAAGACCAGCTCGGTTGGGATACCCTAACCCAGCGGCGCTAGAGGAATTAAAGATGCACACACAGAAATATAGAGGTGTGGAGTGGGAAATCAGGGGTCTCACAGCCTTCAGAGCTGAGAGCTGAGATCATCGAACAGAGATTTACCCACATATTTATTAATAGCAAGCCAGTAATAAGCATTGTTTCTGTAGATTATAGATTAAAAGTATTCCTTATGGGAAACAAAGGGATGGGCTGAAATAAAGGGATGGGTTTGGCTAGTTATCTGCAGCAGGAGCATGTTCTTAAGGCACAGATCGCTCATGCTATTGTTTGTGATTTAAGAACACCTTGAAGTGGTTTTCTGCCCTGGGTGGGCCAGGTGTTCCTTGCCCTCATTCCGGTAAACCCACAACCTTCCAGTGTGGGCATCATGGCCATCATGAACATGTCACAGTGCTGCAGAGATTTTGTTTATGGCCAGTTTTGGGGCCAGTTTATGGTGAGATTTGGGGGGGCTTGTTCCCAACAAGCACAGATGGAGGAAAGAATCAGCATGTCTAGAGGCAAGAGGACCCCCATGGAGAGAATAGCCTAGGTTGTTGTTTGGATTCAATAAAGTGTTGCTACATGAAGAGCTCCAAGAACAACCTCTGGTATGTAGTAGGCTCTTAATGAATGTAGGTTCTAGATTTACTATTATTAGTGTTCGATTAGTCCTATTTGTACTATTGCAATAGTCTTGGTGAGAAATGAGAAATTATTAGAACATGTGCTAATGTTCCAGAAGTGGTGATGGGGAGGAAACCTAGATTCTGGAACTATCAGGGTGTGGGGTGGGAGAGACTTGAATTAGGAAGATTCTGCTTAGATGATGGGGCAAGGCAGGAGGGGTCTGGGATGTGCTTTGAGACTTTGAATCATGGCCCATTAGTGGGTTGTGAAATCAATCTAGAGGGTTATGACTGGAAATTTTAAAAAAAGGAATAGAATTTTTAAAAATTTCACAGAGTCTCACACTTTTTTTTTAAAACTTTTATTTGGGTGGTATATGCAAAAATATTTTTGGTGTGTCTAGAGTGTATCCAGGCACAACCAATAGGCCCAGGTCTGCATCTGCCTGGATGACTACTGTCCTCTGCAAGGCAGATGGCTCGGAGCAGACCAGAGCTCATGATCCCAGCAGTCATGCTGATTTCAAATCAGAGAATGAGGCTCAGAAGCTGAGACAAAGCATCTTATCCCTTTCTTTCAAACCTGCATATTAGACAAGGCAATCTTCTTCATGGATTATAGGTAACAAAGAGAGGACAGAGTTTTTTGTGGGAAAGTTCATATGATACCAAGAAGAACTAGGAATATGCATTTTTCTCTAATAGATAATTTATCTTTCCCTAATTTTTGATGATTAAAAGACGCTAGGGCAAATTCATTGTTAAAATTTTTATTTTTGTGTAGATTGGCACTAAAATGGACTTATAATGGCAGTTTTGTGAGTTCAGAAATTCAACCCAACATCACTATTCTAAAACGTTGGGACGAAATTTGCTTCCACGGTGTTATGATTTGAATGTGTGTGTCCCTCCAAAATTCATATGTTGGAACTTAGATCTCAAGATGATGGTGTTAAGAGGTGGGGACTTTTAAGAAGGATTAAGTCACAAGTGCTCTGCCCTCAGGAATGGATTAGTGATTTTATAAAAGAGGTTGAAGGAAATACCCTCATGTCTTAGCCTTCTGCCTTCTGCCTTCTGCCATGTGAGACACCTCACATGGCACCTCTTGGAAGCAGACATCAGCCCTCACAAGACTTTGAATCTGGCCAGAAGCAGTGGCTCATGCCTATAATCCCAGCACTTTGGGAGATCAAGGCGAGTGAATCACTTGAGGTCCAGGGTTCGGGACCAGCCTGGCCAACATGGTGAAACCTCATCTCTACTAAAAAAATACAACAATAACAAAAAATTAGCTGGGTGTGGTGGCACATGCATGTAATCCTAGCTACTTGGGAAGCCAAGGCAGGAGAATCACTTGAACCCAGGAAGCAGAGGTTACAGTGAGCCAAGATCGTGCCACTGCACTCCAGCCTGGGGGACAGAGTGAGACTCTGTCTCAAAAAAAAAAAAAACCCAAAAAAACATTGAATCTGTTGGCACCTTGGTCTTGGATTTCCCAGCCTCTAGAACTGTGAGAAGTAAATTTCTGTTCTTTATAAAATACCCAGTCTTCAGTATTTTGTTATAGCAGCAAAAACATACTGAGATTCATAAGGAAGTAGTATTTTGTTTAAGAGTAAGCAATCTACAGCTTGTACAACTGTTGGCTTTCCTGTTGCTAAAGATATTGGTCCAATCACCATTTTACTGTTCTGAGATCAAACACCATAATAAGACTCAAAGAATAAAAACTGAACTTAGCTATTTTAAAAATAACTTATGGCCAGGTGCTGTGGCTCATGCCTATAATACCAGCAATTTGGGAGGCTGAGATAGGAGGATCACTTGAGCCCAGGAAATTTGAGACCAGCCTGTGCAAGATAGAGAGACCCCATCTCTACAAAAACAAAAACAACAAACTTATAATTGTATACTGTGACAGCATTTCCATGTCAATAGTACCAATTTACAACATAAACCCAGGTTCTAACTGAGGAAAGTCCAAAACTCTAACCTCACAGAGCCAGTAGGGTACTGGAGTGGGGGAAAGGAATGAAAGGACGTGAGAACTGATTGACTCTAGCAAATGATTTCCAATTTTATAACCTGTACATAGCTCCAGGATTCTTTTTTGACTCTTTCTTCTTCTTAACCCCAAATGCAACTGGTTTCCTATTGATTCTTTCTTTGAAACATCTCTTAATTTAGTCTCATTCTCCCTCTTCATGACATCACGGAGCCTAGGCATGAATTCTCCTGCGCTTGGATCATGCCTCCACTTTCTGCCTTTTCCAAGTAGTCCTTCGTCAGACCCACAGGCCTTCTTTTCAAGGGGCTACTTCAATGAGATTCTTTGCCTTGATCAAAATTTCTCAATGAATTTCCTTTGCCCACATCTCAAACTCCTAATTCCACCTTCAAGATCCTTCACAAGCTTTCTCCTTTCAAGACTCACTTCCAACGTCTTTTCCTGAGATCTCCATTACAGTCAAACTTAGCATCTCTCAAGCAAACCTTGTCTTTTCCTTCCTCCAAGCTTTTAAAAGCTGATATATATGCTGCAGCTCCTGGAATACCTCCCTGGTTGCAACCACGGATACACCATAAATCCTGTCTGGTACAAGGGAGGACATGCATTCATTCATTTGTTTTAAAGTGCCTCCTGTTCCTTGTATTCTTTCTCCTCTACCTCATGCTTTCTCTGTTCATCATCTCTCTCTCAACCAGGCTTTTAAACTCTTTGAGGTCAGACAGCATGTGTTCCTTCTTTTTAATTCTGCGCATTTTTTTTCTAGGATGTACTTTATATAGATAATTTTGATGGATGATAGTGCAAAAAGAAAGTCTTTTCTGGATATTTTCTTGGTGTAAATGAGGTCACCCTAATAGCATCTGTAATCACTCTGAAGTCCTTCAGCCCATTTAGTCTGAAAAATGTTTTCCTAAAATAAAAGTTCTTTCTTTTTTTTTTTTTTTTAGTGCATATCATCGTCATTCATCTCACTTTTCCTTCTAACATCAAGGATCTATACAAGGCCGTTGATCCCCACTGCTGCATATTTCTTGGATCTATCTGAGGTCCCAGATCCCATTGCCTCTTCATCCTCACAGCCACTGCTGGGTCTGGGTCCTCATAAGTTCTATCTGGAAGTTTCAGTACAGTCTTTCTCGATGTGCTCCACACTGTTATGGGAATGAATTTTCAAACACCCCTGCTTTGAAGATAGGGTGCTTCCAGGGTAAGGCATAAAGTTCTCCAGGGAGGCAACAGTGCAGTGGTATACAGACAGCACAGCCTTTCATTCCTGCGAGGCCACTTACACCTGAGTGAGGATGGGAAGAAGAGAAGACAAGGACGAATGTAGGAAACTGTCAGTTAAATGACAATGTATGGATGGCAAGAGAGAAAGAATAGTCAGTGATGGAAAAATAATCAATAACAGCTTTGGGCTTTTGAGTTTGAAAATGGTGTGTAGGGTGAGACAACAATAGGAAACTTCTAATAAAGAATGAACAAGTACTTCTACTTGTTCAATGAATGTGAATCTGGTACATACATTTGATCCTTAAAATATTCTCACTAAACTGGTATCATTTAATGGAACTGTTTAATGTTATCCTGGGCAAGTTACTTACTCAATTTGCCTTAGCATCTCATCTGCAAAATGTGGATGAGTACCTACCCCCCAGGGTTATGTCAAAAATTAGATAAGATGAAAAGTAAGTTATAGTATTAGAATGGCACCCAATACATAGTTTGGAATTTTTTAAAATGTCAGCTATTATGATGATAACAATGGTGGCTTACAAGACCTTTGACCATCTGGCTTCCCTCTCCAAGCATGCCAAATTAATCACACTTCTTAAACACATCTCTTGACCGGGGTGTTCTCACCATGCCCTTTCTACAAACAAAAAGTAAGTACTCTTCTCATTCTTTAGAACCAATTCTAAATTCTCCCTCATATGAGAATTTCCTTATTATTCCACCTGGTATGAATGATTTCCACTTCCAGGGTCCCCAAGACTTTAATATCATTTCTGGAGCATATGTGATGATAATGTAATAATTATAATGATACTATTATGCTATTGCATATTATGGTATTCAGTACAAACAATTTCTTGATGAGAAGAAAAATGCCCATTAGAAAATTAGGCTTATTGTTTTGTTTTCTCACTATAAAATATGCTCATTGTAAAAAAAAGTTAAAAGAAATAAAATCAACTATAATGTGATGTTCTAAAGATAATCAACCTGATCATGGATGCATTTACCTAGGGTATTACGCGTTTTAAAACACATTAGTATTGTGTTCCATGCACAGTTTTCATTTTAGGCTTTTTTTTTTTTTAGGCTTTTTTGGTACAGTTTTGATTCTAGGCTTTTTTGTTTGTTTGTTTTTTGGGGGATTTTTTTTTATTGCCTTAAGATGATATCATTTAAGGGTATATATAGTAATCATTTTGTGTTAGCCACACTATCAAAGCCCTTCTCAGTCATGAAATCTCAAATACTCTCCTCTTATCCTCATTCCTTCCTTCCTTCATTTAAAGAGGAACTTGAGGATGTTTTCTTTCGTGAATTAAAATTTATTTAACCATTAAGGTGTCAAATGTTACATTTTCTTTTCTGAAATGGAACAATTCATTGTGCTCACCTAATTGGCATTTCAAATTTTACCTTGATGTCATTTATAAAAGTTCTGCTTCATAGGTTTGACAATATTTAAAATCTGAAAAATTAGGTGGCTCTGGTGTTGCCTACACATGCCACCTTCCAATCATCATTCTTTATTGGTAAGAATAATTAGAGTAATACAGAGATTGAAAAAAAAATGTAGCACATTTGTTCTTGGACATAGGACAAATATGCCTGGTAACTAGCTGTTAAAATGGCTACATTTAATGTCAACTGTGTCTTCAGCAGAGTTGAACTCAAATGGAATCACACATTTTTTGTTTCCTTTAATTATTAACTTCACTTGGGAGTTTAGCCATACCTCTGAGGTGTCCTTTGTTAAGTGTATTCTCATTCTTTATTCTGGATGGGAAAAGAATAGTATCAATATATATATTTTTTAATTTCATAGAAGGGCATTATTCTTGCCCACATCTAACTAGTTTGTTTTTGGGCTTCTGGTTCATCAAAGAAAGATGTGGGGTCATAAGAGAAATCATGAAGGTTAGTTTTATGAAGAATCCTTCAGAGAAAGAGAAAAAATACTAATATTATTAATAACAAATTATGAATGGTACTCTTGTTTGTTGTTGTTTATGTGTTTTAGCAACCCACAGGCCTCAGTTGCACTTTTAATTATCTGGGAATATTTTCCTCTTGGCTAGCTGAATGGTAGGAATGATTGATGCAACACTTTCTAATTTCCTAGTGTACAGCTGAGGCAAATGTAAGAGCTGATGAAAGAATATCCCCTCTGTAGGATCTGCTGGATTAGAAAGGCCTTCCTGGGACAAAATAATTATGCACACTTATCTTAAAGTTGCCACTATCATAAGTGGAAGGCATAATAATATTATGTTAAGATATATTTCCTTTTTCAGTCAATATGGGGACAAAGGAACAGAACAGAGATGAAAGTTTCCCTGTGGCTTTTGCAGTTAACTAAAAGCCCTTAAATGACTGTTTATGGCAGTGATGTTGTTCATGCTGCTTGGTTAAGGATCTGAACTTTTTTTTTTTTTCAAATGCTTATAACATTTTTAGAAAAATTAACTCCTGTCTGGAAATTGGCAAATTATACCTTGGTGTGAGAATAGATAAGTTCTGAGGAAAAGGAAAGAACCAGATATATATGGGCTTTCAGAAGAGTGAATTCTTTTTAAAGAACTTTCTTCGTGCAAGGAGAATTTCTCCATTAAAACAAAATAGGACTAAGCGTTAGAATTTCAGACTTGCTTTTACTAATCATGAGATAATATGAACAGTAAAAGTTAACCAGTGTTTGGATGTTAGGGGCCAAATTGCATTAGTTTATTTGAGGAAAATACTTTTACAGTGATTTTACTAACTGACCTTTAATTATTTGCAAAAAGGAAGCATCTAGAGATATTTTAAAAGACTAGAGGAAATAGAAATGATTAATTCAGGGCATGACCTTTGCTCTGGATAACTTGTTTTGTTGTGGTTGTCTTCCTTTCTCCCTTTCTCTCTCTCTTTCTTTCTTTCCTTTTCTCCTTCCTTCCTTCTTTCCTTCCTTCTCTCTTTCTTTCTTTCCTTCCTTCCTTCCTTTCTTCCCTCTCTTTCTTTCTTCCCTTCCTTCCTTCCTTCCTTCCTTCCTTCCTTCCTTCCTTCCTTCCTTCCTTCTTTCCTCATTTTGAAGAAAAGAGTGCTTGGCTGCTCGTTAGTGGGTTATACTCCCCCTCTTTTTCAGGGAGGACCAGGGCAAAGGAATTATGATGTGTGCCATATTGTAAAAGGAACATTTGCTTAGAAATCTGTAGCTGACATTTTTATGCAGGATCCTGTGCTTCCAAGGCAATGAAAAACTGAACAATGTTTTCCTTTAGAGTGTAAGGAAAATTTCAGATTAAAATGGACCATACTTACTAGTTTCCAATAATTTTAATTTTATTTATTTATTTATTTATTTATTTATTTATTTATTTATTTATTTTGGAGACAGGGGTCTTGCTCTGCTGCCCAGGCTGGAGTGCACTGGCGCACTCATGGCTCACTGCAGCCTCAACCTCCCAGGCTCAAGCAATCTTCCTGCCTCAGCCTCCACAGTAGCTGGAACTACAGGTGCACGCCACCACACCCAACTCTGGTTTCTGATTTAAAATGACATTTTGGGTTTCTTTCTCCCATGAGGTATTAGTTGGCTACAGTTGTATGATTTACATTGCTATAGACCTGGAGTTCACACTAAACACACTCTAGGGTTTAGAATACAGGCTTTCTCCTTTTTCTATAATTTTTGTAAAACATTTCTGGCATTGTTTTAGTAAAATATGAATAAGTGGTAAGTTTTTTGAGAATTCTGCTAACTTAGTTCCATTAGCTCATGACTCACCTGAAATTGACATGCTCATCTTTAATCTAGATGTTTTTAAATTGTCTTGTTTTCTTTCTTGTTCACGAAAGAATAATATTTTTCTTGATAAATCCGACTCTTCATGGACGGATCTTGTGGAACTGCCCTCATGTGTTCCACTATCAATTTTTGCTTCTGCCAACAAAGGGTTCTGTGGGTAAATGCTGCTGTCTTTGCTTCTCCTCATCCTGGCTTGTTGATGGGTGGACAAGCAAAGGGCATGGAAGGATGAGGCCTTCAGCTAGGGCTCAATCCTGCACATTTGAAGAATATCTCTTGAGGTTACGAACAATCATCCAACTGGAGTAGTTGGGGATAAAATTAAAATCTCTTCTAAATAGTTTCTAAACACAAATTATTTAGAAATTTCTATTCATTTACAAGTTTTAAAATAATCAAAATGGTACAGATGCTGACATGATCAGTAATTACCACATTATAAAGAACAAATGAATGTTATAAAATGTGTTTTCATGTTGTTCAAGTTTTTTTGTGTGTGTGTAATAAAAATTTCCATTTTCAGCTGGGTGCAGTGGCTCATGCCTGTAATCCCAGCACTTTGGGAGGATGAGGCAGGCGGATCACCTGAGGTCAGGAGTTCAAGACCAGCCTGGCTAACATGGTGAAACTAAACTATTTCTACTAAAAATACAAAAATACAAAAAATGAGCTGAGCATGGTGGCGCATGCCTGTAATCCCAGCTACCCGGGAGGTTGAGGCAGGAGAATCGCTTGAACCCAGGAGGCGGAGGCTGCAGGGAGCAGAGATTGTGCCATTGAACTCCAGCTTGGGCAACAAGAGCAAAATTCTGTCTCAAACAAAACAAAACAAAACAAAAAATCCCTTCCATTTTCTTTGTCACAAACATATTAATACCCCAGGTAATAATAGCTCCCTCATTGAATGTTAACTCCCTATAAGCAGGGATTATTATTATTTTTTGTTCCCTTAAGTGTCTTTAATACCTAACAATCACTTATTTATTCAAAAAGCATTTACTGAGAACTTAGTATGCACCAAACCTACCAAACACTGGTAGGTAAGTCTTTAGTACAATACGAATGAATCCTGATTTCAAGGGTATATAGTTTAGCGGGATAAACAGTCATTAAACACATTACCAAAAGAACAAACAACAAACATACAAGCATTAAGAAGGAAAAAAAGGTACAAGAGATTCTGAGAGACATGGTAATTTAGTTTGAGGGAATGGTGGTCAGGGAAGGCTTCTCTATGGCATTGACATTTAAGTGAGACTAAGACTAGACGATTATTAACGATTGGTTGGAGAGAAACAGCCCAGAGTGTGGTGAGTAGAAGTGTAGCACAGGCTGTGGCTGGAGAGGTAAATGAGGTAATTCATCCAACATGGGATAAGAACTGGAATGTATCCTAAGTACTGAGAAACTTCATTAAAGATTCTTAAGCAAGGAATGATCCAAGTTGCATTTTAAGAAGATCATCTGGCTGCTGCGTGGAGAATGAGTAGGAAAGCAGCAAGAGTAAAATGGGGGAGAAAAATCAAGGGGCTATCACAGTACTTCAGGCAAGAAAACTGTTGACTTATTTCCAAGGGCAGCGGCAGTGAAAATGTGAAAGATGAGAGTGGATGGGTGCCATATGTTTCGGACGTCTGGTTCACAGATCTTGGTGATGGTTTAAACGGAGGAGTTAAGCATGAAAGAGGTGTCAATGATTGCTATAAGGTTTTTAGGTAACCAGGTGGATTCTAGTGTCATTTGTAGAGAAAAGAAAGACTGAAATGGAGTAAATATGGGGCAGATAATCCTCAGATAAGTTTTAGACATGTTAAATTTAGGATGCATATAAGACATCCAAGCAATGTTGTCAAATAGACATACAAGAGCTGTCTGGATAGGATCTGTAAATTTAGACATCCCCAGAATGTAGATGATTTCTAAAACCAGAGGGATGAGTAAGATGGCCTCGTGCAGTGCTTTCAAACTTGTTGGATCGTAGGGATCCCTGGGCAATTATTTAAAATATACATTCCTAAGCTCTACCTGAGACCTACTGAGTAAAAGTTTCCAGGGTTGAGAAGTGGCAATCTGTATTGTTTCGTTTTGTTTAGTGACCGGTATCTCGTTACGTTGCTTAGGCTGGAGTACAGTGGTTATTCACAGGCACGATCATAATGTGCTACAGTCTCAAACTTCTGGGCTCAAGTGACCTTTCTGCCTCAACTTCCCAAATATCTGGGACTACAGGTGCCCATTACCATGCCCATCTCAATCTGTTTTTAATAAGCACTCTAGTTGCTTTGTATGATCAGATACATTTGAGAAAGATTAGAATATGGACCGAATTTGAAAGAATGCCAGCATTTAAAGGTGTGGGGAGAGGAATGGTGGGGGTGTGGAGACCAAGAAGGAGGATAAGAGCAGAAAGGGAATAACAGAAATTGTAGGGTCTGAATCAAAACTGATGCACTCTGCAAGATGTCTGTTTGCATGAAACAAACAAACAAAGAAACTGACGCTCTGAAACCCTCTGATACAGACTTAACAGACAGCCTCACTAAACAGCTTTATATTCCCACATTTCATATTACTTTTGGAGACATTAGTATCTTTATTCCATATAAATTTATACACATGAGACTTTGCCATACATTTTACCAAACTAAAAGGCATTCAACAGTTAGAATTACTTTTGCTATTTCTGTATTTAAAATATTGTCTCCCTTAAGTAAAACAGTGCCCTGTGAGCCAAATAAATACATTTTAACCAATTTGAGAGGCTAGAGATAAAAAAATTCTAGCCTCATAAATGGAAGCAGCCCCAGAACTCTTGCACTGACATGGCACTTGACCATTAGAAAGGGATAATTTCAAATCATAAGCAGCAAGTAAGACAAAGCTATGAAGATTGCACGTAGGTTGAGACATTATTTTCTGCGAAGTTTAGTATTGTTTTTCAATTTTTGTTGTGGTTTACCTTATTTGCAGCAGTCTTATTAGGAAAACCTAAAAGAGTCTGATTTAAATCTCTTGTTCCCAGCCAAGCCCAGGTCTGAAAGGGAAGAGAAAACACATTTACATTCAGTGTCACAGCCTTAGACCCCAAGTGCAAGTTAGACTAGATTTGTTGAGATCAAAAGCAATTTCTGTAGTTATTTGTTTGCAGATTTACAGTTTAAAGGAAAGAATTAAATAGTATGAACATATACACTGCACTTCCCATGTCCACATGTTTGTTTGAAATTGCCTGAGTTTATTCTATAACGTTTGATGGTTCTATTTTCTGCCTTCACTATCTAGTGTTTGTTAAGTGAAGGTGGGTTTAGCTGATCTGTGTTATGTCTGTGTGACATGTATCCTCCTTCTTTTTTGGCTTTAGTCTCCCTTTTGGGTCTTGACTTCTATCACTATTTTGGAAAGCCAGGAAGTCAGCCAGAATAAAATGAAGTCCAGGAGACTTTTTTTTTATAGCATTTATTTAGGACAGTAATTCCAGTGGCAGCAAGTCCACCATTAGCAAGAATATATTGGCTACTTTTATTATGTAGGTCTGAATTCCTTGTCTGTCATACCACACGTAAACCCAGAAGAAAATAGTTAGCAGATTTATGGTTTGCACTGTCTCTGAGATGTTACTTTGAATATCTGATTCATAATTCTCTGGAGGGAAATCTTACCTCCTGGAAGATCAAGAGGCTGTGATGGCATTAGAAGTGGAGTTGAGCTTCTGTGCCTTGTGAAGCTCATTTCTCCAACCATGGAAGGAGTTTGAACTCTCAAAAACATAGCCAAGTATCCTGCCTTTGTCATTTTGCCTACTTAAAATCACCAATAAAGGCAATGAGTAAAAAAAAATTGAAATTTGAACTTAACATTGTATCGAAAAATCTACCTTTGGGCCATTCGTGATATAGACATGGACTACTTGATTCAGAGACAGGCCAATGAGGTTTGCACTGACAAAATCTGAATATAACGACATATAGGGTTATGTCACCATAAGCTTTAGGGAGGAGCTAGTTATCCAAAGGCATCTGGATTTCATGGCAGCAGCTGACCCTATTTAACCTTCAGCATTAATGACTAACACTTCTCATAAGGGCTGTTGTACCTCCATGCATTTCATTTACATTGTTCACCTCGAGAAGAACATATGTTATTCCTAGAACTCAAATGGCATTTGTTTGATGAGTGGGGTAGCAAAAGAGGTAAAGGAAAATACTGGAGAACAGAAAGAAAAGTCTTGCATTCTAATATTGACCTTGTTTGGCTTCCTTTGAATTCCTCAGGAAGTGATGGAATGGATGGATGATGAAGCGGTGATGGAAACAGGGCTAAATTAAATTACAAAAATTTGGGGTCTAGTCCTGCCACTGATCACCTCTAAAACTTAGTTTCCATGTCTATAAAACTGAGATAGTAACCCCTCTCCTACTTATTCTACAGGGATTGTGTAAAGATCAAGTGAGATATTTTAGAAAAGAACTATAAAACTCAAAGATTTTATACAAATTTTAAAGTATTTTTACCGAGATAGCCAAGTGAACAACACTTCAAATAAATTAAGAAATTCAAATATAAATAGTAGCAGTAGTAGTGTTGTAGTAGAAATTGTAGTAGAAGAATTACGGCAGTAGTTGCCATCGTTTCTTGAACATCTAATATACAGTAAAACCTATTCTAAGCGTCAGAATCCTTATATACGTTTCTTTAATAGTTATAATAACTTTGTAAAGTAGATTTTTTAAAAAATCCAATATTATAAATGAAAAAACTAGGTTTCAGAGAAAAGTGAAATAATATGCCCATGGCCCCTCAGCAAGTAAGTACAGAATAGTGTCAAATCCCAGTAGATGCATTTTACATTTATCTGAGAAGAAAAAAGGGATGCGGTTTTTAACCACTTTTCAGTACTTTGTTTTTCTTCCTACTTGGGGTTGTTATTATTACATTCCTAATTTCATACTTCCACCTTTTGCATTAGGATCCAAGAGAATACACACACAGACTGGACCCCCACTTCTCTCTAATTTTTTTGACATTAGCATGACTGGGAAAGACTCTTTGAAACTGCCAAGATCTTTACGAACAGCTGAGCCTATAAAGTATACAGAATACTAGTAATAAGCCTATTATATATGTTGTGTGCTTCTGTAAGTTTCCAAAATAGCCTTATTGAAAATGCTTCTACCTATGTTAAATGCATTAGTGAGGCCAATGTCAGAGGAAAATAATAAGATGACTTTATAAAATGTTACCAACTGGAAAACATCAGTGAATTTGTAAGATCTTCCTTCTCTCCCAGTGAATGGAACTGAAATAAATCCTAAAATGACTAAAACTTTGAAAGATCAAGCTCGTTATTACAAATATAAAAAAAGTAATAAGCATACTTAAATAAGGATGCAGCCTCTTTCAGAACATTAAAACCATGTTCTTAAAAAACTATGAATATATATAATGGAAAAATACCCTGTATAATCAATTATGATATCTATTGTAAGATATTACTAAGAGAAAAAAATTATTAAAACATCAATTCAACAAAGAGTAAATTTAAAGAAATTACTCATTTCAATAAAAATAAAGATCACTATCAAGGCAATTCATAGAAAAACTTCAAACAGCCCATAAACAAATAAAAAAAAAGAACTTACAATCTGCTATCTAAACATTCAAATTAAAAAGATGAAATATTTTACCTGCCACAATGACAAAAGCTTAAACAATTTAAATTTGATAAGGCTTTCTTTCTGTTACTGGCAGTCATACAGGCTGCTGTTCGGAGGACAGGCGATGTAATCTTTATGAAAAGATACTTGAAAATATTATCAAGTAACTTCAAAACTTTCAGATTTTTCAGCCAGTAATTCTATTTCTAAGCAAATAGTCAGAGTTGAAGCATAGATTAAGTATAAATACATTTTATTGTTATTTTCATTGTCAAAAGTTAGAAAAACACAGTTCAAAAATAGAGAAATATTTTAGGAGTATACTTTCACATGGCATTAAATAACATATTTTTAATATCATATAATATAATGGCTTATATTTGGGTAGGAAAAACAAATCTAAATGTACATACAAAGTATACACATAATTTCGTTTGAAATCATACAGCAGAGGAAAAAATACTAGAAAAATTTACCCCAAATTTGAGTGGAGACATAAAATTTAGTTTTTCTTTATAAGCTTTTGCATGTCACAGTTTTATACAATGAGCATGTAGTAAAAAGTTCACATAAAATTGTTCATAGGAATATTAAATAAAGTTCGAACGAATCGAGTGACGCTGAACAATAAACCTATTTTGACTGCTAATTGCTAAAGTAAGTAATTAACTCAATAGGACATCATTTCATTTATAAGAATAAATTATAATCTGTAAAAGGAATTTTGCATGACATTTGATTTGGTTTTAAACGGACCCTGAGATTGTTAAACGTCAAATTCTTCCATTGTTTAAAATGAATATTATATTACAACTGCTTTTGCTTCCTGGAAGTGGAATTTACACTTTTTCTTAACGCTATTGTTATATTTTCTCAGTTGCCTAAATAATCTATGCTCAGAGACATAATATTTTGGGAATTCATATTGCTTGTTTCTTTCTTTGTAGTTGCTTTAAAAGTAAATCCTTTAGGAGAACATTTCTTTAGCTTACTTTTTCATTATTTCCAGAGGCAAAAACTGGCAGGGCAATTTATAATTCAATTTTTGCTAAATCCATGACACCCAATATATATGTCAGGCATTTCAACGGCAGGGTACTTTGGGGAAAGGTGATAAATTGTACTGATTATAAGCTCAAGCTGTTCTTCTAAAACATCATATCAAAAAGAAGGTAAGTATTATTAGGAAAATGTAATGTATCTTTAGATTGTCCAGAACTATCAGAGATAATCACTTCATGTGAATATATTTCCCTTAGTGCTATACAGCAATATAATAAGGTTCTTACTGTGTTTTTGATAGCACTCATCTGGAGAAAGGTAAAAAAAGACCCTATCAGTTCACAAACCTATCACAGGCTGGTAGTCTTTCAGCAGCCACAGAGCTCTTAGTGCTGCAATAACTCACTCCTGCCAGAAATGCCTCACTCTGAAACCCAAAACATGGCCCTAATCATTTTAGGACTATGTTGGTATATGTGAGTAGTATAAATATTATTTTATAATATAATCTCCTCTGATCTTTTTAAACATCCTTTCAGTGTTCCAGGTATTTCCCTGTGTGATATGTGTGGCTTAAGCAAAGCCACAAATTCCCTAGGTTATCTCCAAAAATTGCTGAGAAAGTGGACAATTGAAATATAAAACTCTGCTCTGGTGGGATACAGGCATCTGTGTGTGCATGTGCGTGTGTGTGTGTTTCACACACACATGCTGCAGTTTAGTGTGGCATTCCATTAATGAGTGAAGTAATTAAGCAAAGCACATGGGTAGGTTACTCAGATCTAAGAATAGGGAACGGGGGATTGGAGCCTTTCACCTCCAGGTCAATGGTTTCTGTTTAATCGGGCTGTTAATGACCAAAAGTCATTGTTTCCATCTGAGAGCTGTTTGGTCTCAATATGAAGTAAGTTGGTGGTCTGCTCTCAGTTTCTCATGTGCAATTGTATGGATCGTGAAATCTATGGCGGCTTTTTGCCACCCTGTTGGACAACTCAGTAAAAAACATGCTGTTTGAAGGTAATGGCAAAACAACTCTGTCTCAGACAAAGTGTACCTCCAAAAGAAATGTATTTCTAAATAGCAAAAATACATTGAAATTGTTGACATGAAATAATAGAAGATTCATGAATTTGCTTTTACTGTGTATAGTAGGCTTTATATTTACATAGTTACTTTTACATACAATAATTTGTTTGAACCTCAGAGTTAATGAGTGTGATGTAGGCCATGCTGATAATAATATTTAAAGTTTCAGAAATCAAAGATCAACGAGGTCAGGGCTTGCCTAAGATTATGGAAGTAGTAAGTTCCTACAGCAGTGCTAGGGCACTATGGCAAGCCTTTTGGAAGAGTGATTTGAGCAGGGCTTCTAAGTACCAGAAGAACTTGGATAGAGCAGAAAAGTAAATGATATTCCATGAAGGACATCAGCATGAGGAAAGTACAAAGGTAGAAATGAGCAGTGTGTGTTCATAATAAAATATATTACATACATTTTGCAGTATGTCTTCACACAAGAATACACAAGAAAAATCTTAAAAAGATTTTACCTTATACACACAGTTACATTTATGAACACCTGTATGTTCACACAGATTAAGGTTACATTAAAAATAATGAATTGGTATTGGTGTTCTTTCAACAGGAACAGTAGCATTAAAGATGTATTAAGAGCAAAACATGTAAATATTTATGAGGAAGCAGATGTGAAAGTGCTGCTGGAAACAGGCAAGAAGTATCAAAACTTTTTTGTGAGATATGAGCAGTGGCTGAAAGATAAAGGCTCTCAGTAATCTAACAGTAAACTAATAATACGTCTTGATTAGGAAAGAAAGGCTTCTGATAACCTCCACCTCTAAAAAACTTTTCAGTCAAGAAAATTCCAAAACTCTCTGCGGCATCCTGCTACTGTTGTCACAGCAAACCCAGGTATTAGCTTTTCTCAACTAGGAGCTGGACTCTCCCATGTGCAGACTTTAGAAAATGGGGATAATTTTTGGCTTTCACAATGACAAGGGCCACTAATGGACAAGGTCAGAGATGCTCGGCACCAGTCCCTCACTCTGAACCCTGTCCTGTCCCCAAGGCCAGTAGCATTCCCCCAACAAGAGATACTGTTAACATTTTTCTCACCACTGTGTCTCCATATACCCAAGACTATAATTCTAAGACCGACAAATCCTAGATGAAAAAAAATCACAATTCACTATTTCAACATTTTTATCTTTATTTCTCAACTACTTAAATTTTGTCTCCACCTTTAAAAATAATATTCCTGCTAAGATTATAACTAAACTGAATGTCTACACTAATGAATACTTTTCAGTTATCTTTATTAGACACTTCCTCTTTCTGGAAACTCTATTCTGTCTTGACTTCCTCAATATCATTCTCTCCAACTTTTCAGAGCACTCCTAAGTCATCTCTCTAAGTTTCTCTGACTTCTCTAATCCTTTTATACTAATGTTCTTTAGCGTCCAATTCTTAGCTCCCTTTTCTTAAATTTTTTCCCCACACTCATGGCCTCGGCTATCACCGCTAATGATTCTTAAATCTCTATCTCCAGCATTAATCAATCTCTTGAAAACAAACCTCGGTGATGTGCTGCGTATCTCACCTTCATATCATATAGGCATCTCGAACTCAGATGTGGGCTTGTAAAAGGCTCAAAATTATACCACTGCACTCTTGCCCTTTCTGTCTTCATTCAAATGACAAGTTTCTATTAAGTGGAGCTAAAAAGAAAAGTAGAGCATGGAATCTGCCTTTTAGCTTACATTTGAAGAGATGAACTTAATTACAAAAAGAGGCGTTTATAATTCTATAGGAGATAGAAGAGGAAGGACTGAATTCTAGAAGGGGAAATGGAGAGAGGGCACGTAGTAGAGTCCAGGAAACATCTAAGGGTAAAGGACATTTAAGCTAGGAGTTTCCCAGATGATTAGAGCCATTCTGAACAAAAGAAGTAATGTGTGCATGTAGTTGAGAAAGATTAGGGTAAATTCTTGTACCTCTTGATAATTTGGTGTGACTTTGCAGTGCACAGGAAGAAGGAAAGTGCAATGAGAGAGAGGCAGCCACCAGATCGTAAAGGTGTTTTATTTCCATCCAAAATAATCTGGACCTTATACTTTGGACAACTTGACAATTAACTAAGTTTAATTAGAGGGTGCAGGACAACATCAGTTTTGTTTTTCAGATTATTCTCAGTATGGTAAAGAGGATGATCGGGGAGATGGAGCATTACACAATGAAGACAAGGACAGCGTAGGAGAATGTGTTAGCAGCCAGTTTAGCGATCATGAAACTCTGATTTAGGATGCTAGAATTGGAACACAGAGGAAGAACTGAAGTACATATATACTATTTTTTGAAAGTGAAATCAACAGATTCGGTAACCACTGAACCTGGAAGGTGATGGAAAGGGTAGAGTGTTGAGGGTGACCACCAAATGTCCAGGTTAGATGGTGTAAGGCAGAAGCCATTGAAAATTATGGAGAATATAGGAGGATAGAAATGTTTTGGGGAAATAAAATGAGCAAATATCATGGACTTAAAAAAAGTCACCTTGGAAATCAAAGCTGAACTAGGGCCTCTTTTTTTCTAGAATCTGAACTATACCAACCCTTTTCCTTCTTAGGACAATAAGTTTTGGGTTTATCCTTATTGGTAGAACAGGTACATTAAAGACAGAGAAAGGGCATTGGAAAATATTTCAAAATTATCATTCTTATTGACTTCAAATGTAATATGTAATATTAGGTATGTTACTTAACCTTTCAGTTTCATTGTCTTATTTGCTAAAAGAGCAAAAAGATACCTACCTCACAGTGATTCTGAGAAGGTAAAATAAAATGGTGCATTTTAAAGCACAGAGGCAATATTTTTTCACTTAGAAGTCTCTTTAAAAATTATGTTCCTCTTTTCCTTCTCACACTGTGGTTTTCAAATAGCTTACGAAATACGCCAAGTGACTGGTCACAGTGGCTCATACCAGTAATCCCAGCACTTTGGGAGGCCGAGGCAGAAGGATCGCTTGAGCCCAGAAGTTTGAGGTTGCAGTGAGTTACAATTGCACCACTGCATTCCAGCCTGGGCAACAGAGTGAGTTCCTGTCTCAATGAGAGACCATCCCCTTATAATTATATATGTATATATAAAAAACACCACTATATATATATGTATATATATATAACCATATATATGTATGTATGTGTGTATATATATTGAGAGAGACAGAGATCCACATATGTATGTACACACACACACACACACATATATGCATATATATATATATGGTGTGGTGGGGTCTTGCACTGAGATCTCTGTCTATGTATATATATGTGTGTGTGTATGTGCCAAATGTTCCCCAGACATGTCTCCTATCTTTAAAATAAAATCATGCTCCTTATAACTCCTATATTTTAGCAACTCTCACAGAGAATAAATAATTTACTGGCATTGTTTTTCTGAGCTTGCTTGGTATATTCAGAGATTCAGCAATCAAGACTTACCTTACTGGGATGATTTGTGTCAACTAGATTTTTTTTAAAAGATAGTACTTACAGAAAACTAAACACCCTTTAAAGAACAAGCATTAAGAGTCTAAACCATTTTAATGAAAGCTCACATACATAAGAGGTGAATAACTGTAGCAGTTGGAATTTGAAAATGAGGTTTTCCTTACTTTGAGGATAGAGTCGTGAGAGGTGGAATGGCAAGAGCAGAGATGGCCAAATCCTGACTTGATATTTGGTAGGTCCAACTGATGAAATACTTTAAAATTGATGCCTAGCAGTAGAATTTGATGCAACAGAGTCCCAGGAAACCTGACAACAAAGAAATGATCATTTATAAAAAGCAAGATTGAGGAAAATTTTGGTATAAGATAAACAGCTCTAATGAGTTAAATTGCTCTAGAATTATTCCAGCCATTGGGCCCCTTATATGATTTACACAAAATTTGGTTTAGTTGATGTGGTTGTTTGAGTGATTTATGCTACTGATAATGAAAGCTTATAAATTTCTCTAAGGGAAGTATAGATCTTTGTAGTAGACTGTTTTAGTTCACTTACAGAGTTCACTTCCACTAGCAGCAACTTAAGCCTTTTATATAAATTGGAAGAGCCTGCCCTTTCCAAACTCTTTCATGTACCCTTGATCAGCCATTGCAAACATGCCAGGATGAAACACAACTGGCAGAACTTTGGATCTAAACCACTGTCCCCATCTAATGTTATCTAATGTGCTCAAAGGGCCTCCAAGAAAATGGAATTTTTCAGCAGTTGCTTTCAACTAAATGTTTATAGCAACATGAAAAATAGAGGAGAAAAAGATCATGTTCCTGCATAAAATGAAATACATTAGAGACATAAATATTGATGAGATTTTATACAGGCATAAAAGCAGGTGAAATGATTGACAGAGGAAAGACATAATGAGACAAGAAGGGGCCTGAATGGCCCGAATTCAGGACCCTGTGTGAATTCACAATTCAAAAACAGAATAGAGGATGATGAGTTATCAATGTTAACTGAAGCCAAGAAAGAAGAATGTTTGGTTTTGAAGAGGAGATGACAAGCTGTGTTGAGGAGAAGTGGGATGAGGAGTATTTTAGAACTTGAACATATTTAAATGCTGATGGGAAGGATGTGGTAGACATGACATGGAAAAGGAAAGAAGGAAAGTGGAATCCCAAAGCGGTCTGCTTTATTTGGGTTATATACATATATATCAATACTTACCATATGAGAATTCATAATTCAGCAATTATTAAAATAAGTATTTATTATTTTAAAATTAGCCATAATAAATTTGTTACACATAAATAACATATTTTTATTTTAAAAACTGTATTTTCCAAAGTAAAAATAAATGAGTGATAAGAATGGCACTGTTGTACATATTTTCAAATCTCCTTAATGTTATGCTTAATAAAAGAGAGCTGGATTCTCATACCTGCCTCTTCATTCAGTCTGTTGCCATATGTTGCTTTGGTTAATGTATATGAAGAAAATCTGGCCTTACACAGATACATAGTAGGACAATGGAGAAGGTGTCAGTATGCTTCTTGGATACTACATTAAAATTCACCACGTGGTAGTTTAATGAAGATTAGCTGCAATGTGGAATCTGTAATGATATCAATGAATATTTTGTATTCTAAAATCAATTTGTCTGTCTTGTGCTTTGAATCAAGTTATGTAGCTCTTCTAAATGCTAACATTTTATCATACAATGTCAAAAAATTACACTTAATAATATCACTGATCTCATCAGAAACTTTTTTTTTTTTGAGATAGAGTCTCACTCTGTTGCTCAGGCTGGAGTGCAGTGGCATGATCTCAGCTCACTGCAACCTCCGCCTCCCAGGTTCAAGTGATTCTCCTGCCTCAGCCTCCCAAGCAGCTGGGACTACAGGCGCACGCCACCACGTCTGGCTAATTTTTGTATTTTTAGTAGAAACGGGGTTTTACTATGTTGGCCAGACTGGTCTCCAACTCCTAAGCTTGTGATCCACCTACGTCAGACTCCCAAAGTGAGAAACATCCTTAAGTACCGGGAAGCTGTCAAGTTTATGTCAAGTTTGGGCAAGAAGCAACTTGCCCAAAATTCCAGTATTCACTTGAAAGCCTCTATATCATTGGCAAAAAATAGTTTCAATTGTTTTCCTTGAAGTGATAATTTCACTCCATTCATTTTCAACAAAATGTCTGCCAGATACCTAAGCCTGAATAAGTCAATTTTTCAAGTAAAATAATATTTAATAAAAAAGCTCTCAATTCAAACAATCACATTTTTTCTCAAGAAGACTATAATTCTCCACCATGCAGTAGAAGTGTTTTATGTGTGCTTCCTATTGTGTCACACAGCATATCAAAAAGATGTGTACTCAAGGTTCGAGGTTTAATACAATTAATAATTTCTACTGCCTTACTTAAGTCATTCATAGGTGAAACTACCTTTATATTTAAAAGTGCAAGTGTGTGGAAATGAACAACATAATGACCATTAGCTCAGATGGTCAGACCTCCTTGATTTGTGCTAAGGCATCCACAGTTTGACACCCATCAGTGCAAATGTCAAGACAGTGAAAAGGTCAAACAATACTTTAGTATTATCATAAAAATAATTTTGACCTTGCGGAACCCATGAAAATTTCTAAGGAACCCCCAGGGTCCATGGAATACACTTTGAGAACTGCTACTCTAAGAATTTACTATGCAATAAAGGTGGAATTTAAATCAGTCTGAAAACATTTTCTGAATAAATATTTCTAGGATTACTGGAAAGCTATTTGGAAGAAAAAAATTTTATTTGTACCGAATTTTATGCAAATACATTTTAATAGATTAAATAGTACATGTTTATGGTCTTATTATGTAATACTCTTAGCAAATATAGGTAGATATATATTTAATTTAGGGATGAGTAAGATTTTTCTCTGCATTATCTCAAAAGAACAATCCATAGAAGGAAATATGGATAGATTTTTCTACAACAAATTGGAACTTTTAAAAAATATCAAACAACTTCAGTGTCTAGAGAAATAGAAACAAAATGGAAAACTGAGAAAACACTAACTGCAACATGCAAAAAAGATAAAGAATTGTGTCCTTCATACATAAGGAGCTCTTGTGAATTAATAAGAGGAAATGAAAATATGATGACAGATAATTCTCAGCAAAAGAACTACAGGTGACCATTGAACAAATGAAAACCACATTCAACCTTTGTATTAGGTAAAAGGCATTCAAATGAAAATTAGTGAGGATGGGAAAAATGGTTGTTTCTTATCTATTTCTGTTTAACAGCTCACCCTAATTCTTAGCAGCTTACAACAAACTCTTTCTGACAGTGATGGGTATGAGGAATCTGGGGACGGCTTAGTTGGGTGGTTCTGGCTCAAGGCTTCTCGTGAAGTTGCGGTCATCTCAAGGTTGGACTGGAGTTGCAAGTTTGTCTTCAAGCTCATGTACACGGTTGTTGGCAAGTCTGAGTTCCTCTGGGTTGTTAGGCTGGGGACTTCAGCTCCTGGCGATGAGTTGTCCACCTTTTCAGTGGGCTGCCAACAACGCAGCACTGTGCTTCCCCCAGCTCAAGTGATTTGAGAAAGAGACAAGCAGCACATAAGACAGAAGCAGTCTTTTTATTACTGAAATCTGATGCCATAGCCCATCATTTCTGCCATATTCTGTTCACTAGAAGCAAATCACTATGTGCAGCCCACCCTGGAGAGGAGAGAATCATTGCGGACCATCTTAAAGGCTGCCTAACAATAAGAACCTCCAACATGGCAGACAGCAATGAAACAGGGGGGAGAAGGTATTGTTTCTAGTTGTCTGGAGGGCAATTTGGCAACATATGCAAAACGTTTAACATCTCCTTGGTCCTTGCGGCATAGCAATGTTACCTCTAAGAAATAATGAAGGCCGGGCGCAGTGGCTCACGCCTGTAATCCCAGCACTTTGGGAGGCCGAGGCGGGCGGATCACGAGGTCAGGAGATTGGGACTATCCTGGCTAACACGGTGAAACCCCGTCTCTACTAAAAAATACAAAATATTAGCTGGGCGTGGTGGTGGGCACCCGTAGTCCCAGCTACTCGGGAGGCTGAGGCAGGAGAAAGGCGTGAACCCAGGAGGTGGAGCTTGCAGTGAGCCGAGATCACACTACCGCACTCCAGCCTGGGCGACAGAGCGAGACTCTGTCTCAAAAAAAAAAAAAAGAAAGAAAGAAATAATGAATATAAGGCATGTGTAAAAGATATTACCAGCAGCATAAACTGTAATAGTGAAAATTTAGGGGAAACCTAAACGCCTAGTATGTAAGATAATTAAATAAATTATTGCACATTCCAGGAATACAAAATTTGTAACTGTCAAACATATTTTTGAACAACTTTTAATAACAAGGGCAATTAATTGTAATTGATAGTTTTTGAGGGGATGTATATGTTATATGATGATACATTTTGTAAAACTTAATGCATGCACATATGCATTGAAACCAATTTTGGAAGGATAGAATCCTAAATGTTGACAGTGATTTCTTATGCATGGCAGTGTTGTGGGAACTTTTTGTTTTCATTTCAATCTTTTTCTTTATTTTCTAATTTTCCTATGCTGAGCCTATATTACACAAACAGAAACTATACCCAAGAAAAGAACTATAAAAATACATAAATAATGAATCAATTTTTTAAGAAATCAACAGAAAATGAACTTTGATAGAAATGATGTTGAGACTATCTGCCAAAATATTATATAAAATATAATAATTTTAAAACTGTTATGATTCTTTTTCTATACTCAGTCTGAGAAAGCATGAGCTGAATGGCATTATTGTCCTAAGTATGCAATTATAAATGAAATTTGGGCTAAGGGGAGTGGGAGGTGGTTGCAAGAAAGGATGTCAATAGTCTAACTTTTGTTATTAAAAAATAAATCATTATTTCTTCTTGGATTCCTAAAAAGCAGACAAATCATAGGTTCCTTGGTAGAGGATTACCCTTTTCAGCAGAACATGAATTAAGTGATTTAAGGGGTTGCTTCTGGTCTAAATATAGTGGCTTTGACCAATTTAATTGGAATTCTATGCAGTACTTTTATTTGTAAGAAAGGACGTTAGTTCAGGATATGTGGAGGTTGTTTAAATTCAATCTCTCAAGCCACTCTGAGTGTCTCTCCTTCTGTCAATGGCAGTGCTACACGGGGCCCAAGTGCAGCATGCCTCTTGGTGACTCTCACAGTACTTTCTAAAAGCTCTTTATAATATTTTATTGCTGAGTACCTCCATTTATAAAGGAGGAATTTTGAAATAGAAGATATTTTTAAGACCATCTAATATCATATAAGAATAAGTTGATTCAGATTTGAATTTATTAGCTTCAAGGAACCAAAAACTGAAAAAGGAATAGAAGCAGACGAATACATTCTTTAGCAGGGACTGTGAAAAGCCCCTTAAGAAGTTCCATTATAGCATGCTCTTGTATGATACAAAGTTTAGGTTTCATCTGGCATTCCACAATTGCCCTGTTATGATGGCTTTTAGTAGCTGCCCTACTGTAATGTATCTTTGGAGAGTGTTTATTATATTTTAAAATTTGGATCTGAATCCATCTCCAAACTAAATGCTGACATTCACAAGGGCCTGATTGGCTCTCTCTCAGTCTGGAGAAAGCTCTTATTGTGGTCAACTCAACTGAGCCAACTATTAGCAATGTCAGAACCGTTCTGCAAAGCAGGGCAATACTTAGTTAAAGTGATTCATATTAGCTGAGCATGAGCAAAGAAATCTGAACAGGCTGTTTCAGAGTCCTGGACTGCCAATGAATCCATTGCTTTTGTGAACACAGTGGGAAAAAAAATCAGGGTTCATGCTCCTAAGGCTGTTCAGACTTCTTAGTAAACGTTTCACTGTGTCCCAAGGAGAAGACAGAGTGTTTTAATGTGGGGAATGGAACCTTTTGTGCTGTCTGTTCTGGAGAAAAGAATGTGGTTTCTAAAATATTACTTTTTGAACTTCCTGTACTGTATTTATACAATTCTGTCTCTTTAAAAGGCTAAATTGTGTTATGACTAAACTAGTCACTGATAGACCCAACTTGCTCTGTGAGAGAAGCGTTCTTTAACATATCAGAGCCGTTTCCTTTGTGTGGTGCATTCCTTCCCGAGTCTGTCACTCAGCAAGAGCCGTAGGAGCCATTTGTCCACTGACCAGGCAACACAATTTTTGTTCCACCTGCGAACGTGTTTATGGGTTAGTGGTGAAAAGCTTGGGCATGGAGTGAGACAAAACTGGAATCTAGCCCTGGCTTTGAGTTCACTTCCCTGAGACTCAGTTTCCTCATTGTAACATAAAGAGAATAAGCAATACCTCTTGAGGCAGTTGTGAAGAATAGAGTGTGTGGATAGCATAATGTCTCATAATTGGTAATGGCTCAAAAAATTATAATATGAGATCAGACAGTCAGAATATTTTCTTTCATTTGGAAAATATGCTCAGTTGATTAAAATGCTTCAGTGAATTTTTGAACATTGGCGTATGTTTAAGGCCATCTCCATATATGTTTTGTGAACTCAGAAAAAGATATCAGTGAGAATAGAAAGAACAGATAATGCAATATTTCCCTTTAAAAAACAAAACAAAACAGTAACCCCTAGAACGAAATACATTTTACATTGTGACCTAGTCTGCAATACATATATAGGCCATATGTATAACTGAAATGAAAATTGAAAGAAACCTTTCTTCTATGTGTGAGATACTCTGATACTTTATCTTCTCTTCCCTTCCCTTCTGGTCAGAATCAGCTACGCTGATTTTACACCCACTAATAGTGTATAAAGAACAACTTGAAAAAGATATTGACTCAAATGAGAGTAAATGAATTTATTACACAAATTTGTTTCACATCAGCTATTAAGTCTTATTTTACTTTGATATTTCATAATTTTTAATTCCATTAATGAATGCCTCAGGGAAAGGTGAAAGAAACTAACAATTCATAAGTATACACTGTGTGTCAGATATTACCTATGCTGTTCTACATATATCTCCTCTTTTAACAGTCACAATAATCCTACTGTTACCCCATTTTACAGATAAAGAAATGAAAGTTGAAAGACATAAAGTATCTTACCCAAGAATTCAATCCCATCTATTTTTTATTGTCCCTGAGTACAAGAGGCTAAATAAGCATAAACATCGATAACACTGACATGTCTGTTAGCTTTTACCTCTGGGCTGTTGTACCAAATAGTCATCCCTTTAAACTAAATTATGCATTTTTGACCACTTCAGAATAGAATTTGAGTTTAAATTACAACTCAAAAATAGGTTGGGGAAGATCACATATTAATTCTACAGAATTAATGAAACAGAACTCCCTGTTATGTGACTATTTTATTCTGTGAGTCTAATAGTTTTTTTTAATTTACCCTTAAAATACTTTTAAAAAATACAGTACAGGAACCTATATTCTCTTTTAGTTAAAAATAAACCAAACTTTGATAGTACAGTTATAAACCTAGAAGAATTTTAGTTTGATTCCAGTGTTTGAAAGCATGATCAAACTCCAAGTTTATTTTTTCATAGTTTTTTTTTCTCCTACAGATTCTTCTCCACAATGGATTAACCACAGACATTTGAAGTCATACTGTTTAAATATCTTTGAATTATTTTTGTTTAAAAATGTCAATGGGTACGATAGGAAAAGTACATTTTTTTCCCTGTAACTTCAAAACAACTGAACAGAACCTTTGGACTTAAACCAAGAATTGAATGTTTTAGCTTTAAGAAGATTTTCTTCTCTGAAAAGTAATGAATGAGTCTCTTTGCAAGTTTAACTATTTCAAGTATCAACTCTCTGACTTTCAGCATTCTTTGGTATTAAAAAAATGTTTCATGTATAAATAAACGTAAGTTTTTTTTCTCAGCTATCTCTCAAATCTCAAGTTACATAAACTTCAAATACACATAAAACGTTGATACAGATGAATTGCATAATGTTTTTAAATGTTTAAAATGTAGTGTTCCATTTTGTTAATGGCTTCTTTCAAGTTTGCATTAGTGAATGACAACCCTTAAGAATAGCCTGCAATGACCAGAGGAATGGGAAGGATGTCATTTTCTACTTGCTCTCCATGGAAACTGAGAAGAGATCCATTACTGTGATACCCTTGGGGGAGCAGAGACGTGTCCAGGAACTTTAAGTGTAGTAGATTACCAAAAAATCACGTACAGGCTGTGGGAAACACTGGAGGTTGACTGAGATCCAGAGTTTCTCAACTTAGTGTTGGGGCAGTTGACACCTGGGGTCTCCATTCAGATCCTGAGAGGAATATGAGGCAGACAGATCCATGTGTGCTCTCCGTTTTGGGTGTCAGATCTCACAGGGGTTTCCCAGGGGCTGTGCTGTGGCTCCCAGGACACAAGGCTTCCCAAACTATAGAGGCTGTCACTGAGAGCAGCACAAGTCACTAAGGTACACACAACTCCTTGGGCCACAGTGCCTGGGAGGAAGACTTCTCAAATTTCATTTGTGAAAAACATGAACTAGGGGAGGATGTAAAATTTGTAAATGCAGATTTTAAATGGAAATGACTTTATAAAATCATTCTTAAAATTTGTAAGTATATACTGGCTCACTTTTTTTTTCGAACTGTCTCTTTTTTGATATAGTCAATATCTGTAGTTGTTATGTAAGAACACAATACATTTCTTTTGTATTTCCATTCAAAACTAGTTATATCTACAAGACAAATGGACTCCTTTTTTGTGAAGGAAATTTGTAGAGATAAGATGAAGGGTAACTATCACTAAGAGTTAAATGGTGACTAAGTTGATAGGTGAAGGTTATCAGAAGGAAAATATAGAATGATGGAAGGAATCACTTTGTTTTCTTATTTTCTGAAGCACTCTTTGAACTCTCTGATAAAACCAAATTTGTGACAAAGTGCCAAAATCTAAAAAAAAATAATAATATCAACTTGGTGGGGAAGGAAATATATTTTACTTATGTATTTTATTATCTCCTAAGTGATTTAGTCAGTATGTGTAATAAAGTGAGATGAAAATAACATATTCTTTCAATATAAAAGCTTTTTATTTTTATTGCTCAAAATTGACTATTGTATGATTACATAGAAATAAAGAAGCAGCCTGCAGAGGATTGTACTTTAGGAGTGCTAATCTGGCATCACCTGTGCTAAGAAAGGAGAGGGACTGGGAGTGGAAAAAGGCATTTTATTTTTAGTGATAAACATTGTGTTTCTAAAAATTAGATATTCAGCCTTAAATGTATTATAAGAAGATAGTTATATGGTAGAGTGAAAAGACAATAGGAGATAAGGAAAGACATCAGAGTTCTAGCTTGAATTTTTACTCTCTAATTAGAATGTTGCAGTCACTATCCCATGCTGAAATTTAGCTTTATGATCTATAAAATAAAAATTATGCCAGCTTTGTCTTTTTATGCTCTAAAACAATTTGGGGAACAAAATCACTATTTCATCAAAAACAAAGAACTTTAGGACTTAGATAAAGTTGCCTTTTGTGCTACCCAGCGTCAGGGCTCCCTTCTACAGTGGAGGAGTGTGAAGCAGCAGCTGGTAAGCAGGCCCCGTGCATAGTATGAGCCCACCCAGCTCATCGACTTTCCCTTTCTTCTTCCTCTCTCTGAACTCTGCTTCAGCCATTCTCTGCTGGTGACTGTGCCATGAAAATACCACGCTCTCTTCCTTCTCTGGGTTGTTTTTCTCTTTCCC